>NC_000002.12:70417625-71042625 GCF_000001405.40 Homo sapiens
GTGCAGTGGGCCTCCTAAAAAAAATGCCCAGATCTGCCTTCTTAAAAAACTTAGGAACATGCTTTTCTCAGTATTTACAAATCTTTAAATGAAGAGTTTCAGTGAGTTTTGAACCTTGTTAATGTAAAAATGTGACACCTTCCAATTAGTTTGTGGAACAATTGGCGTCAGGAATATATAAATTCACCAGCTGCATTTCAACAAAAGCCTTTGTATAATTGGTGTCAGTTTGAACACTGAATATCACAATTCGCTTCTCCCATTTGGATGTACTGCAGGTGTCTTTGGGAAGTATCTTTTCCAGCAATAATAGCCAATCAATACAAGTATTGAAAAAAGCCCACTTTAGAACAAATCTTGGAAATGCTGCATCAAAATGAATTAAACAAGATTTCAAACTGTAATAAAGCATACCCAAGCACATTTCTCATTAAAAATATTAATAGAATTTTTTAGTGAAAGCCCAAATAATGTAGCTTAGTAAAAAAAATTAAAGCCTGGTTCAACTTATTAGAAGTGTGGTAACTCATCACTTCTTTCACACACAGCATTCTCCCTCCCCTACCCCAGCCTGGTTTTCAGCATAGGACGATTTTCCTAAAGGAACTCTTGAGTGGTGAAGACAACTGTTCAAATGGAGTTCCCCTAACCCAAGCAGGGCACACCCACACCCAAGGCCCTTCGACCCTCCTCTCTCCCCATCCCTTAAATTTAGAGGAATGGTTGGAAATGAATTAAGGATGCTGGTTATATTAGTCTGTTCTTGCATTGCTATAAAGCACTGCCTGAGACTAGATAATTTATAAGAAAAGAGGTTTAATTGACTCACAGTTCTACAGGCTGTACAGGAAGCATGGCTGGGGAGGCCTCAGGAAACTTAAAATCACGGAGGAAAGCGAAGGGGAAGCAGACACATCTTTACCCAGCAAAGCAGGCTACAGAGCGTGAAGGGGGACGTGCTACACGCTTTTAAACCACCAGATCCCGCGAGAACTCACTCACTGTCACCAGAACAGCAAGGAGGAAGTCCGTCCCCATGATCCAATCACCTCCCACGAGGCCTCTCCTCCAGCAATGAGGATTACAATTTGACATGAGATTTGGGTGGGAACACAGAGCCGAACCATATCACTGGTCATTGTGGTGTCTCTAAAAGGCCAGGAACCAGTTTGAGGACCACCCACTGGGAGGAGAGCTCTGAACCAACACCTGTGAATAACGATTGTAGCCTTTGCCCATGCTGTACACATGCGTAGTGCTTTCCCACACCTGGGTCCTTTCAACCTCGTTAACCTAGGCAATAATTATTATTTTCGTCTTACAGCTGAGGAAACGGAGGCTCAAATGCTCGTCAGTTTCCCAGGGACGTGGGCTGGTAAGTAGCAAAGCTTGGAGTTGGACCCAGTTGATCCAACCTCTACTTATTTTTGAGGGGTAAGAGATATGTGTAAAGGGGGTGATAGATTTCATATGTGTATGGGCCCCTTAGGGGGCCTGTGTGAAGAGCCCAGGGAAGGCTAAGGTGGGTGGCTAGACCAGTTCTGCTAAGGAGAGCCAGAGTTTCAAAGAAAGGGAAATGTTTTAGATGCCTCTAAAACATGTTCCTAAATTCAGCCGCCCATCAGCATCATCCAGAGAGGTTAAACGAAAAACAAACAAACAAACAAAGGCTAATTCCTGGGCTCCTCCTCAAACCCTATCAAATTAGTATTGTGAAGAAAACAGAATCCACCTGAATTTTTTCCAACAGCTTTCCTGAAGCCAGATGGAGACTGCTAGAGGGCTGGTGGGATAGGTCTGGGAGCTAGGGACAGCTCTAGGTGGTATCTTTGCACCTCTATCCCCTAGGGTAGGGGGATGTGAGGCCTTCAGGATGGAAGGCAAGGATTCTGCCTGCTACTCTGGGCACCTAGCTGGGTGTCTTTGCACCTCTGTTTCCTAGGGAAGCAGGGTTTGAGGCCTTCTGGAGGGAGGGAAGCGTTCTCTGCCTGCTACTCTGGGCACCTAGCAGGGTGTCTTTGCACCTCTATCTCCTAGGGAAGGGGGGTTTGAAGCCTTCTGGATGGAAGGGAAGGGTTCTGCCTACTACTCTGGGCACCTAACTGGGTGGTCTTTGCACCTCTATCCACTGGGGAAGGGGGTTTGAGGCCTTCTGGATGGAAGGCAAGGGTTCTGCCAGCTACTCTGGGCACCTAGCTGGGTGTCTTTGCACCTCTATTCCTATGGAAGGGGGGTTGAGGCCTTCTGGATGGAAGGCAAGGGTTCTGCCAGCTACTCTGGGCACCTAGCTGGGTGTCTTTGCACCTCTATACCCTAGGGAAGGGGGGTTTGAGGCCTTCTGGATGGAAGGGAAGGGTTCTGCCTACTACTCTGGGCACCTAGCTGGGTGGTCTTTGCACCTCTATCCACTGGGGAAAGGGGGTTTGAGGCATTCTGGATGGAAGGCAAAGGTTCTGCTTGCTACTCTGGGCACCTAGCTGGGTCCAGAGAGCAGGGTGGCATTGACAGAGCAAGAGCCTCCCAGTGATATGATCTGAGCCACACCGTCTTGTTTACTGCCATCTGCCTGAAGACTGTGCTTAAGGAACAATTTCTTTGTCAAAACACACGACAGAGAGCCTGCTTTGGCCCCAGGCTTCTGTTTCATAACTCTTTTTTATTGGAGCAGAAAGAAGCAGCACATTATTGTTCTCTTGCTCCGCGTTTTCTCATGGATCAAGAAAGCAACAAGCACTTTGTGCAAATAGAAAAGCCTGCTTTGTTGTCTGAAGACAAGGAGGTGAGGTTGTAAGAAGCAGAGCTTTCACAGATCATAAAAGGGACACTCCACACAAAGCAGGCTTGAGGCTGACTGGCAGGAGGGCCTGGGAATGAGTGCAAATAAATCATTTGCACTTATTCACTGGCTTCATCAAGGTTTTACATGTTTCACTAGTAAAAGCAATCTTGGCAGGTGTGTGTCAAAGGCTCTCTGGCAGAGCTGTTTCTCCTAGAAGGATCATTCTAGGCTGATGTTATGCAATAATGGTGTTTCTGAAAAATAGAGTCAGTTGATCATGTTGTTGAGGGCACTGTTTTAAGAAACCTTGGTACTCAGAATATGATAATTAGCAGTAAGCTTTCCTGTATGTCACCTGCTCCTCCGTGTGACCTCTGAGGAGACAAGGTACTGTTGCTATCCTCAGTCATAGACGATGCAACCACGGCTCAGGGACCATGAGCTCCCTTCCCTCAGCTCACACAGAAGACCCAGGTTCAATTCCTGATGTGTGTGTGTTCATTTTCCTTTATTCTGGTGATGTCATAAATCATTCCGTAATGTAAGTATCTCCCTTCAAACGTTGGAAGTTTTGAAGGTTGGATTTTCCTCAAGCAGAGTGCAAAAGTCAGTTCTTCTGATAAGAAGTCAATTCAGGAGAAGGATACCCCATTCTCTGTGATTATTACACATTGCATGTCTGTATCAAAGCATCGTATGTGGGGAGGGCGGGGGACGGTGGGAAGAGCATTAGGGAAAAGAGCTAATGCATGCTGGGCTTAACACCTAGGTGATGGGTTGATAGGTACAGCAAACCACCGTGGCACACATTTACCTATGTAACAAACCTGCACATCCTGCACATGTACCCTGGAACTTAAAAAATAATAAACACAAAAAACTCATGCATCCCATAAATATATACACTTAACATGCAGCCACAAAAAATTAAAAAAAATTTAAAAGCCAATTTAACTGATAAGTTGCCACAACCTAATAAGATGTGTACGTGACTTTGAGAAACATCCCTCATTAAAAGAGTTAACTTTTTTTCCAACATTATAAAAGGGAATAAACAATGAGAAATTTTCTTGTAAGCTACATGTCTTCTCTCCCCACCTTTAGATAAATGCTTTTTCTAGAACAGTGATTCTCAAATTTTTAGTGAACATTGGAACCACCTGGAGGGCTTGTTAAAACAGATTGCTGGGCCCCACCCCTAGGGATTCTGATTCAGCAGGTCTAGGGTGGAGCTGGAAAATTTGCATTTCTAATAAGTTTCCAGGTGATGCTGATGTTGCTGGTATAGGAACCTCACTTAAGAAGCACAGTTTAGTGTTCTTCGTGTACCTACAGAGACTTGTATATCTCTGTATCTCTACACGTATACACAACAGATTATTAAAAATGAACCCATTCTTTACTAATAATTTTGAAATTTGTTTTCATTTAACAAAATATCCTAGCTAACATTTCTTTGCTGATTTCCTACATCATATCCTAGATTAGGGATTTCTATCATTCTTTTTAATGGCTGCATAGAATTCCATTGTATTTTTGCACCATTTATTTAACCAGTCTCTATTGTTGGAAGTTTAGATTTTTTCCATTTTTTTCCCCATTACAAACAATGCTGCAACCCTTTTGCTTATATCTTACACGCTTGTGCTAATATTTCTGAAGGATAAATTCATAAAAGTGGAATAGATGGGTGATAATGTCTACATGGGTGATAATGTCTACATGTCTACATGTAAAATGTATAATGTATACATGTATACATGTAAAATTGTATAGAACTATCAAGTTCTCCCTCCCCCCATAAAGTTTGTTCCAATATTCCTACCAATAGTTTGAAAAACCCCTAACTACCACTGGATATTAAGAATCTTTTTTTTTTAAATCTATGCTGATCTGATGGGCGAAAAATGTTATATTGTTATTTTAATTTGCATGTCTTTAATTATTAGTGAAGTTGAGTATATGTTATTGACCACTTATAATAATATTTCTTCTTAGGTGATATACCTGCTCATATCCACTGCCTGTTTTTAGAGAAGAGGCATCCAGAATGGCAGAAAGATGCATGGCAATGTCCTCATTGTGTCAGGCGTGGCTTGGGTCCCTGTACCCTACTGAAGAAATTTGAAGGTGCCACAGAAGAGAACCCAAAACAAGCCACAGAAATGAGCCAAAGTAATTAAAGGTGAGGGTATAGAAAAGTGAAATGAATAAAGATTGTTTAGGCCAGAGAATAGAAGACTAAGGGGGAGGGGAAAGAAGGTAAACCTTACAATTCTGAATGATTAGTGTCATGGTTTGTGTGGCTATAACAGAATGCTATAGACTGGGTGATTTATTAATATAATAAAGAGAAATTTATTGGCTAATAGTTCTGGAGGCTGGAAAGTCCAAGGTCAAGATGCTGGCAGGTTTGGTGTGTGGTGAGGGCCTGGTCTCTGCTTCTAAGATGGCACCTTGAATGCTGCATCCTCTGGAGGGGAGGAGCACTGTTCCTCACATGACAGATAAGTGGAAGAGCTAAGAGAAGGCAAGAGAGAGGCAGGGACTGAACTCACCCTTTCATAAGGAACCTACTCCTGAGCTAACAAACCCACTCCCGCAATAATGACATTAATTCATTCATGAGACAGAGCCCTCAGGACCTAATCATCTCTTATTAGGCACCCCTCCCAACATTGATGCACTGGGGATTAAGTTTCCAACAAATGAATTTTGGGGGACACATTCAAACCATAGCATGGAGTCTTTTGAGAAGGATGGCTGATGTGTGCTCTTTCTGCCAGGAACATGGACCAACGTAAATTCCCATAAGTGGGCTTTATTCAAAGTAAGTTCCAGTTATGATCTACATTTCCATTCTTAGAGACATTTCAACTCAATTGGAGATAATTTTGGTGCAGACTCCTGCCCTTTAAATCATGGAGCACAATCTTCCAAATACCTTTGTGTTCCTTTTTTAGGCTAGAGAATTTTAAAATACAGTGAATGGTCAAATCAAATTGATTTCATTTAATTCAATATTGGGGCTCTTTCCAATGATTTTGGGTTGCAGTGTTTGGAACTGCCCTGACTCTTCCCCCAGCAGCATGAGACCCAGTGTTCTGTGGTGCTCATTTATGGAGGTTTGCCCTGTGCTTGGATGTTGATTCTGTCACTAGAGTTAATATGACAGCAGCCTAGCCCAGCATTTCAGAGGTCCTCTCTCTCTATGGGACCTGATTAAGTGTCTTGCATTTAGGGAGTTCCCAGTTATAGGACATAACGGAAATATCAGCCCTTTTGGCATGCACTCTCTTCCCTTACAACAATCCTGACTCCAGGCTGATTACTGGGCCCCTTTTACCCCAAAAGTATCTTCTCATACCTGAGGCATTAGTTAGCAATGCCATAAGAAGAAGGTACTGCCAAGCTCCCTGGACCCTGCAGCTTTCTTCTTCTACGAATAGAATTACAGAATCTAGGCCAGAAAACCATAGCATTTTCAACTCCTCCCCACCCCTCCCTACCCCCACATCCCAGTAGTAGGCTAGATAGATCTTACCAAATATCTCCGAAATATTTTCCATTTTCATCTTCATTATCCCTGCTTCAATCTATCCTTTCCCCTTCTCTTGAATGAATGCATTGGCCTGCTGGCTTCCTCCAGTCATGTCCTCTTCCGGTACATTTTATCATATAACTATTTGTTCATTCATTCATTCATCCATCCGTTCATTCTAGGAGAGTTGACTTTATCTTTGTGCCAAACACACTCGAGAAATGCCACAAGACTGTGGGTTATTAATTATAAAGAAGATATCCAGGAAGTCAGCCCTCTTGGTTGAAAGGAATTGGAGGGATCCAAGGTGGAGTTCCAAAGAAAGATGGAGTTAAGGTGGGCCTTGAAGTGTGCATAGATAATATGGAAAATGATGTGAGTCAGCCATCCAGCTGTCATTCCCCACTTTCTTGCTCAGTGATGCTTTTTGTTCACCCTCTCATATGCTCAGGGAAGTAGCTTACAACTCCAGCTGAGGGGGTCAATCCTGATTGAGTCAAACAAATTAAGGCTATTCCCCTTGCAGTGATTAGCTTAGGCAACAAAATCTTGAAGGGAACGGCTGCTGGGAGGCAGAAAAAGAGTGGCTCCTCTAAAAGGTATGGTTGTGTAGACTGTTAGTTGCCGTGTGGGATTCCTGGAGCACTATGATAGGTCTTCTGATTTTTCATGAAAAGCTTGAAATCTGATTAAAAATAATTTTTTGATAAATCCCTTTGCTGAGCATGTGCTGGTGATTGGGATACACCTCTGGAAGCAGAATCCAGGGACAGAGGCATTTGGGCTTAGAGATGCAGAGTAGGTGGATGAAAATGCAAGGAGATAGAGATGGGAACTGGCTTTTGATGGACAGGTGTGGAATTCTGGTCCGGGTGACAAACATGATAATGACATTAATGAGTACACTTTAAGGAAAATGCAGAAAAAGGCTGGGTGTGGTTGCTCCTACCTGTAACCCCTGCACTTTGGGAGGCTGAGGTGGGTGGATCGCTTGAGGTCAGGAGCTCGAGACCAGCCTGGCCAACATGGGGAAACTCCGTCTCTACTAAAAAATACAAAAATGAGCCAGGTGTGGTGGCAGGTGCCTGTAATTCCAGCTACTCAAGAGGCTGAGGCAGGAGAATTGCTTGAACCTGGGAGGCAGAGGTTGTAGTGAGCTGAGATTGCACCACTGCACTCCAGCCTGGGTGACAGAGTGAGACTCTGTCTCAAAAAAAAAAAAAAAAAAAAGGCAGAAAAAACACGAAGAAAATGAAAGCCATTCCCAATCCTGCTATACAGAAAAAGCACTAATTTTTAATATTTTCCCATATAGTCTTTTTTTTCCCCTCTCCTGATGTTAGATTGTGAACCTTTTCTTCTCATCGTTAAAAGGCTCTCTGAAAACTTACTTTTGAATGGTGATATCTAAGTCCAATACAAGGGCCATGTCTCATGTAACTCTAAATATTCTAATTCTGTTGGAATAAAACTCCTTCTTGAATCTTGGCTGGTTGTTCTGTTTGCTGCCTGTATGTTAAGCTGAAATGTCACCTGTGGTAAAATGCCTGTATTCTATTCTGAGGGTGGGGTAGGGGGTGATAGGAAAAAAATAAACCCAGCGGAGAGAAAAATCTAGTGAGAAGAACAAGGCCAAACCAATAACGCAGATCTTTAAGTGGAACTTAAGCCCTCAGTCCAGCCATGCCCTTAGTCTGATTCCTCTTAGGAAAGTGTAATTAAATGTGTTGAGCCCTTCCTAGGTGTAAGCCATGCAAGCTCTGGGGAGTCTTACGGGGTCTGGGAGTGAGTGGGAAGCTTCTTCACTCTCCTGCTGCTAATTTCACTCTCAGGTAGCCTGGCTAGGCATGGAAGAAGGATCCAGGCAAATGCAAGTCCAACCTGTAAGGTTGGCTCAAAAGGCTAGCTGAGCAGCAATTTCCAAGGCTGAAGCCCTCTAGCTGCCTGCCCTAGGGGCCAGCAGGAAGGGACATGAGGAGGGCCTGCTGGAGTCCCTCAGGAGTAAGGTTGTCATACCGCCTTCTGAGCCCCATTTTTGTGTCTGTCACCTCTCACTGCCCTTTGGTTTGGGGGTGGGGGACCCTGGCAGACACACTATACCTGCTTTGTGACTAGGTGTGTCTCCCCGAGGGTGTGTTCCTGTGCCTTGTGCAATGACTGCCGAGTCGCTGGGCACAGATCTGAATGTGTTTCTCAGGCAGCTGGCATGATGAAACCTGGCTGGCCCAGCTCCCCTGCAAACACTTGGCTCCCCTCGTCTCTACTGTATTCCCTTAACAGACACTCGACATGGTAGTGGGAACTGGCTTCAAAGATCATTCACAACACACCTGTGTTGAGTGAGATCTTGCTTTGTGTATACGTAACATGATTCCCAGGGATCAATAAGGCTGAAACCAACAAAGCAAACAGACAAATAATGCAGGTTGTTTGTGTTGTTAATAATAGTTAATGCAATAGCTATTTATTGAGCATTTGCTATGTGTCGGTCTTTGGGCTGAGAGCATTAACTCATGTAAGTCTCACAAAACCTCTTTGCGTTAGATATGATTAACACCCTCATTTTACCATGAGGAAACTGGGGCCCAGAGAAGTTGAGTAACCTTCCCAAGGTCCATGGTGGTAGAGTGAGGACTTAATCACAAGCCTATGCAGGTGACCATGACTTGTTATATCTGTGATGTGTTTTTTATCTGCCCCTTATCCTTGTAGGTCTGGAATAAGCCCTGCTGGTTGTAATGCCTTTTCTTATAATACACTTCAAATTAAAAACCTAAAATTTTATTTAGGATTTTAAAAATCTCCATTTATAAATGAGATTGAACTATATAGTTCCCCCTATCCCCAATGTTTAGACATCTAGTCATATTTGCTTCAAATTTGAAATGAGTAGCTTTCTGAGCACTGGAATAATTTTAATTTGTTAGGGGAGGAGGGGAATATTTTCTTAAGCAAGACAGGAAACCCAGAACCAATTAAAAAAATAGACAAAATTGACTACCTATATAACAAAAAATTCCATAAATGAAGTCAAAAGACAACAAGATTGGAGTTAGGAAGAATGAATAAAACCTAGTATTTGGTAGCACAACAAGGTGACAATAGTCAATAATAATTTTACATTTAAAAATAACTAAAAGACTATAATTGGATTGTTTGTAACACAAAGGATAAATGCTTGAGAGGATGGATACCCTATTTTCCACGATGTGATTATTATGCATTGCATGTCTGTATCAAAACATCCCAAGTATCCCATAAGTATATATACCTACTATATACCCACAAAATTAAAAAATTTTATATATATATATACATATATATATATATGACACAACAAGATTGGGAAAGTATTTGTAATACAAATGACAGATGAATAGTTAATATGACACAAAAAGATTCTATAAGTTATAAGGAAAAGAAAAATAAGCCAATTAAAAATGAATAAAGAATGTGAATAGCAGCAACTCAAGAAGAGGAAATCCAAATGGCCA
Organism: Homo sapiens; assembly: GCF_000001405.40. NCBI lineage: Eukaryota > Metazoa > Chordata > Mammalia > Primates > Hominidae > Homo > Homo sapiens. Next base: position 70,427,440 of record NC_000002.12, read on the forward strand.
ATTATTATATTACAAGATTCTCAACCTCATTAATTAGCAGGAAAATGCAAATTAAAACAACATTGATATACTTTTAACATATCAGACCAGTAAAAATAAAAAAGGTTTATTATATCTAGGGTAGACAAGGATTCAAAAAATGGCTACTATCTCTGTGGTAGAAATGTGAATTACCACAATTGATTTAAGCCATCATGACAATTTCCAGTTACTCAATTTCCCAGGCTCCCTTGCAACTATCAGTGGCCATGTAACCCAGTTCTGGTCAATGAAATGTAAGGGGCCAGGCATGATGGCCTACATGTGTAATCCCAGCACTTTGGGAGGCTGAGGTGGGTGGATTGCTTGAGCTCAGGAATTTGAGACCAGCCTGAGCAACATGGCAAAACCTTGTCTCTACAAAAAATACAAAATTAGCCAGATGTGGTGGCTCCTGGGGAGGCTGAAGTGGGAGGATCGCTTGGGCCTGGGAGGTCAAGGCTGCAGTCAGCTGAGTCAGCTGAGATCATCACTGCACTCTAGCCTGGGTGACAGAGAGAGACCCCGTGTCAAAAAAAAAAAAAAAAAAAGTAAGGGAAAGACTGCTGTTGCAGGATCTCTAGGAAGGCCTTTGCTTTGCTGATGTAAGGTACAAATGAGGCTGTTGCTACTTTTCAACTTTACCTTGAATTTGAACATGATTGATGCCTGGAGCTGCGGCAGCCATGTAATCGTGAGGAAACAAGCATGAGAACAACATGCTAGGATAACAGAGCAGAAAAATGTATAAGGGCCTGGGCTTCTGAACTAATACCCACCACTACTACCCTCTAAGCCCTTGTTATGGGTGAACAAATCATTATTTTTTAATTTAAGCCTCTGTTAGGAGGGTTTCTGTTAATGGTAGCCAAATATGCCTCTAATCAGATACATGTTTACCCTCAACCCAGCCATTCCTACATGTGACTTCATCCTAAGAAATGAAAGTACCAGTAGGTAAACATTTATGTACAATTTATGTATAACATTGACTTTGGAAGTGAAGAACTAAAAACAAATGGAGTATCTATCAATAGCCATGTGGTGAAATAAAATGTCATATATTCATACAATAAAATGTTGTACAGTTATTAAAAAGAATGATTTAGACTGATGTCTATTGACCTGGAGGGATGCTCATGATGTATTATTATGTGAAAAAAACCCCACAGAAATCTGAGTAGTTAACACTTATAGTTAATCCCTTATTTGTGGATTTTTTTTTTTTTTTTTTTTTTTTTAGACGGAGTCTCGCTCATTGCACAGGCTGGAGTGCAATGGCGCGATTTTGGCTCACCACAACCTCTGCCTCCCGGGTTCAAGTGATTCTCCTGCCTCAGCCTCCTGAGTAGCTGGGATTACAGGCATGTGCCACCATGCCCCTGGCTAATTTTGTATTTTTAGTAGAGATGGGGTTTCACCACGTTGGCCAGGCTGGTCTCGAACTCCCGACCTCAGGTGATCCACCCGCCTCGGCCTCCCAAAGTGCTGGGATTACAGGCATGAGCCACTGCACCCGGCTGGAAAAATCTTTATATGTGTATAGATGTTTGTATATGTCTCCACCAGCATAGAAAAAAGGGTCAGAATGCCTGCAGGGATGAGGGAAGTAATGTAACTGAGTGAAACAAGCCTGATAGGAAAGATAAGCTGTTCTAAGTATTGTAAAACTTTATTTTTATTAGACCATGAAGAGAAGCATCCAATATGATATAAATATGCGTGATATTGTTGATCATATTTTCAATATGGAGTTGAGTAAAAGAAAAATTGTATAATAATATGTTTTTGCTTTCTCATAATTTTTTATTACTTCTTTGTAGAATATGGATTCCAGTATTATTTCTGTTTGTACTGACAATTCAAAGACAGGTCTTATTTTCCTTTTTAATGATGCAAAGGTGGAATTCAGCCTTGAATCCTTTACTTGGAGGTAATGCTTAGTTTTCAAACAAAAAAAGTCTAATTAAAAGTGTGGCACTTCTAAACGGAGATATAGTGTTTTCACAGTGTTTTAAAAAGTACATATAATTGTTCTTGTGATAGTTTACTGAGAATGATGATTTCCAATTTCATCCATGTTCCTACAAAGAACATGAACTCATCATTTTTTATGGCTGCATAGTATTCCATGGTGTATATGTGCCACATTTTCTTAATCCAGTCTATCATTGTTGGACATTTGGGTTGGTTCCAAGTCTTTGCTATTGTGAATAGTGCTGCAATAAACATACGTGTGCATGTGTCTTTATAGCAGCATGATTTATAGTCCTTTGGGTATATACCCAGTAATGGGATGGCTGGGTCAAATGGTATTTCTAGTTCTAGATCCCTGAGGAATCGCCACACTGACTTCCACAATGGTTGAACTAGTTTACAGTCCCACCAACAGTGTAAAAGTGTTCCTATTTCTCCACCTCCTCTCCAGCACCTGTTGTTTCCTGACTTTTTAATGATTGCCATTCTAACTGGTGTGAGATGGTATCTCATTGTGGTTTTGATTTGCATTTCTCTGATGGCCAGGGATGATGAGCATTTTTTCATGTGTTTTTTGGCTGCATAAATGTCTTCTTTTGAGAAGTGTCTGTTCATGTCCTTTGCCCACTTTTTGATGGGGTTGTTTGTTTTTTTCTTGTAAATTTGTTTGAGTTCATTGTAGATTCTGGATATTAGCCCTTTGTCAGATGAGTAGGTTGCGAAAATTTTCTCCCATTTTGTAGGTTTCCTGTTCACTCTGATGGTAGTTTCTTTTGCTGTACAGAAGCTCTTTAGTTTAATTAGATCCCATTTGTCAATTTTGTCTTTTGTTGCCATTGCTTTTGGTGTTTTAGACATGAAGTCCTTGCCCATGCCTATGTCCTGAATGGTATTGCCTAGGTTTTCTTCTAGGGTTTTTATGGTTTTAGGTCTAACGTTTAAGTCTTTAATCCATCTTGAATTGATTTTTGTATAAGGTGTAAGGAAGGGATCCAGTTTCAGCTTTCTACATATGGCTAGCCAGTTTTCCCAGCACCATTTATTAAATAGGGAATCCTTTCCCCATTGCTTGTTTTTCTCAGGTTTGTCAAAGATCAGATAGTTGTAGATATGCGGCGTTATTTCTGAGGGCTCTGTTCTGTTCCATTGATCTATATCTCTGTTTTGGTACCAATACCATGCTGTTTTGGTTACTGTAGCCTTGTAGTATAGTTTGAAGTCAGGTAGTGTGATACCTCCAGCTTTGTTCTTTTGGCTTAGGATTGACTTGGCGATGCGGGCTCTTTTTTGGTTCCATATGAACTTTAAAGTAGTTTTTTCCAATTCTGTGAAGAAAGGCATTGGTAGCTTGATGGGGATGGCATTGAATCTGTAAATTACCTTGGGCAGTATGGCCATTTTCACGATATTGATTCTTCCTACCCATGAGCATGGAATGTTCTTCCATTTGTTTGTATCCTCTTTTATTTCCTTGAGCAGTGGTTTGTAGTTCTCCTTGAAGAGGTCCTTCACATCCCTTGTAAGTTGGATTCCTAGGTATTTTATTCTCTTTGAAGCAATTGTGAATGGGAGTTCACTCATGATTTGGCTCTCTGTCTGCTGTTGGTGTATAAGAATGCTTGTGATTTTTGTACATTGATTTTGTATCCTGAGACTTTGCTGAAGTTGCTTATCAGCTTAAGGAGATTTTGGGCTGAGACAATGGGGTTTTCTAGATATACAATCATGTCGTCTGCATATTCTCACTCATAGGTGGGAATTGAACAATGAGATCACATGGACACAGGAAGGGGAACATCACACTCTGGGGACTGTTGTGGGGTGGGGGGAGGGGTGAGGGATAGCACTGGGAGATATACCTAATGCTAGATTACGAGTTAGTGGGTGCAGCGCACCAGCATGGCACATGTATACATATGTAACTAACCTGCACAATGTGCTCATGTACCCTAAAACTTAAAGTATAATAATAAAAAAAAAAACTAGACAGAATTCTCAGAAAATTCTTTGTGATGTGTGTATTCAACTCATAGGGTTGAACCTTCCTTTCGATAGAGCAGTTTTGAAACACTCTTTTTTTAGAATTTCCAAGTGGATATTTAAAGTGCTTTGAGGCCTATGGTAGAAAAGGAAATTAAAAAAAATACATATAATTACAGTAACCATCACACGAACATTTATAGGATTCTGGTACACCCATGTCTTTTTATTTAGTTTTCAGTACTGGATTTTAAAAACTCTTCATAGTTCTTCATCCACATCATTAATATATTAATTGGGAAAGACAACTGAACAACATTCATTTTCATAATTTTAATAACAGGGGCCCATTTGTGGAATTCAATCTTCACCTCCTCAATTTAAAAATAAACTTCAGATCATCACTTTCATTACTAGAAAACTGATTTTTGTGCAGGAAGGTCAACCAGGTTGGTTCTTGCCAAATAAGTTTCCCAAAGACACAATTTCTCAAGAGTGAGCAAATGAAATCATACGTTTGAGGAACTACTTGTGAATGCCCTTCAAAGGCATTTTGGAGGTGTTGTCTTGACAAAGAAAAGTAACAAGAATTGATCCAATTTTATTTGGTGAGCTGAGGTGGGGACTTTTCCTCAGATGACATGAATGATGCAATTTTCCTACCCATAGTTGAAACAATTGCTTTTGTATGAGGACACTAGTTAGCCAAATAACCTCTGTGTAGGGCAGCAGATTGCCATACTGTGAAGACAATTCATCGTGACTCTGGGTCAAGCCGGAGTGGGAATCTTGTGTACAGAGTTAATTACTACAGTCATCATGCATTATCTTTTTAATGTTTTACCGACAAAGAGATTCCTGGTGAATGACACAATGAATTTAAATCCTATTTTCTTGCTGAATGATGCCACCATGGAAAAGTTTCATGAGAGGTCCCATGTTAGCACCAACATCACAGCAGCACTGTTTATATTTATATTGACTAATTTTGACCTGTCTACATTTAACTTCTCAAGAATGTTCTCTATGCAAAATAATTTATTCCCTAATGTTGTGTCTGACATGGGCACATGTCCAAAAGTTCTTTGCTCATGTTAAAAAAACCAAAAAACCAACGAACAACTATAAGTATAGTAGCTGTATGATATTATTTATATCAATGGTCTCATCGGTGATAAGAAAAAAATCACAATTGCCTAATGGTTTCTTACTTTGTCCTGTACGTTTTGAATCCTGTCTTCATCATGCTGAACAACTGCATTTCCAGCAAATACATACTCATGTTGAGACAAAAACAATGAAAATTTCAGTCCATTTCTTCAGTTCAGTGATGGTTTCATTTTCATTTAACTTATTATTTTTCCTTTTTTCCATAATGGGATCTATAGTTGTCCTTTTTTGTGTGTTAGGAATAGTTTTATTGAGATACAGTTTACATACCAAAAAATTCATTCTTTATGCAATTCTTCAAGTATACAATTCTTTAAGTATACATTCAGCAGTTTTTAGTTAACTCAATGTTGCATAACCATCACTACTACTTAATTTTAGAACATGTTCAACATCCCCAAAAGAAACTCTACTCATTAGCAGATACCCTCTGTCCTTCTCCCCCAGCTCCTAGCAACAAATAATCTATGGATTTGCCTATTTTAGATAATTCATGTAAATAGAGTCATACAATATGTGGTCTATTGTGATTGGCTTCTTTCACATAGTGTAATGTTTTCCAGATTCATCCACAATATAGCATGTAACAGTATTTCATTTTTTTGGCCAAATAATATTGCACAGTCTGTGCCACATTTAAAAAATCCATTCAATTGATAGACATGTGGATTGTTTCTATTTTTTAGCTATTAAAAATAATGCTCCTGTGAACATTTATGTGCAAGTTTTTGTGTGGACATATATTTTCTTTTTTTGTGTGTGTATATATATACCCAGGAGTAGAATTTCTGAGTCATATAGTAACTCTATGTTTAATCATTTGAGGAACCACTAAACTATTTCCAAAGTGGCGGCATCATTTGACATTCCCACCAGCAATGTATGAGGATTCTAATTCCTCCACATCCTTGTCAACACTTGTTATTATCTGACTTTTTGATTCTAGCCACCCTAGTGGATGTAAAATGGTATCTCATTGTGGTTTTGATTTGCTTTTCTCTGTTAACTAATGATGCTGAACATCTTTTCATATGCTTGTTGACCATTCATATATCTTTGGACAGATGTTTATTCAAATCCTTTGTCCATTTTTAAATTGGGTTATTTGCCTTTTTATTGTTAAGTTATGAATTCTTTATTTATTTTAGATACTTATCTCTTGGATACATAATTTGAAAATATTTTCTCCCGTTCTGTAGATTATCTTTTCACTTTCTTGATGGTATTCCTTGGAGCACAAAATACTTTAATTTCAATGACATTCAACTTATCTATTTTTTCTTCGGTGTTGTATTTAAGAATCATTGCTTAACCCAATGTCACAAAGATTTATGCCTGTTTTCTTCTAAGATTTTTATATTTTTACCTTTTATATTTAGGTATATTATCTATTTTGAGTTGTATGTGATTTGAGATAGGGGTCCAACTTCATCCTTTTACATGTTATTATCTAGTTGTCTCAGCACCATTTGTTGGGAAAGAATATTCCTTCCCCATTGGCTTGTCTTGGTACCTTTGTCAAAGATTGGTTAGCCACAGAGGTATGATTTTATTTCTGGACATTCTATTCTATTCTATTCTATTCTATCCTATCCTATCCTATCCTATCCTATCCTATCCTATCCTATATCCTATCCTATATCCTATCCTATATCCTATCCCATATCCTATCCCATATCCTATCCCATATCCTATCCCATATCCTATCCCATCCTATCCTATCCTATATCCTATCCCATATCCCATATCCTATCCTATCCCCTATCCTATATCCTATCCTATCCCATATCCTATCCTATCCTATCCCATATCCTATCCTATCCTATCCCATATCCTATCCTATCCTATCCCATATCCTATCCTATCCTATCCCATATCCTATCCTATCCTATCCTATCCCATATCCTATCCTATCCTATATCCTATCCTATCCTATCCTATCCTATATCCTATCCTATCCTATCCTATATCCTATCCTATCCTATCCTATCCTATATCCTATCCTATCCTATATCCTATCCTATCCTATCCTATATCCTATCCTATCCTATCCTATATCCTGTCCTATCCTATCCTATATCCTATCCTATCCTATCCTATATCCTATCCTATCCTATCCTATATCCTATCCTATCCTATCCTATATCCTATCCTATCCTATCCTATCCTATCCTATCCTATATCCTATCCTTTCCTATCCTATATCCTATCCTATCCTATCCTATATCCTATCCTATCCTATCCTATATCCTATCCTATCCTATCCTATATCCTATCCTATCCTATCCTATATCCTATCCTATCCTATCCTATATCCTATCCTATCCTATCCTATCCTATCCTATCCTATATCCTATCCTATCCTATCCTATATCCTATCCTATCTTATCCTATCCTATCCTATATCCTATCCTATCCTATCCTATCCTATCCATATCCTATCCTATCCTATCCTATCCTATATCCTATCCTATCCTATATCCTATCCTATCCTATCCTATCCTATCCTATCCTATCCTATCCTATATCCTATCCTATCCTATCCTATATCCTATCCTATCCTATCCTATATCCTATCCTATCCTATCCTGTATCCTATCCTATCCTATCCTATATCCTATCCTATCCTATCCTATATCCTATCCTATCCTATCCTATATCCTATCCTATCCTATACTATATCCTATCCTACCCTACCCTACCCTACCCTACCCTACCCTATCCTACCCTATCCTATCCATCTATTTTTTAGGTCTGTTTTGTCTGTTCTTGCACCAATTTCATACTGCTTTGATTCTCATTGTTTTATAGTAGTTTTGAAATCAGGAACTGTGAGTCTTCTTACTTTTTACTTTTTTTAAGATTTGGCTATTCTGGATTCCTGGCAATTCCATATGAATTTTAGAATCAGCTTGTTAGTTTCCACAAAGAAGTCAGCTGAGATTCGGATAGGGATTGCCTGAGTTTGTAGATCAATTTGGGGAGTATTGCCATCTTAACAGTATTAAGTCTTCCAATCCATGAACATGGAATATTTTTTCATTCATTTAGGTCTTCCTTAGTTGTTTTCAACAGTTTTTTTGTGGTTTTCTGAGGATAAGTTTTGCACTTCTTTTGTTAAGTTTATTTCTAAGTATTTTATTTGCTACTGTTGTGAGTTGTTTTCTTAATTTTATGTTTGGATTGTTCATTGCAAGTGTATAGAAATATGGTTTTTTAAAAGTATTAAACTTGTATTCTGTAACCTTGCTGAACTCATTTATTAGTTCTGATATATATATTTAGGTAGATTATTTAGGGTTTCCTATATATAAGATCTATAATCTATTATATGAATAAAGATCCTTTCCAATATGGATTCCTTTTATTTATTTTTTCTTTCTTAACTGCCCTGGTTAGAACCTCCAGTACAATGTTGAATAGAAGTGGTGAGGGTGGACATGTACCACTTATCTCTCCTGGCCAAAATTATTTATGTCTTTGCTTAATAAAAACATTGAGTTGCTATTGTTATTGTTGTAGCTAGCTAAATTCATATTATTAACTTCTAGTTTCAGCATATTATCTTTAGAGAATGTAAATTGTACACTTTTGGTGGGTCACCTTTAGAGTTTTCTCTATTTCAATGTACATGGTTTTGTGAAAAAAAGACTGCATCTAGAGTTTGAGATATGCCTTTTATCCTACGTCAATATCTTAAATAGTCATTTAAGGAAACATCATAAAGTTACAGATTAAATGCTTTTGAGGATGTTTATGACCTCTCAAAACTCAACTCAAAAACCATAGCATTGAAATTGGGGGTTTAATATGCCTTTGCCAGAGTTACATCATTTGTAATTTCTTTCCCAGAATGGAGATAACCTGGTATACATATGAATATATATTGAGGGAATAAGGCTTGGGTGTGGCCATAATTAAGCCCCATATAGAGCAGCCAGTCATATTCAGCTGAGGGGTCTTTACTGTATATTCATAGATCCTTAGGTGGGTGGAAGAAGGTCGCAGAATGTTTGGAACGTATTTCTGACCCAGCTGAAGACAGCATTAGATCAAAACATAAAAGATGAAGGAGATAAAAAATGATAGACAACACTCTGTGCTAGATACTGTTCTAATCTTTACAAAATGTGCATGTTTAATCTCCACCACCATTCTTTAAAGTATCTGCATTTTACAGTGGAGGAAAGTGAGGTGCATAGACATTAAATAACTCACTCAAGTTCACACAGCTAACAAGTGACAGAGCTGGGATTTGAGCCTAGGCGGACTGACTTCTAAGCTGTGCTCTGACCACTAAGCTACAGTGCAGTGAAGATCAGTGGCAGAGGAGTGGTCAGGAGACTGCTGGCTTTGGGGGCTTCACAGAGAAGTTATTTGGTATCCCTGAGTTTCTCACACAGATTATCAAGAAGGAAACAGGGAGATTTCAGGCTGCATTTGGGAGGAGGGCTGGGAAAATATCTGGGTTAGATTTGTCATAGGGTCTTTAACATGTTCTTTTGCTTCAAAGGCTAGGAGAAAAGCCGTGGAAGCTCCATTCACTTATTGTAAATACTAATACTTTCTCTGAGCATAGGTACACTTCTGTCTACTTTCAGGGTGTGCCCAAGAAGTTGGTTCCCCTTATCTCCCTTCCAATTTTGTTCCTGGAAATTAAGCGTCCATGGGTATAAATGTTTTTCTGCTTTCTAAACAGTACCTTACCTGTTAGGGAGATTCCAAACTGTTCATTTCTGCTTTATATTTTTTGAATACCTTATGCTATTAGCTACACACATACAGATTTTTATGTATTTTTATATCTTCCTGGTGAATTTATCTTATGTGAGTATAGCTACACTAGATTTCTTTTAGTTGGCATTTTTATAGTCTATTTTTTTCTACCTTTTTACCTTTAATTTTTCTGGGTCCATATTTTTCAGGTGCATTTCTTATAAGCAGTACATAGTCAGGTTTATTTTTTAATCCAGTGTTTGAATTTTAATTGGAATGTTTAGTTTATTTACATTTAATATAGTTACCAATTTAGTTGGGTCGAAATCTCTCATTTGTCACATTTTTTAATGTTTCTTTTTCTCTCCTTTTGTGCTTTATTTTGGTTCAATTAAGTTCTTTTTATTTTCCCATTTCCCCCTCCTTTTAGATTATTGGTTATACATTATTTTACTTTTATTTTAATGGTTACTTTAGAGATTACAACATGCATTCTTGAGTTATTAAGGTCTAATAAAAATGAATAGACTTACCACTTTCTAAGCAATGGAAGAGGTCTTTGAACACTTTACCTCTATTTGCCCATGCCCCTTCCCTAGTATATATGTTATTGCTGTTGGGTATTTTAGTTCTTTAAATATTTTTATACCACATAAGACATTATTGTTTTTATTGTTTTATATTTGTTTATGGTTATTCTTTTTTTTTTTTTTTGAGATGGAGTCTTGCTCTGTTGTCCAGGCTGGAGTGCAGTGGTGTGATCTTGGCTCACTGCAACCTCTGCCTCCCAGGTGCAAGTAATTCTCCTGTTTCAGCCTCCCAAGTAGCTGGGACTACAGGCGCCGGCCACCAGGCCCAGCTACTTTTTATATTTTTAGTAGAGACAGGGTTTCACTATATTAGGCTGGTCTTGAACTCCTGACTTCAGGTGATCCACCTGCCTCAGCCTCCCAAAGTGCTGGGATTACAGGCATGAGCCATCGCACCCGGCCTGTTTACAGTTATTCTTTCTGATACTGTTTATTCCTTTGTCATCCCATGTGAGATCATGTTCCTGCCTGAAGAGTACCATTTAGTATAACTTGTAGTGTGTAGCTTTTTCTGCTGAATTATTTCCCCTTTTGTTTGGCTGCAAAGTGTCCCTATTCTGTATTAATTTAGGATATTTTCAGTGGATATAGAATTTAGGTGCAAAAGTCCTTAAGAAAATACCAGTGAGTAGAATCCTACAATATTTCTAAAAAATGATACACTATCTGGTAAATTTATCCATCCAATTTATCCAGGAATTTAGACGTCCATCCATCTGTCCATCCATCCATCCATCCGTCTATCCATCCACCCATCCAATTTGGTCGTCTACTATGTGTCAAGTATTGAGCTTGATGTCAAATATTTAGTGGTGAAGAAGACAGATATAATTCCTACCTTCATGGAGCTTACTATCTAGTGGAGAAGACAGATATTAACCTAGTAAAAAATATACATATAATATAAATTGTGGTAAGTTCTATGAAGGAAATGAACATAATATTGGATGGAGAATAACTAGAGTGGAAGGGGTATTCAGGGTAGTGGAGTGGACTTACATGTAGGAGTCTCTTGAGGTGACATTTAACTGAGACCTGAAGGAAAAGGAGCCAGTCATAGAAGGGCTGGGGTGGGGTGTGAGAAAGAATTTTTCAGAAAAGCAAGGTTTAATGTTAATACAATTTAATTTTGATATAATTTAATATTGATATAATGTGTTACCTTATAAATAATAGTGGGGAGCCCATATGATTTACCTTAAGAGATACCCAAGAGGCATTTGTTCTAGTCCAGGCTCTTTTGGTTTTAGGAAATAAAAATGCATTCAAGCTGGCTCAGGTGAAAAGAGGATTTTTTTGTTTGTTTGTTTGTTTTTTTGAGATGGAGTCTTGCTCTGTCACCCAGGCTGGAATGCAGTGGCATGGTCTCGGCTCATTGCAACCTCCACCTCCCGGGTTCAGGCAATTCTCGTGCCTCAGCCTCCTGAGTATCCTGGATTACAGGTATGTGCCACCACACCCGGCTAATTTTTATATTTTTAGTAGAGATGGGGTTTCGCTACATTGGCCAGGCTGGTCTTGAACTCCTGACCTCAAGTGATCTGCCTGCCTTGGCCTCCCAAAGTGCTGGGATTACAGGCGTGAGCCACTGCGCTGGGCTGAAAAGAGGATTCTTGTAAAGGCTCAGGGCTCAATAGAGCAGAGGTGGCTGTGAGCCAGGTACCACAAGAACAAGAACGAAAAAGTGCTTGAGAATGGGTGTGACTTTCTCTCTTCCTATTAGACGTGCTGTTTCTTTTTCTCTGTGAATCTGCCTCATTGTTTCCTTTTGCAAAATGGCTTCCTCAGCTTAGCCACCTGCTTGCTCATGGCCCACCATTGATGGCCCCATTCCCTCAGCCCCATTTTCTCTGTCACAGACTTTCTTCTTCAAAGGAATTCATGGACTAACCAGAGACCTATGACTTGTGTGACCAATACATTGACCCCTCAGGGTCCTCAGGGCCTGCCACAGTCCAGTAACTGCGTCTGGAACAAAGGGACGGGATATCTGGGAAGAAGGGAGGGTCTCTGGCCGACATCTTGGAAGGTGTTAGAGGCACACAGAATCCACATTTGGCAGAACGCCCAATGGCCATTGCTTGAATCGGTATTCTACGGAATCAGAATATCTGCATCTTCAAAAGAACTTTTGGTTATGAGAAGAGAATCTGAATTTCATGAAAAAACTGATTATTACAATTTTATTGTTAAAAATTAATAATTGTAGCAGATGCTATTTTCGCCACATCATACGCCCTCAGACCACCTAATTTCAGTTGCAGCTTTGGAAAAGCTTCCTGTGCTCAGTAGCAGTGTCACGTATCAGGCCCCTAAGATTTGTGCTGTGTGTGTGTGTGTGTGTGTGTGGTGGGGGTGGAGGATTAATGACCCTATGGCAACTCTCACCATTGGGTGATGGAAGTCAGTAGTTAATGCCTTCTGATGTTCAGAGGCTCAATTCAGAGGTGGCATTCTACATATTTCCTCAGTGAGTGTCCAGTAGGATTGAGTCCCAATTTTGCATATTGGTAGTCAGCTCACTGCTAATTTCCCATTGCTGACTTTTCCTCATTCTCTGTCTCAGTCTTCTTAGTCTCTCACTCCTGCTTCCTGAGATTGCCTCTAAAATAAAAGATCTGCCCCAAATTATTATCTGAGGCCCTGTCTTTGGGGGAACCCAGATTTAAAAATTTTGTATTGTAGAGGAGGGACAGAATTTTGTAGCAAACTCAGTTGCTGGGTCGCTCTTAGACTCATTGTTCTGCCTATTCCTAACACTAAATAGATGTTCTGTTTTGGCTGATAGAGATTATATTCACATCATTGCCTGTTTGGATCAGAGGCCTCTCAAGGGAGCAGATTAGACTTCAAAGAAACCAACCACAAGAAGGAAATCTTGTAGAGGAAAGCTTTCTGAGAAACCTCCTCCCATCTTTCTCCTCTCCTTTGTCTTTGTGTGCAACTTCCTCCACTCTAGTCTGAGCTCAGGGCTCAGGCCAGGCTGCTTCCTGTTGGCAGGTTGCTGGGGTGTAGACTGTCAGACAGCAAATAAAAAGAGCTATGAAATCATAACCATTCTCTAAAGAGTTAACTCTTCTGTGTGAGACTAACACAGAGGGTAGAATGGATGTGATTAAAAATTTTTGTCAAATCCACCTAGGCTGTGACAGAATTCTTGGTAAGTCATGGGTCAGAACATACAATGTATTTTTGCCTAGAAGCAAAGCTCCTCATGGTAGATGGGGAACCAGGGAGGGTCGCAAAGACCTATTTGACCTTCAAGGGGTCTGATTATAGCACCCAACACAACATACCAATAATGCAGTCCCACAAGACCCAGGGATCCCATATGACACTGTTCTCTTACCTCCAGAGACATACGGTGGTCCACCCAAAGCCTCATATCTCTGACGATTTTTTTCCACAGAATGTTACCATGTTACCTACCATGCCTCAGGCATTGAGCTAAACGACCAGGCTACAAAGATGCACAGAGATGCCTTACCTTGAAGAGTTCAAGACCTGGGGTACAGAATGGCCAGGGGCACAAGACAGCTCATGGAGGAGGAACGAAAAGTCCGGCACCGTGAGATGAGTATTCAAACGCAAGTATGCAAGGGGCCTTGGGGTGGGGGCGTTATCTTTTTTTTTTTTATTATACTTTAAGTTTTAGGGTACATGTGCACATTGTGCAGGTTAGTTACATATGTATACATGTGCCATGCTGGTGCGCTACACCCACTAACTCGTCATCTAGCATTAGGTATATCTTCCAATGCTATCCCTCCCCCCTCCCCCCCCCACCACAGTCCCCAGAGTGTGATATTCCCCTTCCTGTGTCCATGTGATCTCATTGTTCAATTCCCACCTATGAGTGAGAATATGAAATACCATTTGACCCAGCCATCCCATTACTGGGTATATACCCAAAGGACTATAAATCATGCTGCTATAAAGACACATGCACACGTATGTTTATTGTGGCATTATTCACAATAGCAAAGACTTGGAACCAACCCAAATGTCCAACAATGATAGACTGGATTAAGAAAATGTGGCACATATACACCGTGGAATACTATGCAGCCATAAAAAATGATGAGTTCATGTCCTTTGTAGGGACATGGATGAAATTGGGGGCGTTATCTTTTCATGCTCCAGGAAGGCTTCAGAAGAAAGTGAGGTGCCTGTGAGCCTGTTCTTGAAGGAACAGAAGTTTGCTCAGGCAAAGATGTAGAAAAAGTCTTTCCCAGCAAAGGGAACTACGAAGATAGAGAGGTGTGAGGGGCCTGGCAGAGCCAGAGACAAGCAGACAGCTTGAGAGTGGTGGCTGCTAACGGATGGTGGCCTGCTGACAGATTGTGCTGGGGCCACAGGGTGGTTTCTTAACTGGAACCACACTTAAGGATGGAGATATTTTATGAAAAGGGCCAGATTTTCTGTTTCTCTTGAAAAAAAAAAATAGTAAAACTGACCTCCCTGCTGGAGATCCACTTTAGACTGGGACTGAGAAGTGAACTCCTCCTTCAGCGGTGGTCAGTGCCTGCCAGTACATCACTATGTCCACCACAACCCTGGATTCAGACTCATTCATCGTCATTCATGCTTTCATCAAGCAGTTGCACTAATTCAGATGACTCACTTCACTCCAGGAGGTGTTTGACTTTTCAGCCTCTGGGTAAGCATCATTGGATACTAAAGAGAGAGGAAGGGTAAGATTGGCAGAGTTCAACTGGCAACTGTGGGAAGGCATTACCACCCCAGTACTGAAGGGGCAAGTGGAGGACGTGGTGTCCTGAAGCCCAGTGGGAGTGGGGCTGGGGAGTAGGGGCCCAGGGAGCCTAGCCTTGGGGACACAGTTGCTGCCAGATATGCAGCATTGGAGCAGGGAGGGAGCGAGGATGACAAGTCCCCATGTCTCTCCTCCTACACGCACTCCGATCTCCTGCCAGTGCCTCCCACTGGCTGAACTGGAAGCCAGAGGACAAGAGAGCCCTAAGGAGGTGGCCCAGAGGGGTCAGCTTCTGGGCACAGCGCAGACATGGGGAGAATGGATCTGGGAGTGGCAAATGACTGGCACAAATAGGCACCTAAGGAGTGGAAAGCACCAGAGAGAGCCCTCTCCTGATGAGAGTCGCTGGGGATGTGGTCCCTGTGTGGGGGCCATCCTTAGGATGGCTCTGATGTTAGGAGATGGGAGGTAAGGGGATTGAGCAGGGCCTGAGATCCCCCTCCATCACTGGGAAGCCCTGGGAGGACAGAGGATCAAATCTGAACTCGCAAAGATTATTCCAGAAGGGTGCAGTGGGAGATGGAGGCTTGGAGCTAAATAGGGGTAACCCATGGACTCATAGGTAGGAGACGGTGGTCAGATGCCCCAGGTCTTCTGGCTTATGCTCTAGTTCACCAGGAGACCCTCTGGGCCCTGGTTGGTACCCACCTCTGTGTGATCACTTTGGAATTAGGAGGCACACTTGCCTGGAGGACAGCCAGAGCCAGCAGGCAGCTCTGTCAATGAAACAGAAGCTTCTACTGAGACAAAACTAAACTGTCTCCTGGCCTTGCCCCTTGAGGTCAGACCAAACCTCCTTATGTCTGAAGACAGTTGTCCTCACTCCTCTGGGTCATTAACCACTTGGAAAAGTGATGTCCTGAAATCATCACCCCCTGGTTTGGTCCCATTTGCTACTGGCTCTATGAAAATATTTCTCTTGGGCACCTCCCACCTCACAGCTTCTTTTACCTTGAAGGTCAGTGGGGGACAAGGCGAGGGGGGCCTCCCTAGAGCTGGACAATATATTGATAGCATTTAGGATCACATCAGATTTTTTTATTCCAAGAATCAGGCTGTGCTTATGAGATTCAGCTCACAACCCTGGGCTAAATCGGTGGGAATTAGACAGACAGGCACAGGAGGCTCAGAAGGAAACAGTAACATTCCAGGGTGACACAGCCAGCAAGAAGCAGGCTGTAGTGAAACCCTGGGCCTTTGCCTCCAAGCCTCCTCCCACCACAGGGGCTCTGGACCTCTGCACTCTGGTTAGGGGGCTTCTTTCACAAGGGCTGGTGGGAGAGTTATGCTGCAGTGGAGGGGTGTGGCTGTTTGCTCTGATCTGGTAGGACATGCTTTAAGTGATGCTGGCTCCTCACAGCCCAGTTCTCCTGGGATGTCACATGTCCAGAATCCCTTCCTGCAATGTGCAGGACTAACAGCTGAAGCCCCAGCCCCAGGTTAGTGGAGATGTCCTCTTGCCCAGCTCTCAACTTCACCTACTTCCTGCAGGGGAAGCTCTGCAGGTCTTGGGATGGAGGTCCTTAAGGACTCTGGGTCCCAGGCACCTGTGCAGATGCACAAGCCTGAGGTTTCCATTGGAGCAAATGGTCCTGGAAAGTGGTCTCCCCTTCCCACTTTCTCTCTTTCTCTTTCAGCATAAATGCCCAACTTTCTTTTATTCCCAAGTGTAAAATTTGGCTCCTAAAAAGCCACTGCCTTCGGAGGCCAAGGCGAGTGGATCACTTGAGGTCAGAAGTTAGAGACCAGCCTGGCCAACATGATGAAACCCTGTCTCTACTGAAAATACAAAAGTTAGCCAGGCGTGGTGGCTGGTGCCTGTACTCCCAGCTACCTGGGAGGCTGAGGCAGGAGATTTGCTTGAACCCAGGAGACAGAGGTTGCAGTGAGCTGAGATCATGCTATTGTGCTCCAGCCTGGGTGACAGAGTGAGACCCTGACTCGAAAAAAAAAAGCCACTTCCCACTTGTGCATGACCTATGACCTCAAGCACCAGCCACAAGGCACTCCTTACAGGAGTACCCACAGGAGATTTCTCACTTCTCTGCCTTAGGTGATCCCACTTGAGAGGAGGCCCAAGCTTCTGTCTCCCCAGAGGTGAACATCTGTTGGATATTAAGGAATCTCCTTGAGGATGGGCCAGGGTGGGGTGCGCTGGGTGAGCACCAGGTACTCTTAGCTCCAGGCATCACACTTCTCCCATGCCACCTGCTCCCTGCGGCCTCGTGTATTCGAGAGGGGAGTAGGATATGGATTAGAATCACCTGGAGAGATTTTTAAAGTGATGCCTAAGGTCCATCCCCATATATTCAAATTCCTTATTGATCTTGGGTGGCAGACACCACGCTATGAAACAGGCATCGCTAGACACAGCTTCTGTGACTGCAAGCAATTCACTCCTGACTTCTGGAGGTGAAAGGCTGTGGTGGAAATCTCAGAGCCTGCTGGAAGTAGCAAGTCCTGCAGAAAGCAGTTGCGGAAGAGAGGTTTCAGGAGCCAGGGGGAAAAAAGTGCTCATAGTGAAGCTCTGAGTTAGAGAGGAAGCAAGGCAAGGATTATACTCAAATGTCCCCAAACAGCCAGGCATAAGTCAGGGCAACTAGGAAAGATAGGGGTCTGAAGTTTGGGCCAACAGGATCCAAAAAGGCTAGACCCAAAGCATCCAGAACATGGCTTTCAAGTTGTCAACTGCAAGTCAACTGGATGAGGAAAGGTCTGGCTTGATTCAAAGTTGATCGGTGCTTTTTCCTGGAATGGGTCCTCCCCACCCCAGACAGTTCAGTGCACCTGACCAGGACAAGGGGCAATCACTGGACCTTGGTTCTGGCAGGCAGGCAGCCTTGGCAGGTAGATGGTTTAGAAATTGGGAAGGAGGAGAAAAAATGGGGACTAGTGAAAAATCCCACTGGTTAGGAAGAAGGCCTGGAGATGTCTCTAAAGACTGAATAGGGTCATGAGGAGGAAGACCAGGTTTGGGTAGCAAGTCTCCCCACTCTCTCTTAAGAGGTAGGGAAAGACTTTACTGAGGGCCAGATGCCAGGCCAGGGAGCTTGGGATGAAGAATTCCTTGAGTTTCCATCTTTCTGCAAGTTTGGCTGATCCTAAGCCCTCTGGGGTCTGGACAGCAAGCTCCACATGCTCGTCCCTCCCTACAAAGAGTAGAACCTTCTTTGGGGCCCAGGATTTTATACTGTGCAGCAACGATTTCACCCTCCACTTCTCTGTGAGTGCTTCCTATGTTGCATATGTGAAACCCACCCACAGGTTAGAAGTGCAGAGGCCTGGCTGGGTGCAGTGGCTCATGCCTGTAATCCTAGCACTTTGGGAGGCCGAGGCGGGTGGATCACAAGGTCTAGAGATTGAGACCATCCTGGGCAACATGGCGAAACCCCATCTCTACTAAAAATATAAAAATTAGCTGGGCGTGGTGGCGCACACCTGTAGTTCCAGCTACTCTGGAGGCTGAGGCAGGAGAATTGCTTGAACCCGGGAGGCAGAGGTTGCAGTGAGCCGAGATCACACCACTGCACTCCAGCCTGGGTGACAGAGTGAGACGCCATCTCAAAAAAAAAAAAAAAAAAAAAAAAAAAGTGCAGAGGCCTTACTATGGGCTTGTAAGATCCGGTTGACAGTTTTAGAACAATTCCTTATAATTAGAGACTGGGTGGTAGGGAACAGGGGTGGGTGAGCCCAGGGGTATGGTGGGAGATGGACAGATCTATTTTTTTCCTTCAACTAGGCTGAGCAGAGAAGATCCAGATAAATGCAGCCCTTCATTCAAGGCTACACTTTCTGATGGCTATTACATTTGAACTCCAAGAGGTAAACTCTGTTTCACTTCTTCTGCAAAGCCTTTTCAAAGCTTTTCCATAAAACTGTAGCTCAACACTAAGTAAGTTGTCCCTTCACTGAATCCTATAGCACAGTAGTTCTTAAATTTGAGCATCAGCCAAGCGCAGTGGTCCACGCCTATAATCCCAGAACTCTGAGGCCAAGGTGGAGGATTGCTTGAGCCCAGGAGTTTGAAACCAGCCTGGAAAACACAGGGAGACCCCGCCTCTCTACAAAATTAAAAAATATATAAAAATTTTGAGCATGTATTAGAATCACCCAGAGGGCAGAGAGAGTATGGAGCACCCCCACAGTATAGTAGGTCTGGGCTGGAGCCCAAAGATTTGCATTCCTAACAAGTTCACAGGTTATACCAATGCTGCAGGTCTGGAACCATGCTTTGAGAACCACAGCTGTTAACATATATGCTCTACCTTATAATTTCATCTCTTATTTGTATTGTCTAGAAATAGTCCTGAATTATTCTTAGCGTATCAGTCTGTCTTCTCGACCAGATTTCAATTCCTGCAGTGGCAGAGGTTGTATATATTTTCTACCACATCAATTAGCATTATTGGACACATAGTCTACTAAGTACTTATACACTGGGAAGAGCTTCAGAGAACTTGAATTCTTCAAGGAGACAGGGATCAACTATGGTTAATTATAGGATTTCCACATTTTGCAAAAGATCATCTAATTTTTCCTCATCATTCATATTTGCAGAGAAAAGTCTTCATTTCCTTGAGCAATATCCTAATCTCATTAAAGAAACACTCCAGTCTTGATTTAGGAAAAAAAGATTCATTCCTTCATCCTTCCAAATAAGGTACAGTACAACTCAATAACAATGCACATTACTGAAAAACACAATTGCGTCTTATATTGCTCACTACTCTTTAAGTATAATTCAGATATTAAGGAAAATAACTGCTAATCACATTAACACATTACAGAAATCAAAATTAACTTACCACACAAAATAAATTAAAACATTAAATATTAACCTTTTCAGTGCAACATATACAGACATCAGAGTAAGGAGTTCTAAAAAAAAGCATCAGGTTTATTATAATAAAGATAATGAAAAGTTGACCATTTTAGTAAATTATTAAGACTAAGAAGAGGAGTTGCTTTTTCAGTACTCTCTCTCTCTCTGTGTGAACCACTAGATCTTTCAGAAAGCCTGGTAAATCAATGGCTAGAGAGAACAGGTCTTATGTTAGAACATTTAAAAATATACATGTTTGTCTTACTTCTGCAATGTGTTCTTGGTTTTGGGCATTTGAGTCATTCCTCCTTCTGTGACTGGGCAGGTTGGAAGAGATCAAAGCCCAGAACCAACTAGAGGGCAGGGGTCTCCTGAGCAGTGTTAGAGCCTCATTAGTCCATCCCGGCCAAATTGACTGAAAAAGCAACTGGTGACCCATGTGCCCTCGAAAACCTGGCTTGAAGATAACAGGCAGTTTTCTGTACCTGCAAAACACAATCCCTTGAGAAGCTCCAGAAGCACAAATTCTCCTCCCTTACCAGTGTGGGTGGGTGAGTGGCAATCCCATCTTTTTCTCCTTTCTCAGGGAAAAGAACTCTAGGGCCATTCTGCCCATCTCTCCTGCGGGGACACAATGGCCAGCCCATCCCTGGCTTGGTTCCACGTGTGTCCAGCCGGGGCCCTGTCTTCCAGATCAGGGTTGGCTGCTGTCTATCTTTCCATGTAGAAGAAAACATTTCCTGTCAGGATGCTTAAAAAAAGTCACAGCCTGTAGAGCAGTGGGAAAAATCCAGGCTCCATAAGAGTATTGGAGGCCTTTTAAAAAATGTTTGTTATTTTTTTAAATGGGGGCTTTTCATTGTCTCCTGAGCCATTGGAAACAGCGATGCTCCCCACTGCCAGGTGTGTGGCAGCTTACCAGGTCAGGATGTTAAATGATTCTCTAATTGTAGTGAACAATTCATTTTCTAAAGGGCAAGGAAACACAGGGAGCTTGCAGAGATGGATTAGAAGATGCATTTTTAACTTGAAATGGAGTATTTTTGCAGCTAACCAAAGACTACCATTGCCATTAAATGGCAGAGGGATCCAATGCTTATCAGTCATTTGATTTCTAGAAGAAAAATCCCCAAATAAGCCAGGCTGTTCTATCCTGAGGCATGGACAATGGTCCAACCAGGCTTGCATTGATGCAGCCTCTTTTTCAGACCTGCTGGTTTCCAAAGGACTGACTTGGAAGGCACTTCTAGGGAGGCGTATATGTGAGGCCTCTCACTGCATGTGTGTTACAGGCATAAGGATGAGGGCACTGGCAGGTGTGACTTGCTGGACCTAGGAACTAGAACATTCACAGACACTAAATCTCAAGTCTTCGCAGGGAACCTCTGCTTCCGCCATCTGTCCAGCCTCATTCCTACGCCTCTGCAAAGTCTCTTGGATGCTAACTACTGATTGATAGAGGTCTAAAAACCAGTGTCCGTTGATTGGTCTCTAAGCAGGATGCTACAGTCAAGCCTCAACCCACATATCTGGCCCAAGGGATGTAAACTTGAACTTATTTTAGTAATTTAAAAACCTGGAGCTGTGTCAACTACGTTGCTAGGGGGTCAGCTCTGAACAGATCCAAGTGCTTCAGGTGTGGCATTGTTAAATAAGAGTGCCAAAAATGAAGACACGGGTCATAGAATTGTCTGAATTATAAAAAAAAATAAAGAGAAAATTCATAGAAATTGTTCTTCCAGACCAAGGAAGAAGAATTAGGGGAAGACAAAATTCTCTGAAAATTTCAAGCCAATTTAACATATTTTAAATGTACCTTTCACGATGTAATAAGCTAGGTGCACTTAAGAGTTAATACATAGAAATCTTTCACTTTTCAGATATTAGTAGCATTTCCTCACATAAGGAGTTTATATATTATTTCTTCATTACTCTGTTTCCAAATTTTAATGAAAATTCCTAGGGATGAGCTATCCACTATGTATTTGAAGGGACCCACTGTTTCTCACAGGCAGGCCCCATGGGTCAGATGGACCCAGATGCTCAGGGGAACAATTGCTCCTTCTCTTGAGGGGAAAGGAAGACCCACATAGTGGAGGTGACTTGTTAGAGTTTTTGTTAATAAAGCCGGCATCCTGAATGGAAATGAGGAAAAAAAAATTACTGGAATAGTTTTCCTAGTGCTCGAAAATAAATAGCAAAGTTAAACTTCTCCTTTTAAAAATAAAGCAACAAACCAACCAAGCAACAAAATGGAAAATAAATGACTGGTCCCCCTTTCATGGATTTGGCCTGAAATGCCTATGGCTCGTGGCTAATGTTCTATTTCTAAACATACTTACCGAGGGCTCACGAGGAAGTGAACCCATTTAATCACTGAGCAGTACAATATGTATTGGGTTTATCCTGTGTAGACACACACACTCTTCCTCTCTCCCCAACAGAGGGGACAGATCCCTGCTGATGGATTTGCTAAGTTTTCTCCCAGAACGTATTGAGGCATTTACCGGCTTTGTGGCTTCAATGGCACCATTTCTGAACCCCTACCTTTATTCCTACCAGTAACCCAGCCTCTGGTTCCATCTCCGCACCCTGGAAGACTTTTCCCAAGCCTTAGCTGTCTTGAAGAGGCCAGACATTTCTAATCAGTATAGCTTTTCAGTCAGCAACACATACATCATTAATGTAGAAGTCTGAAGGGGTTTTATACTTTTTACATTGACTTAAGAGATTAAAAATAAAACCATTATCCATCTAATAAATAAGACATCATCTCCAAGGGTGGCGATAGCTTGGGATGGTCTTCAATGTCATGTGTCCATGGAAGATGTTGGGCTGGTTGAGGGTCTCGTGGTTAGAGGATACAGCTTCTCTTAAAGCTAGGGTCTTCATGTGATATTAAACAGTTTCCCCTCCTTCACTTTCTTCCCCAGTAGGCAAATGACAGAAAACAATAACTATAGAAATCTCCTGTGTTGGGCAGAATTCTGTTGTGGGGAGGTGGCCCATTAAAAAGAAATATATAGCCTGGAATCCATGGCTGGCAGAAGACAACTGCACACATGTGGACTCAGACACCAACTGCTGCACACACCTCACCTAGGTGAACAGGAGTCCGTCTCTTTGCAGTTCTTTTTTAACAAGTCTTGAAATCGTGGTCCGCTGATTTCTTCTCTAGGTCACACTGAATAACCCCAAGCAGACGGAGTTCTTGACAGAGTTTTGAAGGCCCACAAAAGGCTGCACAGGTGATTACAGGCCAAGTAGGAAGGTCTGTGGCACACCCAGGCATCTCTGGCAGTGCTGTCCTGAAGAAGCCTTTCTTTATTGATCTGCCACAGTCCACCTGGCCAAACTCCTCCTCTGGGCTCTTCAGACCACTGGCAGGAAGGAAAAACAGGTTAAGCACTGTGGGCCACACCCTGGCCACGTTGGGAAAATAAGCTTAGGAAAGAGACTTGGAGATGGCAGAGCCAATGTCACCAAGTTCTCTCGGGCAGTTAGGCCCGAGTCCAAATTCTGCTGGTTCAGTCTCAGGGACCGCAACCTCTGACCTAGTACTTTCAGTGCCAAAGGAAGCTAGAGAGACTGATTGAAAGTGAGTGAGTGAGTGAGTGATAGCAGAAGGAAGGCAGATGGGGGGGAGCGGGGGGATGCCCCCTGTTGTGAGGGTCTCATTTTAATCTGGCCTGCAGTCAGATCCTGTAAGGGGTGGCTTGGTGGGCAGCCCTAGTCCAGGGCTCTGGTGGCAGAAAGGCTTCCCCTGAGGCCATACAAGAATGGACCCATTTATTTTTCAATGGCTGGGCCCTGAGGGTATCCTCTGTGTCTGTCGTGGTGAGGCAGCATGGACCGTCCTCAGTTCCTGAGTTCAGCTTAGCCTGGACATGTCTCTAGGTCCTTGCCATGGTTCTTCTAGAGGTGCTCACAGGTGAGTACCACTGGTTCACCCATCCTTTAGGCCCAGCAGGCCTGACAGGTGCTATATGAGGTTGTGATATGCACCATCTGAGGGAGAGGGACTTCAGCCCAGGTTGCCATCTCTAAAGGCCAGACCCATCCCCAGGCTTAGAGCTAACTTCTTAAATGTGGGTAGAGAAGAAGTGACATTAACAAGAAACTTACTCCACCCCAAATGACTCTGTTAGGTTCAGACAAATGCTACAGAATCTATTACAAATTTTCTTAAAAGATTAAAAACATTTTTCTATTGGTGCTAAAAGAAAAAATAAAAATATTTACCTTCATTAGCTCAATAGATTAGCCCAAGGTAGCTGAAAGGAGATGTTGAGAGGGGGCTTTAGAGGCCCTGGTTCTCATCCTCACTCCCCCACTGATTCCCAGTGGGACCCAAGCAGGCTGTCATCAGACTCAGTTTACCCACATCGCTCATGAGCCATCCTCTTCCTAAGACCACTGTAAGGCTGAATGGATTTGCATCCTCAAGAGCTGTGGCTCCTAAATCTCAAGTGCCGCTCCCGCACTCTCTGTGTGCTCCCTTACTGTGCACGATGACTATGGTTATTGAAATAAAGAACAAACACATATGTTCTTGGGGCTTCAGCTCCCTCCAGATGACCATGAGCTCTAATGAATGCACATGTGTCCAGCCTCCCAGAAGCCTTCCTCCCTACCCTCTCCATGGACCCTGGAACTTCTGAACGCCAACTGTTTACTAGGGAAGGACACCTCTGGGTGGATTCGCTTTAATGACTGTCTCTTGACCCACTATGTCCTCAAGAAGAACTTTACGATGGGCTCTCTTGGTCAAAATTGAATCCCTGAAAAGCTGGCCGGTGTGAGACTTTTCCAGCCCTGTTTGGATGAAGGACTCTTCACCTCCACAAGCACAGAGCCACTGATGCTCCGAGGAGGCTCCTGAGGTGCAAGCTGGGCCCCACATCCTGATGTCTTCATGGATGTTGGCGAAAATATCCAGGAAACAAGGTAAACTTAATGAAGATCATAGGATCTAAGGGTTTTAAGGTCATTAGAGACCTTTCATAGGCCAAATTCCTCCTTTTACAGATGAAAAAGGGGAAGTGACTTTCTCAAGGGAAAGAGAATGAACATCTCTTGAGTGCCTACAATTGGGTGATACACTATACTAGGTATTTTATATCAGTACTCCTCCAATTTGCACATCTTTTTAAGAATAAGAAAACCGAGGGTAAGCCGGGCACAGTGGCTCATGCCTGTAATCCCAGCACTTTGGGAGGCCGAGGCAGGCAGATCACCTGAGGTCAGGAGTTTGAGACCAGCCTGGCCAATACTGCGAAACCCCGTCTCTACTAAAAATACAAAAATTTTCTGGGCGTGGTGGTGGGCAGCCTGTAATCCCAGCTACTCGAGAGGCTGAGGCAGGAGAATCACTTGAAACTGGGAGGTGGAGATTGCAGTGAGCCGAGATCACGCCATTGCACTCCAGCCTGGGTGATAGAGTAAGACTCCGTCTCAAAAAACAAAACAAAACAACAAAACAAAAAAACTCTGAGGCTGTGAGAGGTGAGTAACTTGTCAAAGGTCCCACAGCCACCAGCCAGGATGTAAGGGGTCCCTACTAAGTAAAAGGCACCTATGAATAAACTAAACCTGACTTGGTAGAATGAAACAGTCTCTTCCTTTTCTCCTCTCTTCCTGCTTCATACTCCAGGAACTTCTGCCCTGACTTGGAGAAGGTGGTCGTTTTCTCCACCCAATAGTGTCTCCCACCAGAGAAGAGTCTCCTTACCTGTTTCTGAGTGGCAGCAAGCGGTTCTTCCCTTCAGGAGGGCGCTGGGCTTCTCGTGCCGGCAGATGAGGGCCCGGCACCACTCACAGTGTTTTCGGACCTGGCAGCAGCTGCAAAGACACAGAGGACCCAGTCTGGGCAGGAGCCTGGTAGGAGGGCCAGGGTGGTACAGCATCTGCCCTAGGGGCCTGCTGGGCAGCTCCAGCTCTAAACCAGCTCCAAACCAGCTCCCCATGGGGGCTTCTAGAGGGACAGGCACCATAGGGGGCTGAGGGCATTGTAGGGCAGTGGTTTTTTGGGGCAGATGCTGGCCAACAACAAAAGCATCTGTTGGCTACCCTAAAGTATTTGCTCTGTTTCTGCAAGCTGACCTGGCTCCAGCTTCCCCAGCTGTCAGAGAGAACTGGTCCTCCACTCGGCTTTCTTGATAAAGAACCAGGTGGGTAATTCCACAAGTGTAATGGCCTCAGAATTGGGACAAAGGACTGGGATAAAGTGGCCACCTCCAGCTGGCAGGGCTGTGAGGGTTTAGGAAGAGGTTATTCATCTGGTATTGCCAGTAGCAGAACAAGGAACTTGGATGGCTGAATTGACCCATGGAAAAAAATGGAAGAATGAGTTATGGATCTCAATGGCTTTGAATCCTGCTTTCAGGACTAAAATTCTCTAGTTTTGGAACATCTACCCTCTCTGTAAACCTGTGTGACCCGGAGTCCTGAGGCATCAGGGTTATAAAGGCTCCTGCCTCCCTCTGTGGGCAGGAATGGAGAGTTTTCAGACTTTGCATGAAAAAAAAAAAGCCCCAAAAGAACAGAAAAGAAAGCACTGAGTGAGAGATGAGTTCCCCACAGACGCTACCAGCCATTTCCCTTGGGCTATCGTGGAGAACTTTGTTTCCACTCATTCTAACCCTAATTCGTATATAATTTATGTATCCCTGGGCTAGGGTTGGAGTTAGGAGAAATTTCCTAAGGTGAGCCAGGTGGCAGAGATGAAGAAATAAGCCTGTTGCTGGGCTTCTCTCTTGGTATCTGGTGGGCATTTCACGATTCCCATCCCAGCCCCTGTCTTGGCACTGTCCTGCAGTGAGAAGCTGCAAAGGTTACTGGAGCCCCTGAATCTTTGGACAGCAGGGCTAAGGAGGAGGCTCTGAGACCTTCCTGCCCAAGCTGCTTATGTTACAGGTGAAAACCGGGAGCCCAGAGCAGTGTGCCTGGGCACGAGGCCCTTCTGAGTTGCAGAGTCTGGGCTGGAAACAGTACATCCCATGCCAGGGGGCTCTAAAGGCCTTGGTTCCAGAGCCATCAATGACTACTTTCTCACAGTCAGCCAGCCAGGTGGACTTGTCCTTGTCACTTCCCAGATAGGAGCATCCCCGGGCAATGGGATCAAGGCCTCTAGATCCCTCCAGCATGGGACAAGCTGGTCCCAACTTGGACCCTGCAACTCAGGAGGGCCCTAAGCCCAGGAAGCCAGCAGCCTGGCAGGAGTGAGAGCTTAGTCTCTGGCTCATGGATTCTGAACTTGGTCTCTGGCAGGGAGACCAAGGCTGGGAAGGGACACAGGAGTTGGGACTGGCCGCCTCCCTGGAAATGAGAGATGCTGTCTAGGCACCTAGATCATTCCTGTTTCCAGACAATCTGCCAAAATTAGCTCTTAGGTCCCTCTGGGGAGGCCTGTGTGGGCCACCAGTCTTGTTCCTAAGTCCCTGTGACCCTCCTGGCCATAGACACAGGACAATGGAAGGATGGGGCAGCACACACAGCTACTGGCCATGAGAAGCAAGGCTGGCAGCCCACTAGCTTGCTCCTGCTCCTCGAGGAGGGCCCTTCTGAGTGACAGAGCCTGGGCTGTGGCCCAGTCTGAACCAGAGCTACTTGTCTTCTCCCAGCAAACATGTTTTTCCAAGGCCCCTGGAAGCAGAATGGATACTGCTTGGTGGGGAGGGAAAGGCCAGCCCAGCTCAGACCTCAAACCTCACCACTCAGTGCTGCCTTGGTCCAGGAGAAGGATGTGAGCAGGTTGTGGCTACTGTCAACAAGCTGGGGCTCTAACGGGTGCCTCACTGTTACCAGAACCAGGGCCATGTGTTTCAGATGTCTCAATAGCCACAAACCAAAGGGACAGTTTGTTTATCTGTCCAAATCTTAGGCAACCTTGGAGGGTGTAAGTCTGGCTTCTTGCATCGACATGTAGCTACTGACCACAACCTTGCCAGAGGGGCCCATCCACTGACTGTCTCCACCATGAGTTAACCTACACTGAATTGAATGGCAGCCTTTAACTGTCCTGTGACTTCTTTGTGCATATCCAATTAGGTATATTAGGTTGGTGCAAAAGTAATTGTGGTTTTGGCCTTAAAAAGTAATGGTGAAAACTGCAATTACTTTTGCACCAACCTAATAAATCCCCTAAGACTCAGACTTTAGATATTTCCAGGGAATAAATCTGGCATAGTTCCAAATGCTAGGAATATTGCACTGTATTCCCAGGGTCTCTGACCCTGCACAGCAGTCCAGTCAGGAGATGTGGGCAAGCAAATGGGGCCAGGACACACCTGAAAAGGTCTCTCCTGGTCTAGGCCCCAGGGAGGCTTCCTGGAAGATACAACACAGCAACTGAGTTTTGGAGGATGAGGAGGGGCAGAGAAGTGGACAAAGAGGAAGGGCTGTGCAGAATGATGGTCATCAGCCTGTAACAGCAACAATGGCCCTCGACATGTATTTGCAAAGTGACTTCTGCAGAGAGGAAGTACTTCTGGTGCTGATGGAAGGAGGCTAGGAGCTGTCTCTAGTCCTCTCTGGAGCACCTGCCCATGTCATCACTATTCTGAAGACTCCAACAACCGTGGAAAGAACGAGCATGCCTTTGGTTCTGCACTGGCCTCCACAGTGCACCAACCCCCCAGCTGGGGATCCGCCCAGGATGCATGAGGCTTTCATGCAGCTTGGCTGCCACGCCATGCCAACAGTCATCAAAGTAGCATTTAGCTTTCCTGACAGCACTCAGACATCCCAGAAATAAGCTGTGCTGAGGTGGCCCTGTTATCTGGATATACTGCGGATGTCCCTGGTAGGGGAGGTGGGCAGGGGACCTGGCCTTAGGGGCAGCAAGTACTCACTGTATCAGCACACATGTGATGATAAGGACAGCCAGGGCCACGATGGAGACCACCACCAAGGCGGTGATGGCCTGCTTCTTCTGGCTGGCAGCCACCACGGCCAGGAGGTCCGCATGCTCACAGCGTGCACCAACGTACCCAGAATGGCAGCTGGGGAAGAAAGGAACGTCAGTGCACTCTCCTGACAAAAGGTCTTGTTACCCTAGCTCTCCAGGGAGGGCTTTCCTGGAGGGACCCAGAGCCTGCAGGTAAAGCCCAAAGGGGCCCTGCCAGCTTTTGCAATTGGAGGGAAAGGTGTCAGCAAAATGCCTGTTTCCCTGTCGCAGGCACCGCTGCTTATGTGGAGAAGGGAAGGGGAATCTAATCATCCTTATCATCTGCGGAGGCAAGCTACGGCTGAAGCAATCCATGACTATTGTGACTGTGCCAAATCCTGGAGGAATAAAGGCAGCACATGTGTTCATGACATAAGCCTCATGTTGGCAGTTCATAAAAAATCCAGGTTAGTTTTAAACCAAATGTGGTTTTCAGACTTTCTGGTGATGAGAAAGAAAACACCTGAAACCAGTGGAGACATTGGCTTGTGGTTTGCCTTTTTATCTTCTTCAAGTTTAGTTAGTTCTTCAAGTATTTACCAGGTTACTCAGCATGACTACCTGGTCATTGTAGGACTGGAGAAATCACTACTCTCCTGTGAACTCTGGTGTCCTCCTATCCATCAATACCTGGCCCACCTCCACCCAGGCTTAGTAAAGGCACAAGCAAGGTCGTGTCTGAATGTGCGTGTAGCCTGTACAGTGTGGTGCTAATACCAGGTGATGTAATTCCTGGTATTGCTACCATTCAGAGTCAGTCCTGGGCATCAAGATTTTTAAAGCTCCCAGCTGATTCCAGTGGGCAGGGGAGGGCGAGTCATTCAGAGGTTCTTTGGTATTAATCTTTCAATCACGGCCCCCTGCTATGCCCAGATGGGTCTCAAAAGTGCTTCGGGATGTGCCCTGGCCATAAGGATGGGATGGTCATTTTCTTTTACAGGCATCCCCTCACCCTGAGCCACTAATCCCCCAAGCATGTGATTCTTCTTAATAAAAGATACTTAGCTTAGACACTGGTCCCTTTGTTACTTCGTTACTCCCTTTGTATAGAGTAACATTCTTATCGTCAATAGAAATCTAAGATCGCCACTTCCTTTGCCAGGCGGGACTTCTTTTTTTTTTTTTTGAGATGGAGTCTCACTCTTGTGCCCAGCCTGGAGTGCAGTGGCGGGATCTCGGCTCACTGCAACCTCCGTCTCCTGAGTTCAAGTGGTTCTCCTGCCTCAGCCTCCCGAGTAGCTGGGATTACAGGCACATGCCACCATGCCTGGCTAATTTTTGTATTTTTAGTAGAGACGGGGTTTCACCATGTTGGCCACGCTGGTCTCGAGCTCTTGACCTCAGGTGATCCACCCACCTCGGCCTCCCAAAGTGCTGGGATTATAGGCGTGAATCACAGTGCCCGGCCTGCTGGTGAGGACTTCTTAACAGAGCAGCCCCATATCATATGCTAGATTTAAAGTTTTGTTTAGTTTTGTTTTTCCCCCAGACATGGCAGTGATAGCTAAACTTTTCTAAAGAGTTTATCTTTTGATTAATTAGCTAGCCTCTAACCTTCGCTTTTAGATTAAAAGGCCCTTGAAGACTAGGCACACTGAGAGGGGATCACAGAACTCTGAATAAGAACACTGACTTTCAACGGCTCAGGGGCTATGGGACAGGGGCAGGGTTTTTTTTGTTTGTTTGCTTGCTTTGATTTTAATAACAAAATTACATAAAGGCAAAGGTCAAGAAACAGCTCTCCCTGCAGGCACTGGCCCTTTCCTATGAGGCGGAGGCGAAGAGTGGGCTAGACTCCAGGCTGAGAGGTGATAAGCAACAGGCTTAGGCAGTGCATAAATCTAAGCCATCCATATCTCAAGAAAATCCTGCAAAGGGTCCCTCCCTCTAGCTCCTCCTCTCCTGCACCCAGATGGCTCTCCAACCTTCCAGATGGGGTCCCTGAATCGTGCACTTCCTCTGTGATATCTAGCCCTCTCTCCTGCAGGGCCCTAATCCACCCCTGTACTTTATCTCCCACCCACCTAGGTTCCAGCCAATCCAAGTTGTTGCCACTCCCCACCCCCAGCCCAGTGTTAAATCCACACACTGCACCTAGCACAGTTCCCAGCATGTGGGGACTCAGGACACACCTGCAGAATGAATGAACAACTACCCTCCATTGTGCATCTCAACTCCGGCTACCTTTTCCACCTGGAATATCATTCCTCACTCTCCTCCTCAGGCTCCATCCCAAGGACCACATTCTCCAGAAGGATGTAATTTACAGACTCGTTTACGTTCATTTTTGTCATCCATCCATCCATTCTTCCATAGCTCACTTGGATCTCCCTAACCTCTCCTCCCTGAACCCCCCAGGACTATGCCCACCTTTCTGACTGCTCTTCTCTGACCAGCTTCACTTCTGGTCCCAGCCTTCTTGCTCTTGCAGGGCAGGGCTTAGCTCTACAGAAACCTCCGGTGAACCACTGAACAGAATGGGGCCGGGGAGCCTGGGCTTTGGAATGGATTATCAGATTTGTAACCAGGAGTTGTGGACAAGCCAATGAGACTTCTATGCAAAGGGTTAGGGTTAGGGTTAGTGCTTCTTTCTCCCGGGGAAAGGTACCATAATGAGGATTTGCAGAGTCTTTTGTGAAAGTCTCAGCGTATAGGAAGGTGAGCAACCCATGACAATTTCACACAGCTTGAAACGTTTCTACTTCAACCAGCAGGCCCTGGGAAAGAGGGATTCTAGCACCTCACCTATTATTTGGCACTAAAAACACTGCGATTTAACACATCAATACTGGAGACCCCAATACATTTCATTTAAATAAAATAGTGGCAGCCAAGTGCTAATTACAACACATAACATTCACTGCAAGCATTAGGCTAAACTCCTACATGAATCATCTCTTTTAATCCCAGCAATCACAACTGACCTGTGAGGTTGCGACTATTATTTACCTTGTTTGACAGATGAAGAAACAAAAGCTTCTAGAGGTTTGGGAACTAACAATCTCACCCAGTAAGGCTACCTTTCTGGGTTAATGCAGACTGGTTTGGAAGATACCCTGGGCTAGTGATTTAGTGACAAACACAAATCTGATCAGGCACAAGAGATGGGCTACTGATTGTCCTGGAGCGAGGTCTCCTTGCTCAGTGTGGCAAGGGGCAAAGGTGCCCCCAGACAGTGCCGTCTTAATGCACCAAGGGAGATAACCCCCTGGGCTGGGACACACCTTGCTGACTTTCCATGCTTTTTCTACCAGAGGAACATTTGCCATTCATGCATGCTGGCCCCTGCAAATCAGCTCTGCTTTAAAACCGCCCCAGCAGGAGCCCCAGCCCCTTAGGAAAGTCTTCATGCCAACAAGAATGCCTATCACTCTAGTGTTAATAGCTGCAAACGCTCAACTCCCAGTCCCACACAGTGAGGGAACCCAACATGCTTCTGAGCGAACACTTCCCCAAGGTGGGAGGCACCTGGGTAACTGCCTCATCATTGGGACTCCAGGTCATGACCTAGAAGAGCTCCAAGAACAGTGCGTCTTAGCCCCAAGCAGCCCAGTGGGTCTCACCTACAGTTGGGACCTCCCCAATCAAAATCTCTCTGCAAATGGGGCCTGGGCATTTTAAAGAAAGGGCCAAAAGGTAATTCTGACACTGCCAGAGTTGAGAGCCACCATGAAGTTTTTAACAGAGAAACCAACGTTTCTCAACTGTGGCTGCCTATTGAAATTGCATGCAGAGCTTTCAAAAATCCTGATGTCCAGGCCACACCTTTAGATCAATTAAATCAGAATCTCTGGGAGTCAGTCCTGGGCATCAAGATTTTTAAAGCTCCTAGCTGATTCCAGTGGGCAGGGGAGGGCGATCCTTTCTCTTCCTAGTTGTAATAATGGAAATGCTTCTCAGCTGCTCTTTATGACGGAAAAAGAAAAAGGTTTGGTGACATACTTTTTTTAAAAAAAAAACTTCCCAAGCTTCTACTAATATTAGACTTAATTATGCTGATTATTTTAGGCACAAGTCACAGAAGGAGTGGGAAGAGTCACCTCACCTGGCTGCAAATGAATCACACTTGATCCAGCTGCTGTTCTCTCCTTTGCCTCAGGTAGGCGTTGGTTCTCACCTGGCTGCACATTCCACAGGGCTATGAGACAGTGGGTGCACTAGGACCAAGGGCACGTGTATTGGGCTCACACATTCTCAGCCTTTCAAGAACCAGATTCACCAAGTCCTATAACCTCTGTGCTCTGGGGGCTGGTGGGGAGAGGGCTGGAGTATGGTCAGCCCTACTTACATACTCCTTCCAGCAGGACCTCACAACATCCCTTGGCTGTGGTGATGGTGCCAACAGCGGCCACAATAGCAAACACTTGAGCTCATATGCTGTGCTGGGAACTGGGCTTGAATGTTCTCCAGTGCTGTCTAATAGAACTTCCCGTGATCATGACAGAGTCTATATCTGGGCAGATGAATACAGTAGCCACTAGCTACCCTGAGGTATTACATCCTTAAAATGTGGCTAGTGAGACTGAGAAACTAAATTTTAATCAATTAATTTAAGTAGTCCCACTACTTAAGAGTCCAGTGGCTCTTGTCATAGGCAGCAATTGCTCTCTATATATTATCATCCCTGGGTCCCCATTACAATCCTATGAAGTATTAGTATCCTCATTTTGTGCACAAAGAAACAGAGGCTTAAAGGGGCCAAGTCACTTGTATGGGAGACTCAGCTGGACTTTACCTCGGTCTGCCTGACCTCCCATCCATGCCTTTAACTGTGCTGTCCTCCTGCCTGGTGTGTGACCCCCACTCTGGGAGGACCTGCACTTTCTCCAGACCTGTGGATGGCAGTGATGTCATCCTTCTTAACCCTACCCCCACCACCTGCTGATGGATCTATGTAAGGGGGCTCGAGTACCAACAAGAAAACTGCCCCCAATCCTAATCTCTGGGGAGGCGCCACCTTGGTCACACAGGCAGCCAGTTATGAACTGATGGTGGTCAGGTCTCTTCGGGTGTTTAACTCTGTTCAGATTCCACTGGAAGGGTCTGTGGCCAGGGCCAGGTGGAATGTTTCCCTTGGCTGACAGGAATTTGCTTTCATACTTTGCTGTGGGAAAGTTGTCAGGGAGTTGGGTCACCGAGGAGCATTTGGGACAGGTGAGAAACTTCAAACTGGTTGCCAGGGGTAAACTTGTCACCTGGGTGTCTTCCTTCAACGGTTTTCCTTTGTTTGAAGGCTTCTGCAGGCAGCAGACCAATGGTGTGGGGAATCTGCCTCGGGGAAAAAGTGGTGAGAGTCCTAACCTTGCATTTCTATAGCTTTACTGTCTTTGCAAATTCTCTTCCCATTAGTTTTCTGATGTGGTTGGGACTAGGGGATTTATTAAAGGGAGCTGTAAAATACCATCTAGGGTTCACTTGAAGCATAAATATGTAAGGCTAGTTTTCACCACCTTTGGCAGTCTGTGACTAGTTATTTGTTTAAACTTTTTTTTCTTTCCTTCATTTTATAGCGTGAGATGTCATTTTAGGTTCTCTGGAAACCTAAAGACTGTTGTTCTTATGGAGGATGGAGTTTAAGACTTACGATATTTTAGAAAGTGCTCCCTCTCTCGAGACTAGAATCCTGGCTCCCTGTGGGTTTGCTTGATGAGGCCATGATAGATGGGGCCTGACCTCAGGGTATGTCAGGCTTATTGACCAGGATGTGTGTGTCAGCTTCCCAGGGCCGGGCAAGTCACAGGAGCAGGGACAGAGTGTTCTACTTTCTCTGCATGCACTCAAGAGTTTCTGGTCTAGTGGGAATTCATTAATTAGAACATTCTTTTGGGTACTGTAAATACAAAAAGGGATAAGGTGTGGTTCTGTCTTCCCAGAGCTCACAAGCCATCAGGGGGTAAGGAGTGCCGTCAGAGGGGTCTGCAGAGGACCCTGTCCCAGGGCTGAACACATGCAAGCCCCAAGGGGTCCCACGGATGGCAAAGTGAGCCAAGTGGCCTAGTGTAAGCAGAGCAGCAGGGCAACAGGTGACCAGGGACCAGTGTCATGTTGCTGTCGGGAATTTTGGGGAGAGGTGGAGAATGAAGGGCTGGAGAGCGCGAGCCCTATCTGGGGCGGCACACCTGAGTGAGTCCGAGCTGAGGGGCTGTGTTTGGAAGTTCAGGCCCGGTGTTGCCATTCTGCTTATTCAAGAGGAGCTGGATGTCTGCATGGAAATGTGAAATCTCCCTTCTAAAATGCTGACAACTGATTAAAGCCATCTAAGAACAGCGTGGCTCACTATGTGTTGCCATGTAAAGCATTTCTGCAGACTGAATACTGTCCCTGGGCCATCAAGATCCAGGGGGGAAACTGAGGTAAAGAGGTGTAATTGCTTGCATGGCCGTGCCTCCCCCAAGATGGTCAGCTTTTCCAAATGCGAGTGTGTCTCAGCTGTCTCTGTAGCCCCGCACTTGGCCCATAGGAAAAACTTGTTAAGAGTTTGTGGTCAGGGAACTGGGCTTGGGGATGACCCTGGCCTTTCTCAGGAGGAGGGTTAATTTGCAGGGGGAAAATGCCTGGAAGCAAAAGAGCTGAGTGGTTTGAGGTGAATTTTGCCAAGCAGAGGCACAGCACCCTCTGGGCAGCAGCTGGGAGCATGGGTTCTGGTGCTGGAATGATGGGACTGAACTCCACCTCTGCCGGTTACTAGCTCTGGGACTCTGGGCAAGTTGCTCAACTTCTCTGAACCCCAGCTTTCTCACTTATACAACAAGGGTAATAATCCCTACTTGAGAGGGGAGTTGTGAGGGATCCATGGTTGCGGTATGCAGAGTGCTGGGTACCATGCCTGCCATGAACTAAGCTTTTATTGAGCACTTACTATTATTATTAATAGTAACGTGTATGATGTGAATGTGGAGAGATGGCCAATCACCCTGATTAGCAAAGTGTAAGGGTGTGTGAATGTGATGGACAGTTCCCTTGGGCCAAGAGCAAGGCTTGGGACTGAGGGGAATGGGAGAGCAGTCACCCACCCCAGCGTTCAGAAGGCTTCTAACAGCTGAAGAGGGGGCTCTTCTGCCACACAGGTGGCTGTGGCTTGGCTTGCCTGGCTGCCAGCTCTTGGAAAATTTACACCAGCCCTGATCTGGTGGGGAGGGCACCTGAGGAAGAAAAACTGAGCTTCTGACTCACTTTGGGTCAGAACTTGGTAAAGACCTGCCCTTTTTCTCCAAAGAGGATTCTCTCTACTCATAGCCCAGTGCACAAGAGGCCCTGTATGCTTGATTCTGGGCCGAGCCCTGGACGTGGCTGGTGGGAGAGTACCTTCTGCCTGTTGTACAGGGAAGCTTTCTGATATCTGGGTCAAGAGGGCAAACTTCCTTCAGGGCCAGTGTTTTTCCACAATGACCAGGGCACTCATGAAAACAACCCCATCAGTCCCCCAGGGGCCCCTAGTATGTTAATTATTAATAAGAATGATAATCATGAATAATGACAGTGTCTATCATCATCATCATCGTGCTTTGTATTAACAGGGTGTGGAGGCCTGTCATCTGGAGGAGTTTCTTAGCCCTGCGGTGTTCCGAGGAGGAGGGTGGCCAGTGTGCCTCTCCTTCTTTCTCTCCAGGTGAGGGCTCAGAGGCACCCTGAGGGGCCTGCCCAGACTCACACAGCTGCACCTCAGACAGAGGAAAGCCCTGACCACACCGCCTACTGCAGCAGGCTCTCCTGGTCCCCAGGCTCCTGGGCTGATGCATCTGATGGCCTTAAGCATCATGGCTAAGAACTCAGCTTCAGGAGCCAAAGAGGCTGGCTTGAGTCCAGGCCCTGCTATGCGGGCTGGGTATAGCCTCTCTTTCTTCTTCATGGGGTCAGTATGATTAAATGAGTTAGCACACGGATTGTACTTCAAACAGTACTTGACATGAAGCCAAAACCTTAATAGGTGCCAGTTTTTATTAATGATTAGTATGAAACTGCCAATCCTCAACCATATTTTACCTACAAAAATGGCAATTTCATATGGATCCATGACTCTTAACTGGGGGGCAATTTTGCCCTGCAGAGGACATTTGACAATGTCTGGAGATATTTTTGATTGGCACGGCCAGGGATAGTAGTGCTATTGGCATCTAGTAGATAGAGGCCAGGGATACCGCTGACTTCCTTCAGTATACAGGTCAGTTTCCACAACAGAATGACCCAGCTCCAAATGTAATAGTGCCAAGGTTCAATATAGGTCCCCCTAATAGTATTCTATTATAGACAGACTGATTGTCTTTAAATATGTCTTTCTGAAACCCACATGGCTTCCATTGCCTAAAGAATAAAGACAGCTTTCAACAGGCTCTGGCCTCCACTTTGTCTCTAAGCTGGTCTCCTCTCTGTCTCCCTGGTGTAGCCACACTGATCTGCAGTAGCAGATCCCCTGAGCATGTGAGGCCTGGAACAACCTCTCTACTCCCCCTAACTGGTCTAACCCTAACACCTGCTCTGGGAAGCTTTCTTCGAGTGAATTTCTTCCCCAACCTGGCTGACTGTGGCAGTCGCTGTGGCTCTGAACTAATGTGATTCCCAGGTCCCACTCCTGGAGATTCTGATTCCGTAGGTCAGAGCAGAGTTCAGTAATACTTCGAGAAGCCCCCCAAGGAGGATGATGCTCAGCCAGGTGTGGAGACCACCATGCATGTCCTGCATCTTTATTTCTAAGTCGCTTCTGGTTCTGTTACCATTTATGTACACTAGCCCTTCACCTGCACTTCTGGCTTGTTTTATGAGCTGGATTGTGAAGATGCTAGAGGGCAGAGACCACATCTTAGAGACTTTGGCCACTCAAAGTTATCCATCCCAGTGCCTTGTGCTCCAGAAATTCTAAGTTGTGAATTAAATTTGAATCCAAGAATTTTCAGACTTTGCTAAACCCATGAGTGACCTGAGATGCTTGTTAAAAATGCAGGGCCCCAGGCTTGAACTTCCCGGGGTTCTGCCTCAGTGGCTGTGGGCTGGGGGCCTTGGAACCTGGATTTTTAGACATCTGGTTTTGAAAAAGGTGTCCCTCAGCCCCACTGTTCCAATCCTCTGACACATCTGGCTCCAGGGGTCTCGGAGCCTCTGGCAAGTCTTATGGAGGTAAATGCTCTTCTAATTGGATATTGGACTGACCCCAGCCCCAGATCTCCAGGAGAACAGGGGATACTTACACACATGCTGGCTTGTCCTCCTGCACCAAAAACCTGCAGGTTCCATGGAAGCAGAACTGAGTGTGGGAATCTGGGCAGTCATTAAAATGGGACACCACTGCTGCAGCCACGGGCGGGTCTGCTGGGGAGAGGAAAGATGCAGGGCTCAGATCCAGGAACAGCTGACATGCAAACCCCACACCTCCCACCCTACCAGTCAAGAAGGTGGAGCCCCTGATGGCTGGGACTTTGGGTTCTCACCTGGGGCACACCCTCCTCAGCTCTCACTTACTTTCTAAAGCCTAAGACAGGCCTAGAGCTCCTGTATAGCGTGCTTTCCAGCTTTTTGTTTTTGTAGACAGCAAAACAAATTTCCCCTCAAACTAACGTAATTCAAAGACAACAGAGCAATTTTACTATTTCAACACAAGAGCTACCTAATTTCACTTTTGCAAAGTGACAGTGATTTTTTTTTAGATAGCTGTCATAAGAATCTGTTTTGAAAGCAAGAGAATGGAAAGGTACAAAAGAATATTCTGTAACCATTAAATTGATGCAGAAGCAGAAGAGTTAATGATGCAAAAAGGTGCTTATGATATACAGTAAGTTAAGTAAATGGGTTTCCAGTATTGTCTGTATAGCGGTGGCTCACGCCTGTAATCCCAGCACTCTGGGAGGCCGAGGCAGACGGATCATGAGGTCAGGAGATCGAGACCATCCTGGCTAACACGGTGACACCCGTCTCTACTAAAAATACAAAAAATTAGCCGGGCGAGGTGACGGGCGACTGTAGTCCCAGCTACTTGGGAGGCTGAGGCAGGAGAATGGCGAGAACCCCGGGGGGCGGAGCCTGCAGTGAGCCGAGATTGTGCCACTGCACTCTGCACTCCAGCCTGGGCGACAGCAAGACTCTGTCTCAAAAAAAACCAAAAAAACAAACAAACAAAAAAACCAAAAAAACCCAACACAAATAGAAATTAGACATGAAGGAGTCTGGGAAGGACATACACTAAGATGGTAGCAGGGCTTCTCTTGGTAGGATTAGGAGTGATAAGGCTATAAAGATTACTTAGAGTCCCATTACTGGGTATATACCCAAAGGAATATAAATCATTCTATGATAAAGATACACACATGCGTCTGTTCGTGGCAGGCCTATTCACAATGGTAAAGACATGGAACCAACCCAAATGCCCATCAATGACAGACTGGGTAAAGAAAATGTAATACATATACACCATGGAATACTATGCAGCCATAAAAAGGAATGAGATCATGTCCTTTGCAGGGACATGGATGAAGCTGGAAGCCATTATCCTCAGCAAACTAACGCAGGAAGAGAAAAACCAAACACTGCATGTTCTCACTTATAAGTGGGAGCTGAACAAAGAGAACACGTGGACACAGGGAGAGTGTGGGGGGAGTGTTCTCCCCCCATACCCTTTTGGGGGAGGGTGTTGGGGGAGAACATTAGGGAAAAGAACTAATGCATGCTGGGCTTAATACCTAGGTGATGGATTGTTATGTGCAGCAAACCACCATGGCACATGTTTACCTATGTAACGAACCTGCACATCCTGCACATGTACCCTGGAACTTAAAAAAATTAAATAATTTTAAAAAAAAGATTACTTAAAGCAAGAAACCCATATGAGAGCAGCACAGTCAGTGTTGGGAAATTCTTTTCTCTTTCCCATAATGGGGAGAGAGGAAAAAGAGCAGAGTAGGGGCTGAGATGGGTCCTACTCAGAGCCCTAGTACCATGACTCTCACGAGCTTGGGGTGGTCACCAAACCTCTCAGGGTTTTCCATCCCTGGCTTTCAGACAGGAATAAAAATAGCCAGCCAATTCAGGAGCACCGTCATGCACAACAGACCTGCTGACCAGGCAGCACTTTGGGCTTATTTTTTTCCACTCCCATTTTGTCCAAAGTAAATTTGAGGCATGGTATGTAGCTATTTCAAGACAGCTCCATCGATATAGTCTCCACTGCTTCTTTCAACAGGTCCTCTTATGCTTCTATTTTGGGTATTTCAGGAGTGAGTCTTGCCCACTTAGTTTTTTTGGGGAAAAAAATCCATGTTCCTGGAGCTCTTGCTCTCTGAGAAAGGACAGAACATTTAATATCTTGGGAGATTTTAGACCATCACTAAATATTAAACTCCTGTTGCTATCTTTCTATTCATGAGCTGCTTCTAGAAGTGTCATCATTTTAGAAATCCCATAATTCCAGGGGGGAAAAGCAGAGGCTAAAAATACAACAGAATCCTTGACATTGAAGGAGACACATTGTGTAGTGGTTAAAAACATGGGCTTTGCAGTCAGAGGCACGGGTTTGAATCCTGCCTCTGCCACCTGAAGCAGCTGGCCTCTCCTAGCCTGCCTCTGCAGCTACAAGACAGCGGGTCCCCCTGCCTCCTTGGTCCTCTGCGGTTGAATGAGGTAATGCTTGTTAAGTTCTGTACTCAAGAGATTGTCTGGTATGACACTCAGCTGTTAGCTCTCCTGTTGTCACCACTGACAATCCCAAGATATGAATGAATATCCACGTGATAAAACCACTACAGTAAGTAATCCCCCCATACATTCAGTGAGGTATAACTAAAAGTCCAAGTGTCCCCTTTAGCCCTTAATGACAGTTACTGTCTTTCACACATGAGGACAAGCAGAGAAGCCCAAAGCCAGGTGGAGATATCGACCTGGGGCTGCTGGACCCTCCTCTGAGCAGGAGTCTGCAGGACTGCTGGGTCCAGTTGCCTGGGCTGGTTACAGTCACCTGCATGTGCTTGGCTTGAGTGGTTGAGGAACAGGCCCAGTCACTGGCTAACAGTAGACGCTGGATGCTGAATTGAGACAGGAAGGGTCTGCTGTAGTTTGCATAACTGGCTTCTCTGTGCTCACTGAACTTGTCAAGGAACAAACACAGAGAGATGAAGGGGCTAGACTCTAGAGGCCAATGCAGGCCGGCAAGGCAGCAAAACTTCATCTGTACTTACAGCCACTTCCCATTGCTCACGTTAGCTCCGCCTCCTGTCAGTTTAGCAGTGGCATTAGATTCTCATAGGAGCGGGAAACCTATTGTGAACTGTGCATGTGAGGGATCTAGGCTGTGTACTTCTTATGAGAATCTAATACTTGATGATCTGTCACTGTCTCCCATCACCCCCAAATTGGACTGTCTAGTTGCAGAGAAACAAGCCCAGGGCTCCTCCCGATTCTACATTATGGTGAGTTGTATAATTATTTCATTAAATATTACAATGTAATAATAATAGAAATAAAGTACACAATAAATGTAACAAGCTGGAATCATCCTGAAACCAGCACCTCTCCCAAGTCTGTGGAAAAATTGTGTTCCATGCAACTGGTCCCTGGTGTCAAAAAGGTTGGGGGCTGCTGGGCTAGTGGATCTCATTTGATGTACATGTTCAAAAAGGCTTTTGACAGGCTCCACAAAAGGCCGTTTAAACCACCACCTCCAAGTGGCTAGAGGAAGTCCCTTTGTCAGGGCTTTGGGCTGGGTTCCTCCAAGTGTGATCTGCAGACAGACAGCTTCACATTCCCCTGAGTTTGCCTGCCACCCCTACCCAGCCCAGACCTACTGAATCAGGATCTCTGGGGTGAGGCCCAGAAATCTGTGGGACAAACTTGCTAGGTGATTTTTTAAAGTCAGGCCTATTGAAATAGAATTGCTATACTGTAATGTTTGCCCTGCAGGTAATTAATTAATTAATTAATTAATTTATATTTTTATTTTGAGACAGGGTCTCACTTCATCATCCAGGCTGGAGTGCAGTGGCACGTTCATGGCTCACTGCAGCCTTGACCTCCTAGGCTCAAGCAATCCTCCCACCTCAGCCTCCAGAGTAGCTGGGATTAACAGGTACATTCCACTGCACCCAGCTAATTTTTGTATCTTAGTAGAGAGACAGAGTGTCACCACATTGCCCAGGCTGGCCTCGAACTCCTGGGCTCAAGTGATCTGCCTACCTCGGCCTCCCAAAGTGCTGAGATTATAGGTGCGAGCCGCCACGTCTGGCCCCCTGCAGGTGATCCTGATGCACACTAATGTTTGAGACGCAGGCTTGTGTTACACAGAAGCAAAGGATAAATGGGCTCTTGCAAAAGTGGAAAGGCCAGGGTCCTTTTTGGAGCTGATTATCTTCCAGCTCTTCAAACTCCTGTGTGACTCTAAAGCCTGAAATCTGCTGAGGTTCTTCGTGGTAAAGTATTAGGTCAGTAGAAATACAAAGAAAGAGAAAACTTGGAATCTGTTTTGGAACACTTCTCTAAAACTGATTGGTGAAGGGTGGACTCTGCTATGGTCTCATTTAACCCCTATTGATGGATACCTTTGCCTCTTTTTATAAATGACATGAGGTGGTGTTATAAAAATAGGTACCATAAAAAGGCAATGCAAACGAGAAACAAGTGTGTGTGGGAGAAACAGCGAGAAGGAGAGAGACGGGAGAGAGGGACATAAAAAGGAAGAAGGAGGGAA
This sequence comes from Homo sapiens, assembly GCF_000001405.40. Taxonomy (NCBI): domain Eukaryota; kingdom Metazoa; phylum Chordata; class Mammalia; order Primates; family Hominidae; genus Homo; species Homo sapiens. The sequence goes on from NC_000002.12 coordinate 70,470,097, forward strand.
GGAGACAGGAAGGGAGACAGAGAGTAGAGAGAGACGGGGTGGGGTTATGAGAGCGATAAGAGAGAGAAGGAACAGAAGAAGAGGGGAGGGAGGGAAACAGGAAGAAACAGACAGGCGGGCAGTGAGAGAGGGAAGGAGAGATTGGGACAAAGGAAAGTAAGGGTAAGGAGCAGCAATGAGCAAAACAGGCACCAGGTTAATACACAAAGATGGATATCAGAAAATCACACGCACATGCCAAAGCTGAGGGACAAATCTAACTCTATGCCTCCTGGCAGTCTTAGCAAGGATGTATAAGGTTCATTAGATAGGAATATATATACTTGTTCTGCACAAGCTGGACAGGCTCAGCTTTCCCTAAGTCTGTGGTTGGAGAGCAACGGTCAGAGAGCAACTTCTCTTCTTCTGCGGGTGTTTTTGAAGGGGACTTCATGTGCTGTGGTGGATGACATCCTGAACAATTTCCCAAAGAAGCATCTGCCCGTGTAAACCATCAGTTCTTTCACTTCACACAGCTCACTAAGAAGCCAGAAGAGTCCAAGCTGTGAAGAAGCTCCATGCAACAGTAACAGTGATGGCAGATGACATGTGGTGGTCTCGCTCTGTGTATTCAGAGACCAGAGTGGAAACAAGCCTGAGGCTTAGAGTGCAAGTTCCTGGTCCTCCATAATTCCACCTGTCTGCCTCAGCCCAAAGGGCAGAGAGGATGAAGGGAGCTTGATGCTAGTGGATTATCATTAGAAGGTTGTTTATTAAAAAAAACCCTTTTCCTGACTACAACCATGATACATTCACTCTTGAAACTTTTTCAAAAGTTTCAAGACATTTTCTCATTACAAAAGTGACATATTTTTAGGAAATTAAAATAAATCAATATATAATAAGTACCATATTAGAGAATAAAACCCATCTGTAATCCACTATGTAGAGAGAACCATGTAAGTATACACTGCACACGAACATGCACCTAAACTTACTCTTTCTATTCTGTTACGTGCATTCTCCTCCCCGCACCCCCCCCACCATATAACCAAACTTCTTAAAAACAAGCATTTAATTCAAGTTCGAGGTTCTTTGCGCAGGGTGCTGTCCTGCCCCCACCACCCAGGAAGTTCAATGTGCACCATGTGCAGAACGGGTTCCTCTTCCACTGGCATATTTGGCAGCTTTGTAGCTTGTCACAGGTTTTCTGATAGGGGATGTGATTCACACTTGAGACCTAAGTGGACAGGGAGGAGTGGGTCAAACCACAGTCCCAAGGGCAAGCCACACTGTGACCACTCTGCTCTTCCTGTGCACCCTTAGGATGAGCCAGCTCCAGGAGGGGCAGCACTGGGGCTTGTGCGCCCCTAGGGTGCTGTACGAGCCTCGTGAGCTGATGTGCTTTACTAAAGCCATCTCCAACAAGTGAGGGCGGAGTAACTGTTCTCATTTGAGGGCCTTTAAAGGTGTTTGTCTTAGATCCTCCCAGACTCAGCAAAGAACACCCCAAATACCAGGGCAGGGTCAGCCCAGGCAGACAAGGCTATTCCTATGAGAGGCACTTTGGTGAAGGTAGGGGAGGGCAGGGACAGGGATGTCACTTATTGAGTGCTTGCTAAGTGCTGGGGGCTTTCCTTACATCATCCGCCAAGTCGAGGCAGGGTAGGCGGCCTGCTTTAACCTAAGTAGTCTCCATTTTTTAGATAAGAAAACTAAACTGAAGCTTAGACAACCTTGTCAATGGGCAAGGGTTTGCTCAGTAACTTAGAGTACCATCTCCTCCTTGGGGGGCAAAACTGCCTCCAGTTATTTTATAAAAATGAGCATTACAAGGAACCCCCCAAATTCCTGGTATCTTTCCTAAGAATGATTCTCTCAGCCTCTCTCTCAGAGTCTGCCTCTTTCTTTTCTTCCTGCTTTTCTCTCTCTCCCCCTATTTTTTTCTCTATCTCCCTTCACTCTCCCTTTCCCACTCTATTGTTTTTTCTGGAAATTCAAGAAAATAGCGAGTGAGGGAAGGAAAGGCCTAGAGACTTAAAATTTAAAAAAAGAATCACTTAGAAAAGGAAGGTGGCAAAGGCCAGCAGGGAATATCCAAAGAAAGTCTCCCCAAGATGTGCCAGCTGAGGGCAGAGAAGGACTGGCACTGGCCCCCAGGACTCTGGCCCATCTCCTCCAGACACCAAGTCTGAGTAGCACTTGGGGCTGACGATAGGAAAAGCAAATGTTCCAGGTTTTGGAACAGACCTCATATCGAGCCCACCAGCAGCTGGAGTTTCAAAGCCACTCAGTTCCTGTTGCCATGAAATTTATGAGAGGCCCCTCCAGCATGTTAACCAAACGCACATCTTGCAGACACCACTGCTCTCTGGGGAAGCTGTGAAAGCTTTGCCTAGAGACCACAGACCCACTAACAGGGCCTGGAGCCCAACCCTACTTACAGGAAGAGGGTCTGGAATAGCAATTGAGGGGCAGGGAAATCCCCCATCCAATTCACAGGAGGGGTCTCCGTAGTTCAGAGGAGCCAGGGAGACAGCCATCTGGACAGCTCCTCCCAACAGCCCTGCTCCCCTGGGAGCAGCATCCACACCCCTGAGCGCAATCACCCCCTTTAAAAGCAGCCCTAATTGGACTTCATGCTGTGCTGGTCAGCGGGAGCCGGCTGAGCCTGTGGCTCTTAACTCTCTTCCCCAGATGTCAAAAGTTGTGAACACGTTTGCCCATTGCAGAGCTTACATCATTTACAGCCATTTCATAACTTCCTCAGATATCATGGCTAACTTTCTAACAATTTAATCATGACGTCTGGCTTTTTAGTAGGAACTTTCAGCCAAAGTTTCTGACCTGGGACTAAATATTTTGTCTTCAGATACTACAATGGCAAAGCCAACTAATACTTTTTGGATGTCTAGGAGAAAAGGCAGTAGATTAATTTAGTAAAGATGGGAGTCAGCAGTAGCTACTGGGGAAGCTGGCGGGGGGTATAAATCTGATACTCCCAGGTATCAAGGCCTCCATTCCACCCTGAGGCCAGGCTGGAGTCACCCAAAGCTCTGGACTCAGCTCTGGGATGGGAGGCTGGCTTCAGGGCAGCAGCAGGCCCAGTTTACAAGGGTGGAACTCCAAGCTTGGGAGGTGATGCGTGAACCTGCAAAAGCAGCTATGGAGTGAAGGAGAGGCTGGTGCGGAGGCTTACACTCGGGTGGCAGAACTGCTAAGCCAGAGCTTAGAGAAGTAAATGGTCTAGAACCCAGTGGCTGCCCAGAGAGACTTGGTGAGCAGGGATCCTGCTCCCCTGGGCAGGTGGGGGGAGGTGAGAATAATTCTTACTTTTTGTGAATGATCCCGAAGAGGAAGGGCACTGTCAGCATCTAGTGTGGCAATGCTACTGACCTTTGCAGAGAGAGCAATGCCCTATCAAGGAAACTGATCGACAGGGGCATTTCCTGGGGCTGTGTGTGCAGGCAGAAGAACAAGAGGGTTTTCAAATGAGCAGCGGATGTCAGCAGAGTTACGGAAAGGGAATCCCTGTCACATTTACAGTAGGAAATTGATCTCAAGTGTTACCAACTAATGAGGGGAATTCAATTTTGCTGTCTTAGAGGGGGGTGTGTGGGATGGTGGAGATGAGATAAATATAATTATGCAACTCATTCATTATTAAACCCAAGATCACTATCTTTTAAACGATGGATATAAAACCATTTGAAAACAGAGTTTAGCCTGCAGTACCATCATTTAAGAGGGAAGGGGCCTTCGTTGTAGTTAAGCAGTGAAAGAGAGAAAGGTAACTATAGTGCTACAGTTCTCTTGCTGTTCCACTTGTTCAGCTGGGTGGGGTGGGGCAGGGCCATTTTTGTCTCTATCATTCCCCAACCCCAGATTCACAATTTACTGAGAGAACTCCTATGCTTAAAAGAGAACATATTTTTCCTATAACATAATCCCTGAAAAATCTCCTAATTCTTCAGTGATCTTTTCCAATATTGACCAAATCTGACCCTATTTGCTTTTTAACTTTCCCTGATCATACACTGACTTTAGATCCTACCCACCCCTCCATCCCCACTGAAGGGCAGAGACTCCATATTATCTCACCAAACATCAAAAGCACCCTGTGGGGTTAGCATTATTAGTCTCTATTTTTAAGATAAGAAAACAAAACTGAAGCTTAGATAACCTTGTCAATGGACATATAGCTGGAATGTAGTAGAACTGAAATTTGATCTCAGTTTTCTCTGATATTGAGATACTGAAGAGCTATAGAAAATTAGGATGCTATTCAAGTCCAGAAAGACAAATGCTGAGAAGGCACATGATCCCAACCCACAAATCACGCTGGCAGTGAGGAAGGGGAACACTTAACTAGTGAACATCTTCTAGTAATCAGAAAGGGGCACTTTCAGGAGAAACAAGAGGAAGTATTACTTTATTTGGGGGAGGAGTGGGGAACTATACATATGGAACTTATTATTCTCACAAGGGAGCAGTGGTTGAAAATACAGATGCAAAAGAGATTTCTACATGTCCAGGGATGATGGTTAATTGAGGAGCTGCTGGAAGTAGGGTGGTGGCTGGAACATGAGATGCTATCAGGCCTTCCACTAAGGGCAGGAACCTCTGGGCTACACAGTGCTCTTGTCCAGGAGCTCAGAGCAGGCCTAAGATGGACTTCTGAATTGCTTTTGCAGCTTCAAACAAGATGCTGTAGGGGAAACCTAAGGGAACATCTGAGCCATTTTAATTCCCTCTGACCATTTCTCCCTTTGGGAAAAACCCAAGGGGCATCAGATGTGATGGAACCAAATTCAAACAAAGATATTGGTAAAGAAACACACAATTTAGTTTCTACTTTCCTACAAAGATACTGGTTATTGATAACACAGCAGCCGTGTGTGTGTGTGTGTGTGTGTGTGTGTGTGTGTGTACTGGGAAAAAAGATAGAGTCAGAGAAGCCCCAGTGGGGTTCATCATGCTTACTTTGAAGGCAAAAGCAGAGTTTGCATCATTTTGGTACCTTTTCATTTTCCAACAGGGAGAAGAAAATCAGATAACATGAACACAGAAGTATTTTGCCAGCTTTCAATTTTATCTAAAGTACCTGGTCTTAGAGTTTTTAACCCAATGTAGAATTTTCTGAGGTTGGACTATGATGATGATGACATTATTATTAGGAGCAGCTACTATTGGATTGTCCACCTACTGCAAGTGCTATGCCCAGCATTTTATAGAGCGAATTCTATTTAATCCCCACAAAAATCTTGCAAGGAAATCCTCACTATCTCATCTTACAGATGAAGAAAGTGGAGCTGAGGGGGGTTAAAGTTGTTCAATGATGCGAAGTCAGCAAATGGCAGAGCGGAAACCAGAACTCATGGTTGGTTTCCTCTAAAGCTCTCGCCCTTTCTAATACAGCACACTGTCACTTCAGAGGGCATGGTGCGTGTGTGGATGTGTGTGAGAGAGAGTTGAGAGTTAAGAAGTCCTTATGGGCATCTTCCACACACTCAAGATGACTCTCATTTGGAAAATAACAAATCAGGAATTACCAGGAAAATTTAGGGGCATTTTAGAATTAAAAGGGCTAAGAGTCCCAAGGCAAATGGCTTTAATTAGCAAAGAGGCTTTGGGAAATTAAAATAAAACCTCAGTGGAATCATGTTAAGTGCAGGCTAAAACCAGAGACTGTATCCATCCAAAGATGCACGACATACATATTTCAACTTGGCCTGTTACCTGTACCCCGACTCCCCCTGGGAAGACCACTACCTCCCCCAAAAGGCACAAGGAGGAGAGAGGCAGGTATGAGACTCCACAAGCAGCCTGCCAATCACCATTCTACATTCATTATGGATTAAAATGCAATGGAAATAGACAGGAAATATACTGGACGAAGATCACACTCTCTGCCACTAAGCTCCTCTTCCTCCTCATGACCCCATTTCTCCAGCTCCCAGGTTGCTTCTTCTATCCCTACTACCTTGGTCTTAGTAATTTTAAGCAAAAAAAAAAAAAAAAAAAAAAAAAAATTAAGAAAATTACAGGTCACGATTTTGCTTTGAGGACTGGAAGCTAAGCCTCCCCCTTTTCTTTTAATATGTGATAATTTGATTTCAAAGAGACAAATCATTTCCTTCTTTCATCTCTTCAAACCAGAAAGCCCCTTATTGTAATTACATCCTCTTGGTGTCAACCAGCATTTGGAAAATACTTTACTTCCAAGTTCCATTCACAAGGTAAACAAGGAGGTTTATGTTTGGCTTTCATCAGCTGGCTTTGAACGAGAATGTGAATGGCTCTGGGAACTGGAGCCCAGTCCTGCTGGATGGGGAATTCTGTTCTGGCTTTGTTGGAGGAACAGCCCCGTTAGAGCCCAGGGCTACCTGCCTTTGCAGTCTCTGTGTGCCTCTATTCTCCTTATAAATATCAAAATTGTTAGGTAAAGTGGTTGGCAGGAAACTCTCAATCCACCCTTAGGAAAAAATGCTTCCTCTTGTTGAGTCTTTGAACCATAATCCCCTTAAACCCTCTACACTGAGCACATATAAGCGCTATTGGGATGATTGTTTTTCTAGAACATTTTATGTCCTCAGAACTTTTGACAGGTGCCTTTTTTCATCGGCAGTTTGCAGATGCCGTGTGGGTGGAAGAAGGATACTCCTCATTTTAAGTGAGGAAACTGAAGAATACAGAGGTAAATTTAAGGCAAAGCTCAACAGTCTTAAAAACATAGAAGTGAATTTGTAGTTGGGACTATGTCCCATGACAAAGATGTGACTCTCTTTCCTATTCCCTCTGAGTTTTGTACAGATGATTTTGCTTGTCCTTAGATAAAAGCCCTTCAATCAAGATTATATTCAAGAGGAAAGAAGCTGAGATGTAAGAGAGTGGTCGAATTATACGCAATTATTTTTTTTTATAAATTTTCGAATTTCATGAAGTGAGCATTTTAGAGTTTGAACACAACCATTTAAAATTAAAACCCCATAACACTATAAACACAGTTAAAGCTTAACCAATTTTTATTGTTAGTGTTTTATTCACAGACAGAATTGTAGTGTTATAGAAGACTGGCCTTGAGGAATCTAGATTTAATCTGCACAAGAAAAATCATGTTACTGCCTCATGTTTTATCAATAAAAAGGAAGAAGGAGGAAGGAGACAAAATAATCATTTAGAGAAGACAGAAGATGCTTAGAAGAAAGATGTTTGGTAAGAGATGACCTCGGGCTTGGTCTCTATGGACAGAAACCTCACACACTCCTACCATAAACAACAAAATCCCAAAAGAGTACAGCCTATTTGATCCATTTCCAACCACTATACTTATGTCACTTTTTTTCTTTTAATTGAAAGAGTTCAGCTGGGAAACTGCTCTCTGAAGGAGGCAGGGAATATGCAAAAGATAAAGTGTGGGCCAGAGACTCCCAGGAGTTCCCCTAAATCCAAAGTCCTTTTTCTCCTGAGAATAGAGACTACATTTCCCAGCCTCCCTTGCAGTTAGGTGTGACCATGTGACCAGGATATATGGCCAGTGGATCTCAGCAGAGGTAACATGCTCCACTTGCAGGCTTGGTCCATAAGAACCTCCCGGTGTGACCTCCCTTTGTCTTTTCCCAGCTGCTGTCTGATTAGAGAGGCTCCTGCAGGACATGGAGGAGGGAGGAGCCACAGGATGGAAGAAGCCTGGGTCCTTGAATAAGCACATGGAAAGAAGTCTGCAGGGCCAGGAAAACCTGCAGAGCCTTTGACATGAGCAGGAAATAAACAATATTCAGGGTTTATCTGTTACAGCAGGGAGTGTTACTCTAATGCCAAGCCTGAAGTCTGGCATTAGGGGTTGGTTAGAGAATTTCTGATGTGGGATGAATCCTCACAATAAATCATATCCTTTTCTCTCTTTCTCTGTCTCTTCTGGGAGCCTCATCCAAACATCAACATGCCCTGTGCTTACAATCTGAAGTCAATCTGGCCCTGATTGGGAGGCTCCACTTTGAAACCCTGGTCCCCAGCTTAAGGTCTGTTCTGTCCGTTCTCCATCCTGGAGGGATCAGGTCGACCTTCACAAACCTCTCCAGGAGTAGTAACAGTCTTTTGGGGTGAGGAGTGAGATCAGCTTTGTAATTGAACAAAGTGTGGATGGGGCAAAGGCTGCTTCTGCAACTCTATAAAACAAAATATAAAATGGTGCCGCCACAATTGACAGCAGGCAGGGCACAACTGTTTTGATGGAAATGCTATACAGCTGATGCAAATATACTGCATTCTCAAAACCCTCTGGGCAGAAATCGCCAAGGCAGGACAGCATGGTAACTACTATAACATCAATCTTCTTGACATAGAAGATGGATGCCCTACAGTTCTCCAAATGGCCATGATCATGTATCTCACCAGCTGCAAAATCTTAAATCGATACCACTGGAAAAAAAAAAAGCATGACCATCCTGGCCCAGAATATCTTGATCATATCTTGTTATAACTGGGAACTTCTCATCCATCCATTCTTTAGTTTTACTGGCAATGTGTTACACATCAAACAACTTTTTATAACAGCCCCCACAAGGGATTTTATAATTTGTTATTTAAAAGTTATGCATCTTCATTGTATAATTTTTGGAAATACAAATATCCTAAGCAAATGACTTGCTGTCTTATCACTGAGAAGAAATAACCTGTGTTTAGAAAACATTTTACAAATGCTTATTATTTTTAGTAGGTTGCCTTTTTTGTCTTTTGTATAAAAGATCATGTTTCTTTGACTTCTTTCCCCTTTTGTGGTGATTTAGAATATAAATACTCTTTTTAATTTGTTTACATTTTAAAAAAATTTAGTTTATTTTCTCAATTATCAATGTTAAAAATGAAATTTGATGTGTCATTTGATAAAAAATTAGCATGCTTACTTCCTCCTTCTTTTTCTTCCCAGTTACCAGTTTTTATTTGTCATCTGATTTCATATCCTCATTATTTTATATATAAAACTTATATTTCAGTAATTAATTTTGACATCTGTACTAGTATAACTAAACTGACAACAGTTGCTTGGACACATTATCGCTGGTTTTGAAAAAATTATATCCTCCCCATTTGGGGGTTTTTATCTTGATATAGCTGTTATCTAGTTGAAGAGGCTCTTTGGACATTTTTTCCAGGAAGGGCATGTGAAAAGTATATCCATATAACGAAATATTATATGTCTGAGAACATCTGTGTTTCATTCATGTACATGGCTTTGCATATGAATGACAACTTGGGTCATGAGCTTTGGACCCCATAGGCCTCCCACCACTGACTTCTGGCTTGTAGTTGATGAAAAAACTGAAGCTAGATTTACTATATTCCTTTGTAACCTGCTTTTATTTTCACTTCAGTGCTTATAAGACCTTTTCTTTGCAATGAGAACTGGTTAAATTACCCTGAAGTTAATGCTTTCAATCTTAAGGACAAGTCTTTTTCAGCTTAAGAAAGTTCTCTTTAATGATCTTTGATGATTGTGTCAGCCTTAGTTTTCTTTTTTCCTTTTGGAATTATCTGTATATTGGATCACCGGGTCCTTTTTTCCTTTTTTTCTCATTATTTTTGTTTTTCAGTCCTGAGTTCTGGGAGAAATTTTCCAGCCCATTAAAAAAAATTACTGACTTTACTGTGATATCTAATCTTCTGCTCATTAGTGTATTATGGATTTAAAATTGGTCACCATATTCTGTCATCTCTTTGTAGCTGTTTCTTACTTGTTTCATAGATGCAGTGTCAGCTTCAGTCTTGAAGACATAAATTAGATTATTCAATATCTTTACCCATTTCTTAGGAATAGAGGCATTAGTTGAAATTCCTCAAAAAATCTTCTCATATGATGAAATCCTTTCTTGTGGCCAGCGATTTCTTGCATCATCATCTTTACAGAGAAAGATCTGCTTTCGTGTAGCATCATGGGGAGTTAATTTGGGCTTCAACAGAGACAATGGCCCTATTCAATATTTTGGGGCTAGATAAAGACAGAAAAGGGGAAGTTTAACTGTAGCGCCTTCAAATACCTAAGAAATCTATTTGGTAGAAGCAGGAGACAACAGGTACACACCAAAGAGTTTTCTCTTTTCCCCTGTGTTTTCCAGACATTCATGCCATGCCAGTAGTGAGAGCTGACTGAGTTTGTCACTTATTGTGGCCTTGACTGTGTCCTTTCTTAAGGCATTGGCAGGATCCAGATGGCCTGCCCTCACCCTCATACCTTGGCCTTCCAAGGTTGGGCTGTTTGGGTGATTCTGCTCCTGACAATCCTGTCTTCCAGAGGAGTGATTGTTGGACTAGGGTAGGAGGGCTGCCACCTGCACGCTCACTGGCAGAAATTCTTCAGAGCTTCTAGTACTGATATACATTTAGAAATGGTTTCATATTTCACAGATCATTTCAGTGAGTGTCCAAGGGTAGATTGGACTAAGGGAGGAGTAAACGTGGTATGCTGTAGTGTTAATTTCCCTGGAAACCCTTTGCTTATGGACGTTTTCTACATTATATGCCCACATGGTGACCAATATAACAGTGCCTCGCCACCCCCACCAACCACTTAAAAAGTTTCTCCATGAGGCTATTTTAAAAATGAGTGCATTCTCAGTTCTCTCTATGGGAATCCCCAGCAAAGCATCAGCTAGTATTTTTGCATGCTCAAAGAGTGGACTGATTTCCGTTGGTGGATATCTGAGCCTTCCCTGGATAATATCCCCCAGAGCTGCAACCCCCCTCCCTCTCTCCAAGGTGTGCCAGGATTCCCCGTGAGGAAAACTCCATGCCAACATTCCTGCCTCTTCCATGATCTAAAGGCTCTGCCTCATAAAAAAGTTGGGAATTCCTGGTTTAAATCCCCTGGGCTAAGTGTAAATCAAGCAACTTGGAGCTCTGCTCTTACAAGGAGAAATGTTGGGGGATTCCAGAAACACCAGGGTCATTTTACCTCTTAATAGTTTCTCCAAGCCATACTGGTTCAGAAGCAAAGACCTCATAGTTCCATGAAAAATTTGTTTTTCCTCAAAACTAAAAGAAATGAAGCCCTAAGGGTCTCATTTCACAAAATTCTCCCCTAGTCCAGAAGTGAAATATCAAAGAGTTGGAGGTACTCACAGCTAACTTTCTACCCAGTCAGGGTTCTGCATATGGTGTCCCTGGGAGAGGACACCCAGCCTGTGCTCTACTCTTCCAGTACTCAGGGGCTCAGTCTCTAAGGTAGTACTAAGTACTACTGCCCCAAATAGAATGAGCTGCCTTAGTACTGGCATTCTATTTGGGCAGATTATTGCTAGGAGGTTCTTCCTTAAACACATTAACATCTGCCTCCCAGAAACCTCTGTGTATTGTTTTGAATTCCATCCTTGGAAGCCACACAGAATAAGTCTCCCTCTTCTATACAGCAGTCCTTTCCCATTTCTATAGTCAGCCACCAAACCTCTGGGTCTTTGTGGTCCTAAACTCCCCTTGACATCCAGCCTCCAAGGTAGCTCCCAATGATCCCTACCTCCTGGTATCCACAGCCTTGTGAAGTCCCCTCCCATACTGTCTCAGGGCTGGTCTGTGCGACCAATAGAATATGAATGGGATGTGACTTCAGAGACTAGGTCATAAAAGGCACTGTAACTTCTGCCTTGTTCTCTTTGTCTCTCTCTCTTGGATTGGTCACTCTGGAGGAAGCTAGTTGCTAAGTCATTGAGACACACAATGGAGAGGTCCATGTGGAAAGACTGAGGCCTCCCAACAATAGCTTGTAAGTGAGCCATTCTTCAGCCCCACTCAAGCCTTCAGATGACAGTGCAGCCCCAGTTGCCATCTTGACAGCAACCTCAATGAGAGACCCTGACCCAGAACCTCCCAGCAAAGCCACTTCTGAATTCCTCTCAGACCCTGTGTGGGAAAATAAATGTTTATTGCTTTAAGCTACTAAATTTTAATTTGTCATATAGCAATAAATAACATACACTTTGAGTTTCTATAAGTATTCTTTAAGCAAGAAAGTCTGCAAACCTCTCACCTCAGGGAAAATTCTGATTTTTTTTTTTTTTAGTGCCTTTCTTAAAATAGTCTACTATAGAGTAATGGGGACAACAACAACAACAAAACACATTTACCAAATACGTTGGATGTTGGCCTTTGTGCTAACAGTTTTATACGTACTACCTAAGTTAATTCTTATAAAAGCCCTGTGATATAGGTTCTATTATTCTATCCATTTTACAGATGAGGAATACAGGTTTAGAGAGGTTAAAAGCCTTGCCTAAAGATGTAGGGCTAGGAAGAGGCAGAAGGGAAATCCAAAAACAGGCAGTGTGACCTCAGAGTCCTAGCTCTAAAGCTCTAGGTTACAGGAACAGAGTACAGTAGGAAAACCACCTCCCATGACCTGATTTCTACATTGATAGAACTTAGTTCTCCATCAATTTTGCCAGCAGTCCTGGAATGCTGTTGGATTATATAAATTTGTGGTCAGCTAAGGCCTCTGGCTGTTTCTCCACTTAAACTACTGTCAAATTTGGCCTCATATCTTCCTGATTAAATCATTACTCTTAACCTAAATACTGACTGTTATTATAAATGTGTCACTGTTCAATTTAACTTGGTTGGTTGGCTGTGATCCATTGTTCTGGCTCAAAACTTTTTTTTTTTCTCTTGAGTCTTTATTCTATCATCCAATACTTCAGCTATCATTCTGGGCACTGTGTTGTCTCTAAATCTGATAAACTTTTCCTTATATGTCTTCCTTTGATTTGCTCATAAAAGTCTCAACAGGAAAGAAGGATAAAGCCTGCTGGCACACCCAGGAGTCCCCCTTCTAGGTCAATGCGAATACATCAACAAATGTTTTCTGAAGATGACCTAGTTAAAAACGTCCTACCCTTCCCAAAAGCTTCTAGGTAAACCCATGTTGAGTATGTTTGGGGATCTCTTCATTTAAAGAGGTCACTGGCATTGTTCCTTCTCACCAACTAGCCAACTGTGAACTCTTGTAACTCATATTTCTCCATTTTGTCCAACTGAATATTTTGATTTTGTCATGTGCCTTGTTGAACTCAACGTGTATCCTCTTATACAGCCTTATGCTGGTGGCATTTCCCTCATCAGTCTTACAACACTAAAAAAGAAGTAAAGTTAATCTGCTGTGACTTTTCATTCTTTATTTGCTGTAATAAATTGGTCTAATGTTTTCCTGGGAGTGTCAAGTTTTATAATCTACATTCTAAACAATCTTCAGGCATTTTTACATCATTAAAGTCAGAAATGTATTTGTCTTTTTCCATTCTCTGAGCAATTTTTACATTTGCTGCTATTTCTTAAAAATCACCAACAGGGATGGGTGATTTTTGCTACAGGTTTCTCAGTACATTGAAGTAAAATTCATCTGTACCTGTGATGAGTAAACTCATCTGTGGTATTAGGGGTCTTTTACTAGGATACTCACTCAACCTTTTATTTCATATTTACTATGTTTGTTTTATTCTTTTTGACAGAAAATATAAAAGCAAAATTATGTCAATAATAGTCTTTTCCTGGTTTTGCACTAACCTTTTCTACCTGCCACAAGAGATGGACTTATTCCTTCCTTTTTTTACCTGTCTGCTCCCAAAGATAGCCTCAGAAAACCATTGGTTTGTGGCCAATAGCCACAACTCTAGTTCTTTCTGTCCTTCAGTTTTCCTGACATTCTCATAAACACCTGCCACCTAGGAGGCACTAACGTGCTTGTTCCCTCAACAAAGTGCTCTTCCATTCTATTCTTTGTCACCTCTTGGGACACATCCTTCTTTTGATGTTCTTGCATAACTTACTAGATGATGTATCAGAGAATTCCTTCTGCAGCCACATTTGGGTTCCTTACAGTCTCTCTCCCCTTTACTTTCTCATGAACCCTTTGACTACAAACTCAGAACTCTATGAGCCTCTCAACTGGCCTGGCCTTATTCCCTTGTAGAATCATGCTTGTGGGATCACATGTGGTTTTACCCTGAATTTTTGGACACTCTGATTGCCTGAAATTGAACTCTACCTAGTGTTTCCTTCTCTCACTTCTATAGCACATATAGATATCAACCTGTTATCCTTTCTGATCAAGACTGCATTCACAGAAGCAGGTGTCCCTGTTGTCTTCTTTATCTTCTGAGTAATACATAACCAACAAGTATGTAAAGAATTCTTCAGGTGTTCAATTTGCAGCATGCTGAGATTTCCAGAAAATATACCCATCTGAAGTTTGTTGCCAAACCACATTCTATCCTTATGACTACTTTGTCATCAAGATCCAGACAATATTAATTTCTTAGATCAACCATCTATCTACAGAATTGATCTATGATGATTTAACTTTTGATATCCCGATTATTTTTTCTTGAAGCAACTGTCCATGTCATTATTGAGCCTATTTGTTTATTTGGGGCTGCCTGGCAAACATTTCTTTACTTCATAACAGCACTCAGGTTTTCTTTTAGGGAATTACCTCTTCCCCTACAGGTTTACATTGGCTTATCACCATGTTCAGATGTGCTACCCACCCTTCCATCCTCTTTACCTCAAATATGAATCTTGATAAGAAAGACAAAAAGATAATGCTGATGGAATTCATGCATTATAACTGTGGCATGTTGAGCAGAGTTTCTGTTCTGAGATAGAATCTGCCATTCCTGATTCCTGGCTTCCTGGAGTCATCTGGGTTACTGTTCTGTTCTAAGGGTGATTCTCCAGCTTTCCCACAGATTCTGTGTGCTCCCAACAGCCTTCCAACAAAGTTGCTTTTGTTCAAGTTAGTTGGAATTGATTGTTGCAACCAAAGAACCCTAGTTGATGTATTCGGAACAAGATCTGTTCTTCAACTGACTTCTTATAATGCTATTCCTTGTCACCAATTCTCCAGTGCCCACAGGATCATGGAATCACCCATTCAACTCACTGCAACCATTGATTCGCTTCAGTTTTCCAAAAACATTTCCTCAACAAGCCCACAGGCAGAAACTGAATTAAAATGCCAAGTTTCATCTATTCACTGCCCCCAAAGTGAGCTATAAATCTGTAGTTACCCAAGGTGGTAAGTCTTGTTTATAGCAATACTGTGTTCTGTAGCCTTACCGCTCTTCCTTCTTCTCTCAAGCTCACCCTTCCTAAATTGATACGCCTACCTTCACAGTCATCCCCCCCCTTTCTTTTTGAGACAGACTCTTGCCCTGTCACCCAGGCTAGAGTGCAGTGGCACGATCTGGCTCACTGCAACCCCCGCCTCCTGGGTTCAAGTGATTCTTCTGCCTCAGCCTCCCGAGTAGCTGGGATTACAGGTGCCCGCCACCGTGCCTGGCTAATTTTTGTATTTTTAGTAGAGATGGGGTTTCACCATGTTGGCCAGGCTGGTCTCGAACTCCTGACCTCATGATCCACCTGCCTCGGCCTCCCAAAGTGCTGGCACAGTCCCTTTTAGTGTTTTATGAAATTAGAAAATAAATCCAGGATCACCTCTGAAGACTGAGAATCAATCCAAAGGAACCGAGCACTGCTTAGTTTTCAAACCATCCCTGCTACCCTTCCCATAGCATCTGGCTTGACCATTTTGAGACTTTTTTCCCTCCCTGCAATTTCAGCTTAGGGACATACTGATCAGCTCAGTGGCTCTTTTGCCAAACATGTACTTACTTACTTCCCTGTCTTTGTATGCTACAAAGACATTATAGCTGAAATTATATTCATATATTGCATTTATACAGGCAACCACCCCACTCTGGTGGCTGGCTGTGTTGGCCCTTCTCCATCAAGTCTCAGATGAACAGTCAAGAAAGACCAGATACTTACTAATTGGCTACATCAGGGGCAACGCTGTATCCTTCAGCAGGAAGTCACAATTCACAATCATATTTCCTCCTCCTGGAACCGAGGACTCTTCTACACTCCCAAATGCCAAGCTGATAGTATTTGAAAGGCAAAAGCTCACAAAATATATATCTTAATTACAGTGCCCTGAACATATTTTTCCTAGCCTGCTACATCAGGAAGTCATTGCTTTCTACTGCCCACTGGAGTGGACTTTTCCCTCACCTACCCACTTGTGACACTCTTCTTGCAGATGGAGGTCTATATTTTGCCTCCAGCCAATATGGCAAAAATGACCTCTGTAGACTTAGATGGTGAAACAATGAATATTCTGACCTATTCCACAGTGGCCCTTAAGGGACGAAGGGTACAGGGAACAAAGGCAGGATATTTTGCCTCCTTCCATCCGTGTCTGAGTACCTCTAAGGTATACTCCTCTTGGTTGTATGAGACCCCAACCACAAACACCAAAGCTGTCTCTCAAAAACATCTAAGCAAATTGCAACAAGATCCTTATAATTGCACCCCCTGCCTTTATTCATTTCTTGTGTTTTTTGTTTGTTTGTTGTTGTTGTTTGTCTTTTTTTTTGAGACAGGGTCTCACTTTGTTGTTCAGGCTGGAGTGCAGTGAGGCAAACACAGCCTCCTGGGTTCAAGTCATCCTCCTGCCTCTGCCTCCCAAGTAGCTGGGACTACAGGTGCGCGCTACCACACCAGGCTACTTTTTGTGTTTTTTTGTAGAGATGAGGATTTGCATGTTGCCTAGACTGGTATCAAACTCTTGAGCTCAAGCTATCTGCCTGCCATGGCCCCCTAAAGTGCTGGAATTATAGGCGTGAGCTACCATGCCTGCCTATTTCTTGGTGTTTTTTTTTAGACAGAGTCTTGCTCTGTTGCCCAGGCTGGAGTGCAGTGGCACGATCTCGGCTCACTGCAAGCTCCACCTCCCGGGTTCACACTCATTCTCCTGTCTCAGCCTCCTGAGTAGCTGGGACTACAGAAGCCCGCCACCACACCCAGCTAATTTTTGTATTTTTAGTAGAGATGGGGTTTCACTGTGTTAGCCAGGATGGTCTCGATCTCCTGACCTCGTGATCTGCCCGCCTCGGCCTCCCAAAGTGCTAGGATTACAGGCATGTGCCACTGCGCCCAGCCCTATTTCTTGTTTTTAATCACTTTTGAAATTGCAAAAGCAATACATGTTTAAGAGAGAAAACTTGAGAGAACAGAAGAGTACAAAGAAAGAATAAACTCAAAGCATGCAAAAGCCATTCACAGATAACCACTATTAAAACTTTGGAATATAAATATTGTCTTTATTTTGTGTTCTGTGTGCCCAACAGGGAATAAAACGATACTACTCATGAACACTTCCCCAACTCAATTAAGTATTATGCTACAGGTTGAGTATTCTTTATCCAAAGTGCCTGGGATTGGAAGTCTTTTGGATTTTGGATTTTTTCAAATTTTGAATATTTGCATATACATATATGAGATATGAGATATCCTGGGGATGGGACCCAACTCTAAACATAAAATTCATTTGTTTCATATATACCTTATACACATATCTTGAAGGTAATTTTATATAATATTGTAGATAATTTTGGGCATGAAACAAAGTTTTGACTGTATTCTAACTGTGACCACATGAGGTCAGGTGTAGAATTTTCCATTTGTGGTGTCATGTTGGTGCTCAAAGAGGTTCAGATTGTGGAGGATTTTAGATTTCAGGTTTTGGGATTAGGGATGCTTAGTCTGGACATGGTAATCTTTGATGGCTGAAGTTTTCATCTAATATATACTGTTTAACCAATCTCCTCTTATTGGGCATTGTGATAGCTTCCCAATATCTCACTATTATGAAACATTATATGAAACCGAATATCCTTCTACATAGATCTTTGTTCACGCACATTTATGATTATTTTTCTGAGAGTAGAATTAGTGTGGCAAAGGAATGCTCCTTTTTCTGAGACACATTATCAAGCTGCATTCCAGGAAATTTGTAACAATTTACACTCCCCTGAGGAGGAGATGAGTGTTTCTTCATAACCGTTCCAATGCTAGATATTTTTCATTTCCCTTCTCGTCAATTTCGTGGCAATGTATAAGAATCTCTTATGTTAACTGCATTTTCTTAATTTCTTGATGTAGATTTTTTTCATATGATTATTAACATTTGTATTTCAACTTTGGTTAATTAGCTGTTTATATCTTTTGCCTACTTTTCTAGTGATACATTCTTTCTTGTCTATTTGAAAGTACTCTTTAAAATACTAATAACTCTGTATCCCGTTATATATGTTACAAATAATTTGTGGTTTGTGTCTTCCTTTTGCTTATGCAGAAGTCACCCTGACATTATTAGAGGCCTTCCCTTTCTTAAGATTATATAAATATTTACCTACACTTCCTTCCATTATTTTATTGCTTATATTTAATTCTAAACCATCTATATTTAGTGCATAAGACGTATTTCATTATTTTCTAAACAGCCAACCAATTATCCTAACTCCATTTGTTGAACAGTTTATCATCTCCTTATTGATTTGAAATGTTACCTTTATCATAGGCTAATAACTCACTTTCAGTCTTTCTACTTAGTTCTACTGAGATTCTGTTTCTGTACCAGCACCAAAGCATTTACTGTAACCTTGCAATATGTTTAATATCTGGCAGTACAAATTTACAAATTTGTCATCTTCCCTTGCCCCTACCCCTCATTTTTTTGAAAACACTTTGAATACTCTCCCGTTTGTTTTTCCAGGTGACCGTTAGAATCATTTATAAGTTCTCTTCCCCATATCCAAACCGTTAGAGGACTGACATTATAATTATACATCAAGTTAGAGATAACTGGCCCATTTACAACAAGGAGTTTTCCTAGTCACAAATGTGCTATGCTTCTCCATTTATTCGCATTTCTGTGATGCACCCTGCAGTAAAGTTCCATGGAAGTCCTGCATACAACCACCACTGCTGGATTTATTATTTCTCTGTAACACCGTCAGCTTACTTTTAACCATCCCTGACAGAAAAAGGAAAGGCCTCCAGCCACCAAGCCCTGCTATAATACCATACATTGGAGGCTGGAAGGGTGTTCCAGGGCTGGAAAGATGGCACAAAAGATTCCGAGTCAGCAGCACGGGCCCCAGTAGCAGCTCTGTCACACTCACTCTAGATGACTTTGGCCAAGTCCTTCCCATCCCTGGGTCTCAGTTTACTCCTCTGTAAACTGTGCTGCCTGTCTGTTCCTGGGGAGAGGGTGCCTGGCTCTGTGCCACAGGCAGAGGCTCCCTGGGCAGGTGAGCGCCTTCTCCCACCAGCTGTTAGAAAAAGGTGGGCGTTGGAATGCTGCTCAGAGGCACCCTGGCTTCGCTCAACCTGGAGTTTCACACACCCATTCCTTAACCTCATTCTCTCCCTATTTCATTCCTCTTCCCACGCAGTGTTTACTAAAATCTCTCAACACCAGACGAAGCACAAGACCAGGATGTTCTGGGCTGCCTGGGGAATGTTCCCACAACGGTGAGCCGCTGGGCAGAGAATCACACGGTTGCCACCCATTCAAGGCGGGGGCGCCCCAGTCTCCAACTCAGGGGTCACTGATGTGCTCAAGGACAAGAAAACCATCAGACAATGTCTGAGAGAGGGGCTTTTCCTTCGGTGCTTACAAATAAAATACAAAAATCCTCACAGGAAAAGGAGGATAAAGGCTGTGGTGGCTTTGCTGTTTGTTTACAAAGCAGTCAAGGGACAAGTGAGAACCTGTGTGGCATTTTATACTCACTGTGTCTACCATGTAGGGTCTAGCTATAGGTTCTCTTTTATAGTCTAGGAACTTGCTGTTCAAAATGTGGTCCACAGACAAGTGCCACTGGTGCTACCTGGGAGCTTGTTAGAAATGCAGAGTGTCAGGCCTCACCCCTGAGCCACTGAATCTGAATCTGCATTTTAACCAGGCCCCCAGGAGAGTCCTCCACACATTGTAGGCTGAGATATGTAGCTCTGGTTTACCGCCTTTCAATCTTCCACACGCATTGCAGTCACCTTGGAAAAGTACCCATGCCAGGGCCCACCCCCACACCCAGAGATAATGATTTAATTGTTATGGGGTGCAGCCAGGACAATGGGATTTTTAAAAACTCTTCAGGTGATTGTAACATATAGCAAAGTTTGAGAACAACTGGTCTAGTATACACACAAATAGATTAAAAGAAAAAATGAGAAATCCCTTCCTGGACTATAAATAGAATCATAGAAAGTTTATAAACAACTGTAGCAAAATTTATTGAAAATAAATTGAACATATAACCACCAATCTGATGTCTTTACCATATAGTGTCAATAAATGATGCACTTGAGAAAATAACAACGAATTGCACTATTCAGAGAAGGTAAAAGATAAGATATTCTCTCTCCCATCTTCTTTCCACCTTGTGACTAATTAAAACAAAACCTCCTCATATAGTAATTTTCAAATGATGGCAAATGGGAACATTTTTGTGCTTCAGCCTTAGCACAATTTTCCTTTAGCACTGGAAATTTCAGTCGGATAATGCGCTTTGCACTGCAGTTACGTAAGTACAGTGGAAGTTCTTGTGTTCACTTATAGAATACAGAGTTTCCTTTTACTCACACACTCCTTTAATGCAGTTGGACATCAATCTTTCCCGCTTAGAAAGGAGGTTTTGTTTCACTGCCAGGGGATAGAACTTCCAAAAAACACAAATGTCTTTCAGCATCATGTTGAGTAAATAATCAAGGGGGTATGAATTGGTCTCTCTCTAACTTCCTGCCTTATTTTGCTTTCAACTCATAGGTGAGTTATGAAAAGACATCTGCCCTAACGTTCTAGCCACCTAGGCAGGATGTCAGCTCCAAAGACAAGTCTCAGCTTATGGTGCTTCCCATGCTTTTTTTGTTTATCTGGTCCTGGAGTCCGCTTACAAAACATAAAGTGTAGATATGTCTGTGGACCAATTAGTGCCTTTCCATTCAATTCAAGCCATTCATAAAATTGACTCAGAAAAATAGAAAGTGGCTCTTGGTTCAGGTTTCCCCAAGCAGATCAGGTTTTATATAGGATATCACGATATTCGGTGGGGAATTGATCACAGAAAAACTGACAGCATTCTGTAGTCCAAGCCCAGAGGCAGCACAGAGTTCACCCACCCACCTACCCATCTACCTTTAATTGAACTCCTATTAAGAAGGCACTGTCAGCTCCTATGGCCCCACCAGAAACCCAGCAAGTTTGCTGAGATTGGGTCTGAGGACAATGAGTGGAGGTTCAGGATGGTGCTTCCTTCAGGCTATTCAGCAGCCAGGTATGTAGTATCAGGGATGGGGTTGGAATGGGGTCTCCCAGGACAAACCCATGTTGGGGCATGGCAACAATAAGGTGTGGGGAGGTTGGCCAGGACCAGTGGCTTTCAGTTCAGTAAAGTGTGGGGGGCCCAAAACCCTCCCAACCCAAACCAAAGTTTTCAGCTTGGTATGATTCAGAAGTCATCCATACCACACCAGGCAAGGAAAGCCCACTCCACTCAAGATGGCTCCACCAAAGCCCACCTGTGCTTCCATGAGTCTCTGGATTGTGAACTGGCCTATATGAAACTTGGTTTTTAAAAAAGTTCATTCCCTTTATCTTTTTGAAAATTCAAAAAGTATGAAAGTGTACAATGTCAAGTCTCCCTCTTACCCTGTTCCCAGCCAGCCATGCCCCTTCCCCGGAGACAGTGGCATAACAGGGTCCCATGCACATGACTGTTGGCACTGCCTTTATTCTTTGAAGGGCTCTTCCTTTATGAGCAAAAGACACTTTTTGCTGTCCTCTGGCCCCCTAAGGAAAGGCTCACATATGGCTTCCCTGCCCTGTGCAAGATTCCATGGCTCTGTCAGTTTCCTACCCTCATCCCTTGGGAAGTCCCAGGGCAGCACTCCACACATCATAGAGTAAGAGTGCATAAAACCCACCAAATGAGCTGCACAATGGCACATCTCCAGCTTCTTGTAGGTGAGAACTTCAATTCTACATTTTTTAAATTTCTTACCAAATATTAACTTAGCTCTTTCCTTGTGCAGGAATACTTGGCTAGATGCTGCAGAAAAGAAAAACCATGAGCAAGTCATGCCTTATATTCACAGGATCTTAGACCTGCATGAGGTCTAAGATTTATGATGATACAGGGAGAGGAAAAAGTATCAAGAAGGGAAGAAATGGTGGAAGGTAAGAATATAGACAAAACTTTGGGACCTGACATAGCCAGGGCTTGGGAAGGGAAGAAGAGAGAGCAAGCTTGTCCTATATTGATGCGAGCTACCCCATAACCTATAATTGCACCTTAACAGATACTTGAATGCGCCATTTCCTTCTCCACACCTGGTGAAGGTGGAGCCCAGAGGAGAGGACTCTAGAGCAGGAATTAATGGGCTCTGGCTTGGATCATGGTCAATCGAGCATGGCCCTGACATCTTCTCAGCTGGACTGTGGTCCCTTGAGGTCCAGTGTGGACAAGATGAGTGGCTGCATGCCCCATTTCTCACCATCGCCAGGCAAACAAGCATTATTTTCCCATTTCATAGACAAGGAAACAGAAGCAAGAGGTTAAGTGACTTGTCTAAGGATGCTCTCTGCTGGTTGGCACCAGGGCCATTCCAGAGCGCCACGACTGTCTGGTGATTCAGGCCCAGGCTTCTGTTTTCTTCTCTCACTGTATGAGGCTTTGTTCACCTTGATGTTTCTGGACATCCCTTTTAATTATTGAACTGAATTCGTGTAAAGTAGGGGTTTTCCATATTCTCATCTTTAACTTCAAAACCCAGGTTCCATTTCACAACTTTTCCAAATGTTGGGTTAACAAGTCATAACTACGACCCTTTTACATGTTTCTTAATCACCAATTGTGCTTCAAATGTGCTCTGAAAAACAAAGGTGCCTTTCATGTTATTCCCTGATTAAAAAAAACTTTACATTTAGTTAGAATGCTAAATTCTATAGCAATTTGTGTCCAATGGTTATAAGACTAATTCATTCTGATTTTAAAACTCATTCTCACTTAAAAATTTTAAAATGTAGCCCTCATTCCCTATAGGCTCATATACAAATATGAAAACTACATGTATATATTTATCTTTCATATATTCAATCTCAAATGGTAATGAATATTGATTATGGTTCCTGTGCTTATATATAGATGAAAGAATGTACATGATAAAACCCAAATGCTCCACGTACCAAGTTATTAAACATGCCATATACCCTGTAGTATCAAGCAGTAACTCTCACCATTCACATTTCAGTTTCCTTCAGCAGCACTGACTGCGGCTTTCTATGGGCCAGAGAGCATGTGAGGAGACTCAGGAGGCCCACCTTCCCTTCTGGACAAGTGACCGGGGGAACCTGGGCTGTTCCACTGCATGGCCTTGACGTGACACTATAGCTTCAAACTTCTTATTCTGTATGTACAAAATTTTGCAGTGATTTTAGCATAGGAGTCTGGGTAGGAGGGATCTTTCAGGACATCTTTGCAGAAAGACCTAGGACCACCATGGGAGACTCTGTGAGGCCTCCACCCCCGATTTGTTTTGGTTCTGATGGCTTCTAACCTCTGTGTTTGCCTCCACAGTACCCTCTGAAATGTTCCAGAATCCCCCATATGAGAACACACTATTCACCCAAGCACCCACCCCAAAAAGGAAAATGCTAACAACAGTGTAGCCAGCTTTTAAAACAAATAAACTAAAATCTACTCGGCAGCCTCACCCATACTTACCAGTGCCATAACAATGACATACCTAATGATGGTTAACAAATGCTTAAGGAGGAACAGAACTTTAGAGCAAGAAGGGAACCTTAGTGATGAAGAAAAGGAGCTCTAAAGAGGTGACTTCCTAAGGTTGGGACTAGAATCTAGGCCTCTGAACTTCCCACTCAGGACCAACTCGTGTATACGCTCTACATTAGTACAAATTTGATTTTTCCTCCTTTTCCAAATGCATTAGTTTCCCATTGCTGCTATAACAGATTACCACAAATTTAGTGGCTTAAAATCACCCACATTATCTCACATTTCTGGATGTCAGAAGTCTGAAATGAGTCTTATGGGGATAAACTCAAAGTGTCATCACCAGGAGGGATGGTTCCCTCTGGAGATTGTAGGGGAGAATCTGTTTCATCTTTTCCACCTTCTAGAATCTGCTTGAATCCTCTGGCTTGAGGCTGCATCACTCCAAGCTCTGCTTCCCTCAACACATCTTCTCTTCTGTTTGTGAACCTCTTCCCATCCTCTTATAAAGGTCTTGTGGTTATACTGGGCCCACTCAGATAATCCAAGATACTCTTCCCATTTCAAGGTCCTTAACCCCACCTGCAAAGTCCCCTTTGCCATGTAAGGTAGCATAGTCAGAGTTTCTGGAGAATATGAGTTGGACATCTTTGGGGGACCACAATTCAGCCTTCTGCACCAAATGAAAATAATTTCCTTCTGTTTGTTCAATCATCTGTCTGTGCTTGGAGTTTTCCTGATAAGTATCTGGCTGCAATGAACACTAAGCTAAGTTTTGGCACAAATCCACCCATGCTTATTTCCTTAGGATAAATTTTTAGAAGTGTTATTTCTGGGTCAACAGATAAGCAGGGCTTATTTTTCAGCCTTATGATAAGTATTACCAAATGGCTCTCATAAATGTTGTACAATTTATATACCCAATAAGTCTCCGACCTTATCTGCTTTGTACGCAGCTCTTATTTTTATCTTCACTAATTTGACCAATGAAAATGATATTTCATTAATTTGCATCTCTTTGATGACTAGTAAGGCTGGACATCTTTTCTATGTTTATTGGCCGTATGTAGTTTTTCTTTTGTGACTTGCCTATTCCAATAATTTGCTTATTCTCTTATTGATGTGTTAAAATTTTTGTTATTGGTGTGTGAGTTTATTTTACATATTAAGGATATAAATCCTCTTTAGGATTCAAACACTAGCAAATACGGATTTTATTTATAGTGGTTTTCAGGAGATGTTCAGAAAATTATAATTTTTATGTCTCTATTTTCCTTTATGGTTTCTGTTTTCAATGCTCTGATTAGACCTCCTTTTGTGTAAGCTATATAAATATCCACTTATTTCCTTGGAGAAATTTTATGCTTCCATTTAAAAAGTATTTCAATCACCTAGAACTTATTTTAGAATGTCATTACGTTTTTAGATCTAGATTCTTTTTAAATGTTTAACCTACCATCTCAGAATAATTTGTGACATGGTCCGCTCCTTCCCTATGGATGTGAAATGCCACTACTATCACATGTCAGCTTATGCATAACTGGGTTTCTTTTGGAGCTTGCCATGCTGGCTCATGAATGTGTCTATTCTTGTCCCAGTGTTGCAATGTTTTAATTATTTCAGTGTTTTAATGTTTATTAATATTTGGAGGTACAAATCCCTCCACATTTTACATGAGCATTTTCTTGTGCCTTAAAGGTGAACTTTAGAATCATTTAGTTAAGTTCCCCCTTATTCATCCTAATCTTGTGGAAAGAGTAACTAGAACTGCCTTGGGTTTCTAAAGTAATAATGGGAAGAACAGTTCTATAACCTTTTACTTTCCCAGGGGCACAGGTCTCTCTATTAGTCAAATAAATTACCTTAAAAGGAAATTTTATGGTATTCTTCAAACAGATTCTGACACATCTTTTAAAGATTATTTCTACTTGGTCTATAGTCTATATTTTACAACTATTTTGAAGGTGATTCTCTCCAGTATATTTTTTATTGTTACTATGATTATTGTTATTTGAGGGAGATTCTTTTAAGTGTATAATATCATTAACTATAAGCACAATGTTGTACAGCAGATCAATAAAGTTTTTCATCTTGCATAACTGGAACATTCTACCGTTTGAATAGTATAATAATTCCCCATTTTCCCCTCCTGCTCAGTATATTTTTAATTGGTTATTGATGGTTTATAGGAAAACTACTGACTGTTTTCTTACTTGCACCCTACTGGCTACTTTTAAGATTTCTAATAGGCATTTGTGGCAGTTTGTGCGTGCTTCCTTGATATATACTCATATAATTTGTAGAAATAGTGATTTATCTCTTTTCCAACCAGAGGCTCCTGAGCACTGAGGAGCCTGGCTGCCGTGGAGATCTCAGCTGAATACTGCAAAGCTGCTGCCATACCCACATGTGTGAACCTGAAGGCCCCGAGACTGGGGGAAGGAGGTGGTGTTACCAGAGCAGTATCACTGTTATCTGAAGCTTGGACACTGCTTTCCAGTTGCTGCCATAAATTATTTTTATTGTTTTTTAAAAATGAGACTTTAAGACACATATTGCTTCTCAAATAAGAGTCATTCGTAATCTTCACACTCAAGGCAGATCTCCACAGCTCCCTCCAAAATATGCTTCTACCAGAACCCTTTCTTGTTACCACCAAGTTCTTTTGCAGAAAATAGCAGAAAAGGACCTATTTCAAAGGCCATGGACAAAAAATTTTGAGCCACAGGGAAAAAAAAACAGAATACTTCATGCTATTATACCTATGAAGATACAGAAAGAGGCAAAAACTTAATATTGAACCATAACCTCAGACCTGACTCTGGCACAAACCTTTATAGGCAGACAAACCTGAGAGCAAATATTGGCTCTTTGTGACTTACTAATTCTGACCTTGGGCAAGTCACTGAAACTCTCTGGGGCTCAGTTTCCCCATGAATCAATAGGGAATGTTATAAAGGCAAAATGGGTGATATAAAGCACTTGGTATGGTGCATAGTGTTCCTTCCTTCTTTACTTCCTTCATTCATTTACTCACTCAACAAAATATCAAGTGTCTTGTATGCGTCATGCACTGTGCTGGGTACTGGGGATCCATTAATTAACTAGACAGACAAGGTCCCTGCCCTCAAGGAACTTAAGTCTAATGGGGGAGGCAGGCAAATAAGTAAATAAACAAACGAAATCATTATAGACAGCACTGGGTGCTACTAAGGAAATGCACAGAGATGTGATGAAGAGCTACTGCCAGAATCACCATGCAGGGAAAACTTCTCTGAAATGGTGAAGCACATCTGAGACCCGAAGGACATGAATGAGTCAGCCACTGGAAAAACTGGGGAAAGAGCATTCCAGGCAGAAGGAGGAGCAAGTGCAAAGCCTAGAAGTTAGAGAAGGACATGATACATCTGGGAAAAAGAAAGGAGACCAGGGAACCGGAGCATAGAAAGTAAGGAAGAAAGACGTATGAGCTACAGATGGAGTGGGAATGGGTGTTGCACCCGGCAGAGCTCTGCAGGGCAATGGAGAGCTTGGACTTTACTCTGAGAGTATGTTACTATGTATGTTCTTGTAGCTGTTGATATGAGAGATGCAGTATTGGGTTTGCCATTTAAACCAGAAGCTTACACACATTTTTAACTATTTTCTTTGCAACAAAGTATATGACATAGATCTTAACTTAGGAGGCTCATTTTAAGATTGCTAAGCATTTCTGTTCAATTCAGTGAATCTCCAAGGTCCACAACCAGACCTAACCCCATGCACAAAATAATGAAAAGCACTTTCTTCACCTACTATATGGGAGGCACTGAAATAAGAAAAGCCTGCACCAGTGGTCACTGCCTACAAGGAGCTGAGGTCCTTGAGCATCTTCTCCTTTGGGCACATTGCATCCCAGCCCTGCTAACTTCTGATTAAGAACCAGCTGTAGAAAGGAGGGCCAGGCTGGTGGGTAGGATAAGAGAAAGTGGCCTCCAGGTTTTGAAAAGACAGTGGTGGCCTGTGATCTGCTGCTTGACATAAAACTTCCACTGCCAAGAACCTTGGCCATGTCAGCCTGACCAGTAAGAATCATTTTACAGAACCTATGTCACAGCTATCCAGGCTAAGCAATTCTTTCCATCATTTTTTAAAGCTAATTCATATCAAATGCGCAAATCTGTATTTTCACAAAAGGTGTTACAGTTATTTACTTGAGGTACTCTTGCATTGTTCTGCCTTGAAAATTGTTAGATACAAGAGGAAAAATAACTAAAAACAGCTTATTCCAGCATTAACTCTTAGCTCTGCCAATGGAAGAAAGCCAATGTGGTATTTTTATAACCAAAGAAAACTGACTGTTGGTACAATTTCCAGTTTACATAACAGTAGCATTCCAAGAGCTTGTTTGTAAATCATTTGGTGAGATCTCAGAATCCACAGGAAACAGAATATTACAAAAAGTGGGTGAAAGAGCTGGAGCAGCTCATAAAAGCTGGTCTTACCTATTGCATACCTCACCTCTTAAACAGAGTGCTGCTAAATCTGCCATTCTTAACAATACCACCAGGGACAATGTTGGGCACAAATTTTCTGAGAATATGGATTCCTTATGCTGTTCAAACCATCAGCCAGCAGGCTTGGGGCTCCCCCAGGGCCCTGCCTTTCCTGGCATGGGACTAGGGTGGCAGGTGGGAAATAGGCTGCAGGAAGAGGAGGAGATGAGGTTGCAGAGGACCAGAGGTTTGAGGCACCAGTTTCAGATTAACAGAGAGTAAGGGCAACGGGGCTTGGGCTAAGGGTTTTGGAACAGGCTGGAGAGAAAAAAATCAAGACAAGGAATGAGTTTTTTCTTCTCTTTATCCCCTTTATCATCAAGTTAAGTGGAGGGGAGGGGAGGTAGAAGGGACCACCCATTTACTGACTGTAAAAGGTGGCAGGTGCAAAGGTGTGGTGGATGCTGCCCCTCCTCTCCTGGTTTTGTGTGTGGCAGTGAGATCATGTCATACATATATGACAGCTTGCACAGATCTAGTTTGCATAAAAGTCCACACCTGCCAGTGTATAATGGCCAGTATTTGTTCTATATTATAGTTGACAAATGCTTTCACATTCATTTGATCTTTACTGCCTTCAACAGACATGCAAAACCAGATTCGGTCTGTGTTAGAGTCAGGATTCAAGAGTCCTTCCCTCTTTTTCCCCTACACTTGTGGTTTTCAACCCTGGCTGCATACTAGAATCTCTGGGGGAGGTTTTAAAAATTACTGATGCCTGGATGCCATCCCCAGGCCCTGTAAATTAGAATCTCTGGGGTGGGGCCAGGACACTAGTGTTTTTAAAACTCCCCAGGTAATTCTAACGTGCAGCCATAGTTGAGAACTCTAGTTCTACTCAATGGTCCTCAAACTTACAGTGAATATGAATCACTAGGGGAGTTAAAAATGCAGATCCCCAGGCCCTACCTCTGAGATTTGCATTTGGCCTATGAAGCAGACATTCCCATTGCTTACCAGTGTACACTCACCTCTATTTCTAGGTATATAGAGGCCTTCCCGGTCTCCTTGGAGCTAGGTATGGCCATATGAGTTGTTTCAGAGAATGAAATGTGAGCACTGACAAGTAACGCATAACTAGGCGGGAGTACCCAGCTTGCTGATGGATCCCACTTGCTGATATGGAGGTCTAACCTGAACTATCAGTTTTCCTGGGGAGTATCCCAGGGCCCGCAGTGGACACAGAGTGACCGAGAGTTAAACCTGCTGTTAAGCCAGTGAAATTTTGTCACTGCAGCATAACCTAACATCTCCTGACTGAACCTTTTAGTCTGGAGTAAATCTTAATTTTTACAAGCGTTCTGGGTGATTCTTATGCCAACAGCCTATGGTCCACACTTTTAGAAGTAACCTCGATGCCATATTAACTTTCTGTACTTCGTTTCTTTATAAAGAAATAGGTGAGCTACAGAGAGCTAGTATTCACTTATTTACTCAACTTTTATTTTGTATCTATTGTGTCAGACATTGCACTAGGGGTTCATCCGTATGCAGAGCATTTTCACAAGTACAGGGACATGAGAAAGCACTCAACAGCTGGCTGCAGCACAATATTGGGGTGAGACTGAGGAAGGATGACCCTGGGGCTGGCGTTTAGGGAGAAACCCAGGATTGAAGGAAAGGATGTGAGTGAAAACAAATGTGTCGCAAGGTTCTAAAACTGTGAAATAAACATAAGCCGCATAAGTAATTCTATATATTCTAGTAGCCACCTTTAGGATAAAAAGGTGAAATTGATTTGAATAATGTATTTAATTTAACCAAATAAGGTCAAAATAGTGTTACTTCAATAAACAAGCAATACAAACATTTATCGATAAGATATTCAGTTTTAATGTACTAAGTCTTCACTATATGGTATATGGTATCTATTTTCAACACATCTCCATTGGAACTAGCCATGTGTCAAGCACTCCACAGCTGCATGTGGCTGCCATATTGGACGATGCAGTTCTAGACAGAGCTGCCAGAGGCTTCTCGGGATATCCTCTTCAAGGAGGTACCACATGCAAGTGGCCTGGGCATCAGGAACTCTTTTACTTAAAAACAAAAATATTAACTGAGAATCCTCTCTGGTCCAGATTTTTAATAGTATCAGCCTTTGAACACCAATAAAAATACACTGATATTTTAAAATATTGGTATCATCAAAGCTCTCTCCCCAAACAACATCCTGGTTCAGGGGCTACATTCACTCACAAAGTGATACTACTTAAGCAGAGTTTAAAAAAAAAAAAGTTAACTTGTAGTCTTAATGGCAAAATGTACTTTTGGAGAATTCTTGTGGCTAAATGAGTTAGTACTACTTTTTTTCCAAGAGCAACTATTTGAATAGCCCTGTAGTACCAACACTCTACCAAGGTTGATCATTTTGACTTGAAACGTGACCAGTAGGGAGGAAGAACTGCTCAACTCAGCTCCTTCTCCCAGTGCAGTAAAACAGACTGTCTGGTGCTACCTCCACTGTATCCTAAATCAAAGGGGCTCTCTCTCCTAGAAGAGCTGGCCCTGGGCACCCTTGCTCTGAGCCATTTGAGTTCTTTATACAGGAACTCCTTGTGTAGGCTTCCATATAAGCCCCCTTATCAGATGGATGGCTTGCAAATATTTTCTCCCATTCCATAGGTTGTCTCTTCACACTGTTGATTGTTTCCTTGGCTGTGCAGAAGCATTTTAATTGGGTGTAATCCTTTTCTCTATTTTGTTTTTGTTGCCTGTGCTTTTAGGGCCATCTCCAAAAAAAAAAAAAAAATTGCAGAGACTGATGTTATGGAGCTCTTTCTCTGTTTTCTTCTAGTAGTTTCACAGTTTCAGATCTTACTTTTAAGTCTTCATCCATTTTGAGTCGATTTTTGTATTTGTTATGCGATGAGGGTCTTAAGTACATGAACTCCTGCATATGTTAATTAGCTTGATTTAGCCATTCCCTAATGTATACTTATATTGGAACATGTACACCACATATATTTTTTGGTCAAAAAAATTTTAAAGAAAAAATTTTTAAAGTGCTCTTTGCTTGCAATTTTTTTTTTTTTTTTCTCCTCCAGGGAAACTTCTTCAGTGCCCTCAAGAGAGGACAGCCTGCATCCTTCCTAACACCATTTTGTTCACAAGTCTGGCAGACAGTCATTTAATTCAGGCAATGGTTTGCAGTTCTATTTGTCACCTTCACCACTGAGAAGAACCCAAGGGCAATGACTGTCCTTGGTTCATCTCTGATGCCCAGTACAGCCCTCTGCAGTAAGCCCTCCTGCTCACTCACAAAAATGCTTAAACAAGAAAGAGAGAAAGTCAACTTAAATTGGGCCAAAGAGCCCTTCAGTATAATAATACCCTGTTACTCCAGGGTACCGAAGAACTCTCTTTTTCTTTTTTTGAGCAGGTATGATTTTCTTCCACGTTGTCCCCCAGATGGTAAAGAATTTAAACTCAAATAGCTCTAGTTCCCCAATTAGGTATACTCTCCATTTAATGAGCTAATTATTTTCCATCTTTATACATTTCTAACCTGTACTCTCACTTCAATTCTTACAGCATTAGCATCAAAAGGGAAATTAGGCGCTAACTTTTCTCACATAAAGTGCTATGAATAGTCTCCATCTGTGATCATCACCTCTCCCTGAACCTTTCACACCAAAGGAGAGCAACCTGTTTGTATTTTAAAGAACAGTGTGAAAAGGGCTTCTGTGGAGCAAGCGAGCAAGTGAGAACATGACTTCCTCAAGCAAATGGTCCTGCCGTTTTCACCTCTGTGCTTGTGTGGCAGGTTCTGGGCACTTGCAGGGAGCTGAGACCTTCCTTTGCCTTCCTCTTCTGCCCTCCTGTGCCTCTGCTTCTCTGGCCTTCAGCCTTTCCACACAGCAGCCCTGGTGGTTCCCTCCAATTTATCGATGTTCCTCCTGAATCTTGTTGCTGGAATAGTGCAAAGCATTCCACGTCTCCCATAAGTAAAGGAAAGCACCGAGGGGGTGTGTTTTCTCTGCTTTGGGTGCTGTAATTCTAAAAGTAAAGCTCAGTGTTTTGGCATCTACTGGAATAGCGGGTTCCATGACCCTACTTCCCAACAGCCAAAGTGTGGCTTCCTTTGATCTGTTTTTGTTTGTTTGTTTTTGTTTTTGTTTTTGAGATGGAGTCTCACTCTATTGCCCAGGCTGGAGTGCAATGGCATGATCTAGGCTCACTGCAACCTTCGCTTCCCGGGTTCAAGTGGTTCTCATGCCTCAGCCTCCCGAGTAGCTGGGATTACAGGTGTGAGTCACCATGCCTGGCTAAGACGGGATTTTACCATGTTGGCCAGGCTGGTCTTGAACTCCTGACCTCGAGTGATCTGCTACCTTGGCCTCCCAAAGTGCTGGGATTACAGGTGTGAGCCACCACACCCAGCTGATCTGTTCTTTAAGTGTCAAAAATAACTCCTTAGTGTTGAGTTATGCGATTGATCCTGTCATGGCCCTTATGACTTTAAGCTCAAATCATGTCTCTGCCATCAATTGGCTCAGGCCATCTTGGTATTTCAGATACCATTTCTTACTTGAATGTTATTGCTTTCTGTCTTTGTAAATCTAAATGAAAAGAATTATAACAAATACTTACATAGGACTTACCTGTGTCCTATGTAAGCCTCGCCCTGTTCTAAGTGCTTTACGTATATTCTCTCATTTCATTCTCACGGAGACCCTGTGGGGTAGGTTCTGCTGTTATCTCCACATTACAGATGGGGGACGGAGGCACAGAGTGGTTAAGAAACGGAACTAGTTCAACCATTGTGGAAGTCAGTGTGGGAATTCCTCAGGGATCTAGAACTAGAAATACCATTTGACCCAGCCATCCCATTACTGGTTATATACACAAAGGATTATAAATCATGCTGCTATAAAGACACATGCACACGTATGTTTATTGCAGCACTATTCACAATAGCAAAGACTTGGAACCAACCCAAATGTCCAACAATGATAGACTGGATTAAGAAGATGTGGCACATATACACCATGGAACACTGTGCAGCCATAAAAAATGATGAGTTCATGTCCTTTGTAGGGACATGGATGAAGCTGGAAACCATCGTTCTCAGCAAACTATCACAAGGACAAAAAACCAAACACCGCATGTTCTCACTCATAGGTGGGAATTGAACAATGAGAACACATGGACACAGGAAGGGGAACATCACACACCGGGGCCTGTTGTGAGGTGGGGGGAGGGGGGAGGGATAGCATTAGGAGATATACCTAATGTAAATGACGAGTTAATGGGTGCAGCACACCAACATGGCACATGAATACATATGTAACAAACCTGCACGTTGCGCACATGTACCCTAAAACCTAAAGTATAATAATAATAATAAAAAAAAAAAAAGAAACTTGCCTAAGGTCATAGTCCCCAGGGGGCACAGTTAAGCTTTAAATCTAGGTCATCTGGCTCCTGACTTTAACCACCGTGCTATCAAATACTTACAGTTTTTATTTGTAGGCAACTTTTCATCAAGCCAAATTTAAATAATAAAAAGGCATGATTTCCTCACATGTTAATGAGAAGCGGAAATCAAGCGATCCATTTGCTCTGACCTAGAGGCCCCGTCCTTGGACATACACCCAAGGTGGCTAGCAGATGGTGAGCTCTGTGCACAGAATCAAGCTAAGGAGAGGGAAGACTGCGTTTTCATCCCCACTGACTTTGTGACTTTGGAGTCTGACAGGTTCAATCCCCTGTGCTTCATAAGCCTACTGACACAGTCATCTTCAGTCAATTCACGAAAAGACTCTTTTAGGAAACATCTATTTGTGACCAGGTTTGTGCAAAAACATTTACAATAATAAGAACCTAGACACCACAGAACAAAGTCCATCACAGGAAACAAGTCAGTGTTTGTTGAGTGGAAGAAAATGTATACAGGCTGGGCACGGGGACTCATGCCTGTAATCCCAACACTGGGAGGCCGAGGTGGGTGGATCACTTGAGCTCAGGAGTTCGAGATGAACCTGGGCAACATGGCAAAAACTCACCTCTAAAAAAACACAAAAATTAGCCTGTGTGGTGGCATGTGCCTGTAGTCCCAGCTACTTGGGAGGCTGAGTTGGGAGGATTACTTGAGCCCAGGAGGTGGAAGTTGCAGTGAGCTGAGATAGCGTCACTGCACTCCAGCCTGGGCAACAGAGCAAGACTCTGTACCAAAACCAAAAACAAAACAAAACAAATATATATATATATATATATATATATATATACACACATACATACATACATACACACACACACACACACACACACACACACACACAGAAGATTCCATAGTTTTGTGATAAGATAAAAATAAAAGCTTATATATACATACATGCATATACTCACATGTGCATTGGTATATATGTATACATGTGCACATTCACACATATAGTTATACACACACATACCTGGCTTTAAGCTGTATGTCTAAATTTTAATGAAATGAAGGGTTAAAAACCCAAGAAAGTGGTTTCCAATCTGTCTTGGGGAAGGGGAAGAAAAAGAGTCACACAGTTATTTAATGCAAAGTGTTTGTAAATCTCCCCTCAAATAACACCTGTGGTCTGAGTGAGATGTATGTGTATCTGTGTGTGTGTATGTTTTTGAAGCATAGTGGTGAAGTGCTTAGAATTCTGCAGCCAGTTACCTGGGTTTAAATCCCAGCTCTGCCACTTTCTAACTAGGTGACCTTGGGCAAGTTACTTAACTTCTCTGTGCCTCAATTTTGCCAACTGTAAAATGGAGCTAATAGTAGTACCTTCTTCTTAGAGTTGTTGTAGAAATAAATAAAGCTAAATGGAGCAGCACCCAGCATATAGGGAGTACTCTATAAGTGTTAGTTCATATTATTATGTAAATTCTATTGTGATTGATAAAATACAAATTCATTTTAAAGTGTCACTGAGTTCTCATAGCAGCTTTTGACCATTATGTTTATTAACTCATTTAATATAATTTACGTTAATAATAAAGGCACAACTACTCTCTGTGGGGTCTCACACAATTTTGATGTTAAAAATGGATCTTTATTCTGAAAAAGGTTGGGAAGCACTGGTCAAGGGCTGAATCCCTGGGAAATTGCCCACAATGGCAACTGCAATCTGGTTATCATTTGGTCAGGGGTGCATCTAGGTTTCTAGAGCCTGTCACTGTGCTGGGCTGTTTCTTTAACAGGATATCAGATATAGAGGCTCCTGTGGACTGTTAGGTGATTAATCGTATTTCTATTTTTCATATCTAAGAGCACCAGGAAGATGCATTTGTGGCAGATTTCATAGCAATACCCGACAAGTTTCACTTTCAAGATCTTAAAGATACCTTTCTGGACCTACTGTGCAAGGCAAGGAGACATGCTCATTAAATCCAAGCCCCCAAAAGTCAAAACGAAAAAAGACCCTAAAAGAGGGATTCCTCCTGAAGCTGCTAAGTGACAACTAGGAAGGAAAAAAAAAACAAAAAACTTTCTCCTTTTGAGCCCCCACTACATTGTGAATAGAACTGAGGCCCTCCATTCTGCTTCATCTAATCCATTTTCTCCTGTGTTTTGGTATTTAAGAAACATTTTAGTCAATGCAACCTGGTGATAAAATGGCCAGATGTGTGAAATCACTTTCCATTACACATTCTGATAACGTAATTGGGCCGTAACTTTCAAGACAGGAAACGAGGAAAGGAGATTCTGAACAAATCCATAAAGCAAACAGTGGGAGAGCCTGCTTGTGGGGACATCTGAGCCTCACTGGATTAAAATAGCTGCAGGTCTCTTCATCAGTAAATAACCAGATGCTCCAGGTCAATCTCTGAACTCAGAAGCCAGGAGTTTGGGCTTGCACAGCCAGAAAACAGAGCTGATGTTTCACCAGAAAGCCACCGTGTTCATCATTTCATCACAGTAAGGCCAATGAGAGAGAAGACGTTTGAGGTTTGAGGTGGCCCAAGTTCTGAGGTTTTTGACTTTTCTTTACCAAAGTCCTGGGTGAATACTAGAAAGTCAGTCCTGGGTCACACACATTTCACAGACTCCCAGTGACCAGCACTGTCCGGCCGAGGTAAAGCAAGAACTTGGGGGATGGAGAAGTGCTGTCACCTTCTGGTGAGAGTATCTCAGCCTACAAGGGCAGTACATTCAGCCTCATCTTCCCATCCAACTGTAATAAAATGTGGTTGATGACTAAAAATGCAGATTTCTGGATCGCATGCTGTAAGGGCCTAGGAATCTGCATTTCAACAGAGTCAGCAGGATGACTGTTACGCACACTGAAATGTAAGACCACTACCATAGGACTTAACTCCAGGTGGCAAAAAGTAACCATAAAGATACAGCTTTGCTTCACACTGTATGCATCACCAGTAATGATAAAAAGGGTAGTAACAGCAGCAGCAGCAGCTAACACTTAGAGTAGCTGCCGTGTATACAAACAGTTGCAAGTGCTTTATAGTCAACTCTTAATTGTCACATCAACCCTATGATAGGTACTATTATTATCCCCATTCTACAGGCAAGGAAGCCAGGCACAGAGAGGTTAAGTATCTTGCCCAAGGTCTCACAGCTAGTAGGTGGCAGAGGTGGAATTTGAACTTGGACTGTCTGGTTTCAGAGTCTTCACATTTGAGAGACTGACCATAGACCTGGATGCCCAGAAAGACCCAACCTCTCTGTTGAAACCTGGAAGTGTTAAGTACTTGAAATTTCTGCAAAGTGGGTCAATATTTAGGAGTCACAGGCACTGAAGAAGAGTTTGGATGAATATTCCCAGACTTCTGAGGCAAAGTGGCAAATGCTGGGGACAACTCATCCAGACAGCAAAGGTCCTGTGAGTGCTGCTGTGCAGGGGAGTGAGGCCTGGGAGCCAAGCTACAAAAATGGGTGTCCCTCATGCAAGGCGCCACTGTTTCCCCATGCTCTAGAAACAGCCGTACTGCCTGAGCCTCGGAGCCTCGGCAGGTGCAGTCACTGGACTGCAAGGCCGAGGCAGCCTGCACTCAGTGCACACTGGCCAACAGACCTGCAGGGCAGCCACTGCCTCTTCTTTCTAGACACTGGAAAAACAGGAAAGCACAATGCAAATGAAATTCACATATAGTCTCATTAACCAGAGATCATTAATGTGAACACTATATGCCCTGTATTTTTGCATCTGTGTATATAGTTTATAAGTTCGAGTTACATCATCCAATTTTATATACTACTTTTTCTATGTATATATCATGTGTATTTTCCCAATCTTTAAACATTCCTCATCAACATGATTTTAAAGGGCTACATAGTAGCCTATCTGTCTACCTGTTCCATAACTATTTTCCTCTTGTTGACATTGGCTACTTTTCACTCTACTGGATAATAACCTAACATCTGATTGTTCTGTAAAACAGATCCCTAAGTACGATAGTTGGGTCACAGGGCATATACAATTTTTAAGTTTTCACTTACTAATACTAAGGAATTCGGTTCGCTATTAATGTTAAGCTATTTCTCAGGAGGTTATGTCCATATTCACATCCATTAGTTTTGTCATTTGCCTTGCCTCTTTTGAAGATGGTAGATGCGCTATTAACTGAGCTCCACTTAAACCAAGGCCCTGATTTACCTAACCCCATACTCTCCATTTCTTTGCTAAAGCATCTAGACCAATGCCCTCAGCATGCAAAACCTCAGTTGGCTACTCTAGTTTATCAACCTATTTCTGTTCTCAACAGTTAGGCTATATATTTACCAAGAGGCCATTTGCATTTGTTGCCAAACCTGTTTATGTCAGCTGTACTCATTATTGCACTTATGTAACTTAATTACATATTATGTAAATTAATGAAATACCTGTGCATAAGAAAAGAGCTGTTGTTTCTATAAGTAGAGAGTTTTGGAAAAATGAAGACGAACTGCTGCTAAGTTAGGGTGGATAAGACAACTATAAAAGACTAGGAGGGCTGGGCATGGTGGCTCATGCCTGTAAACCCAGCACTTTGGGACGCTGAGGCGGGTGGATCATTTGAGGTCAGGAGTTTGAGACCAGCCTGGCCTACACGGCGAAACCCTGTCTCCACTAAAAATACAAAAATTAGCTGGGCGTGGTAGCCGGTGCCTGTAATCCCAGCTACTGGGGAGGCTGAGGCAGGAGAATCGCTTGAATCTGGGAGGCAGAGGTTGCAGTGAGCCAAGATTGCACCATTGCACGCTAGCCTGGGTGACAAGAGCAAAACTCCATCTCAAAACAAACAAACAAAAAACTAGGGAGGTGAAGGGGGGGAATGTTATAGGTCTAGAAAGATTTATGGCACTTACTCTGCAAGTGTCTAAGCTCTTATTTATGAATAAATCAAATCTGGAAATTATAGAAGAAGTGATATGGGTGTAATTCATGCAAGTAAAGTGATGCAGAATGCCAATATATGAATCTATTAATAACTAAAACAAGAGTCATGAAATGGTACCTGTCCTTCCTCCATGTGATGCACTCTGAAATTCTCTAAACTATTCAATTCCACTTTTAAAAATGTTGATTATGACCCGTAAAGTGATTCTGCAACTCAGTTTGAAAAGACATTGACTTCATTCCACTCCTTCATTTTATTGATGGCAGAACGGAGGTTCAAGAAGATTTAAGAGGTCTGTTAAGGTGTTGCAGCCAGTGAGTCAGAATTACGATTCTGGACTGCATATCCTGTGTTCTGTCTACTACCCTGAGCAGCTTTTGCTCAAAAAGCACTGACCCAGCACAATTTCCTTTGCAAAAAAAGTAGAAGGTGAAATGAGAATGTGGATGACAAGGATAAATCTTGGAGAGGAAAGGAAGAATCCCTCATTCCCTCCTAATGCTCTTCTAAGCATTCTTTAAAGTAAACACAAATGAGTGTATGTGGTTTTATCCCCAAACTGAGACATACCAAGTGTCTTGTATTATAGACACATATTTGGAGCAGGTGAGCCATGTAGTACCTGGGTAGAAAACATGAGCCTTCTAATTTTAGAATGACTTCAGCTCCATGTGGGAAAACTCTAGACAATGGAACGGGGAAGCAGTTTGCAGTTCTGAAAAGCTTTTGTTAGGCGAGATGAGCAATAACCAGATTGCTTGCTTGCTGGCTGACACACGTTCTACCTGTTTTCCAAACAAGTAAAGCCTTCAAAGGCTTTTCCCTATAATCTCATCTGCCTTCCTTCTGTGCACCCCCAGCTCAAACTTGCCACCTAAACGTATTTAAGCCCAGGGTCACCACTGAGATCTGATCACCATCTCCCTAAGCCAGCTGATAATGGTGACATTCCCCATGAATAATCGCACTGTAAATTTCCATGTTCTTTCATCCTCACCTCTGAGAAGCCTCCCAGACACTAAATTAAGCAAGCCTTCAAACATGCCTTGATTCCAGGTGGGTGTCCCTAGACACAGGCCAGAGGAAGGAGCAGAAGTTCAGAGGTTTAAAGTGCCGCCCTGAGTACCCAGCTCATGCAAGGCAGATAGCAGATGGAAGCCTGGAGGCTGGTTCCCGGGCGCCTGAGTAATGCCCTCACCACACCCCCTTGGTCATTAGAGTGAGTCTCATGGAAATATGAGAACCAGATGGGCAGCCTGGGAACTGTGCAACATTTCTCAGGGTTAAGCAAGTAGCCACCCAACAACTTCTTAACCAGGGTGCATTCTGTCCCTCTTAAGGGGCATTTAAAAGTGTCTTTTGAAGATAGGTCATAACTCCTTCCTGGAGAGGGTGTGACAGGTGTTCTAAGCTATAGGTGCTGCCACCCTCGTCCTGCCTCCAGCTAATGTTTCTCTGCATGCTTTACAAATTGACAACCAACCTGATAAAAATACTCTGTCCCCAACCATGCTATTGATTTCACTCCCATGGCAACTATTTTCTAAATCATGCATTAAGCAGTCAGCCAAGTTTGCCCGTATCATTGTGACACATTCCCCCACGGGTTCCCATGCTGTCTTTTCTCACCTGCATGGGAGGCTCCTTGAGGACAAGGCAGAGAAAGCCTGCTCCTTTGTATAGTTCCAGCAACTAGAATCTTTGAACCTGAATGTAAAAAAGCATCTAGTTCCAAGAAAATCAAATACGTGTCAGTGACACTACCACTTCCCTACCTTGGGCCTATGACAATTAGCATCACCAATGGATCAGTGCAGTACTTCCTAAAACCTGCAGTCAGCCTTATAACCCTCCCCACCCTGGCTCTCCAAGTCATCTCTACCAATCCATCAGTGTGTGGTCATGTGAAAAACCTCACAGGCCACTTCTGATTCAAGTCCAATAGATGAGGAAACAAATCCAAACAGGAACCAGAAAACTAACTTGCCCAGTGACTGGACAAAAAAACTCAAAAAAACCCTCAGAAAACTCAGAAAAAACTGAGACCAAATGGCCCAAAACCCATGATCTCTCACCTCCAGCCTCAGTCACCACATCCCTCTGCTGTCCCACTCAAATTGTCTGAGAAGCGTTTACTAATGACAATGCCAGTTTCCTATGACGCTGGCATCATCTGCCCTTTATATTTGGGGATCTAAGAGAAATGAAGACAGGAAGAAACCAATGAAATGTCAAGAAGAAAGGCCAAGAGCAATGGTCAAGTTATAAGAACACAGAACTTTTTTTTTCCCCAAAATGCACAAGAAAGGCCAGGCGTGGTGACTCATGCTTGTAATCCCAGCACTTTGGGAGGCCAAAGTGGGAGGACTGCTGGAGTCCAGGAATTTGAGACCAGCCTGGGCAACATAGCAAGATCTCATTTCTAAAAATAAAAGAAAAAAAATGCACAAGAAAGCCACATGAGATAAGCCCCATGCTCTTTTGAGCCCATTTAACACCTTTGATTAGCACATGGAGTTTGCAATTTTCTCTCCACAATGTTCCATTAAAGTGTGTCGGCTTCACCCTGAGTACTCCTGTTGCCCTATGCTCTAGTGCTGTCACTCAGGAATGTATCAAAACCTATCTTGCATCCGTTATTATTTCTCATTCCCATCAACTCTTACAGTGAGAAGGCCTGCAAATTTACATCATGGGTAAAGTCCTTATAGCTTTTGTTCTAAAATTACCCATTTTCACACCTAACTGGTGGGGATGGTTTCACACCATTTACATTTTTCTGGATGGTTTGTTTCTGGATTGATTCTGGGATTGAGTAAAGGAGCCCACCAGCATCCAGAGCATTGGGAGTTAGGGGCACTCAGATGTGAAAGTCACTCAGCAGAGACATGAATACATTTTATGAAAACAGTGTTCACCTGAAAAGAAATATAAGTAGAATGCAAGATACAAAAACATGAAAGTAAATGCAAATTAAAACGAAGTAGCACAAAATTAAATACAGCATCATCTACCTTCCATATCTGAGGATCTAACAAAAAGGAATCATCATTGCCTTTCTGGTGCAGTAATGGAATTGTGGTGACGTTTTAAAAGGCTTTATCTGTTACGTATACGCATTGAAGTGTTACGAGTGAAGTGGGCTTTGCTTTAAAATACCCCGGCACAGGGAGAAATTAGAAAGATAGGGAGAATAGATCAAAGAAAAATGACAGAATGATGCTAATTGTCAAAGCTGGGTGATGGGTATACAGGAACTGATTTCACTATCTCTTCTTCTGTGGATGAAGGTTTCTCTAATACAATGTTAACAGAGAGTTTTACTTATTAGTCATGAATACACACACACACACACACACACACACACACACACACACACTTGCTACAATGACGGGCAGTGAGTGTGGCTGGTGGGAGTTGGTCCCCAGTTTGAGCTGCGCCCACCACAGGATTTCAGCCCTGTGCGGTGATGAGAGAGTGGGTGGGATGGGGTGGGAAGGCCTACCAGGGCCTGAGCAGTCCTCTAGGGGACAGGAAGGACACCCTAAAGGAAAGAAAGTTAAGCATAAGCCTGATCTAGTCATAAAGCCCCAGCCTTTGGAGGTGTGACTATAACACGGTCATCACCACTTGGACTTTTCTCCTGGCCCAGCCCTCTCTGGATTCATGTCTGGGTCTCATGGGGCAGGGCCAAGAGTAAATAACTCTGGAAAGAGTAATTTCATTAAATCTCTAAGGCCCTGGGGTGCAAGTTCTGTAGCTCAGTGACCCATCAAACAGAGAGCAACAGAGAGGGCAGACGGGCAGCCACCTCCCTCCTCTGCAGACTGGCAGCCAACCCGGGGGGCTTGAGGCTCTCTGGACTTTAGAAGGTGTGGCACTGCCTCTGCTCTCACAGACCACCTCAGGCCCCCGAGTGGCACTGAGCTGGTTACAGGGTAATATGCAACGCAGCAGGGGTTCAACTGCTGTTTTCTGACCACATGTCACAATGAGGGGAAGTAAACCTCAGAGATGTTCTCATAGAAAGTTCAGGAAGAAAAGATGGAACAGAGGTTGTTCACGACTGCAAAAAGAATAGTCCCCTTCTGGACAAATTTATCAGGTCTGCCCACATCTGCCCAGCAGGGCCTAGGGAACCCCAAAAGGCCTAGGCAGGAGTTATGCCAGGCTCCTGGGGAACAGGCTCCAGGGCGACATCCCTTAGGGTTTTCTTGTCTGTCTGAATGGATGGAGACTTGGAGGAGGGGGTCAAATAACCAAGAGGACCCCCTTCTCTATGCATGGCAGTGTCAGCACTTGCCATCATTGCAACTTGTCACCTGATTCAGTGGAGAACATGGCTCTTGGCCTACCAGGTCTTAGAGTGTGAATCAGGAGGAGCAGGAGGAAGGCTTCACCAGAGAGCCGGGAAACTAGGGATAGAGGCCTGGGGCACAGGACTCCATCTCCCCCTTCTGGCTTAATCTCAAGGCCTTTATACCTCAGTTCTACCCAATTTGGCTTAGAAGAGAACAGGGAGGGTGAGGAAAACACAGGAGGCTTCTTAGCCCATGGAGATGCGTGGAGATCATAGTGACAAGTATCAAAATGAGTGGTAACCCCCAACTGGCCCAGTGTCCAGGTTCTCTCAAATGATACCCAGTGCGTAAGTGTTGCTAGAGTATCAGTACTTTCTAGTGTTTGGGCAGGTCACCAGAGGTCTATCTGTAGGAGGGGCAGAAGGTGAAGCTTGGGGCAAGTGCATTCTAGAAAGGGGGTTGGGGCAATTCTGAGAATGGCATGGTGAAGTTACTAAGCTATCCTCTTTTTCCTCCCTATATGTTCATATCTGAGTCCTTTGTGGATGGGAGGTAATTAAAAAGTGAAAGTACTGCTTTATGGAAACCCTAGTAGACCCTGGACTCCAGATGCACTGTTTTGAGGTGGACACACTTACACCTTTCCACTTCCAGCCCCAACAAAGCACGACACAGAGTGGGACAGGCATTTTCTTCTGTGTCATCATGGACCACCAAGTGGCTTAGGCACCTTAAGGGTCCAAGCGCATCAAGGATAACAGTAGCAAGGGGGACTGGTGGGGCTGCAGGAGCAGTGGTACCCAGTGGGACTGGCAGTGTCGCCTCCAGTGGGTTTGGAGGGAAAGGCCTGAAGGAGGAGAAGAGACCAGGGACACGGTGTGGTTGGCTACAGAATTTATGAATAGGTAAGAAACCCGCCCCCTCCCACTGGAACCTCTCTGAAATAACTATGGAGACACAGCAGGAGGCTAGTGCAGTAACAGATGGGAGCAGA
Source organism: Homo sapiens (assembly GCF_000001405.40). Classification (NCBI taxonomy): domain Eukaryota; kingdom Metazoa; phylum Chordata; class Mammalia; order Primates; family Hominidae; genus Homo; species Homo sapiens. The sequence continues at coordinate 70,513,847 of NC_000002.12, forward strand.
AGTTACTGAAACACACTCTGTGCTAACCAGGGAGTTGTGGGACTGGTGCACTCACACACTGCTGGGAGAAATCAGCACCATTCACTCGGAAAGCTATCTGGCAGTTTGTACCAAGGGTCATAAATCTGTATTTATTCCTGTTTCCGGAGACACATGCTGAGGAAAGAATCCAAAAGGTGGAAAAAGCTTCTAGGCATGAAGAGGTAGCATCATAACTTAAGAAACTAGAGCCACCGTAAATATCCAATGGGAAATGTTTCATTAAATCACCCATGTTCACTTTAATGAGACAGCATGACATTTTAAGAGAAGAGATTTCAAGACTTTCCAGCAACATGGAACAATGCACAGCCCCAACATTTGAGCTTAAAAAGCAGGAATCCACATTGTTTCCTCACCAGGACTACTCGTATAAAAATATTAACACACATGGAGAAAGGGCAAAAGCAACATGCAAATCAAACAGAGGTTGCTCCCCTGCAGTGCTGTGGCCACTGATGGTTTGCCTCCTACATGTCCCAAGCTCTCCACTATTTTGATTTAGAATCTTTAAAATAATAATAAAAAAAAATACCGATTTTTTTTTTTTTTTTACTATAAGTATTAAAACGTAAACCAGAAAATAACTAAACAAAGGTCACCGATGAGGGTTCAGAAATCTGGGTTCTACTTCAGGTGGACTATTACGAGAGTGGGGAAAACAGCTGGCCCCAAGCTCTGGGGTCCTGCAGGCCCTGTTTTGGCACACTTGCCCACAGGAATTGTCTGAACAGCTGAAGAGAGACACGTAGGGGAGGCCCCTGAGGGGGCCAGGAACAGCCCCCCCTTGGGCCTGCAGTTAAGACCTTCCAGTGAGCGCCTCCTCGCCCCTGAGGAGGGGGCAGAGAGGACTCCGGGACAGGCGTGTGCTCGGTGGGCAGGAGGCCAGGGAGGGAGCTCTTGAGGAGCCACACAGCAGCAGGCCCGCTCCCTTCCCACACACGATCCACACACCCACGGCAGCTGCACTCACCACTCAGCGGGGACGTGCTGTTCTCCAAGGCCTGGCACGCAGCCAACACAATACCTGTTGGGTGGAGGAGAAGAGGGAAAAGGTCAGAGTCTGCTTGGCAAATGATGTCCTCAGACGCTTAGAGGGCAGGCCCTTTGACAGGCAAAGGTTCGGTAGTTTCACAGAGTGGCCGGTAGACAGGCTCAGCTACATAATTTGTGGATATCAGTGCAAAATGAGCACATGGGACCCCTTGTTGAAAAAGTAAGAAGAAAATGCCCATGAAAAGCACTGAAATCCAGAGCCTTCCACTTCTTCCCAGTCTCTCTCTCCATCTGTCAGGGTGGTTTTGGCCTTTGTTTTTTCTTAACACCTTATAAATATATATTTTTTTATGGTGGGAAAATATACGTAACATAAAATTTACCATTTCAACCATTTTAATTGTACATTTCAGTGACATTAAGTACCTTCACCCTGTTGTTCATGTCATCATGTTTGTTTGCTATTTATGTCATTGCTGTCCTTTGGGTATGAGGATACCCACAGGTTGAGTGCAGCCTCTCACAGGTATACCCCAGGGACAGAGTGTGTAAGGGAGCAAAGGACCCACTCCCTCTGGGGTTTCCTTCCAGCTGGCAGCCGGGCCAATGTGCTGTGACCCAGCTGGGGGTTGAGGGGTCTAGTCAGGTATCTCTTATTCCCAGGAAGTGGCTGTCCCAACCCAAGATGGATGGGTGACCCCTTAAGGATATTGCCTCCTCCCTGCCAGGATGTACTAGGTACCTGGATCAGGGGGAGTCAAGCAGCTCACCCCTCTCTAGTTGCCCACTGAAGATGCCATGGAGCTGCCAGTCCAGAATGGGGACAGCTGCCACCATGCCGTACCCTGAGATGCCATGTACTTAACCCCAGGCCCTGCCAGGGATAGATCATGGCAGGAGCAAGAAAACCTAGGGGAGGCAGGGAGATATTAATAAGCAGGACCACGGGAACAAAGCCTCTAAGCCCCCAGTGCATACTGTATTGTCCCACTGGACTTCACCTACAAGACGCAAATTTAAAGATAAAACTACAAGATTTTTAAGACTGCAACTGCAGAGTGTTAAACCTCAAGCTCAGGGCCCTTGTGAGCATGGGGTCCTGTGTGACCTATACAGGTTGCATGCCCATAAAACCAGCCCTGCCAACAGATGACCTTTATGTGCCTTCAGATTACAGTACTCGAGGTTTCTGGAAATGGTAGCAACCTTCCAATGAAGAAGGAACCTCTTCTGAGTTATGCAATCAGCATGAGCCACATTAGAATGACTTCCCAAAACTGAAACGCAAAAAGATGCCACAGTTGCTGTGCCGAGGGGCTGGGCCTCTGACAGGTTAGCTCAGAAAGCAAATGAATCAAGTTAGCACAGGAAACAAGCAAAGTTCTGTCTGTTACAGGATCGATGCAGCCCCCTACTCTGCAGGCTGTGAGGGTTCCTTGCCCCTTTTCACTTAGGGTGTAGACACAGAAGTCCTGACTCTCAAAGAACAAAACACACTTGGAATAGATAAAGCAATCATGCTCCCGATGTTCCTTCCAACCTCTGAAATGAGAAACATAAGAACTTCAGACTGCTTTTACTGGAGGTCTGGCATGGACCTCCGAAAGACTTTTACAGAATCCTAAGCCAGATGTTTGGGCTGGAGTTGGAGGCAGGGCAGGGGGACAGGGAGAGAAAATCAGTAAAATCATGCATGTCTTCCCTGTGCAATTCTTTCTTGCTGTCCAATTGATGCTAATTTTGGAAGCAAGGCTCCCAGGGCCCCTCTGTCACCCACACACCAGTGTTAAAACAAGGCATCCCCATCCAAGCCGGGAAAAGTCAGCAGTTGCCCCCTTGAAGCTGGGGAACAGTCATGTTCTGACTTCGCTGGCACTGCCACAAACCATCCTTGGCTAAAGTCAGCCAGTGACTCATAATAGTGTTCAAGGATGACACCGGGGATGCTTTGCATACTCTGAGGGGAAGCGTGACTTGCCTGTCACAAACTGCCCCGAACTAAAGAATTATCTTCATGCCCTGTTCCTGCTCCCTATCCTGTCAGTCAGGGTGAACCCAGTCAGCATGGTTCCTGGGCTCCATGTTGGCCTCTGTTTAAGCAAAACCCAGACAAGAAAGCAAACACTGTACAGCTGAATCCAGGACAAGACACTGATGAGCACCACTGCTCCAGGAAGATGAGGGTGTGCAATGGGGGCCTGCTCCCCAGCCTTGGGGCAAATTACTTCACCTTCTGTTCCTCACCTGTGAGCTCGCAGCTGCTAAACTCACAGAGGTGTTTTGGGAATGAATTAAAGTTTGCAAAACCACGATGTTCCACAGATGAAAGACACTGGCTTTTTATTCATAATTTGAGCAACACAAGAAGAATAGGTCCTTTCTATACCCTCACGGAAAACAACTTCTTGGTGCCCTGGGCTTCACTCTGCAATCTTGATCCATGCCTAGCATCAGCTGAGGCCCTGTGATGAGCGGCAAGGCCTCTGCTTTGTCTTCATCATGTGGTGAACCTAAGAGGACCCTGGAGCAGGAGGACAGGGCTCAGGTCTCTCACTTTGCAGGTGGATGTGTACCACTTTTTGGGCATGACCTAGTCCCAGGCCCAGTGCTAATGTTCTGCATGTGTTCTCTTACTTAGTCCTTATAACAACTCATGACATAGGTGCCTCCCAACCTTCTGGTCCAGCTGGTAGAAATGCCCAGTCATAGAGATGAAGAAACTGAGGCTTAGAGAGGTTAAGAAATTTGCCCAAGCTCCTGCAGCCACATTCAAACTCAAGTGTCTCCAACTCCCATGCACAAGACAGTGTCTAATTACCAGACCACACCACAGTCCTTCTCACCATGGCCAGTTGTGACACAGGTGTGTATTCAGCAGTCACAAACCCCAAGTTAGTCCAAACAACAGACTCTGCAGGCCCAGCGGCTGAGCCTTGATCCGTCTCTCCCTGAGAGTCATGCATTGCCTCTTGGGGATTCTCCCACTGCCTCCAGTCTCCCTGCCATGAACAAGGTCTAATGAGGGGCAAAGGTATGAGCACCCAGGCTCACCAGCTGCCCAGCCCTCTGGCCACACGACTGTGCTTAGAAAGCCAGGCTGTGTGAGGACCTTCCAGAAACATGTGGCCTTGGCAGGCTCCAAGGGTCACTCCAAACAAAGGAAGGATGGGGAGAGGACAGCCACAGGCACCGCAGCCACATGCAGTGGCTCAGGGAGACACACAGTGCACAGGCCTGGTGGCCCACAGCCACAGGCTCCTCCTGCCTAAGTTTCAAAGCAGGTCCTTGCCCGCCGCAGGCCCTCGGGACAGGAAGGCTTCTAGGAATCCCTTCTAGGCCACTCCTGCTGGCATCCTATTTCTGTTTAAATAGCTCCAAAGAGGGAAATCCCAAGACTGTGGACTTCAAAAAGAAAAAAGAAAAGAAGGGGGTGGTATCAAGGGGAAAACCACATGCAACGGAAGAAAACCCTTATGAAAGGCTGATCCTGTGTCCCTCAAAATAGAGTGGGAACCTGGTCTGCCCTTAGGAAGGACAAGTGTTGCCATGCTTATCGTTCAGCTGTTTGGTACTCAGGTAAATGTTCCCAACAGAAACAAGGTAAAAAGGAGGCTCACCCATTTAGCTCATGAGTCCCCAGAAGTGGAGCCATCCCAAAACCTATGTGCTGATGTGTCAATGGGAAATGCTCTTAAGAGAGGCTGGACACCCCTCTCCCCTGGGCCCCAGAGCAGGATACCCCCACTCCAACTCCTCAATCAGGCATGGGACTAGCAATTCTGCACAGATACCCAGGCTGTGCCTTCAGCGTCAGACACCCTTCATCATCAACCACCCATTGGCCTGGTGACCACCTCTTCTGTGGACACTCAGCTATAGTGCCTGGAGCTGGGAGGAGCATCCTCTGGCCCCTGACCACCTCAGCAGAGTGGACCATGTCCTGCTCTGGCCTCTGCTGGGGCTGGGGTTTGCTTTCAGGCCCCTATGTACTCCACTGCATGGATCAGTTGCTCCCTCTAGAATATCAAGAGCTCTACCTTTCACCTGTTTGGGATCCTCTAAGCCAGACTTCCTGCATGAAGGGATGAAGGGTAAGTTTTTGTTTTCAGGGGGATGTGGGAGGATGAAGAGGCTGCAGCAGGTCCTTTTGGATGAAGGATGTTCTGGATTCAGACGAGGTGGTGAGGAAAGGCCTTTGGATGAAGAACACGCTCAGGGCGGGAGGATAGGAATTGTGCTAGAGGGCAGGGCAGAAGGGAGTGTGGGTATTCAGAGGGCAGCAGGTTTCCCCCTTCCTCCCCTACCATTCTTAGACCTGGCAGGTCCTAAGGAACAGGAAGTAGTTAGTGGTACGTAGACGGTGGGAATCCTGCTGCTCAGGGAGAGGTCTGCAAAGGCTCCCATGTAGGCATAAATATATAAAGAAATGGGCCACACAGAACCCAGGGCCAGATAGTATAGGTTCATGGCATCTTCCCTTATGAATTATATCCCAACATTCAAATTTTATTTGCAAGCATGGCAGGATTTTAACTGCGTAGCAAAAATCACTAAATTGTATGATTTCATCAATATTTTTAAATCCAAGAGGTTGACAGCCAGGTGAGGATGCTGGCTTCAGGGTAAGAACTGATTAAGAAGGAAAAAGGGAAGGCCCTGCAGAGGAGGACTATGAGCAAGGCTGGTAGGATGAGCGTACCATGGACTATCCATAAACTCATTGGGATATTAAGGTCAAAAGTAGCCATGTGGCATCTCCATTGGACAGCAGCAAGTTCCAACTAGAAAAATCTCGGGAAATACTTCATGATTATGACATCACAGGAAATGATCCAGCATTACCTGAAAGCTCATAGGAATTTTCCATATCCATCTAAACATATCTGACAATAGCAAAAAACAAAGTATTCAGAATGAATCTTCAGGATCAGGGAGGCAAGAGAGATGGGCAGATGGGTGCCTGCACCACAACCCCCTACCACTTTCTAGCCTGTCACAGCACAGCAGAAAGGGGCTTTGCCATCAGGCCTGGGTGCAAATCCTGGCTCTGCCACTCCTTCACTGTGAGATCTTGGCTCTATTATGTACCCTTGCTAAGGCTTGGTGTGCTCATCCATAAAACAAGGATAACAGCCCTTCATGGGACTTGCAAGGATTAAGTGAAACAAAATGAAATAGAGTACATGAGGTCCATAAGTCACCATGAGCACCCACTGAACACAGCACTTGATGGGGCTTCATGTTGGTCCTGTTTCATCATAACTTCCAGGAAGTTCAGGATGATGAGGAGGTGGTCATGACCCTCCTCCCTTTGGAAATCACTAAGGGAACTTCAACGAAGGGTTTTACTTGAGGCCCCGGGGTCGCCCAGCTGCAGGCTACTGATGTTCCATGGACTGATCTTGAAATAGCATGCCTTTTACGCCTTTTGAGGGTTTAAATAGTCAAAATTGTGAAACCCGGACTCCACTAAAAATACAAAAATCAGCTGGGTGTGGTGGTGGGCATCTGTAATACCAGCTACTTGGGAGGCAGAGGAGGAGAATTGTTTGAACCTGGGAGGCGGAGATTGCAGGGAGCCAAGATTGTGCCACTGCACTCCAGCCTGGGTGACAGAGCGAGACTCCCACTCCAAAAAAAAAAAATTGTTATTTACTTATGTTAACTAATCAAATATTTATTTAGCACCTACATACTGTGAGCAAATTAAGTAAAAAAAGAGAAATCTGAGACCTTTGACTTTCCCTTAAAATGTTCAAGTCACGTGGGACAGCAACTACCCGAGAAAAATGGAATCCTCCCTACTTCAACAAAGGCAGACAAGTGTAGGCTGTTGAAGTTATCACTACAGCCCACCAAGGCACCGGACCGACCCTATATTCCCATAGATGCTTCCCCTGCTTCCATGCCCAAACACTATCTCCAACCTCCACCACTCTCCACAAGGCCTGTACCCCAGATCATGTGTTCAAAATTGAACTCATGTCTTCCACCTCTTCCTTGGTTCTGGGCGGGACTGATAACTAGGCAGTCATTGTCAGCCCTTCCCTCTCCTTCACCCAGTATCCAAGCCAAGCCCTCCTACACACCCAGCCTCCACACCGTCCATCCTATCCATCCCCCTGCATCCCTGCTGTTACTGCCCCAATTCAGGCCCTATCATCTCTCCCTGTGCTATCAAAATAGTTGTTAGACTGGTTTTCTTGCCAACAGCTTAAAAAAAAAAATCTTTGCTCCTACTACTAGACTGACCTTGCTGAATGAAATCACTCCTATCCTCTAAGCTCTCCATGGGCTCTGTACCACTCACAGAACCCAGCGCAGAGACAGAACCCAGCCCCAAGTCCTGAGTAGAGATTTAGCATGCATAACCTGATCCTAGACCTCGTTTCCACCTAAACTCCACCCATTCCCTCCTGTCAGGTCCTCTGACCCCAGCTGCCCAGCACTGCCCCTTTTCCCTGCACAAAAATTGGCACTCCCAACTTGGTGCCTTGGGTTCATGCTACTAGGATCCTCACCCAACTTCTTATGGCTGCTGACTTTAGTTTAGTTGCCTGAGCCTCAGTTTCCTTCACTGTAAAAGCAGATAAAGATATCCAACTCTTGCACAGGGTTGTTTAGAGATTAAACGAGAGACACATGAGAAAAATGTGGTATATTGAGTGACACACAATAAACATGCAACAAATGGTAGCTGCTACTATTGATAGTTTTTTTTGTTGTTGTTTGTTTGTTTTTTTTTTTTTTTTTTTTTGAGTCTCGCTCTGTCTCCTAGGCTGGAGTGCAGTGGCACGATCTTGGCTCACTGCAACCTCTGCCTTCCGAATTCAAGCGATTCTTCTGCCTCCGCCTCCCGAGTAGCTGGGACCACAGGCACGCGCCACCATGCCTGGCTAATTTTTGTAGTTTTAGTAGAGACGGGGTTTCACCATATTGGCCAGGCTGGTCTTGAACTCCTGACTTCATGATTCACCTGCCTTGGCCTCCCAAAGTGCTGGGATTACAGGCGCAGGCCACCGTACCGAACCTATTGACAGTTTTCATTCACATCATGCTGATCTCTCAAGTCGGCATATCCCATCCTCTACCCATGGGAATCAAATTGGCCTCTCAAAGCCTTGCTCAAATGTCAGAAATAATCATTTCTTCCTCAGAGGAATCCTTACTTTATTCTGCCTTGCAGTTCAGAAGTTTTTACATCTTACCTGTCTCTCCTCTCTAGTGCGGTCAGGAGCTGTGGCTAAATCATCTCTATCCTTACACCTGGCCTAACGCACCTACATAGGATTTTAATACATTTATGTTGAACTGAATTTCTCTAAGAGGTCACCAGCTTGAAAACAGAGTTAAAGTCTCATCAAAGACTTGGACTAGGGGCTGGGTAGTGAGTAGTGAGGGTGTACAGATGGGGAATGGGAAAACCTGCAGATCCTCGGGAATTCCTTTACTTCTAGTCTAGATCCCTGCCGCTACAGCTCTAGGTCTTGGTTCTTACTCTAATTTCAGTGGAGATGAGGAGCACTTGAATTTTTATTTCCAACTTTTATTTTTTATTTATTTACTTTTTTATGATGGAGTCTTACTCTGTTGCCCAGGCTGGAGTACAGTGGCATGATCTCAGCTCACTGCAACCTCCACCTCCCAGGTTCAAGCAATTCTCCTGCCTCAGCCTCCTGAATAGCTGGGATACAGGTGTGTGTCATCACACCCGGCTAATTTTTTATATTTTTGGTACAGACGAGGTTTCACCATGTTGGCCAGGCTGGTCTTAAACTCCCGACCTTAAGTGATCCACCTGCCTCGACCTCCCAAAGTGCTGGGATCACAGCCAACTTTTATTTTAAGTTCAGGGGTACACGTGCAGGATGTGCAGGTTTGTTACTTAAGTAGACGTGGGCCATGGTGGTTTGCTGCACAGAGCACTTGAATCCTGACATTCATTCATTCAACAAGTGCTCACTGAGCACCTGCTGCACCATTAGCGGGACATTGTCTAGGTGCTGGGCAGAGAGCAATGAATGAAAAGTCCCTTCCTATGAGAAAGGATCCTTCCAATTCTCAAAAGCCATTGAACTCCATTATAAATAGCTGTACCATTGTTCAGTTGGGTGGTAAGTTAAATCTGTGTTTTTCTATTTAAATGATATTAAATATTCCCACTACAATATTGAAAAATCCATGAGGAATGAAGGAACTGTCATCCTTATCCAAAGCCCGGATTTAAGTCTGCTGAAGTGGCCTGTCAAGTGGATCCTGCATTGTTTGGTCACCCGATGAGATGACCCCTGAAATATTTTATTTTCCTACCCTTAACTCATTTTGTTGGCTTTTCCTGAAACTTTTATAAGAACACAAAGACTTCCATCCAGTGACCCCAAAGAGGCCTGGCCATATCCCAAGGAGGCTAAGACAGAGGAGTGAACGCTCATTGTGAACGTTCGTTGTGAATGTTGTGTCCCAGGGCTCTTCAAGCAAAGGCAAGACTTGCCACAAGGAGTTTACAATCCAGATGATTGAAGCAAACACACTCACTGGTGTTCCTGTATCTCTGATGCTCCCTATTACAGCCCTTTCTTCCACCCAAATGTTTCTACCTAGTCCGGGTCTCTTACAAACACTAACTCCTTCTCTTCTGCGTAGAAAAGCCTCCTTACTGCCTGACGTCATTTCTACCAGCCTTCCAGGTCGAGCTCAATCCCCAAGTCCTCCACGATGCCCCCTGACCACTCTGGCAGGCAGAGCTCCCTGCCTGCACCTCCTAATACCCACCAGCACTGGGCTGGGTATAAGATCAGGTCACTCACATGGACTAGTATCTCCTGTCCCTCCTTCTCTCAGCCCAGACCTCATTTCCCACCATTACTGATTTAGGAGAGCTGGTTACTATCTTTCCCTACTTCAAGAGACAAATGAGAATATTGGCAAACTGCTTTGAACTCTTTAGAGTCAATGCCACTAACAAGTGCCCAGAACTGACACCACAGAAGTAACCTAGTTGTTACATAACCCTTTGCAGCTATGTTAACAGAGAAGTAACATAGCTGCAAAAGGAGGTGAAATGCTTTTCCTGACATCTGGAGAAGCATGCAAAAAATAAACAACTAAATAAAAAAGGCACAGAGACCCTTGGAGGAGGAGCCAGTTGCTTCCTGTTGAGACACTTTTGTTTCTAAGGCCCGGCCACTGTGATGCAACAACTCACACTGCCACACAGACATCTTCCTGTATTCTCCCCAACATGTTACCCACTTCAAAGCCTTATAGAATAAGGCTGCCCACTGATCTGGTGGTCCGAGAGAACCCTCTCTCATAAAGCAAAGCAAATAGCAGATAGGTAAAACATCTTTATCCAACAGTGTTAACCAGGATGCAGCACGCATCTGGCTAGAGGTGAGGAAGGCCCTGTGCTTGCTCTCACCTGTGCAGATCTATGCCACACCCTTTTGTGCCAGGAGGAAGCAATTGTCTCTTCCGAAGAGTTTAAGCCTTATCAAAGACTTAGACCAGGGGCTGGGTACTGAGTCAACCTTCCTCTTCCCCAGGCCTGCTCACGCACTGGCTGGCTGAGGGCCCCCATCCAAATTCCTGGAATTTCAAGGCAACAGGGCGAGTATCGCCGAGCCCTCTCGGGCTGGCTGGAGTTCCCCAGCTGCTGAATCACCAACAGGCTCTACCAGGGCCGAGTTCTGAGGTTGCAGAGAAGCCGTGCCAAGCTGAGGCACTCTGAAAACCTGTTCCAGCTGACTGGCACTGTGACACGAGGCCTTGAGGTGTCTCTGGAAAGGGTTACACTTGATTTTCCCAGAGTCCAGGAGGGAGGAAGAAGGGGATGGCGGCAGTGGGCTAGGGACAAAGCTGGGGATAAAGTGGCAGATGCTATAGCTATCCACAGGGCCCTGGGCCCTTTGCATTGTGAACCAGCTGAGCAGAGGGCACCTGGCTGACAAGAAGTACAGGAACCAAACACCACCTCTGGAAGGATCCATGGGGAGGTTATAAGTCCCTCCCTATCCGTGAAGGCCCATTGGCCCCATCTCAACTTCCCTGGCCTGTGATGTCTCAGAATTACCATCCTCTGGGCCCAGGTGAGCAGTGGTTCTGCTGGTGTGCACCTCGGGCCAGCAAAGTTAGACTCTTGGTGGCTGAAATCAAACCAAGCCCATCCCCTCAGCTCAGTCAAAGCCATGTGTGGGCATCATTCACACAAGTGGCTTGAAAGTAGGGTATGAGCAGGGAGGAGGTAAAAACAAGCAATCCTTGAACTCTGTCCCATTTCCTCCATGTGAATAGCTTGGTGATGACAAACTCATCCCTGCACCCTGGTGCACAACACCCTGGACACCCCGGAACCACCCTGCAGAAGGCATTGTGAGGCTTTGGGTTTGGGCCAATACAAATACCAGTGTGACTTGGCAGAATCTCAGATCAATGCAGCATCAGCCTGGAAGTAGGGGATGGGGGAAGGGGACAATGCTGCCCCATTGCTAATCCCCACTGTCCACCTTGGGGGCTGGCCACAGGACACCCCTTAGGCATGCTCACTTGAGTTGATAAGGGTGGCTGATTAAGAAGCAAGTTCAATCAAGAAGGAAACAAATCCCCAGAACTACAGGTTTTCAAGAGTTAAGGGGTAAATACACTTACTTCTTGCAGCTCCACATTTCTCAACCCACATCACACTGCAAACTGGCAGAATCTCTAAGTTCTCCTCCTTGGGCCCCAGAAGCAAGGGGCAGGAGGAGGGAGAAGAGGCTAGTAGGGGAGAAAGGCCTGGGCAACAAGTGCAGGCTCCAGGTGCTGAAGAGGAGGAGTGGACGGGGTGGTACTCAGATTTACTCCCTTTCACTGGGAGACCTTGACCAGACCACCCGCTAGCCCAGGGGTTCTTACTGCTGGTAGCAGATGCCCCTTAGGGAGCATCTGAGAACCTGTGGTGGGAGGTGCTTTCTGACTGTCACAAGGACTAGGGGGCACTACTGGTACTTAATGGTGGGGCCGCGGATGCTAAGTTTCTGATTTCTGTAATGCACAGAACCTTGTCTTGCTTAACATATTGACAGTGCACTCTGTTGAGAAATTCTGGGCCCCAACAGAGAAAGTCTCTTCAACTGCAGGTCATTTAGTTTCCAACTGTATATGGGCAGATGTACCCAAAACTCAGGGGAAATGCAACAAGCTTGTAGTCACATGAGCAGACAGGGCCACTCATTAGAGCCTTGAAAATGGTCACAGAAGGACCATGGTGATCCAACCTGCCCCATTTACCTGGAATGCTTTTTCCTGTCAGCTCTTCCCTCTATTCTCCAGGTCATCAGCCTGTGCCTGTCTTGTCTGTCTCTTTGTATTAACCCAAAGCATTCAGGTTACACAACATGAAGCCTATTTATAAAGTAACAAGACTGACAAGTCACAAAACCCACTCCAGGTGTTTTATAGTGGTGGGGTTCCAATGAGACTCGGAAGCCCCAAGAGGGAAGAAACACACGGGGATGATGCATTTGACTTTCTTTTGGTCCACTGCCAGATTTTAAGGCCCCTAATGTATCTCCCTCAGGTCAATACATGTTCTTACCAGCCACGTGTAGCAAAGCTGTTCAGTTAATGCCCCAAATGCACTTAGTTGTATGGGCAGAATCTCATTTATTGACTCGAGACAAACCAGTAAGGAACAAGGCATGCCAACCCCAGAGCTGTGGGGCAGAGAGCATCATGTATCTTTTAGCAGTGTCAATTTAAGACATTTTAAAGGAAAACAAAAATCCCGGAGAAAATGCAATAGCTCTGCTATGGGAAAATGGGAGTGGGATCTCCCCTACCAACCCTGCTCTAGTCCATTTTCCCCTTTAACTTTTGCTGGGGAAAGGGTGGTGATGAGAAGCAAAAAGGAGGGAGAGGGAAAAGAGGAAGTTTTCTGCTAGGATGGTTTAGTTCTAGCAAGAACAGAGACCAGCAGGAAGACTACAGAAAGAAGAATGAAGGTGGCAGCATTTCACCTTTAAGTCCCATGTAAGAGTGCAGTGAGAAAAGGGTTTCAGGTTACTAACAGTTAGTGTATTTCTGAAGTATTTTCTGGAAAAATTAGACTCATCTAAATGAAAGTGGTTCAGGAGTCAAAACCAATTGATAAAGTGGTCCAGACACTTTAGAAGACAGTTTTTCAGTTTCTTACAAAATCAAACACACCCTTATACAATCCAGCAATAGTGCTCCTTGGTATTTACCCAAATTAGTTGAAAACTTATCTTCAAAGAAAAATCTGCATATAGATGCTTACAGTAGCTTTAATCATAACTGTGAAAACTTGGAAGCAACCAAAATATTCTTCAGTAGGTAAATGGATAAACAAATTGTGGTACATTCATACAATGGGATATTATACAGCAATGAAAATAAATAAGCATCAAGTCACATAGAGAAAGCTTAAATACATATTACTGCATGAAAGACGCCAGTCTGAAAAGGCTGTATATTGTATGATTCTAACTATATGACAGTCTGAAAAAGGCAAAACTGTAGAGATTGTAAAAAGATCAGTAGTTGCCAGGGGCTTGGGAGAGGGGAGAAAGGGATGAACAGGTGTAGCACAGGCAATTTTTAGGTCAGTGAAATGACTCTGTACAATACTATAATGGTGGGTATGTGTCATTATAAATCTGTCCAAACACATAGAATGTACAACTACAAGAGTGAGCCCTAATGTAAACGAGGGACTTTAGTTTATATCTAACTTTAGTTAACTAATATTAACTTTAGTTAATAATGTACCAAAATTGACTCATCAATTGTAACAAACATATCACACCAATGCAGGATGTTAATAACAGGTGAAACTATGCAGTGGGGTAAAGCTCTCTGTGCTTTCTGCTCAATTTTTCTGTAAATCTAAAGCTACTCTAAAAAAGTATTCTATTACCAGCTGATGACAGTTACAGCACTGTGAAGTTGGATGACTTTACTCTGCACTCTGGATTGTCCAGTCATACTGTTTCCCTAGGTTCAAGTACAACGTCCTTCTCCTAAGGAAGCCATGGCAGGGGCAGCTTGAGTCAGACATTTCTGGAAATGCAGAGGAGACACTGCTTAGTCGTGGATGAGCAGCCTTGTACGGAGCACTGTGGCTCTCAGCCTCATCTGCTGCCCTGTGGGCTCAGCTGATTGCAAAGACAGACAAAGCTCACTTCCAGCCTTTGCCATCACTATGAATTCTACCCTGCTGAAAACAGAGAGGGCAGAAGCACGCTTATTTCTCACCTATGGTGAAATGTGTTGAAGGGCTATGTTCAGTAACATCTAATTTTAGTCAACTAGTCTTAACTTTAGTTAATAATATACCAATATTTTTGATATATTTTGAACAATTGCTCATTAATTGTAACAAACATACTACACCAATATCACATGTTAATAACAGGGTCATAGTAGCATGTATTCACAGTGGCTCCCAGGGAGAAGCAATGACCAGCTTCGGTCAGTAGCTGATCTCGCCGGGCTGGGCTGCCCTGTACCCCAAGCCTCACTCTCACACTGGGAGCATGTCAGACGAGAGGAGGCCGAGAAAAACAATGATCCCTGTGGAAAGAGGCATGGAAAAGGCAGGGGTTGGGGGAGTGGGGAGGGAAGGGTAGAACGATGTGGGGGGCGGGTGGGTCTTCCAGAGAAGTCATCTAGTAGAAAGGTTGACAGGCACACAGTCAGGAATCTGAGCAGCCTTTGAAACAACCAAGAAAAGCCAGTATCCTGGTTTTAGTGCAACTGGCCTTGCTTGTGTGGTTTCCCACAAAAAAGATGATGTATCTTAGGCGCTCTGGCTCTCAGCTGGGGATAAGTTATCAATACAATTTTTAAAAATCTATTGTCAGTGAGCTCTGTGACCAAGAGGGCAGAACCTAAGAGTTACTACAAGGGTAGTTTAATTCAACTTCTTGACCCTCCAGCTATATAAGGGAGGGCTCCCAAGTGGGTATCAGACACGGCCTTTATCATAAAATGAAGCTACAGCTACACAGAATTCTTCCAGCCTCCTCTCCCTGTTCCTTCTTACACTTCAGGAGAGAAAGGTACAAGAGAGCACTGGGTGGGACGAGGGGGGCTTTTAATTGTCCAGCATCCACCTCTGGTGAAAATGTGTAGCAAGCAGCTCACTCCCATCCCTGGCTTTATCTTTGTTGCCAGCACTGTTACAACCTGACATTTTATGGTATGTATGTCTGTTTGTTTTCTGTCTCCTTGGGACCAAGTCAGGTGTGTGAGGTGGAGGGGAGTGTTTTTGGTTCACCGTATTCTCATTGCCCAGAACAGTGCCTGACACATAGACAAGCTATCAGCAAACACTTGCTGAAAGAATTGTTTCTTTTCAAGCCAAACCTGCCAGGCAGTTCCGCAGAGACATCCAGGGGGCATGAACTACAGAAGACAACACTTGGACTCTCCTATTTGAGCAGCAGCACTTTATAAGCACCTTGTGGAATCTAGGTGATTTCCATCTGGAGTAAGGAGACACTGTTCCAACCTTTCTGTGATGACAGTTCTCCAACAAATAACACAGACACTGGAGCATTTTTCATCACGGATGCGTGTAAATAAATAGTCATCATGGATGTCTTTTCTGAATAGATGACATCTGACACAGGCCTGAATAAAACGAGGGAGCCAGATCTGGAAATATCTGGAGGAAGAGCACGTGCAAAGGTCCTGAGGAGTGAATCCCCCCGCCCCAGTCCTAGAAAAGAGCAGGTGGCTGCTGTGGCTGGGGGAGGGCACACCGGGAAATGAGGCTGGAGAGATGCTGGGGCAGACGCCTCCAGTGGGGAGCACTAGGGGCCTGGACTTTATTCCAAGCTGGGCAGCCCCTGGAAGACTTTGAGCAGAGGAGCAATAACATCTGATGCATGTGACAGAAGAGACACTCAGGGTCCTGGGGACAGAAGAGGCCTTAAGGAGGCACAAGTGGGAACTGGAAGAATGGGGTGAGATCACTGCAGAAGTTCAGGCAAAGGTCACAGTGGGGTGGCCACTGGGACATGAGAGTTGTCAGACATAGAATATAACAGAAACAGAGCCAGCAGAACTTCCTGAGGGACTGAATGTGGGGGTATACTTTGGCCTCATTCTTCCCTCTGCCTCTATCTATACTATTCCCTGCCTTCTCCTTCTACTTCCTAGGCTATGTTCAACCTCCAAGGCCAGTTCAAGTACCAATGTCTGCAAGAACCTTTCCTGACCACCTCAGATGGGAGATTCTGTCTCCCTCAAAAAAATTTAAAAAGCAAACATGAAGAAGTAGGAACTCAGGCTTAGAGATATCCATTAGCAGGCTCAACTCCTGTGAGAGTCAGACCTACATGAGTAAATCTTATCTTGGTCTGGATAGTTTAAAACTTCTCTGAAGCACTTTCAAGTTCCCTTCCAGGGTCTGCCCACCATCCCTGAAATATTAATACTTCAGGATGCTGCCACCTGGAATGAAGGCTTTGTCCTTGGTCATTCACAGGCAGATCCCAGGGATCTCCATCTAAGGCAGTGGTGTCCAATCTTTTGGCTTCTCTGGGCCACATTGGAAGAAGAAGAATAAGAACACACATAAAATACACTAACAATAGCTGATAAGCCAAAAATAAAATCACAAAAAATCTTGTAATGTTTTAAGAAAGTTTATGAATTTGTGTTGGGCCACATTCAAAGCCCTCCTGGGCCACAGGCGGCCCATGGGCCACAGGTTGGACAACCTTTGTCTAAGGTAACCCCAGGTTTACTTATAAGACATGCATTAAATACCCAGGAGAAATTAGCCTGCAGATGACAACGGCTATGCCCAAGGCTTTCTGGAAGCTCACACAGTGTCTCATCTAGCTCAGCACAGACCTCAGCAATACCACCTGCAGGCAGGTCTGACAGCAACCCAAGCTCAGAGGTGAAGGGTCCACAAGGACCAAAGCAAACAGGCTCGGTGCTGGCCTGGTACCAGAGCACGTGCAAGCTGCAAATGCCCAGCCCAAGACTGTGCTCTCCTCTAGGTTTCTATGCCCTCAATGTACCACCTCTGCAGCAATCCCTGAGGCCCCAGGTCTCCACTTTCCTTTATATCTCCACACTGCACCTGTGGGAGAAAGTTTAACAGAGATAGCCACCTCCACTGAAGTGGGTGTGATGATGCTGAGCTGGCTGCTCGGGCAGGAGCACTGAGACATACCCTATATCCTCCAGGGAAAGGAGTCCTCCCCTCTAAGAAAAGGTAGAAGGCAGTGTTCCTTCTGACTAAGAGCCAGACAGAATACTCATGTGATAACTCAACAAGGGCCCAAAGTTGACAGACCTGAACGTCCACACAGAGTATGGTCAGTCCCATTAGCTGTGTTTTTTTGCCTCTTACTTCGAGGGGAGGCAGACACCCCAGTGTGTCCTGAAGGGTTTCAAACATACCAGTCCACACCCTCATGGGCTCTTTGCCTTGCTGGGAAGCCAATCCTGTCTAACAGGACTCCGTAGTGATTCTCCATGGCTATGGTACTAGATTTATGGAACACCTTTTAAAGCCTCAAGTACTGCGTTTAAAAAAATAAAAAGCCATGAGATATAAGCAACATAAGTGGGGACACCTTCAACTAATTCTTAGAAACACATATTTTCCTCATTCTTAAGGAAAAGAGTCCACCATCTCAAGCAAGAATGCAAATACACTGCGCTTGTATCACCACCTCCATACAGAACCCACAGCAGACATTACTAATTGATCACAGCACTACTTCCTGCTGAACTCAGATGCAGCTTCCAAGTCCTTCTAAACAGCCACTTCCAAATGATCACAGTTGTCACAGAAGATGGAATATTTCCCACTTGCTTCAAACAATATCTGCTGCTATGTCAAGGATGTGGGTGGAAGGAAAAAAAGAGGGAAGTGAAGAGAGACTCTTAAGGGTAAAGTATGTCATCAATGAAAACATTGATCAACCCTTGAATGTCACTGCAGAGAATGAACACAAGGGCAAGAGGAAAGGTGAAATAAGAAGTCCATGAAGTAGGAAATGAAACCTCTACTTGAAACACACCCACACTCTCACATACTCACACAAAATTATTGCCAATGGAGCAAGAGGTCATCCAGAGACACTCGTTGGTATTGACTACAAAATGAAAGTGGATTCTTTTCCCCCCAGTATAAGGGAGGCAGTACACAAGAATATCAACAGCTATTCATACCAATCTATCTACCTCCTTAAAGCAAATGGTTTTTATATAAACAAAGTTCCAGATTTTCAGAAAATTTCTGCCTGTGAAGCCTCTGAAAATAGCTCATCAGGTGATAAACAGACCAGTTGAAAGCGACGAAACCATTTATGGGAGAAGCTAAAATAGAGAAAACCCAAACCAGCACATAGCTAGGGAGTTTAGAACAATCCAGATTTTGTTCTTGCTTTCTAATTATCTTATTGGGAACCTAAACATGAGTTTTCCCAAAGTTAATGACTTTATCTTCACGGCCAAGCAGGGAGGCCATTCATCTACTTTTGCTCTGCCCCAGTGGAGTCAGATGACATCACAGCCCCCAGAGAGCAGGCACGCTTGGCTTTGCCTCCAGCCTCTGGGGCCTTGGCTCAGGGAAGAGGAGCATGCACACAAAGATAGGGATTCCCTTTCCAACACAATCCTCTTCCTCATTCACAAGGGCGGCTGGTGCCGGCCTTGTTTAAAGTATATTCAAGGGAAGATGCATATCATATCTTATTTACTGGGATAAAAAACATACACTAGGCTCCTACGCCTGTGGTTCATTTCTCAAGGCTCGGGACTCAGAGAAACTGCCCATCCTCTCTTAGCCCATCCCCATCCGTGGCCTGTGAACAGTCACTGCTAGAGCAGAACCCTCTCCCTGCTTTAGGCAGTTCCTCCCCCAGAGGAGCCAAAAACAGCCAGAAAGTGCTGTTCCCTGATTGTAGGTGGTGAAGCACATCTCTGAATAATTAAGCAAGTGTATATTCTTTTTCTTTTTTTTTTTTTTTAACAGGGCCTCACTCTGTTGCCTAGGCTGGAGTGCAGTGGCACAATCACTGCTCACTGCAGCCTCGACCTCCCTGGGCTCAGGTGACTCTCTCACCTCAGTCTCCCAAGTAGCTGGGGTGACAGATGCACACAACCACGCCCAGCTAATTTTTGTATTTTTTTTTTTCATAGAGACAGGGTTTCACCATATTGCCTGGTCTTGAACTCTGGGCTCAAGTGATCCGCCCATCTCAGCCTCCCAAAGTGCTGGGATTACAGGCGTGAGCCGCCACGCCCAGCGGTTTATTTTCTTTACTGCTGGAAAACAGCGTCTTTTCCTTGTTATCACTCACTGGTTCTGTGCAGTTTGGACTCCTTGTGTTCTGAGGTACAAGCTGAAAAGATGAAGAAATTTCGACCCAAAGGGACTGCTCTGTTATAAAATGTTAAACCTTTTCCCCCTACCCCCACCCCCCAACACCTGCTGAATGTTACAACGGAAGCACATCAATCAGGTGAGGAAGAAAAATTTTAGATTGTGGGTCACAAAGATTAGCTGACCCAGATGAAGATCAAGGAAGCCTCTAGTGCAATGTGGACAAAAACTGCAGAAAATACCACAAGGGCCTCTGGTCTGAGCAGCAGAATTTTTAAAAGAAGCTAATGTCTGTGTGTTTAAATCTCAGGAGATAGGTTAGTTTCTTGGCTTCTGAAAACATCAACTCTTCCTCCCCAACAGACCAGCAGGATAGGCTGCTGGATAGGCTGCTGGTCTTGTTAACTGTGTTAACTATGTTAACTGTTAACTGTTAACAAATTAACTGTGTTAACACAGTTAACAAGTAGTCAACTTTTGTCGAGGAGAAGGGGTGGGCCCTGCAGTAGATGTAATCTGCTTCAAGTAATTCAGAGATGTGAATGATTTGGAATTACAAGCAAATTAAGGGGAAACTCTCCTAAAGGAAGACCATAAGGTCCTTTAAATAAGAGACAGATGTTTAAAATCCACATTTTTTTTTTCCAGAAGCTCATTCATTGCAAAGAAGTCTGTCTCACTGGTTGTTTTGTGTGTTAGCAATACACTGTTTGCCAATGCATACAACTCTCTTTATCTAAAGGAAAAAAAAAAATACACCTTTAACAAACATTTGTAGAATGCACACACTGTGGCCCTGCTCTAACACTTGGGGATGCAGACCCGAACCAGATACTGAAGTGTCCACTATTCGGAGGTACAAAGACCACCCAAAAATGCTGCCAGCTGAATGAAGTTCTTACATACAAGTAAAAGAGCAAATGCTATTTTTGTTCTCATCTGCTGTTCCTTCAAGTCAGTGGAAATGCCTGTGCTTTTTGTAGGTTCATGTCATCGCTAAAGTTGGTGGGGACAAGTCTGAAAGTAAGCCAGCTATTAGCAACTGTGCTCTCGCAGGTTCTATCTTTAGTTGGACTGTGAAGAACTAAAAGTGTTAAAGTAAAAGTGTTAAAGACTCTGCAGCCTTCTGCCATTGTTTGGGGGAAATGTTGGTGGGGAGGTGTAGAGGGGGATGAGGAGGAGGTGAAGCCAGTGCCCCAGGGGCTGTGGCTCAATGTGCCCCATGACTTCCAGGCGTGTCACTCACTGGGGGACAGACTGCCTACATCAACAGATCACTCTTCAAATCAAACACCTTTAAAAAAAATTTATGGTAGAAAAGCAAACAAGCCCCCACCAATGAATTTATTATTAGAGGTTCCTTGGTCATAATAAAATATGTCAAATAGCATGCCTCTTGTGATCATCTGAATACCTGAACTGTTGACTGAAGGAGGGAAAAAACCACTCTACCATACTTGTTTTTTTATATTTCCTAGCACTGGGAAGGGCAGTATTTCTTTTTAACCAGCATGACAACCACCTATGTGGGAATTACTCTCATCATGGTAAATATGTCGGAGAGTGGCTGTCTGAAAGTCTGGCTGCATTTAGCCCAAGTCTGTTACACGATGGTGCTCTCACACACAAACAACTCCAGGCACCTCAGCATCCACAGCCTTCCACAGGCTGATATGGAGAGTCAGAATGGAAGCAGCATGGCTAGGATGGCAGGCAAGGGTCCTGGGCTCAAATCCTTATTCTGCTACTTGCTGGCAGAGGGAACTTGGGCAAGTCACCTAACAATTTTGTGCCTCAGTTCAGTTTTTTTTTTAAATCTCTAAAATGGAGATACCATATCTCATAAGATTGCTAGGTGGGTTAAAGGAGTTTGTACAATATGTAAGGTACTGGAAGAACTATGAGCCAGGCAACCTTCTAACTATTGGCCATTATCTTTTAGAAGAAAGCACCCTTGCCCTGTCATACCAAGAAGGTGCCCAAGGTGTCCACTGTGTACCTCATGCCATATTGTAAAAAACTGTGTGTCTGCTCCTGCCATGATCTATAAAAAATTCAGGAGCTGAGGGCAAGGGCTAGGTCATGGTTCTCTTTGCATTAATAACACCAGACCCAGCAGAGTATCTAATATACAGTTAAATGTTTACTAAAGTGAACAATCCACAAAATAAATCACCAAAATAAATATGTAGATACATAGCATCTCCCACTTCGTGCTGATCTTAGTTTTGTTATTCATTCCATTGCCTCTATAAGCATTAAGTAAAGAAAGTAGCTACCTCAGGTGAATTAAGCACCAAATGTTACATTAGGCCTAGTTCACAAAAATCACAATTACTGTTTGATCACTTAGATATATCCTACATGGGATGATAGCATAGATATTCCACATGCCTCTGCTCTCACTATTAAAAGAAAAATGCCCTGCTTTTTATCTGAAATCCAAAACATCCAATTTAGTTGAAAGGACTGTTTTGTTTGTTTTTCCCTCTGTTGCACCGTATGGGAAAGAGACACTTCACAAGAAAATAAGGTCGTATTACATAGTGAATTGATGTTGTTTTCCTAAGAGTAAATCCCTAACTTTGAAGTGGTTCACTGGTGCAATACCAGTCTGTTAGCCAAAATCTTCTACAACCCATATAGGATTCAAAAAAGAATTTATTTGAAATTATGACCTCAATAAAAGAAAGCCCCATTATCTTGACCCTAGTAGAATGCTTGTCCAGGAAACTGGAGTAATGCTTTTTTTCTCTCTCTCCACAATTAAAGTTAAAATTGAGCAGAGTTCTGTTTAACTAAGTCAGGAAGAAAACTGAACTCACTGGAACTTCTCATTCACAAGTACTGAGGGAGACTATGTCAACTACAGGTATCACATGAGCATAAAGAGTTTATTAGAGAAGACCTTTATTGAGAGACGCAGAAATAGCTTCTGAATCATTAAAGAATGACGAAGTTACTAAGCAATCCTTAATGTGTATGTGCACCTAACAACAGTGTCAAAATCCATGAGGCAAAAACTAATAGAACAGCAAGGAGAAATAGAGGAATCCACTATTATGGGTAGTGACTTCAATATCCCTCTAGCAGAAGTGGTTAGATCTGGCAGGCAGAAATCAGTAAGGACATAGTTGAGCTCTGGCAACAGCAGAATACACATTCTTCTTAAGCTCCTGTGGAACATTCACCAAGAGAGACCACGTTCTGGGCCATAAAATATACCTTAACACATTTAAAGAAATAGAAATCATACAATGCATGCTCTCAGACCACGATGGAAATAAACTAGAAATCAATAACAGAAAGAGAGCTGAAAAATCCCCCAGTACTGGAGAAGAAACAACACACTTCTAAACAACACATGGGTCAAAAAGGAAACTCAAGAGCAGTTAAAAATATTTTGAACTAAATGAAAAGAAAAATACAACTTATCAAAATGTGTGGGATGCAGCAAAAGCAGTGCTTAGAGGAAGATTTATAGCACTTACTGAATATATTACAAAGAAGAGATATCTAAAATCAATACGCTAAGCTTCCACTTTAGGAAACTAGAAAGAGAAGAGCCAATTAAGTGCAAAGTAAACAGAAGAAAGATGAAGTGATTCATTTTAGTTACTGTTTTGCTCTGTGCTGAGTATCTGAAAATTAGTCATCCACATGGGATAGCACAGGCATATTTCATTTGATAGAACTTTGCTTTATTGTGCCTCACAGATACTGTGGTTTTTTGTTTTGTTTTCTTTTTTCTTTTTCTTTTTCTTTTTTTTTTTTTTACAAATTTAAAGTTTGTGGCATCTATCCAACAGCAAGCGCTCACTTCGTGTCTCTGTGTCACATTTTGGTAATAATCACAATTCATTATTATTATAATATCTGTTATGGTGACAGGTGCTCAGTGATCTTTGATGTTACTATTGTAATTGTTTCGGGGTGCCATGAACCACACCCGTAGAAGACAGCAAACTTAGCTGATCAATGGAGCAGTCAGAACACACATTTATCAGTCATTTCTCCATCTCTCTCCTTCTCCTCAGGCCTCCCTATTCCCTGAGACACAATAATATTAAAACTAGGCCAATCAATAAACCTACAATGGCCTCTCAGTTTTGAAGTGAAAGGAAGAGTGGCATGTCTCTCACTTTAAATCAAAAGCTAGAAATGATTGCACTTAGTGAAGTCTGCATGTTGTAAGCAGAAATAGGCCAAAAGCTAGGCTTCTTGCTCCAAACAATTAGCTAACTTGTGAATGCGAAGGGAAAGTTCTTGGAGAAAATTAAAAGTGCTACTCCAGTGAATACACAAATGATAAGAGAGCACAATAGCCTTATGGTTGTTATGGAGAAAGTTTCAGTGGTCTGGAAAGAAGATCAAACCAGCTAAAACTTGCCCTTAAACCAAAGCCTACTCCAGAGTAAGCCCCTAGTTCTTTGATTCTGAGAGAGGTGAAGAAGCTGCAGAAGAAAGTTGGAAGCTAGCAGAGGCTGGTTCAAGAGGTTTAAGGAAAGATGCCCTCTCCATAACATGACAGTGCACAGCGAAGCAGCAAGTGCTGACGTAGGAGCTGCAGCAAGTTATCCAGAAGATCTAGCTAAGACCATTGATGAAGGTGGCTACTCTGCACAATAAATTTTCAGTGCAGATGAAACAGCCTTCAATTAGAAGATGATGCCATCTAGGATGTTTGTAGCTATGGAGAAGTCAATGCCTGGCTTAAAAGCTTCAAAAGACAGGCTGATTCTCTTGTTAGGGGCTAATGCAGCTGGTGACTTTAGGTTGAAGCCAATGTTCATTTACCATTCAAGATTCCAAAGTCCTTATGCTATATCTACTCTGCCTGTCCTCTACAAATGGAACAGCAAAGCCTGATTACAGCATATCTGTTTACAGTATGGTTTATGGAATATTTTAAGCCCACTGTTGAGATCTACTGCTCAGAAAAAAAAAGCATTTCTTTCAAAATGTTACTATTCATTGACAATGCACCTGGGTCGCCCAAGAGCTCTGATGGAGCTGTGTAAGGAGCTTAAAGTTGTTTCCATGACTGCTAACACAGCAACCACTATGCGGCCCATGCTCATTAAAGAGCAATTTCAAATTTCAAGTCTTAAGACCTACATTTTATAATGCTATTGCTGCCACAGATTTGTGATTCTGCTGATGGGTCTGGGTAAAGTAAATTAAAAATCTTGTGGAAATGATTCACCATTCTAGATGACATTAAGAACATTTGTAATTCATGGGAATAGGTCAAAATATCAACATTAATAGGAGTTTGGAAGAAGTTGATTCCAACCCTGATGACTGACTTTGAGGGGTTTGAGACTTCAATGGAGGAAGCAACTACAGATGTGGTGGGAATAGCAAGAGAACTGGAATTAGAAGTAAAGCCCGAAGATGAGACTGAATTGCTGCAATTTCAATAAAATTTGAACAGATGTAGAGTTATTTCTTCTGGATGAACAAAGAAAGTGGTTTCCTGAGATGGAATCTACTCCTGGTGAAGATGCTGTGAACATTGTGGAAATGACAACACAGGACTTAGAGTATTCCATAAACTTAGTTGGTAAGGCAGTGGTAGGGTTTGAGAGGACTGACTCCAAGTCTGAAAGAAGTTCTGCTATGAGTAAAATGCTATCAAACAGAATCACATGCCACAGAGAAATCTTTCATGAAAGGAAGAATCAATTAGCATGGCAAATTTCATCGTTGTCTTATTTTAAGAAATTGCTCCAGTTACCCTAACCTTCAGCAACCACAACCCTGATCAGTCAGCAGCCAACGACATCAAGGTGATATCCTTCACCAACAAAGATTATGATTTGCTGAAGGCTTAGATAATTGTTAGCATTTTAAACAATACAGTATTTTTAATTAAGGTATGTAATTTGTTTAGGCATAATGCTATTGCACACTTAATAGAACACAGTATAGTGTAAACATAACTTTTATATGCACCGGGAAACCAAAAAGTTCATGTGACTCACTTTATTGTGATATCTGCTTTATTGTGGTGGCCCGGAGCTGGGCCTGCTGTATCTCTGAGGTATGCCTATACTTCTCAAACTTTTCCATCAAAACCCCCGTAAAATGGCAGAGAGAGGGAACTCATACCTATCCCTCTAGTCTGGGAACACAGCCTGAAGCAATCCAATGGAAGAAAAAAAAATCACAATTTACATAAAGCCTTATCTTTTATCCTAAAAATTAACTTTGATATTTTTGTTTGTTTGTTTGAGGTGGAGTCTCACTCTGTCGCCCAGGCTGGAGTGAAGTGGCACAATCTCAGCACACTGCAACCTCCGCCTCCTAGGTTCAAGCGATTCTCCTGTCTCAGCTTCTCAAGTAGCTGGGATTACAGGCACCTGCCATTATGCCCAGCTAATTTTTATATTTTTAGTAGAGTTGGGGTTTCAACATGTTGGCCAGGCTGGTCTTGAACTCCTGACCTCAAGTGATCTGCCCGCCTCGGCCTCCCAAAGTGCTGGGATTACAGGTATGAGACACCACAGCCAGACAACCTTGATATTTCAATCTTGCATCCTATTCATTAACACATCTAAGTTTGTTTTAATATAGAAAACAATGTTATGACTTGCCACTTAAGTTCCTTTTTCATTCTCTAGTTGTTCCCGTGCCAGGTGTGGTCTGTGGTTCCACATATGCCATGGCATACTCTACACTAGTACTCCCATTTGAGAAGGGGACATGAAAATAGACAGTCTCAGTTCACCAGAATGTGGAGGATTGCAGGCCTGCCTCATGACCCGGCCCAATTCTTATAAAACACTAAGTTCCAGAAACAATAGGAGAGAGGATAAGCAGGTTCACCATGCCTTTCAGTACAGTAAGACCCAGTGCCCACCAGTCTCTGGCCAAGTGAGAGAATGGCCAGAGAACAGAGAGAGAAACGTGGTAAGTAATCCTTCCCTTCAACATCACCTAGGTAGGAGGGAAGTCAAGGTCTCATTATGAGGGTTAGAAGTGATGGGTATCCACTGGAATACACTTTATCTTCTTGGTCCTGAATATTTTCTGCCTTAATTTTCTAGTGCAATAACACATTCCAACTCATAAGAGTGGTTCATTATAGCCATGATCCTTAGATCAATGGAACAGAACAGAAACTCGACAGACAGACCCAAGTACTCCTAAGAATGTATCAAGTGACAAAGTGAGATTTGAGATCAGTGAGTGGAGAATAAACTATTCAATAAATGATGTTAGAATAACTGGATCATTATTTGACAAAAAGGCAAGTTAGATGTTTACCCCACATCTTACACCAAAATCCACACCCAAAGAATTAAAATTTAGATTTGAAGGTAACTACATAAATGTATGAGGGGAAATCAGAGATCAAAGAGTCACAGAAAATCATTTCTACCCCAAGACTAAGTATTACACAAAAGTAGAAATCATAAAGGGATTATGAACAGATTTTTAGTCCCTAAGGTTAAAAACAAAAAAATTACACTTTTAGTAAACCTAAATACAACTCACATAAATTTAAAAGGCAAGATGACAAAATATTTTCAGTGTGTATTTTTAAAAACTGCTTACAAATCAATAATAAAATCACTAACCTACCCAAAACAGGGCCTAAGGATACAAACAGGTAACTCACAAGAAAATAAATTTAAATACTCAACCATGAAGCAGCATTCAATCTTACTGAAAACCAAAGAAATACAAATTAAAATGAGATACCATTTTGCCAACAGAATTAGCAAAGTCTAGAGAATGAAAATATTCACAACCATTCACACATAAACAATAGAAGTATAAACGTGCACAGCTTTTCTGTTGTCAAAATATATTAAGAGACAAAAAAAGTGTGAAACTTTTGACCTAGTGATCAATTTCTCATGATTCATCCATAGAAAATAATTTTAAAATGCTGATAATAACTCAGTGGCAAGAATTTTCATTTCAGGTTTGAATATTTAAAAGTTTAAAGCAATCTATATCTCCATCAATAGCGATGGATTAATAAGTGATAAGAGTTGTATAACAGAATATATCCTAGCCATTAAAAATTAATAGTTTATAGATATATTTATATGTTTGCCACAGAAATATTTTCCCCATATACTGTAAGCGAAAAGCAGATTTTAAAACAGAATCTAGCAATGTTGTGAAGGGAAAAAAATGACTATACAAATATCTGTATCCTTGCCCAGAAAGAAGGCTGGTAGGACACCTGGCAGTTAAATCTAGTAAGAGGATGTCTCTGGTGAGTCAATCTGGGGGTGTTTTTACACGCTGTTTGCAGATTCTGATTTCTGCTTCATTTTGGGAAAACAATGTGCAGGATTGAACTGAGGCTGGTGGAAAAGGAGTGTGTCGTGAAGAGCTCACACAGGGAGATGGCAGCAGAGGATGCACGTGTTCTATGAATGAGAAGAGGCCGGTGCTGTGGCCAGCACAGGGGTGTGCTTGTTTTGAGGGTTTTCTTTGTTGGGGGAGGAGAGTGCTTGATGAGATTCAGAGAGAGTCCAGATCCAGAAGGATTCTCCATCTGTGTGATCTATGAGTTTACCTCACATTCCTAAAAACTGCTCAGGCCCCAGGCTTGCTTTCATTCCAGTTCAGGGACCTATGATTCATCCCCTGAAACCCTAATTATAACACCCTAGGTCTGCTATGTGCAAAAAACATCTGTCATTGTTGAAATTTGCTGGCAGGGAGTGTGTACAGCACGCAGACCGGCCTGATGATGCGATCCTCCACTGCAAAACTTAAAACCCAGAAACCATCCCGAGGTGAGAAGGGTTCCAGCCAAAAGTTTCCAACTGCGCTCGGTGACAAATAAGATGGACAGGTTATGGCCACCATAATTCATTTGGCAATTCCTCAGGGCTGCTGCCATGGCGGAAGTTACAGATCTTAAGCTCTGTCAACCCCCCCAAAAAATATATATCATAAATTTGAGTTTTCCTTGTTAGTTGCTAAGAACTGGGAGAGGGAAGGGAGGAAAGTCTGTAATTGCAAACACCTTGTTTATCAGCTTCAGCCACTTTTGTGTGACCACATTACCTGAACTATTAGCCAGTTAATCTCCTATGCCTCTTGGAAGTACAGTAATTACAAAGAGAATGCCTCAGACCTGGCAAGAGATGATGAAAACGAGTAAAGGTATATCTATCCTCTCAGCGCCTAGGAGAATTGTTTACTGACCTCATTCAAACTCAGACTAAAGCCCCTAAGGAACCCAAGCTGAAGATACGGTCTCATTGTAAGAATCTAATATTTTAACCTAGAAGTGCTGATTTTAAAAACACAGCAGAAAATAAACAAAATCAACCAACCAACAATAAATTCTCTCATATAAGCATTGGTTGTGCACCTAATGGACACAATGGTAAATTTGGAGGTTTTTAAGGTGTATTTGGAGGTTTTCAAGCTTTTTAAAGTTTAACAAAGCATCAAGATGCTGCTCAGCAGCCTCAGCTACAAATTACAATGTCATATACTCTCCAAATCAGAAGTGGCATTGCTATAACAACTGTGGTATATGCACGTATGCAGACAAACTAAGGTTATTTACCTGGTCTTATGGGAACACTGTTACTTATGAAACTTTTCCTTCAATTTTATTTAAAAGAAGGGTATTTGCACTTTGGGAGGCCGAGGTGGGCAGATCATTTAAGGTCAGGAGTTCGAGACCAGCCTGGCCAACATGGTGAAACCCTATCTCTACTAAAAATACAAAAATTAGCCGGGCGTAGTGGCGGGCGCCTGTAATCCCAGGTACTTGGGAGGCTGAAGCAGGAGAATCGCTTGAACCCGGGAGGTGGAGGTTGCAGTGAGCCAAGATTGCGCCATTGCACTCCAGCCTGGGTAACAAGAGTGAAACTCCACCTAAAAAAAATAAAAAGAAAACTTAAAAATAAAAGAAGGGTTTTTTCCCTCTAAATATCATCAAGAAAAACAAACTTTAAAATATGTCTTATCTTGGGGGCCTTGATACTTACTTTATTTCACATTTGTTAAAGTCATATTACTAGGCCTGGCATGGTGGCTCATGCCCGTAATCCCAGCACTTTGGGAGGCTGAGGCAGGTGGATCTCTTGAGTCCAGGAGTTTGAGACCAGCCTGGCCAACATGGCAAAACCCCATCTCTACTAAAGAATACAAAAATTAGCTGGGCATGGTACACAGCTGTAATCCCAGCTACTTGGGAGGCTGAGGCACGAGAATTGCTTGAACTCAGGAGGCAGAGGTTGCAGTGAGCTGAGATTGCGCCACTTCACCCTAGCCTGGGCGACAGAGCGAGACTCTGTCTCAAAAAAAAAAAAAAGAAAAAAAAAGACTACATTAACTGGGGCCACAGATACAAAAAATGTTTCTTTAATTAAAAGGAGTTCATTTATAAATCTATGCTAAAATTTTAGAAATTTGAGTTGAATAGATTGTGAGGAAAATATGTAATTACCAAAACTGACTCAAAAAGTAGAAAATTTGAACTGACCACTAAAAAGGGACCAGGCCAGAAGCTTCTTAGCAATTTCTTTCAAGCCTTCACAAAATTGTTGGTTATCCTGATACTTCAACTAGCAGAACACAAAAAAGATGAGATGCTTTAAAATTTATTTTATAAAGCTGACATAATATTGATATCAAAATCTAAAAAAGAAAACAAAGCCCCAAATACTTCATAATGGAGCAGATCTAGCAGTTTATACAGAGAATAATACCACATAGCCAAGAAGAGTTTATTTCAAGAATTTAAAGGTGGCTTTAACATAATTGAGTCAATCAATGTCCTCAAAACATTTGAGGGAAAAAACCCACACATTATTGCCTCCTGCTTTAAAAAACTAACAAAACAAAAAATGCCAACTCTTTTAGTAAATTATGATGAGAAACATATTTTAACATCATAAAGAATATATGTGTATATATAATATATAACCAAAAAGTCAGCTTCGTACTTAAGTGTTAAATGCGCAAACATTACCCGTAAAGCCATGAAAAATACAAGGATATCTACTGCCTTTTAAGAAACCATGCTCTTAAAGTCCTGGTCTATGCTATAAGTAAGAAGAGATTCAAATATTAATAATTTAATATTTAATAAAAGATTAAAATAAGATATTTAATAAGAGATTAAAATATTAAAAGGAAGGAGGCAAAGTTATTATTATTCAAGCTTAAATGATCATCTACCTAGAAAACCTAAGAGGATCAACTGAAGGACTATTAGAATTAACAAAACTCGTTAAGATATAAATATGAAAAAAAAGCTTTTATATACCAGCAATAACCAATTAGAATAGATAGCAGGGGGAAATGTCTCCCACATTAGAACACAGGTCCACGAGAACTGGAACTCTGCCTCATTCTTGGCTGAATCCCTAGCATCTAGAAGTGGTCCCAGCACAGAACAGGTGCTTGGTAATTATTTGCAGAATAAATGAGTGAACACATTCACAATAAGGGCAAAAATACCAAATAATGGAACCAAACTGATATTCCATAAACAGATTCCAATACTTAAGAATTTAGCATATGAAAATAAACCAGGCACAGAAAGATAAACTTCACATGTTCTCACTTATTCATGGCAGCTGAAAATGAAAACAATTGAACTCATGGAGACAGAGTCGAATGATGGTTACCAGAGGCTAGAAAGGGTAGTGGGTGGTGTGGGAGTGGAGGTGGTTAAAGCGTACAAAAAATAGTTAGAAAGAATAAGATCTAGTATTTGATAGCAGAACAGAGGACTATAGTCAATAATAATTTAATTTTATATTTTAAAATAGCTAAAAGAGTATAATTGGATTGTTTGTATCACAAGGGATAAATGCTTGAGGTCACAGATGCTCCATTTACCTTGATGTGTTTATTACACATTGCATGCCTATATATAAAAATATCTCAGGTACCCTATAAATATATATACCTACTATGTACCCACAAGAATTAAAAATTGTAAAAATGTTGGAAGGAGACCAAGGAGATGAAGGACACGAAGGAGACGAAGGAGATGAAGAAGACAAAGAAGACGAAGATGAAGACGAAGAAAAAGAAGAAGAAGAAGAAGAGGAAGAAGAAGAAAGCATATTGTGTCTCATTTTAAACTGCTAGTAGGGCAGAACTGAGATTTGAATCCAGAGTCTGTGAGAGTCCAAGTCTTGTGCGCTTAGTTCCTATGCCACAGTATGCCCCAGATCTTATAATTTTACAAAGAACCGGTTTTAGTTGTTTTAAAAAAACAGAATTTGTCATATGATGAAAATGGAATTTCAAACCACAGGGGGAAGGGTAGATTATTCCATAAATAGCATTTTAGACTACTAACTGGTTAACTGTTTCAAAAAATGAAAATGAGTTACATCTCACAACATACCCTAGAAAAATTATAGATAAAATATTTCAACATAATATATGAGATCACTAAAGAATTACAAGAAAAAAAGTAAGAAAATATTGGCATATCTTGGAATAAGAAAAGGTTTTCCTAAATATATAAGTAAAGGTAGAACACTAATGGGGAAAGATGCATAGTTTCTGCTACATAAAAATAAAAACCTTAGGTATGTCAAAATACCATAAACAAAACAGTAAAAGATAAAAAATAAATGGGGGAAAATACTTGCAATGTATGACAGAAAAAGGATTACTATTCTTCTCATATAAAGTGTTATTATAAAACTCCAAGAAAAGGATGATCAATCAATAAGAAAAAAATTTTTAAAGGTTAAGATGCAAGTAGCAAAATGACAAATGTCCAACAAATTTACTGACTCTAACAAATACTACATATGAAAACTGGGCTGAGATCATTTTTCTCCAATCAACTTGGCAAATGTTAAATCTAACTTACAGTGTTATGGAAGATCAAGAAAGTGAGAGAAAAGGCCAATTTCTAGAAATTTATTCTAAATATTACAGGATGTGCCAAACATTTCTGTACAAGAATGCCTGTTGTATTACTTCTTTGACTTTAGGCACTATAGATTTAATATATGCTTCTTATAAAAAATTAACCAATTCAGAGCAAGACACTGGAACCTGCCCTTTTAAATTTAGTGTATTGCAAAAACCCTTCATTACTTTTTTTTATTTTTAATGTCAACTTTTATTTTTAGATTCAGGGGTACATGTGCAGGTTTGTTACATGGGTATATCGTGTAATTCTGTGATTTGGGGTACAATTCATTGTTACCCAGATAGTAAGAATGGTGCCCAATAGACAGTTTTTCAACACTTGCTCCCTCTCTCCATCCCAATGAAAAACCTTATTATTATTATTTTTGTTTTGAGACAGGGCCAGGCTGGAGTGCAGTGGCTCAATCATGACTCACTGCAACCTCGACCTCCCAGGCTCCAGTGATCCACCAGCCTCAGCCTCCCAAGTAGCTGGGACTACAGGCATGCACTACCACACCCCGCTAATTTTTCTTTTTTCTTTTTTTTTTGAAGAGATTGTGGGGAGTATCTCACTGGGAGCTGCAGACAAAGCTGTTCCTATCTGGCCATCTTTGATCCAGCCATGGTGGGAGTCTCACTATGTTGCCCAGGCTGGTCTTGAACTCCTGGGCTCAAGTGATCTGCCTGCCTCAACCTCCCAAAGGGCTGGGATTACAGGTGTGAGCCACCTTGCTTGGCCAGAAAACCTTTTAATAGCTAAATCTTTTAAATAGCTACACAGTAAATCATTGTACTGACATAGAAAAATAAAGGATTTAAGAAATCTCCTTAAATAATTATAGCAGTGTGGTACTAGCAACTTGTTCTTACAAACAATTCAATAGTCACCATCTTCTACATTTTTCTTTGCACATTTCAACATGTATTTATGTAGGATATATCAAAAAGTGAAATTGATGACTCAGAAGTTATGCCCACTTAAAATTTGTAGCTATTGCCACGCTGACTTTTAAAAAAATGTTGTATCGGTTAATATTCCCACAACAATGTGTGGATTATTCATAATAGTGACAAATAGGAAAAATCTATATGGTCAAAGTGCTTCAAAAGTCGTTACAATAAATGTAGTCAAGGGAGTATTTCCCAGCCACTAGAAATGCTATAGATGAATGTTTAATGACCCAAAAAATGTTTGTTGGCTGGGCACG
The DNA here is from genome assembly GCF_000001405.40 of Homo sapiens. Lineage (NCBI taxonomy): Eukaryota > Metazoa > Chordata > Mammalia > Primates > Hominidae > Homo > Homo sapiens. The sequence continues at coordinate 70,547,324 of NC_000002.12, forward strand.
GTGGCTCATGCCTGTAATCCAGCACTTTGGGAGGCCGAGGCGGGCAGATTGCCTGAGGTCAGGAGTTCAAGACCAGCCTGGCCAACAAGAAGAAATCCTGTCTCTACTAAAAACACAAAAATTAGCTGGAAATCACTTAAACCTGGGAGGCAGAGGTTGCAGTGAGCCTAGATCGTGCCACTGCACTCCAGCCTGGGCAACAGAGCGAGCCTCCATCTCAAGAAAAAAAAAAAAAAACATGAAAAACAAACAAAAACTATTATGAAAGATTAAGTTACAAAAACAAGTACATTAAACAGTGTGAACCCACTGGAATTCATATATGCTTTTAAAGAATAGATACTTACACTATCTATATAATAGTATAAAAATAGAATAAGTATAGATAGTATACTATCTATACTTATACTACTATATTATATATATAGATAGTATACTATATATGCTATATATGTAATATAGTATACTATCTATACAATATATACTATCTATATATATACTATCTATAGATATATATAGAGATATATATATCTATATATAGAGAGATATATATATCTATAGATAGATAGTATACTATAAAGAATAGATCCATCAGGTTCTAAAACAAAATGTGAATCAGTTATCTTTCCATGGTGGAATTATAGGTCATGAAAACACTCTCTTACACTTGTCTTAATTTTCCAAGTGTTCTAGAGAAAAAATATGATTTGCAATTGTGAAGACATTAAATTATAATCTATTTTTTAAAACAATAAAATGCTATCCTGAAGACTACCAGCATTAGTGATGCAAGACTTTATATGCAACCACCCTTGATTGCCATAATAAAGAATTTTTCAGGATTAACATGAACACCACCAAGTGTTTGCCAACTGAGTACCTCAGAGTATCCTGCACTGGGTCCCCACGAGGTCATCAAATACTTATTGGTCCCTGCTGAGGCTCGGCCTGTGCTCAGAGGTGCCAAACACAGAGGTGAGGAGGAAGAAGCCCTCAAACTGATAGAGGAGAGAGGTTAAGCACCAATCAACATTAATCCAAACCAGAACACAGTGGGGCCAGGGCTCTGCTACCGGGGTTCCCAGCTGGAAAAGTTAACACATTCCAAGATGAAAACAGGTGAAGCAATGGCAGCCTGGTTGTTACCTAAAGGGGTTCCGTCTTGAGGAAACCCTAAGCAGCAGCAAATACTTCAAGGGTACAAATGCGAAGGTGAAGAAAACGGAAAGCCTTTCACAGTAAGGGAACAACAACAACAAAAATTAAAGCCAAACGTGCTAGGCATAGAACTCACTTGATTAGGGGAGCAGCTCCATGTGAAACAAATTTGCTTCCTCTGACTTAGAGCACTAGCAAAATACATTAAATTCCATCTCAATAAACTTCCAACTTTTTCTAAGCCCAGGTAGCAACTATTTATTTCTTAAGTCATACTCAGTACAACAAACGTGTAATCCTTAACAGAATTTACCATTTTACCCAGTTTTTACCTAGATTTTTAGTGTTATTCTAAAGGGAATGTGCCTTGAAGAGCTCCTAAGAGATGGTTTTGGTAGTGTAGATTTCTGGCTTTCTTGAGCCTATGAAAGATTTTTATACTTGACATTTCCTAGGGGGAAGAAAAGGCTAAACAAAACCAAAAGCCACCATAAAAGTCTCCCAATCTTCCTCTATCTAAGTGCAGTCTTAAACATATTAGCCCTTTAGCAAAGAGCTATGTTCATATTTTTAATTAGGTGATTAAAAATATTTGAAACGGCAGCAAGACAACGGTCAGCTTTTGGTAATCCAAAGGAAAAGGTGACATGATTAGCACTGGCAAGCTTAAGTTTAATAACATGGGATCGTTACATTTTCCATGGATAACGAACAAGAACACTTAAAATGAAGACGTCTCAGCAAGAGGGCTAACTCTGTCCTGGTCGGCATGACAGGCCTTAAAGTGCCTTTAATAGTAGCTTGTAAATTCACGGTGGCATTTACAAGCGTCTGAACGTACTTTAGGTAACATGCAATTGGTTAAGCCAAAAGTTTCCCTAACAGCAACTGACTGAAAAGCAGTGGTTCTCCAAGGGTCCCTTCTGCCCTTTCCCCATCAGCAACATACGCCACACCTGGGAACTTGTCAGCCAGGCAAACCTCCCACCTACTGAATCACAACCGCAGTGGAGGAGGCCTGGCCATCCATTTTAACCAGCCCTCCAGATCATTCCAATGTAAGGCCTGCTGTAGAGGATACTACAGAGGTTTTGAGTGTGACACCAAGCACAAGATGCCTAATTCAGTGTGTACAAGCCATTTTCATTTCCATTAACCAAACCTCCTCTTCCCGTTGCCCATCCCTTTTAGAGGGCAGTGCAAAGAGTAGGACCTTGTTCAAGACACACTTTGAAAAGGTCCTTAGGCCTAATGGAAAAGTCATCTATTTTTCATATGTTGCCACAGTAACAGTAACAAGAAGCATCACTTATTCCTATAAGAAAAGTCCCCTTTGCAGGGGACATTGAGTATTTATAGAAAGATCACTTTATCCTGAGGAACCCAAAATCTGGAAAAGCAAATATGGAAAACTCAGCCTCTAAGGCTTCCATATACAGCTTTACAGCCCATGTTCTAAGTGAACACTCCCTAATTATGGCTGCCCAATACGGAAAACATGTGTCCTAGGAAAACCTCCACTGTCTACTCTGAAAGACATCACGTCCAGGTAATAGAGAAAAGAAACGTCTTCTTTCAGTTCCCGTACTGGTCCCTCAGTCCTGACTTAAACAGGGAAGGTGATCTATTTCGCCTCTGCCCATCCTTAATGCTACTTCATTTCCTATGACATCATTCTTTAGGTCCACATTCGGTCCTTACTTACGGGAGTTGCCATAAAAATAATAAAGCTTATCTCTGGATTATAAAATCCATTTTTGTATCATAAGATCAGTTGCATTTTGTGTGCAGTCCTTATTTTTTTTTATAAATAGCTTCCATATTTACCATCTCATTTGAGTCTTACAACAGCCTGTGAGGTGGGCACAGTTTTATTATTCCCACTTTACAGATGACAAAACTGGAACTTAGTGCTAACTTCCATAAACAACTGATCGTTGAATACTAAAGGAGATACAAAAAATTTGCATAAAAAATTAAATAATTAAATAATTAAAATTAAAAAAGATTAAATTAAAAAGAATTAAAGAATTCATGATGTCTAAAAGAACCTCCAGGGCCGGGCACGGTGGCTCACGCCTGTAATCCCAGCCCTTTGGGAGGCTGAGGTGGGTGGATCACGCGGTCAGGAGATGCAGACCATCCTGGCTAACACGGTGAAACCCCGTCTCTACTAAAAATATATTTAAAAAATTAGCCGGGCGTGGTGGCGGGCGCCTGTAGTCCCAGCTAATCGGGAGGCTGAGGCAGAATGGCGTGAACCCGGGAGGCGGAGCTTGCAGTGAGCCGAGATCGCGCCACTGCACTCCAGCCTGGGAGACAGAGCGAGACTCCGTCTCAAAAAACAAAAAACCAAAAAAACAAAAGAAAACAAAACAAAAAAACCCTCCAGATTTGCTTGAATTTGTCATTGGCCAAATCATATTCACCAGAAATTACCTAGGTAGGTTTTTAGGTTGGGTGATATTTTTCGAAGGAATGGTAAAGAGCATGGAGATGAGATAAACGAAAACCTACAAACTCTCCCAGTTATACAACTCACATAACCTGCAATGATGTCTGGAATTCTATGGGGCCCAAAGTAACAACAACAATGATGATGATGATAAGATTAAGATCTTACTACATACCAGGCACCCTTCTGCATACATTAAATATATTCAACAACCCTATTAATATCCCCATTTTGCAGGTGAGAAAAACAAGGCATAGAAAAGCTAAGTAACTTGCCCAAGATCACACATCTTGCTCCGTGAACACAGAGGAGGAAATGTAACTGGAAATGCCAAGCCCCCGTGCGGTCTGCCTGCCAGTGATGGAAACCTGACATGGGAGGGCAGCCACCACAGGAACCTGGGTTATGTTTCCAGTGTTGCCATTTGGGCAACAGTCTTCACATTCTCTTACTGAAAACATTAATCAATGCTCAGGTTCCAAGTAATCAAACATTAACCGAGACTCCTAACAGCCAGTTCCTTCTCAGACTAGCCCCACGGAGGTTTCCTAGATCTCGGGTAGCGATGGAACACTGGTTGATTCTCCTGGAACTGCCTTCAACTATTTAAGAAAAATCAGAGGGGAAAGCAGCTTTGAAGGAAATGTGCAAAGTAAAGCTATATGTGGGAGGCAGCAGTTCTAGTAAACGCACAGAACTCACAGCTGTGATTTTTCTTTTAAAGACATATAAATAAAAAGGAGTCCTCACTGGTGTAAATTACTCCTGCCTTTTTTTTTTCTCCACTTTTTTCAACTGCTCACATTTTGGAACTGTGTGAGCAAGTTTTTACATATTGATCAATCTTTTAAAGTTTATACATCATTTTCTTAAAGAAGGAAACAAAGATCAAGCTGAAAAGAACATTCAGGCAAAAGAGAAAAATTACATGATGAATGAATGCAGTCTTTGTGGGCGAGAATTCTGGGATGGGAGTGTGGGGTGTAGGGACAGCTTTCAAACACTTACTCAAATGTGCTTATCTTCATCATTTCCTGCCTCTAATTTTTACCGAATAACCACCTTGAGATCCCAGGAATTCAATAGGAAACTCAATTTAACAACAAGTTCCAGGGTATTCCACATAATCTCTCTTTAAGGCAAAGTCCCAAAAGAGAGATGGGACTATAATGACCACAAGTTAGGTGACTTTTCATATTCACATTCCTTCCACGTTCTTCGACAATCCTGGTCCAGTTACTTACTGTGGACCCTGTGTGCTTTACTTTCCTCTGCTATATAATGAGAATAATATTAACACCTTCTTTATCCGGTTGGTGTGAAAACTGCATGAATAAATGTAAAGCACTTGGACTGTGTCTGACACAGAGTAAAATGCTCGAATAGCATCAGCTGTTATTACTACTACTACTTACTACTATTATTTGCAAAAACATTACAAGGGATAATTATATCCAGGAAGCTTCCCTTGTATTGGTAATGTTTTATTGCTTTTTCTAAAATTTAAATCAGAGCAACAGTCAATACATGCACACAAAAAAGGCAATTCTTCAAAAATGTGGGGGAAAAGCCTCCCATACCCATGTTACCTGCTGGTGAGTTTCAGGTAAGGGTGTAGCTGGGAGCATCCGGTTCCAAGACTGCCTTGTATTTCTCTTACAGGATGCCTCCCCTTCTGCTGCGGTTTTTAATCAGCGTTTCTAGGGCAGGCTTGCAGGCGGGGCCGCGAACCCCCTGTAGTTGTACACGGAGCTGGGTGAGGCTGCGGCTCTGGGCATTTCTGGGGAGGAGTTCCATGGCTTTCCACAGACTCTAACCACCCTGCAGCGAGCCGCATGCTATACGGGTTAAACTCGGGGCATATCGAACGAACAATTCACTTCACGGAAGACTAGCAATAACCAGGACACCTGCGCTATTGATCAGCTATCTCAACACCAGAGAGACCCACCAGCACAAGGGGCAAGAATTGGCCAGGAGGCGCGCGGCGCTGCGCCCTCACCGCGTCCAGACAGACCCTTGAACTTCACCGCCAAAAAACGCACCGCTCCGCAGACCCGACCCGGGAGAGGGGTTTAACTTCCCCTCACCTTTCCCATCCCTCCTTCATTTCCAAGGACATACTCAAAGGAAACTGGCAACACTCGGTCTAGGGTTTCGCTCCTGCCCTCGGCGGACACCGAAACCACTTCTCCCAGGGAAGTTAATTAAAGGAACCATTAATCCGCCCAAAAATCCAAAACCTACCCCCAAAGCTCAAGAGCTCTGAAAAGAGATCGAGGGCGCCTCTGCCGATCTTGAACATCTCTGCTCGTCGCTGGGGCTTAGAGGTGGGCAGGGGGTGCCAAAGGGGCGCAGGCAAGACCCGGCCAGAGGGTTAGACGCCGGCCCCCGTTCCGAGGCGGCCCAGTCTACACGCCAGCGACGCCGGCTGAGCCGGGCTTGGAGGCAGCCAGGTAAGCAGGTAGGTGTAGGCATGTGTCTGAGCAGACACACAGCTGCGGCGGATTAAAGTTCAAGCCCGTTCACACTCCGCTTCCCCTTCCCAGGTGTTCTCACGCACGGCCCAGGCAGCCACTTTCCCGGGGAAGCCTCGGCGCTCGACCGGACAGTCCCCTCTTTGTCATTCTTAATGACTCCCCTTGCCTCCCAGGCGCCAACCCATTGAGACTACTCGCTTCTCTCCACTCTCCCAGGCGGGCGCAGAAACCCCCGGAAAGGGGAACTCGGCGGGGACCGGGGGAAGCAGGGTGTCGCGCGGCGCAGGGGGCGCCGCAGCCGGCGTACGTACCCAGAGCGAACAGGGCGAGCTGTCCAGCCGAGGGGACCATTTTACGGGCGGGCGGGCAGCAGGCTCTCCAGCCTCCTGCCCTACCTGCGGTGCCCGAGTGGCGGAGCGGCGCCGCGGTGCGGGGGAAAAAGACGCAGACTAGGCAGGGCCTGCCCCCGGCGCGGGAGGGCGGAGGGAGGACCGAGCGCCTCTCTGCTGGCACTCGCCCCGCAGCGCTGCCCGCCGGGCGGAAATAGGAAGGCGGCTACCGTCACCTCCTCGCCACTCGGCGACCGGGGCACAGCTGACCCCCCCCTCCCGCCCCGATGGGGGTGCCCCCCTGAGGGCACAGAGGGTGGGGGTTTGGGGTAAGGGGCGGGGACGCTGAGCGCACCGAGCAGGGCGCGGGCTGCTGGGCGGGGCGACCTGGGATCCCAGAGCCTGGCGGCGCGAGCCGGGCACCCGGGCCGACGAAAAGGCAGGAAGCGCCTGACTTCAGACACCACCCCCGACTGCCAGCGCCGTGCGGCAGCGGACTCCAGCGTGCGGGGTCGGCGCCGGCCGCGTAGCCGGATTGTCCTGGGCCGCAGTGGCGGCTTCCAGGCTCTAGGCGGCGGAGCGGAGCCGCCCGGGCACCCGTTACCTACACCGAGGGGCCGCTCCTGGGGCATCTCTGGGGCGGGGAAGGCTGGAGGCTGGGGACGCAGCCAGGAAAGGGACCTGTGAGTTTCGCCGGCCGCTTGCCAAGACTTGGCTCAAGGAAAGTGGTCCCCTGAATCAATGAAGAATTTGTTAAACCAGGTTTCCCACCTGTGCCACAGTTCCCATCAATTCTGGCAACGCCTGCCGCCTTACCTCCCAGGCAGGCCACATCGTTAAGATCAGTCTTCGTACTTCTGGCCTGGGACTGATAAAAAATGGGTCTCTGTGACGAATCTGGTTATATGGCACCACCAGCTGAGGCCAAAAGCCTGCTAGCCTGCCACCAAGTGTACCCCGAAAGAGGGGTGTGTGGGCCCGAGTCACCTGGGTGGTCCTTTCAGGATTTGTGGCTCTGAGGTGGCCCCTGGTGCTGGAATTTGGGGAGGTGGAGGGGATAGAGGGAAGACATTCTGGGCGAAGAGTGGAAGATCCATAGGTTCCTCGGTGACCCTCATGGGGACAGTACACCCGGGAGATTCATGTTCTCCAGGTACCCGGAGCTCACGGACTGACCCTCTTCTCCTGCCTCCTCTGGCCTACGTGCTCCGGGTAGATCCACTTTCCTTGAAGGTGGGGGTGGGGGCTGTTGGGCCTGGGGAATCTTTTGCTGTTTACTTGGGGAGGCTCAGGCTCTCACGGTTGACCTCTGCCCAGTTTGTTTCATGTAAGTAGAGCAACCTAGTTTCAAGAAGGAAGCACCAGGCCATTGGTCTCAACATTTGGGCAGGAAGCACCAGTGTAAATCATTCCTTTCAATAGATTTGTCGGAGCATACTTTGTTCTTTTAGGGTAAATCTTTTCCTTGGTCCACCCCATGCATGTACAAGGCACACATGCACTTCCTTTAGTAGGTTGTCCCTGACTCCCACTTCCTTCAGGTTGATCTTGACCTGCTCTGGTGGTTTCCCTGTCTCCTCCCTAAACTAGTCTGCTTTGGCTACAGAAGGGGAGGAATCAGGGGTTCCCCCACCCTTCTCCTGTTCCCCAGGACTAGAGAAGGACCTGACTCCTTGCTTCCTACTGGAACACGCAAATCAAGCTCACTGTGGCTGAGGGATGGCTGCCCAGCCGGCTGAGGGTCATGTTCAGCAGTTTCTGCTTATCTGTCCCCTACCCCCAAAGTCAGAGGTGGAGGGAAGTAGCAGAATCAAGTCAATTTCCTTCATGATTGGAAAATATTTTAAATCAAGAGGTAACTTGCAGGCCAGGCATGGTGGCTCACACCTGTAATACCATCACTTTGGGAGGCTGAGGTGGGTGGATTGCTTGAGCTCAGGAGTTCGAGACCAGCCTGGGCAACATGGTAAAACCCCCCATTTCTACTAAACATACAAAAAATTAGCCAGACATGGTGGCGTGCGTCTGTAGTCCCAGCTACTTGGGAGGCTGAGGCACGAGAATCACTTGAACCTGGGAGGCAGAGGTTGCAGTGAGCCAAGATTGTGCCACTGCACTCCAGCCTGGATGACAGAACAAGACTCTGTCTCAAAAAAAAAAAAAAAAGAAAAAAAGAGATGGCCGGGCGCGGTGGCTCACGCCTGTAATCCCAGCACTTTGGGAGGCCGAGGCGGGCGGATCACGAGGTCAGGAGATCGAGACCATCCCGGCTAAAACGGTGAAACCCCGTCTCTACTAAAAATACAAAAAAAATTAGCCGGGCGTAGTGGCGGGCGCCTGTAGTCCCAGCTACTTGGGAGGCTGAGGCAGGAGAATGGCGTGAACCCGGGAGGCGGAGCTTGCAGTGAGCCGAGATCCCGCCACTGCACTCCAGCCTGGGCGACAGAGCGAGACTCCGTCTCAAAAAAAAAAAAAAAAAAAAAAAAAGAAAAAAAGAGATAACTTGCCATCTTACAAACTAAAGAGTATCCAAATCAAAGTACATTCTAATGCTTGAAAATCATTAATTCTCCCTCCAAGATTTTCAAAAGCTGGTCCATATCTGTGGTTTTATAACCCTCCAATTCATTCAAGTCAAACAGGTCATCAGGGGCTGGGTGTTTTTTTTTTTTTTTTTAACTTAAAGATCATTTTTTTGGTAAACTGAATTGAAATGATTTTTAAACGTTTAGTCATAGAGGAAACCTAATATCCTAAATTGTTGATGCTCTATCTTTTGTATTTTATATATCTCATTTAATCCTCACAATAATCTTATGAGATAGATCCCATCCCCTTTTATAAGAGAAGAATCAAGACTGAGTGAATTTAGTAACTTACCCAGAATTACACAGCCAATAAAGGGCAGAGCTTGATTTTGAAAGCAGAACAAGCTGGTTCTGAGGCTTATGTGCTGGCTTCTCTGCTATACTGCCTCGGTTTCCACATTTTCAATAAGGATAATGCTTAACTCATTGGGTTGATGTGAGTACTAAATGCAAGAATTTATTTGCATACTTAGCATAATATTTGACATCAACAAAACTACCTATTATTTAAAGGAAAACTCCCTCAGTGGACACACCTTTCCCTTGTCTTAGTTCCTTACCACTATCTTTATGTTATCATTTTCATATCAGCTTCTTTGCTTGAGCATATGCATGTACATGCACGTGCATACCTCTTCCTATGGGAAATATTTTCATAGGTGAATCAGGAGGTATGAAGTTGTTTCTCAGCTGTGGTGTGAAAGAAATAAGAAAAAAATTGACAGAACGCGATTTAGAGCAAAGCAATCATTTTTCCTAAAGGGTGGTGTGACATTTTGTATTGGAACACCTCACTCTCTGAGCCGAGTGAAATTCCAACTGTAGCCCCTTGAAGCTGTGTGGAGACTCAGGTATGCGCCTTCACCTACAGACACTGCATCTGTCTCGCGTGGCCACTGCAGCTCCTGTTTCTCTGCACGTGGAGCCTGATGATTATGTGGCCTTCCCACTAAGAGTCTGCCTGGACTGCCTTTGCACACACTTGCTGCAGCTGGCCTTGAGCTCAGTATAATCTCTTCTGTGAGAAGCCAATCACAGCCTCTCCTCCCTGTGCAAACAAGAGAACTATGTTATGCTCTACTGAGAGCCGGTAAACCGCCCTGTCAGTTTTCCCTTTCCTTTCTCCTACATGCTTATTATAGAGGGTATGTTTAAAGAGCCCTCTTCTTCACTGTGATCAGCCTCCCCTTCCTTCCTGATTCATTTGTGGAAGTGATTGTGGAGCTATGAGCACCAGAGCCTTCCCTGAATAATTCAGGCCAGCTGAGCTTGCTGTTTTAGATCAGCAGTTACCCAAGATACTGGGGATTGAACAGCCCAGACATTCTTTGGGAGGAAGCACAGCCATGGGCCCAGCATTGAAGGAATTACAATTCCCACAGTCAAGCCCCAGGGAGCAGTAACTGGGCTGGTTCAGGTGGCTGCAGGACCTTCCTGGGTGACAGCAGCAGACAGCCAGGCTCAGAGGGAAAACAGGATGGGGCACCTGGTGCAGAGGGAGGGCAAAGGAGAGATGTCATCTGTGTATGAGAAAGAAAGAGGGAAGTTTTATTAAGGACTCTGGAGAACTGTGTTTAGGGAGAGTGAGGAGATTTTAATGTGTTAAGGGATTTAGAAAAAGAAATCTATTGTCTAAATATCAGCTCCCTCTGGGGCCTTAGCTATTAGTGTGTTCCTTATCTCTTGCCAAAGGAAAAAGTAGGAAACCTTATGCTGGGCTCATTTTTACAGTTTTCATCACCAGCATAATGGGCGAGGTAAGAAGAGATAAGAGGCATTTGCTTTGTTCTCAGCTACCTGCGTGATTTTCGTTGCCAGTGTTGTCCAAAGATTGGTCTGACCTTCTGCTTAACATCTGCCATCCCCCAGCTCTCAGGCCTACGTTTGGAATGCACATTGAAGTTGAAATTGAAGCTCAAATCTTTCCTTTCCAGAGGAGATTTCACAGAATGGCTCTAAAGCCCAGTATTGAAGTGTGGAGGTTGGTGTTCCACTAGTGGTCCAAGCAGCTCCATGTCCTAGTCAAGGTGCTAGGTCAGAGTCTCTGGGACTCAGGGCCACCAGGTGGCTACCACGTGAAAGACATTATATAGTTTGTGAACTTCCTAGACGACAGGATGCAGTAGCAGTACCCACAGGATTGAGCGCAGCTGCTGTGAAGCCATTCCATTAAGCGTGCTTGGAGGCAGGATAGCTTTGCATTCAATTCTGTCCTCCTATCTTTGCTACTTTCCTCAGCAGTCTCAACCACACAGCCATACCCTTCTGGAGACTGGAAAGATTGCCCCAGCAGGAGTGCCCCTGGGAAAGTCCTAAATCAAGCACCCAGAAATACTCAGGCAAGTACACTTAATGATGTTGATGGAAATAGGGTAGTGATGATTAACAGAAGCAAAAGAGAGATAGGAGAAAGAAAATATGAAGAATCAAGGAAGGAGAAATCAAAGAACTATAGAGAGCTGAAAAGGTGGCTTGGTAATTTATTTTTCAGTATGGGTCAGTGTGCCTGATAAACTCAAGAGATTCTCCCCAAGCTCAGAGGAAAAGGGAAAATAAATTGAGAGAGCTAAGGTATGAGACAAAGCCAAAGCCAGAATATCCAAAATACTGATGGAGTGCTCAGAAAGAAAGCAGAGAGCTGATAGAAGAGAAACTTCTTATATCCCCCAACAGGAGGAACTAGTGATGGGAAGAGGGTGTTATGCCTCCCACAAGTCTATAAGGTGGAGAGGATCTTGTTTAAAGAGACTATGAAAGGTGCAAGGATAAACTTGCATTCTGTGACAGACATCCAAACCCTCACCTTGAACTTCTCATACCACCCCCACCCCCTGCTTCCAAACTCCATTGAAGAACCAAAGGAAAATAATGGTAGGGGAAACTCTATGTCATTGTTCAAAACTGAAAGAAGGATTCCACCCACATGCCAGACGTTTTAAGGAATTTCTGTAAGACTTAATGCAGATGAGACCAGTTTGACAGAAGGATTTGACAACCTTCAATTCACCTCAGAGAAAAGCCTCTCCAGGGAAGGACCCCCGCCCCCAACCCCAGACTCAGTAATGCTCCCAAATTGGTCATGACAAGAGCTGCAGGCAAAAATAAACCACAGAGGCCGGGCATGGTGACTTATGCCTGTAATCCCAGCACTTTGGGAGGCCAAGGTGGGTGGATCACCTGAGGTCAGAGTTCGAGACCAGCCTGGTCAACATAGCGAAACCCTTTCTCTGCTAAAAATTCAAAAAAATTAGCTGAGTGTGGTTGTGGGCAACTGTAATCCTAGCTCCTCGGGAGGCTGAGGCAGGAGAATCTCTTGAACCCGGGAGGCAGAGGTTGCAGTAGGCCGAACTCGCGCCACTGCACTCCAGCCTGGGCGGCAGAGCATGACTCTGTCTCAAATAAACAAACAAACAAACAAACAAACAAACAAACAAACCACAGAAAACTCATGTGGGGCAAGTCTCCATCCTCTTGAAACATTTAGGAAGTGCCCAGGTACTGGGGTGCATACAGAGCAGGGATCCCACTGAGGGGATCCTAATTTGGTGCCTGGTACAGAGACAACATTGCTGGGGGGCAGTGGCGAAGGCAGCCACACAAGCTCCTTGCTGGCTTTATGTGTTTACAACAGTGGGGAAAAGAAACTCTTCAATATGAAGGCGAAACTCTGCTCTCTTGGGGGCCCCCACAGAGCACCACTGGCTCTTAATAGTTTTCTTTCATCTCTTTATTCCACATGTGTCCATTGCAAGCCTGTTGTGTTCCAGGCACTGGGTTAGGCACTTGTCGACAATGGAGAAGTGAAGTGTTTTCTGCTTTGTGGAGCTACTCAGGCAAAAGAATCAGGTTACCTCCAAAGTTAAAAAAAATCATAACTGACATTGACATTTGACATAATTGCCAAAGTAAACAAAGCAATACCCATGGAATTTTGAAGGGAAATGATTGTGACACAAAATTCTGTTTCTTACCAACATATTTCAGATAATCTATTTAAAAGTAAACCATTTATGTACCACTCCAAATGAAAACGAAAGAATCCACAGAAAATATTCCAGCCAAGCAAATAAACTCAATAAAGTGAAAGAAATGTCAGTGAATGACAGCAATAAAATTTAATGTTGAACCTAACTCCTGATTTTTAATATGTTGTACTGCTCACTGTTGGTTGTCAATAGGATGGAGATTTTACTTTCCTTCCTGCTAACAGAATCCCAATTTTGTTTGGTTGACAGCATGCCTCTGCCCACAGGAGGAGGCACGACAATCCCTTGGCCTTTGCTGATGATTGGCCTCGGGCCAGGCACATGACTAAATCTGGCCAATGAAATGTCAGGGGGAGTCTCCTGTTAGGCTTTTTGGGAAGGAATTTGCTTCTTGATAAAGTCAAGCAAGGTAGCTTGACTTTCTGCCTCAAAGTTGGTTGTCAAAAGATGAAATATCTGGAGTTGTGGCATCCATCTTGTGACTCTGAGGAGGAGGCCAACAGAATCTGAGACATGCCCACCTTGATATTGAAGAGCTAGCTGCTGAGCCAGCCCTGGACCTGTTTCTTTCACCCATGTTTCTATGTGGGATAATTACATGTCCATAATGTCTGAGATATGGAAGAGCGTTCTAAAACAGTATACATGGATTAGGAGTTGGGACTAAATAATAATAAAGTAAATCTAAAGGCCCATATTATTGTCTTAGAAATTGGGAGGACGGGGTGGCGTAGGAGAAGGGAAAGTAAAAATGTGCTTGTATTTGCTTGTTTTTCCTTCCTTCCTTCCTTCCTTCCTTCCTTCCTTCCTTCCTTCCTTCCTTCCTTCCTTTCTTCCAAGTCTTGCCCTCTCACCCAGGCTGGAGTGCAATGGTGCAATCTTGGTTCACCTCCACCTCCTGGATTCAAGCAATTCTCCCACCTCAGCCTCCTAAGTAGCTGGGATTACAGGCATATGCCACGAGACCTGGCTTATTTTTGTATTTTTAGTAGAGATGGCGTTTCACTATGTTGGCCAGGGTGGTCTCAAACTCCTGACCACAGGTGATCTGCCTGCCTCGGCCTCCCAAACTGCTGGGATTACAGGTGTGAGCCACGGTACCAGGCTCATCTTTTGTTGAAGAGAATTAATAGCTACCGTGAAATCTTTCCTCTGACAGAGAAATTTAAAATTTATTTAAAAATTTAAAGGTAACTAGTAATAGAATAAAAATAGAATTTATCCACATTTCTAAAAGAACAAAGAGAGTGAGCAAGAGATGTTGTGTGTAACATTAATGTAGCAAGAAGAAAGAACAAGGAAAATCCCAAGATAGAAAAGCCAGGAAGCATATAAAATATGATCAGATGGTAGAAGTAAACACAAATATATCTGTGTTCTCGTTAATCATGAGTAGGTTTAACTGCTCCTTTAAAATACAAAATCTGACGAGAGGCTTATAAGAAACACACCCAATAGTGATTTATATCACTATTAAGCAAAAACCATTGCTCAGTAAATGCAAACCAAACAAAACCTGGGGAGGTGATACAATGAGGAGAAAACTAAAATTCACAACAAAAAGGAAATTAATATATACACAGGATCATTTTAGTCAAAACTGTTAGAAATATAAGAAAACCTACAAGGACAAATTTATAATTCCTTTGTATTGGTAGATTGTAACATGAATGGCCCCCAGTGAAGCAAACTTCCCATTACCCCCTCCTTGTGTAGTCCCCTCCCACATGGACTGTGGGTTTGGCCATGAGACTTACTTTGGTTGATGGAATGTGAGTAAAGAGAATGATGCATGCAGAGACTCCATAAACTCCTGTGCATTAGGGCTTGTGCTCTTGGAATGTTTCTGCATCATGAACAGCTGCCAATCTAGTCTACTAGAGGCTAATGAGGGGCTGCATGGAGCACAGCCCCCATTACTGAACCCAGCCCCCCACCCCACCTACCAGTTGAATTTGGCTGTAAGAGTGAACCCAGTCAACCCATAGAATTGTGATAAATAATAAAATGCCATTGTTTTAAGTCACTAAATTTTAGTGGGGCTTGTTGTGCAGCAGTAAGTAATGACCACACTTTGTCAAACCCGAGCATCTCTTTCTGTCTGTGGCTCCTC
Organism: Homo sapiens; assembly: GCF_000001405.40. NCBI lineage: Eukaryota > Metazoa > Chordata > Mammalia > Primates > Hominidae > Homo > Homo sapiens. The sequence continues at coordinate 70,562,433 of NC_000002.12, forward strand.
AAAAGGAAAAATTAAGTAAAGTTATGATTAATTTGAATAATTTGTCCGATATAATTAATACATACAAATCAACATTTTCTACTCTGTAAATATATATTCCTTTCAAGTATCTTTAGAAGATTTTAAAGAAATGATCATATGCCAACCCTCAGAATCTTAAGTAATTCTAAGAAAACACTTTTGCCGGGCACGGTGGCTCACGTCTGTAATCCCAGCACTTTGGGAAGCCGAGGCGGGCAGATCACTTGAGGTCAGGAGTTCGAGACCAGCTGGCTAACATAGTGAAACCCCGTCTCTACTAAAAATACAAAAATTAGCCAGATGTGGTGGCACATGCCTGTAATCTCACCTACTCGGGAGGCTGAGGCAGGAGAATCACCTGAACCCAGGAGGCGGAGGTTGCAGTGAACCGGGATTGCGCCACTGCACTCCACCCTCCATCTCAAAAAAAAAAAAAAGAAAACACTTTTTAGGTTATAGCCATTGACTATAATACAATTAAACTAGAACTTAATAACAAAAGGACAACTTAAACATCTAATCACTTGGAAATAAATTTTTTAATCCATATTACTCTTGGATCAAAGAGAAAATGTATGCTACAAAATGGTTATGAAAGCAAAATCAAAACATTTGGGATTCAGCTAAAGTTATATGCAAAGAAAAATTTGTAGACACAAATTTTCTTTTATTATCAAGAAACTAAACTCACTAAATTAACAATTTGACTGAAATGAGAAGGAAAAAGCAATAAAGTAAAACTATGGAAGGCAAAAATATGGGTTTACAATTAAAGCATACCTTAATGAATTTAAAGATTGGAAAGAAATGCAAGAGCATTTTGAAAATAATGAAACCATAACAAGACTAATCATGAACAGTAGTGAGAAAATTGAAAATGCACAACGTTGGGAATGAGAAGTGGCATAGAAAAGGTGTTTTAATTATAAGAAAATATGTAATTGAATGTTAATGAATTTTAAAATTTTATTAAAATTAATAAATTTTCCAGGAAAATATAATTGCTAAATTGACTCAAGAACTAGAAAACTTGAAAAGACTAATAATCAAAGAAGAAAGGGATATGTTGTTAAATAATTACTTTATAAAAAAGGCCTGTTCCATAGAGTTATACCGTGGATTTCTTTTCACTCAAGAAATTTAATGTTCTTGCTGTTTAAAATATTCCAGAACATTAAAAAAGAATGAAAAAGGTCCCAATTCAGCTTTTGAAGCTAAAGTAACCCCGATACCCCAAACTAACTAAATTAGCAAAAACAAAAAGCAAAAAAAGAAAACAGAAGATCGATCGGACCTAAGAGTATAGATGAAAAAAGGTAAATAAAATGCTAGCAAATCAAAACTAAAATGTTATTAAAAATAATACACTGTGACCAAGTAGAGTTTGTTCTAGTAATTCAGGTAATGTTTCATTAATATAAATAATTACATCTTAAAATCAAAGATAAAACTTATAATTATCTACAGTGGCTGGAAAATTTCTTTGTTAACTAGAAACAGGGTATTTCATTTATGTAAAGAATACCTCTGTTAAATCAGCATTGATAAAATCCTTCATATTAAGACATTTGAAGTATTCTTATTAATGGGACCAAACAAGGATGCCAATTTAACCACAATTATATAACATTTTCCATACAGTTTGATTTGTGTGAAGAATCTTAGAATCTTAAGGTTTTTTGATACTGAGTACATTTATCCATTCTTTCCCCACTTCAAACAAGGTATTGTTTGAAATAATACTTTTATCATATGGCAAATTCTTTAACATTCTTGGTTCCACGCCCCCCCCCCGGACTTATATTCTGTATTAATTATTTCTCTATCTCTGTCCCCTCCCACAACTTCACACTGTTTTGCATTAGTTTAACTTCATAATGTGTTCTTACGACTATTTTAAATCACACATACACACATACACACACTCCCCCAAACTTCCCTACAGAAAAGTTTTACCAATTAACATTCCTACCAGCTGTGTGGTAGGCTGTTTCCAACATTGGGCCTTTTTCCCCAAGCCAAGTTAATATAAATTATTGATTTTTTGGGTCACCTACAGCTTGGAGAATCTGGTGAAAACTACGAACTGTTTTGCCTACTACTCCCATATATATTTATATTTATATCCACATCTCTATATACCAAATTGCACATATTATTATAGGTGTTTATAGACTCTCTGGAGTTTATGATGGATCCCAGGTTAACAACATCTGCAGTAAATATTCATCTATACTTATTCTTGCACATTTATATTTTACATTTTTAGCTCTTTAATTCAATGGAAATGTATTTTGATGACTATTTACAATATATTCCTAAAAATGTACAGTATGATCCAATTTTTGTCCCTCCCCATAAATATATTATATACATGCATAGAGAAACAGAAAGCTGCAGATATAGCAAAATGTTTCAATACTGTGGGTGGTAAAATTGAGTGATTCTTTGTCTATTCTCTGTTTCTTTATTTAAATTTTCCACAATAAATCTATTTCGCTTTTGTAATAAGAAACAGATTAATTTCTTTCAGAAGGAAAAGCAGTGAGAATGGTTTGGTTGGTTACAGAGCTACAGGAATGAGAGGTGGGAGAGTTTCTCTTCCTTTGTGGGTAGAGATGATTAGGGGGTCGTGGAGAGTGAAGTTTGAACATCAACTGTTTGCACTGGTGCACCAGGGCAGGCAGGAATCAGAGGCTGTCTGGGCCAATCTCACTGCCTGGACACAGGCGCCTCAGTGTGAACCGGGGCCTGTGATGGGCCGATACTGCTCGTTCCTGGAACAAGGGCCCTGTGTCTTCCACTGTCCAACACAAAGGACAGAGTTCCCCTGTTTACTTTGGATTAGAAATGTTCAAATGAAGGACAGCAACAACATTTGAGTTTTTCCTCTTTTCAGTTTCTTACAAAAAAACAAATTGTAGTAAGTCAGAGATTTTTTTGGCATCTTCGGTGAATAAAATCAATCAGACTAGATCGCTGAAGGAGTCTTAAAGAGCTTCCCTTGTTTACTATGTTTTTTAGATTTATGGCTTAAAGCTTAAGAAGTAGCAGTGACTGACTAGGCCTCTGAATTGTCCATTCATTTCCCAAGAAATGAGGCATTCCCAATTCCTTGGTCAGTTGGGCGAAGTGACCTTTGACCTTTGGCAATAAGCTCATTCTAGGCTGGAAGTAATCACATAATTATGGAAACACTCCTTCCTTTTGTCCAACCTCCCACACACTTCGAAATACTCCTTTCCTTTCAGATGCTCATTCAAAACCCCCCTCAATTAGACCTGCTAAGACATAGAGTTTGTATCAGACATAGAAGTCTTTAAATCATCAAAGTCTAAGTGGTCCCATGTTGAAAGACTGTGCCTAACACTATAGGGAATAAGACCTTGAATACCATGGTGGTAAGGTGGAAACTGTGTGGCCTTTTGTGATGTCTGGGTTCAAATCTTAGCTCCAGCACTAATGGCTAAGGACAACTTTCTGAACGTTTCTGATCGTCAATTTCCTTACCTGTAAAATGGGGGATATGATAGTACCCAGCATATAAAGTCATTATGAAGATCAAATGAGATGATGTGTATGAAAGGGTGTAAGTCAGAGCCTGGCATATGAAAATCACTCAATGCATAGTGGCTGCCATCACTGCTGTGACTTGCAACTGTTGTCACCTCACGTGGAATAGGTGGTTACAGCATTCGCCCAGTCCAGGAAGATGGGGCTAACCTGGTGTGTGTATAGGACTAGAAAAGTAGTTTGCCAGGACAGTGATTTTCTGTCTGATACTGGCTTGTAGTTGGGTAACTACCATAATATCAGTAATTACCAAAGGAAGTGGATATAGAAATCCTGGGGAAGGGCTTTTGTACTCCATATCTCCCCTGCTCTTCCAGTACTGTGAGAGTGAGAATGCCCATCTGTGATGAGAGGTGCTCCGACAGGGATGTGATGTGCACATGAATGATACAGAAAGGGGAAAGGGAGCCTGCTAATTTTGATCCATTTTATCATCTTCTGCCCTGTCAGCTCTAACCATTACTAACATCATCAGGGGCAAGTATCTGAAGTGACATTTGCTTGTTGTATCCCAGGTCATAAGGGTTCCTCAGTGTGACGGTTAATCTTATATGTCAACTTGACAGGGCTAAGGTATGCCCAAATAGCTGTGTGTGTCTGTGAGGTTGTTTCCGGAGGAGATTAGCCTTTGAATTGGTAAACAGAGTAAAAATCTGCCCTCATCAATAAAAGTGGGTATCACCCTACCCAAGCAGGGCCTGAATAGAATTAAAAGGTGGAGGAAGGGCAAATTTCTTCTGATTGAGCTGAGACATCCACCTTCTCCTGGTCTTGGACATCAGCATTCCTGGTTCTTGGGTCCTCAGACATGAACGGGGGCTTACACCATTGGCCCTCACTTCTTGAATCTTTGAACTGAGACTGGGACTTACAACCTTGGCTCCCCTCGTTCTCAGCCCTTAAGGCTTGGACTGGAACTACATCACTGGCTTAGCTGGGATGGCAGATTTGGGACTTCTTAGCTTCAGTAATGGTGTGAGCCAAGCCCTCCTAATAAATCTCTTTCTCTGTATCTTCATAGCCCCTATTGTTCTTGTTTCTCTGGAGAACTTTGAGTCATATACTCAGTCTGCCCTTTTGGGGGTGCTATGCAGAGTTGAATCTCCAAAGGTCTGACACAAGGAGTGGAATCACGAGCACCATGGCAGGGCCTTCCCACTTCTTTTTATCTTGAGTTTCTACTGGCCACCAGCAGGAATGCAGAAAGGAAAAGTGTAGTAAATCCTCATTTAACATCATTGATGGGTTCTTGGAAATTGCAATGTATAACAAAACCAGTTTTACCATAGGCTAATTGACATAAACAAGAGTTAAGTTCTTACGGCATATTTCTGGTTACAAAAACATCACCAAACTTCTGAATAAAGACTAAAACACTTCTAGTATTAAACATTGAAATAAATGTGAGCTATACTGACATTTAAGAAAGATGAATAAAAACAAGTAAGATTATTATTTACCCACTTATTCCAGTTCAGCGGAAGGGGTGGCTGGAACCTACCCTGGCAGCTCAGAGCACCAGGCAGGAACCAGCCCTGGACAGGGCACCGGCCCACCGTAGGGCGCTCATACACACACCCGCACTCACTCACTGGGGCCCTGTAGACACAACAAGGAACCTGACATGCACATCTCTGGGATGTGGGAAGGAACTGGAGAGCCTGGAGAAAGCCCACACGGACACAGGGAGAATATGCAGACTCCACTCAGACAGTGGCTCCAGCCAGGAATTGATTTTTTTTTCTCATCAACATTACAACAAAACGATAGTGAACAAAACATTATTTGAGGACCCACTGTGAACCAACAGATTTTAAGATATAGCCAAGATCACACAAAGAAAATCCCCTAAACATATGTCATTTCTTTACACATCACGTTTTCCGAATTCCGATGAGAACAAGCGTTTATTCCCCCACAGGTAGATGAGCGATGTTGAGAGCAGAAGTGATTGCTCTGAGAAACTGTTGGAAAACCAAGAGTCTTAAAGTCAGTAATTTATTTGACGATTGATGCTTCAGGGGACAGGAGCCGTTTGTTGGGCTTCACGCTCACTTTAGAACCTTTCGTTGGCCAGGCGCGGTGGCTCACACCTGTCAGCACTTTGGGAGGCCGAGGCAGGTGGATCACGAGGTCAAAAGATCAAGAACATCCTGGCCAACATGGTGAAACCCCGTCTCTACTAAAAATACAAAAATTAGCTGGGTGTGGTGGTGGGCACCTGTAGTCCCAGCTACTCGGGAGGCTGAGGCAGGAGAATCCCTTGAATCCAGGAGGCACAGGTTGTAGTGAGCTGAGATGGTGCCACTGCACTCTAGTCTGGTGACAGAGCAAGAGTCCGTCTCAAGAAAAAAAAAAAGAAAAGAAAAAGAAAAAAAGAACCTTTTGTTGCTTCCTTTCCCTGGGCTGTATCGTCTCTCTCCTTGCCACCCCACTTGGCCTTGCTCTCCTATCACATTTTCCCTTCCCTCTTGTCCTCTCTCTCTTCCTATTTCTCACTTTCTCTCTCTGTTTACCAGCAATAGGAGAAAGTAAGCATCATAAGATTTTTTATTTAATGTTAACGTCATTGATTTTAAGAGATCTTTATGTTGTCGTTTTTTCTTGTTTTAATTAAAAACCTAAATCTAGTTGACCTTATTCAGATGTAATTCACTTAACTTTTTTCCCACTGTGTGTGCTTGTATTTTAAATTAACAACAATCCTTTGACTTCTGTGCTGATCTGAAAGGTGTTTTATCCTGCCATTTTATTTCTTACTGTTAGATAACTGGACCTCTAGTGTGTGTGTGTGTGTGTGTGTGTGTGTGTGTGTGTGTGTTTTCTTGCAAGCATTTTTATAAACTTGACAATGTATGTTTGCAAATATAGTAGTAAGTAACTCAGCATAATCCAGTTCTTGCCCATGACACAGCCTTCACCTATGCTCTGAAACTGCACCTCAGATCTGAGAAAAATGTGCCCGCCTGGTCCTTGACTTAGATATCACTAAAGATCTGGCCATCAGCCTCTTCCTGATGCCAGACACAAGTCAGGTGAGTAACCTGCTTCTCCAGTTGGGCAGGACTTTGGGATTCCCCTGGATGAGACTCCTGGGTAGGATAGATCCCCTGATATTACTGTTGGATCACACCGAATGAGATAACCAAATTTTCCTTCTCATGGTGCCACTTACAAAGGGCTTCTGAATAATTATCTGTTTGATCCTTACACCAACCCTAGGAGGTGAAGCTACTAATGTTATCCCCAATTTAAAGATGTGAAAACTGAGACTCACGGAAACTAGGTGACTTGTCTAGGGTCACACAGCCAGGAAACGTCAAGGTGAGAATTTGAACCCTGGCCTTCTGAACTTGAGATCCAGGGCCTGGCACAGAGTGGGCCCAGCAGACATTTCTTCTTCCCATCACACCTGCCATGAGCTAAAGAAAAGTCATCACTTCTGTCTTGTAGGACCGGCTCTTCAGGGAAGGACATCCCCACAACCAGGACCCCTGGCAAAGAGGAATTAAAGACCCAGTTGTGTTGTGATGTTCATTATTCAGATCTCGGAGCGCTCACGGATCTCTTGGATGTCCCCTGCCAGCTCAACTGATGAGACTGCTACTTTATGTACCACTGCTTGAAAAAGAAGGGAATCTCCTATTTCTCACACAGGATAACAGTTGAGAGTCATTGCCACAATAAAACAGACATGTTAGCGGTCAGGTTCATATAAGGACTAAGCGGCCCCATGAATCACATAGGACTGGCTAATCCTAGGACACTCCTCTCTGTGGTTTGCTAGGTAGCAGAGAGGGGAAGCTAAATAGTAGTTTCTAATAACAACTGGGAAGGCTTTTTCTTTTTAAATAAAAATGGAATTGGCATAATTGGGAATGAAGATAAAGCTTGGAACCAAGTTAGAGAAGGCAAAGTGTACGTAGAAGAGCTGTTACAAATATAAAACTTGGCTGCGTTCTTTGTGAAGGCTCAAACTTGGGAAGGTTAAATACCATAAATTTTTTCATTTGTTCTGTATTTTGATCCTGAAAAGAAAGCTGGCTTTGCCCATGTATTACTTTAAAAACTTGGGGGAAAGGAGAAGAAAGGGACAAGTTTTTAAAAACTGTTTGAAAACATTACAGCTGAAAGAAGCTACATAGGAGCTGGGTAGAGAACCTAGTGACTAAGAGAATGAGGAATGCCGAGTACGCATCCTGTGGGCGGGGCTCTACCCTTGCCGCTTTCAGGTACGGGAATCTTGACACCAAACATGTTCTCACATGCATGGTGGTGTGAATGATTTGAAGGAATTTGTAGTTAGTATAAGGAAGAACCTGGAACATGTTTAATGATTTACCCCAGGAGATCATAATAAACAATGTAAAATTTGGGAGACATCTCTGAGTTCCCTGGCTCTTGCAGAATTCAGCTGGGCAGTCAGAACCAGTACTGTGCCCTCGGGTATGTCTCTGGAAGTCCCAGGAAGATAAGAGATATCTAGACATGAGACTTGGTTGAGGCAACCCTACTCACCAGCTATGCTCCCAATCAAAATGCCCTCCTTCTAATTCTATTAGAATTATTCCCACACTTACTGCATTCTCATATTCTCAGAAGCACGCACACACACACACACAAACAACCTTCCATGCTTCCAAGTTTAAATGACTCCTGTTAACTCCTAGTTGCCTTTAAGGGCTCAGCCAAAACCTCACCTTTTCAGGGGCCCCCTTGATTCCTCAAACATGGTCAGGGCCACCCATGGACTCTGATACTGCCCTATAGACCTCTCAGTGGCACTCATAGCACTTCCTTTGTCCCCATCTCAGCGTGTTTTGTCTGATCCCACAATGCAGGTATGGATGCCCGTCCACCCCAATATACCTCTCACTGGATTCTCTTGGCCTTGCAGGCATCTTGGGGTGGTCAGTGGAAGGATCCCCAGAAGGATGTGGAGGCTGTGTGCCTCCTAGGTGGAAGTGGGAATCAAGCTGGGCATTGGAACCATGGGGATTGGGCTTAGAGAAGAAAGTCGCTGATTTTGTGAGCTCAACCACACAGCACCATCTTCCCAGCAGTGATAAGGCCTCTGATGGAGAGCTGCTAAGGTGCTGTGAAGTCCAGACACTAAGCCTGTGAACTTGGGTCCCTCAATGGGGGCTTGCCATAGTCAAGCATAGAAGGAGGGGCTCCTCCACAGAGGCCAGCCCCTGTGGGAGCCACCCAGTCTGAGGAATAGGGCTCTATCTCATTTTCCTGGATGACATCACCCAGGAATAGCAGGGATCAATGGATGAACATCAACAGCCTGGGCTTCTCAAGCCAGATTTAATTTTTCAAGCCAGATTTAAAAGGTCTTTTCTTTCATCTAAATTTATAACTATTATGCCCATAGCACAAGTATAATTACATAAGGACTTCCAAAATTGTTAGTTTTCATGTCTACCTTCCTCTGTTAGAAGTGTATATACCTAGCACAAAGTCCAGAAGGTGCTTGATTCTCAATCAATATTCATTCAATGAATGAGTGAACTAATCCTTGAAACTCCTTAAATCTTCCAATAATCCCAAGCCCTTTTGTTGGAACCTTTGACCAAAACAAAGTCATAAAACCACCACTACCCCACATGTCTTTGGGAACTAGTCTATGTTAGCCCTGCAAGTCTGAAAGCTTAGCTTTGTTTTGTTTTGTTTTTATTTTTAAATTTTTTTTTTCCTACAGCGTCACTCTCAGGATATGACAGCATCACTTTTGAAAAACAGGTTGTTGTTTTTTTTTTTAAAAAGGTAAGAAGACAACAAGGAGTCGGCCTCACACACTATGGATTAGATTTCTTAATCAAGTGTTCACCTTCCACCTCTCGTGGTCCTACCATATCACCCTTTTCTCTTGTGTTTTTCCAGATTTAACTGCCTGATCAAATAGTTTTACAAGAATAAACTCAGGAAACAGGTTGAGAAATGAGCAGCTGAGACTGGAGTGTTCACTTTGCAAAGAACATACTACGAAAAGATCTGCACTCTAGGAGGTCTCAGCTGATGAGGAAGATGCTAGCACAGTGTCCTATGGTCAGAAAAGATGACCTGGCAAGAGGGGGAGTGGAGGAGAGGCAGGAAAGGGGATCCCTTCATGCTGAAATCAATGCAATGATGTCTGATATATACAGAAAAACAGGTCTTGTATAAATATGTCATTATAAGTGACAAGATAATAACATTTTCTAGTGTATGGATTCTATTTCTTTATGTCATTCTGGTCAACCAAAAACAATCCTATTTGGCAGATTTCTGGCATTTTGCCTCTTCCCCTAATGACAGATCTAAACACATATATAAAAATAGGTGGCCACAAAGAAATAACTTCTGGCTTTAAATGTCATTTGGCTAGAAATGTCTCAGGCAGCCTCTCCCAACTTTCCTGTGATATCTTTGAAAACAAAGAGAAAGACAAGAACTCAAAACAAGCACCAGAAACTTGACCCAATCAAAGTCTTACCCAGATTCTTGGAAGCATTGTTCTTAATTACAAGGCAAGAAACATAGGATTGATACAAACCCATCCAAATTATGCCTCATGTAATAGAAGTCAGTGGGAAGCCAGCTGCCCCTATTTTCTTAGAGACACAGAGATTCACGGTCTGTACCAACCAGAACACTAAGCGGGCACCCATGTGCCATGGAAGTCCTGCTTTTTGAGGATGCCAGTACTACATCTATTTGGAGATAGCACCTCCCAGGAAATAACTGGCCAGGAAGTGTGTGTATACGTGGGGGAGGGGTAGGAAGAAGGAGAACCAGCAATTTGTACTGTATCTTGGGAGGTGTAACTTTAACTTTACAAGCTAAACACTACAGGCAAGGGTGGAGACAGGAAGATTCCTAATAGCAGGACACTCTATCAATTGCAGTTTTGCAGGTGACTCTGTGGGTCACAAGAATAGAGAACCAGATGGGGAATGTGCTACCTCAGTAGAATGAAAATGTTATTTGGTGCATGTCTGCTAGAAACTGAAAATTGGTCTGGACTCATGCATGTCAACTTGTACTTCAGGTCTGAAAAGGGGATGCATATGTATAAAATTCAACAGAATGTACAAATAATTAAGATTAATAAGTGACCTGAGCAAGGATGCAGAATACAAGGTCAATTAATTTCTATGTACTAGCAATAAATAATTTTAAATGAAGTAAAAATACTATATACAACATAAAATCATCAAATATTAAAGAATAAATACAATAGAATATGTTTAAGATCTCTACATTGAAAACTATAAAACACTGAAGGGAAAATGTTTAAAAGACCAAAATAAATGGAGGAATATACCATGTTTGTGGATCAAAGCATACAATATTGTTAAGACGTCAATCCTCACTAAATTCTATTGTAATCCCAATCCAAATCCCAAATATTCTTCTACAATATGGCTTTGCCACTGCCCCATCAATAGAAGTTTACTTTTTCTCTCTTTGAATCTAGATAGGCTTATATGCTTCATGGCTTCCTCGGCAGGTGATAAATGGCAATTCAGCTTCAACCTGGATTACAGGAATAGCCATTGTTTTAGACTTCAACTGTCACGTAAGCAGTTCAGCTGAACTGAGGCACCATGACGTGAGGAAGCCCAAAGTCAGCCTATCTGGAGGGATCACATGGAGAGGTCCCAAGACTACACAAAAAGAAGATGATATGAATGCCTGGCCAGCCCCTAGCTGCTCTAGTTCCTTGCTGTTCCAGCTCCAGCCATCATCCAACTGCAACTGCATGAGAGACCCCAGAAGCATAGAGCTAAGCCCTTCCCAAATTCCTTCCCACAGAAACCCTGAGAGATAATAAATGACTGTTGTTGTTTTCAATCACTGTTTTGAAATTGGTTGTTAGGCAGCAAGAGAAGCCAGAACAGGGACCTTGGAATACACAGAATTTCTTAATCAGGATACAAAAAGAGCTAACCACAAGCTTTAAAAAATGATACATTGGATTTCATTAAAATTAAGAACTTCAGTTTATCAGAAGATACTACTTATCAGAAGAGAGTGAGAAGGTAAGTGACAAAATGGGAGAAGTTTTCACAAACCATATCTGACAAAAGGACTTGTATACAGTATGTAAAAGAATGCCAAAAAGTAAGAAGAAAAAGACAACAAACAACCCAATAAAGATGTTCACAAAACCCTTAAACAGTCACTTTATAAAAGAGAGTGTCTAAATAGCTAATAAGCATATATCAAGTTTTCAATATTATTATTCATCAGGAAATAGGAATTGAAACCACAATGAGAAACCACCATACACTCATCAGAATGGCTAAAATCAAAACTAACAAGAGTAAGCATTGGCAGTGATGTGGAGAAATTGGAACCTTTATATATTGCGGATGGTAGTATAAAACAGTGTGACCGATTTGGAAAATTGTTTGGCAATATCCATTAAGCTAAATATAGTTCTACCTTATGACCCAGATATTTCACTGCTAGGTATATACCCACTAGAAAAGAGTTCATATGTTCACCAAAAGGTATATACAACAATGTTCACAGCGCCTTAATTAATAACATCCCCAAGCTGGAAATAATGAAAATGTTCATAAACAGAAGAATGGGCAATAAATTATGGTATATTTACACAACAGAATACTCAACAATAAAAACAACAAACTACTGATACCACAAAAGCATGGATAAAGATCCCAGACAGTATGCTGAGCAAAATAAATGGGCATGAAAGAATACATACTGTATGTTTCCATTCATAGTAGTCCCCCCTTATCCGTGGTTTTGCTTTCTGCGGTTTAGGTGCCAGTGGTCAACCTCGGTCCAAAAATAGATGAGTAGAGTACAATAAGATATTTTGGGAGAGATGGGGGGAGAGAGGGAGAGAGAGAGAGAGAGACCATATTTACAAAATTTTTATTGCAGTGTATTATTGTTCTATTTTACTATTATTGTTAACCTCTTGCTATGCCTAATTTATAAATTACACTTTATCATAGGTATGTAAGTACAGGGAAAAAAAACATAGTATAGATGAAGTTTGGTACTATCTACAGTTTCAGGCATCTACTAGGGGTCTTGTAACATATACCACATGGATAATCCAGGGACTACCTCATATGTTCAAGAGCAGACAAAATTAACATAATGGAAGTCAGAATAGTGGTTACTTTGCAGGGGTAGAAGGAACAAGGGAGCTTTCTGGGATGTTAGAAGCATTCGGTATCTTGATCTGGATGGTAGTTACACTAGAAAATACATATGAAAAAATTCATTGAGCTATACATTTAAGAGTAGTGATTCTACATATTTTACTGAATGTATATTATACCCCTACTAAAAAGTAGAAAGAAAAAACAGAAAAAAATATGCCAGAATATTAAGTGTATAACCAGACCGTCCTGAGAAAACTGGCATACACCACCACCCTATTTTTTAGGGAAAGGGACAAGAATGATATAAGGAAGTTTTTAATGGAAACTAAAATGTAATAAATTAAAATCCACTTTGAGTTCAGTAAAAAGCAGAATTAGTGCTGAAGAAAACTGAATTAGTTATGAGAATGAAAAAAACAGGAAAAAACACCTCATAATTAAGATGAAAGGGGCAAGTCATGAAAACAAGAGAGAAGATAATAGGTATAGATTGGTGACCAGAACAAAGCAGACCAGAAATAATCAAAGATATGGCAGAAGAAAAGTATTTGAACTCTAGGTAATAGCAGAAGAATTCCTTGCATCTCACTCAAAATTTGTGAACAGGGACCCATCTATGGCAGAACTGCCTAACTGACCACCATAGCTTATGCTCCCCTTTCCATGGCACAGTGTTGTCAGCAGGCAGCTTCCCAGACAGGAACTGCATTTCCCACCTTTTTCTGTATCTAGGACAGGCCATGTACTAATTCTCATTAATGAATGTTACACATGTTATTTCCAGACCACTGTAGTTAAAAAGTCATTATACCTTCTTCTCCCTTTTCTGCCAGCTAGCTATTGATGCTGGTGATGTTAGAAGCCATTAGTTGAAGATGGCACGTGTTCCATCAGCCAAGGTCCCTGAATGACTGTGTGGAGCACAGTCTTCTCTTAAGCCCCACTACAAACCAGAAACTACACATTAGACAATTCTGTTGTGTTAAGCTACTGAAATATTTGGATTTATTTGCTCCAGTAAATATAAAGCAATGGGAACTCTCATAGTTGGCTGATTGGAGAGGTACAACTACATTGGAAAACTGTTCGGATTACCCAATAAAGTTGAACATGTAGATACTCTTTGACCCAGGAATTCAACTTCTAGTTATATATCCTATATGCAATGAATGTTTACAGCAGTATGGTTTATAGTAGTGAACAATAGGAAACCACCCAAATTTTCATCAAAAGTATGTCAGATGAGGGCTGAGCACAGTGGCTCATGCCTGTAATCTCAGCACTTTGGGAGTCCAAGGCAGAGGGATGGCTTGAGGCCAGGAGTTCAAGACCCACCTGGGCAACATAGCAAGACTCTGTCTCTATAAAAAATAAAATAAAAAGTAGGTCACATGAATTGTGACATATTCATAACAATAATAAACCACAGAAAAATAAGCAAAACAAATTACAGATTATACAGAAACATGGATAAATATAAAAACGTAATATTTAGTTAAAGAAGCATGTTCCATAAGAATATATATAATATGATTCCTTTTATATAAAATACAAAGATCAGGCAAAATTAAGCAATATACACCTACGTCTTGCTTAAGGACTTTAACCCACTCTTGGAAACCCCGCTGCTAGGTAAAAAGCCATTAAATAAAAATATTTTTTCATTCCTTAACTTTCAGTGGAAAAATTATGATATACTCCATTGCAACCCAAGATACCTAAACAAATTGTATAGATAAAAATATGTTGATCAAGCAATGAAAAATAAAAGCTCTAAAAGTAATAAACACCAGCTTGAAAGGAAATAAAAACTATCTTAAATGTATGTGATGACATTTATTGCATTCACAGAGATTGTAGAGAAGTCTATTCAGAAAATATTCACGTTATTTAGGTGGTCTTAGAACAAGAAATGACAGAACATTTCTCAATGCATTTCTCAAAGCTGGTATAACCCTGATACCAAACTGGACAATGACTAGAAAAAAAGAGAGAGATGACTTTAAATTATTGATCTGACCTATGAATATAAATTTTAAAAAAATCATAAAGAAAATACTAGCAAATTGAAATCATCAGAAATTTGAAAGAAATACTCCATGACCAAGTAGACCTTGTTGAAGTAATGTAAGAATGGTATAATTATGGACATAAATGCTTAATTTATCGCATTGTAGGTCAAAGAGAAAAACACAGTATTAATAGATATCAAAAGTAATTTGATAAAAGTCAATATTTACTTTTTATTAATCCTCTAGTAAATTGGGAACAAGGGGTTTTTTCCTTAATATATATTTAAATAAAACCGACTGCCAATATTATTTTCAATGATAAACACTAGAGGTATTCCATTCAAACTAGGAAAAAGACAAGGAACATTCTATCGCCTATTCTTATCACTTTTCTGAAAGTGCTAATAAATGCAATTAGATCTTTAAATAATTAAGCAGTGCAGGTTGGAAAAGCAGAGAAAAATGATCATTTTAAACATATTATCAAATTTTCTACCTGGAAAAATGTTAGATGGATGGAGTGGTGGGGGCAGTCCTCCCTTAGTGTAGGCAGTAAGAGAGTGTATATCCTGTGGAGAATTTTAAAAACAATGATAAATTGACTAAAAGTCTGCCTGCTTTTATAATCACTTGAGAGGGACAGTTCTAAACAACGCCAGTAACAAAATATTCTTCCTCCTAAAAAATACTCTAACTTCTATACAATTGTTGCAGTTATTGTTGAGTTTAAATAATGCATGTTTCCACTTAGTTGATTTTCATTACTTATCCATTAATAAACATTGTGTCCTACATGGAATTAATTGAGACCTCTCAGGTAAATAGTCAGCCCCTGATACACATGGATTTAGTTACACGGGTTGTTTGGAAAGTAAGTTTATAACAATTTAGAGTCATTTAATCCTGCTTCAGAGGCACTTTGTGTCTCCAATTCTGTGGCACTACATAGTCCTACACTGAAAGAGATTTGCAATAAACAATAAAGGCACAGTAACTGTAAGGGTAAAGAAATAGAGCTGGAGTTACTTCAATTTGGTCATGTGACCATTGCCAGAAGAATTCAAAAGGGCAGAGTTTGAATGTCTTGATCATTTTCACCAAGAATAGAAACTCATTCTTTTTTTTTTTTTTAACCGCTCCTTGTAGATAAGGACTACCCCATGGGCAGCACGCTGACAGTAGCCTTTAAACATTTTATTTATTTATTTTTGAGACAGAGTCTCAGTCTGTCGCCCAGGCTGGAGTGCAGTGACATATTCTTGCTCACAGCAACCTCTGCCTCCCAAATTTGAGCAATTCTCCTGCCTCAGTCACCTGAGTAGCTGGGATTACAAGCACGTACCACCATGCCCAGCTAATTTTTTGTATTTTTAGTAGAGACGGGGATTCGCCATGTTGGCCAGGCTGGTCTTGAACTCCTGATCTCAAGTGATCTGCCCACCTCGGCCTCCCAAAGTGCTGGGATAACAGGTGTGAGCCACTGTGCCTGGCCAAGAATGAAAACTCATTCTAAAGCAATGGATCAAGTAATGGCAATGTTTGCTATGATCCTCCTATTTTCTATGATTTTTGCAAGAGAAGAAAAACTTCATAGGTTTTTATAAAATGTAATAGAAATATATGATGAATTTCTTGGTGAAGATATTTTAATGACAGCATCATTGTAACAACAGATGCAAGGAAGCCAGGGAGGATCCCCTAGCGATAATCTAGGTGGAAGGAGATGGTTACCGGGACCAGGGTGATACTGGTGGAGTTGGTGAGAATTTTGGGTGGATAGCAATGACAGGAATGGCAGGATTGACTGATGGTGGTGTGACAGGAAGAGATTTCTGGCCTGAGCAACTGGGCAGTTGGAAATGCCACTTACTGCCATGGGGAAGAAAATGAAAGGTACAATCTTTTTGGGGGGGTGCAGAAGTTAGTTTTGGACATGCTAAATTTAAGAGTAGATATCTAAGCAAATTTGCCAAATAGGCAGCTGAATATACCAGTCTGGGCTGGAGGTATGGATTTTGAACCCTCTTGAAGCAAGAGGGTCTGTTTCATGAGCTGGGATTTTGTCCTACCCATGCTGAAAACAAATAGGAAAGGACAAATAACCAACTTCATAATTAAAATCTTTAGGATTAGATGATTTAGCTTGGATCACACAACTGCAAAGAACAGATTGCATCTATTGGGGTCCCCACCCATGCTTTGGACTTCAATTGTGTTAACCTCAACATCCTCAGGAATTGCTCTGTAGCACATTGACATGTGATCCAGAAATGCATCAGTATCTGGTTTTTAACTAATGTGATGTCAGTGAGTCTGTGATGCAGCTGAAGCTGGAAAATCTCCTCCATATCAATGGATTCAGGCAGGTCCCCCATAGATGCTACAGGCCTTTGTTATAGGACCTTGGCTCATCAAGAAACAAAAAGTTTTTAATATTGCTCACCTATTCTAAAATTGTTTCTATGCCTTTCTGAAAATTTTTCCCTTTTAAGAAAAAACCATGAGGGGCAAGGTCAGGGTTGGAGGCCCTCCAGCAGTCCATGATGGTGATAATGGGCATGCCTGCTGCGGTCCCCAGTCTCAGCCTTGCTGTCTCTGGCTTGTAAAGCCTGGTTTGGGTATCAAGGGCAATACTAGGGTTTTCTGGATACAACTGTAACTTGCAATTAAGAGCAACCCAAAGGACAATTTGGCAGCTATGGAGGTCATGCTGCCACCTGAAACTTACAAATGTAACTACTTCTTACACTCCTACCAGCATTCTGTGTGGCCAACTTTAATTTGCATTTCTTTGTATACTAGTGAAATTGATCATTTTCTTAATATATTCACTGGCTGTTCTTTTTTCTTCTTTAAATTCTGTCATTTTTAACCAAAATTCTTGTTATGTGTAGTCTGTTGATTTTATTTTTAGTAGTGCATGAATTGAAATTGTTTACTCCATAAGAATTTCCATTTTTTTTCTGTTCTGTTCTAAATGGTCTCTGAATACATCCTGAATATTATCTTTGAACATTTTATTTCATTTCTGGTGGTAGCACTTTAGGGGTGTCCTGATGTTTAAAACCAGCTAACTTGTTAATCCCCTCCCCATGAGCGGCCAACTGGAGTCAATGAAGAAGCCTTCATTGAAATCTCCTCCAATATTGCTGCATTTGAGGGATTCATATAACCCAGCTGAAATATCCATGGTCAAGCCAAGCCTTTCCTGATAAGATATATCTGCACAATGCTGTTTAACCATATCTACTTGGGCATTCTGGATTCTGCACAGTCTTCAAAAGTGAATGCCTGAAACCAAACACCCAACCCACTCTCCACACACTTTCTTACATCTTCTATGCATTTGGACATGGTGATGGATGTGGGGGTGGGGGAATGAGGAAGTGACTGCTAGGGCCCCTGAGGTTGTAAATGCTACCAAAGTCAGGATTTCTAGGGGAAATAAAAAGCTATTTTAAGCAGACCAATTGCTGTCACTCTAGTTTAGGTTAAACCCTACAAGCTCCTCTGGAGTTGCAGCTGTCTTTGTTCAGCTGGGATAGCTGTAAAAATAATAGGGCCCATCACACACAGCACACATACTGTTGTACTCTTTCACATCGGCTCTAGGGTTCTGCTGGGGTTATAGACACTGTTGCCCTTGCAATGGTCAAAATAAAACCATTCCGACTGAGGGCACCCTGATGCCACAATTTATGGAACGTCATAAATTCATTAATAGGTAATGTAGCATTTGTATAAGCTCTCTATGATGTTGTTGAAAGCTTGCTGATAGCATGGAAGAGGACAACTGAACAACAACAACAAAAATCCACCTTTCATCATCACAACAGAAAGCACGGAGTATTTGAATCTCTAAGAATAGTTCTGCATTAAATCGACAAGTTGTCTACCTGGTGCTAAGATGGAGAGAGGAAAATAAGCGGATGGCACTTTAAATTCATGAAACCACGTTTCAGTTTGGGAGCTGATCCTTATAGATGCCCTAATAGGACTTCAGTGAGATCTAGGGAGCCTCCCCAGCCCAGTGAGTCTCACGACGAAATCTCTAACATCTCCCAGTCCGTGGCTTCTCAAATAAAGCGACTTCATTTAACTGCATGAAGTTTATCTTTATCCTCATATGCAGCTTGAAAACTATTCTCCCCCATCCATCTCTGTATCTGTGCCAACAAAAGGAAATATATATATACTTGTAAGCATATATGTGCTTATATGTATGTATGTGTATGTGTGTACATACCCCCCCACACCAACTTATAAGATAATAAAAAAAATTTTCTGTCAAACTTCAAGCAAATGTTTAAAGTCCAGAGATAATTCTAGCTCCAAACATCACCCAAGCACAGTAGTCCACCAGGAAGCATAAAGCTGATAATTTTCCCTTCCTGTGATCACAGCTGATTCAGCACTGCAGGATGTAGAGTGAAGAGGAGAATCTAAAAACTCTAAATCAGAAAACAGAGCTGCAGCTTCTTAAAAACTTCCTAACTTTATGTGTATCTTTAGATATGCCTTGGAAACCCTGGATGTCATAGTAGTTTGATTTTTTAAAGTGGGCTGTGGATGTCACACAGAGATGGTAGAAATGCAACGAGTCTACGCGTTGTAAGAAGGTGTTGCAGGGACGCCGAAGGGGCTTCTCTACCTGCTTTCATCTAGCAGAGGCCCCCTTTCCTCTCTCTCTTCCTGTCTCCTTTCCCCACCCTTCCTCCTCACCAGTCATATTTTCCAAACATTTTGCTCTGCAGGTAATTCGTTTCCCATCAGGTGACCCTTGCAGCCTACGCTCAAATGTGTCTTCTGCAGATCATAGTTGCCAGTTGACCTACTCGTCTTCCTCAAACCCTTTTTTGTGCTTCTTTCTTATAAACCTGCATGATGAAGAAGCTACAACAGGAAAAATGTGTGGACATGAAGGGAACTTGTGAGTAGGTGCTGTTGAGTACATGCCTGTGTGTGTATATGTGCTAGGGACACCTACCAGGGAGGTCCAAGTGGATAAGGCCTTCAAATAAGATTCTGATGGTATAAACCAATTTGGTTTACACATGCTTAGGAGTGTGACATGGTTTTATCATCTTTTTGGAAAAGCTTCTATGTCTGAGGGATGTGCTTGAGGAGAGATGGGTGCAGGGAGTGGCGAGGGTGCTGGGTGTGAAGGCTTACATTGTGTTTGGAAATCAGCTTCAGGTTTGGTGTTGCACATTTTTCTGAGAGTTTCAGAGCTAGTGTTTCTTAATTTTTGAGTCTTTTGGAAAATATCATCAAACAGCCAAGATTAAGAGAGAGATGGGGGCAGGGAAGGGGGTTTGAGGCTGCTGAAGCCCCAGGTTCAGATGTAAACCCCAGAGGGGTTTCAATTCAGGGATCTCAAACCCTTACCTGAGCTTTATTTCTACTATTCAGAGAGTTTCCTCACAACTCACCCTATCCCACCCACAGAAATAGTCATTTCAGACTTATGGGGGCAGAAGCATTTTCTGAGAACCTGGTACTGGTAGTTTTTGGTACAATATTTTAGCAAGATAGGGTTATAAGAGCTCTTAAACATCTTGGTTTAGTTTAGACATAATGGCTGCAATCTTATTTATGGAATGAAGATTAAAAGACGTAACCAAAAAATGTTCGTGGGGGCAGGCTGAAGTGGGTTGCTGATTAAGAGATTAGCTTGATGACATTAAGATGAAAGTGAAGGGGTAGGGGGAGATGGCTGGATTAGTTAAAAACATATGGCCAGTGTAGTAGACTACAGATGCGTTTTCACAGTTTAAGGCTTCTGTTCCTAGTAAGAGATTTAGTGTGAATATAACCCTTCAGGATACAGTCATTCCTTCTGTGGCTCTTTGCTTTAGTTTACATACTTAGCAAACAGGATACAAGCCTCCTACCCTGAGGGTCTGTGGGGGCAAGCAAGTATTGGCCATGGCACACATCTCAGGTTCGGGACCCACCCAAATTGTCACATCCTTACCGAATTCTCCCTGCCTCCACTGCATCCCCAAATGGCTTGGACATGGACTTGGGAAGGCTTTCATTGGCCTCCAAATTGCCGTATGCAGGGTTTCTGCCTGAGACACCCAGCACCTCTCGCAATTCAGTGTCGGGCTGA
This sequence comes from Homo sapiens, assembly GCF_000001405.40. Classification (NCBI taxonomy): domain Eukaryota; kingdom Metazoa; phylum Chordata; class Mammalia; order Primates; family Hominidae; genus Homo; species Homo sapiens. The sequence continues at coordinate 70,583,288 of NC_000002.12, forward strand.
CATTATTCTCAAAGCCTCATCACTGATGACAGTGAGGTGAGCAAGAATCAAGGGCTTCGTTTTTTAAAACAATCTGTCAGCAGCTTTCAAAGTTGAATCTCAGGTCTTGTCCTCCCCTAGGCTTTAGTGATCTCTGGTAAACTGAATTAAAGCACATTAAATGCTCATTTAGGAGCACATTGGCCGCCTTATCCAAAGACACTTGCAAAGGGTGTAGGAGACTGGCCTAGTTTAGTAGCATCCAGGCACAGTGAGGACGTGGCATCATTTTGGCCTTCAGCCTCCTGCAGTCTCTAAACCTCAGTATCTGAGTCTGTTTTGGCTGCTACAACAATATGCCTTAGACTGGGTAATTTATAAACAGTACAAATTTATTGCTTACAGTTATGGAGGCTGGGAAGTCCAAGATCAAGGCACCAACAGATTTGGTGTCTGGAAAGGGCTAGTTTTCTGCTTCAAAGATGGCACCTTCTCACTACCTTTTTTATAAGGGCAGTAATCTCATTCATGAAGACCTAATTACCTCCCAAAGGCCCACGTCTTAATACGATTGCATTGAAGATTAGGTTTTAACATATGGATTTTGAGGGGAAACATACCTTCAGACCATAGACTGGTTTAGCCTGGATTCTTTAGAATTGGGCCTGATGGAACAGGAAACAATATTTTAAACAGTTAAAACAAAAGGTGGGTGGTGTGGGGAGGCGTGGTGGCTCATGCCTGTAATCCCAGCATTTTGGGAGGCTAAGGCGGAGGGATCGCTCGAGCCCAGGAACTGGAGACCAGTCTGGCCAACATAGTAAAACCTCATCTCCACCAAAAAAAAAAAAAAAAAACCCAAAAATTAGCTGGGCTAATTGAGTAGTCCCAGCTACACGAGAGGCTGAGGTGGGAGGATCACCTAAGCCTGGGAGGTCGAGGCCGCAGTGAGCCATGATTGCATCATTGCACTCCAGCCTGGGTGACAGAGAAAGACCCTGTCTCAAAAAAAAAAAAAAAAAAAAAAAAAAAAAAAGAGTACGGAGACAATGCTAGCCACGGAGATGGTCAAGAGGCTCACCTTCACTATGGGCTCTTGTTCTAAAATCAGATTGTGGTAATGGCTGCACAATTTTGTAAATATACTAAAAAGTGTTGAAAATCATTACAGCACGTGAATCATACCACAGTAAAGCTGTTAAATAAAAAAGAAAAAAATATGGATCACAGACACCTACTTCTCCTGGTGGATGAACAACTGGTGACTCCAGCATAACCCAAAGCTGCATTAGAAAACCCTAAAAATTCTGTTTTCTCTGAACAAAGTCAGTGAGCAGAAATTCCAACGATGCAGATTCTGCCTTAAGAAGGGGCCTTCTAGTTTACAGTCCCCTAAAACTTAAAGTATAATAATAATAATAATAAAAAAGAAGGGGCCTTCTATTACAAAGACCCAATTAGCGAATGGAAGACTTTCTATGAGGTAGTGCCCTCCCTAGCACTAGATTCATACTCAGCAGTCTACCAGGGACAGAGGACCAAGGACTCTGCATTGAAACAGGTGTTGTGATGCCTCCTGGGATGATTCCAAGCTCTGAGGTCAGGGATCCTAGTGTTGGGATGTGGCAAATCCCCTTTTCTCTCTGAGGCTCAGTTTGTTCATCCAGAAGCTGGGGATGTTTCTGCTACATTTCTAATTCATTTGGATGGGATGTTTATGTGATGCTCTGAGATGTTGATCAAAGAGGCCAGAGGAACACAGATTCCCTGAAGACTTAGACTTAGGTAATGACAGGAACTCGGCAACTGACAGACTACAATTGTGTGCCCATAATAATAGTAATTAATGCAAGAATAATAACTTCGTTTTCTATTTCCTATTCCCACTTTTATTCTGGGAAGCTCACAAACCCAATAGAAAAAAAATTTGGCCACTTCTTGGGTGTGGTCTTATTGTAGTATTTTAATGTTTGCTTTAGTATTCATTGTTTTAAAAAATTATAAAAGTGCTATGTTGCCTGTAAGAAATTTAGAAAAGGCAGAAAGCAATGAAAGGAATATAAATTAAATGAGAATCCCACAACCCAGTGATAACCACTATTAACATATATATTTGTTGTATTTTGGTATGTATCTTTCCAATCATATAGAAATATATTGTTTTACAGAAATTATAATGTTTGTAAGCTAATTTCTAATTTAACAATATATTGCAGTCTTTTCTAAGTCATTAAATATGCTTCTAAAATTATCTTTAATGGTTGCACAGTTTTGTATTACACTCTATTAATAGAATAGATAGGTTTATCTATTAATAGAAAATTAATATATTACATGTATTAATAATTACATCAATAAATTATAAAATTAATATATAGTTTATGTTAAACTATAAAATTTTTATATTAGTTAACATATTTTATATATTACTATATATTAAAATGTAAAATTGATATATGTTAATATATAAGCATATATTAATATATTTAATCGATTTCCTATTATTGTAGCTTTAGGTTACTTCCAATTGTTTCTGATATTGGCAATAAAATTTTTTAGGTCAAGATTTTGTGCATATAAAAATATGCATTTTTTTTTTTTTTTTTTTTTTTTGGAGACAGAGTTTCACTCTTGCTGCCCAGGCTTGAGTGCAATGGCGCGATCTTGGCTCACTGCAACCTCTGCCTCCTGGGTTCAAGCAATTCTGCCTCAGCCTCCCCGGTAGCTGGGATTACAGGCATGCGCCACTATGCCTAGCTAATTTTGTATTTTTAGTAGAGATGGGGTTTCACCATGTTGGTCAGGCTAGTCTCGAACCCCCGACCTCAGGTGATCCGCCCACCTCGGCCTCCCAAAGTGCTGGGATTACAGGCGTGAGCCACCGAGCCGGACCAAAAATATGCATATTTTTATAAATGCTCTGGACATGGACGCTAGATGTGTAATTTCTGGTTCAAAATATATAAATATTATTCAGATTTTTGTTATTTATTTCTAAAAGGTCCTTCAAAGAGTTTGTGTATATTATACACAAGCCATCAGGGCATGAGGGTACCCATTTCCCCACGTCTTCTTTAATTCTAGTTATTATCATGATTAAATATGCCAGTTTTGTAGCTATGTATTCAACGGTATCTCATTTTTTTAAATTTGCATTTTTCTGGTCATTATTGAGCTTGACTATTTATTCAGCATCAACATTTGTTTATATTTTTCCTTTTGTGAATTGTATCCTCATGTCTTCTGTTCATTTTTTTGTTGGACAATTCATCTTTTTTTCTGTTGATTTATATATATTACGGATAGCAAATCATTGCTTCCTTTATAAGTTGCAAATATTTCTTCCCATGTTGTTGTTTGCCTATTAATATTTTTTTGGAGGGAAAGATAAGTTTATTCTTTTCTAACTTTATTTTTTATTGCAGTAAAATATGCATATATAATTTACCATCTTTACCATTTTTAGGTGTACAGGTCACAGTAATAAACACATTTATATATTTTTTTCCCTTTATCCCTCCTTCCCCCTTACCCTTCCAGACTGGCCTGTTATTTTTATTTAAGATTTTTTTTGATATACAAATTTCTTAACATTGTCAAAATCTAATGATTTTATTCATTTACAATTTCTGTCTTTGGCACAATTCTTAGAAAGTACTTCCGTACCCAGAATGTATATAACTATTTTTCTTTGGAGTTTTTATAATTTCACAGTTTACATTCACATCTTTATGTTACCTGGTATTGATGTGGATTTATTGTGTGAAGTAGAAATTTCATTTTTTTCCAAATGGTTAGGCATTAGACCAATTATTGAAAAATTTACTCTTATTTATCTAGTTTGAGGGGCCACCTTTATCATGTATTACAATTTCATGTATATTTTTATCTGTCTTTGGACTTGTAATTCATTTTCATCAATTTGCCAGCCTTAGCCTATGTTGCTCCTAGACTATCTCAACTAGTGTTACTTGTTATCCATTATTTTGTTATATGTTGTAATATCTGGTAGGACAAATGGCTGCTCATTTCATAGAAGTTTATTCTAGATATTTGACAATTTCTGTAGCTATGGTTATTGGAAACTGTTTCTCCATTAGATATTTGTAACTAGTTACTGCTTTTTAACTACATGCTTTAGCATGTCACAACTAACTAAATTGTTTTTATTAGTTTGAGTATTGTTCCGTAGAAAGCAGAAAAATAATTTATTCCAAAAAACGACAGAGCAATCCTGAAAACAGACTTTGGTGTATTTCCATCACTTGGGGGCAGATGTTTCTTCTGCGCACTTTCTCTTTCTGATTGTCTCACTGGGGTCTTCAGCACCGCAGCAGCCTCTGCATATGTCTCAAACACATGGCTTGCTGCCATGTTGCGAAAGGACAGGAGCCATCTTCAGATGCACAGATTCCCTAAAAGAGATTTAACATATTTCTCTCATATGTCAGAAGGGAACACAATACTGAAGTTCAGAATAAGCTATTCAAATGTTCAAGACATCTGAGAGCCAAGCAGATGTGTTGAGGAAGGCAGTCAGGAGTAGGAGGCACTCTTGCAGATAAATGAATGCCTTCTGTCACCAACATAACAAAGCACTGAGCAGCGTGTCCTCTTCCTTGAGGCCAAGGATGCTTGCGTTTCATATTTTAGTTGTGGTCCAAGGAGAGGGTTGAGGTGGGCTGGAATTGCAGTTAGTCAAAGGAGATGGCAGCAAACTAACTAGGTTGTCAGAATGGTGATGAGAGCTTCCCAGTGAGTACCCCGGGGATCAACCAGGGGACCAAGGCCCGAGAACACATTTATCCAGTGAAAGCGCTGTGAGGTTTTTGTACACCAGGGCTACCACCGTAGCTGCCACCTCTGTACCTGCTGATGCACTTTTGTCCCCTTGCAGTTCTGATATTTGAAAAATTGATTCCCTCATATTTCCTGCTAGGTAATAATATCTGCAATTGATGAAGATTTAATCTCTTTCCTATATATGTTTTTCTCTTCTTTATCTTTTTTTTTTGTGTTTTACTGCATTGACTAGCCATTTAATTTTTTTTTTAATTTTTAATTTTTATGGGTACATAGTAGCTGTATATATTTATGGGGTATATGAAATTGACTAGCCATTATAGACCAATGAATAAACAAGCAAACAAGACAGACCTATCTTTGCCCTATTTTTAACCCCTGGAATGCTTCTAACTTTTCACTGCTAAATATATTGTTGGCAATATATTTATTGCCAACAATAATTTGGAATAATATATTGGAATAATATATTATTCCAATATATTATATTATTTATATTATAAATAATATAAACAATATAAATATATAAATAATTATAAATAATTTATAATATATTTATAATATATTATATTATAAATAAATAATAATTATATTATAAATAATAATTTGGAATAATTTGGAATAATATATTGGAAATATACTAAGACATTTCTTTCTTGTTCTTATTTACTAAGAATTCTCTTTTTTAAAAAGGAATTGGCCAGGCGTGGTGGCTCACGCTTGTAATCCCAGCACTTTGGGAGGCTGAGGCGGCAGGGAATCACCTGAGGTTGGGAGTTCGAGACCAGCCTGACCAAGATGGAGAAACCCTGTCTCTACTAAAAATACAAAATTAGCCAGGCGTGGTGGCATGTGTCTGTAATCCCAGCTACTCAGGAGGCTGAGGCAGGAGAATCACTTGAACCTGGGAGGCGGAGGTTGCAGTGAGCCGAGATCACTCCATTGTACTCCAGCATGGGCAACAAGAGCAAAACTCCGTCTCAAAAAAAAAAAAAAAAAAAAAAAGAATTGATAAATGTTCCTTTGCTATTTTCCTATTTATATACTAAATTCTAATAATAGATTTTCCATTGTTGGGCCAGAATTGCATTCTGGAAAAAACTATTCTACCTGGAATAAACGTTGAAAATATACACTGTGTGGTATATTATTTAAACTATACTACTCAAAAAGATTCTCTAAATACAATACTAAAGATTGTATTTAGAAATTTTCCCACTGTGTGGATAAAATAAAATGGCCTGTAATTTTTGTTGTCATTTTTGCCTTCAGGGCTACGTTAGCTTTATTTTATAAATTGAATTTTACTTGATTAATCAGAAAGCCTTTTACATTTTTGTATTCTCTAGAGCAATTTTTAAAAGTCTCTCCCTTAATTATTTTTTTCTTAAAGCCTTGAAATAACTTTCCCATAAATTGTTTGAATCTGCCCTTTCAGAACGTTGCCTCCCAAGTCATTGGCGAGTGCCCATCGTCAATGTGTTCTCTCTCTCTCTCCTTATATTCCACATTCCCTGGTCTGACATCTTCAAGGTCTATTCTCAGATGTACTCCTTGGCTCCTCCCAGTATCTACGGGTGAGGTCCTACAACTCTTCCTGGAGGAAAAACCATATTTCTATCCTCAGGCTGGTTTGGCACATGATCGTTGTTGTTAGCCCATAGACAACTATGAGCGACAAGGGTGGATATCACAAGGTACCTGCGTCAGGTGAAGTCTCTGAAGTGCCTCCAGGCAAGGGGAGATGCTCTCTCTCTGATAACGGGGAGACGGCCACTTCTCCTGGTGCAGACAATTCAGGGGTGTCTGGGAGTTCAAGATTATTAGGTTCATATATCCAAATGTCCACATCTCAGTTCTCACAGATTCATTCTTTTTGTATCACTTCAACATGTGAGACCTACTGTGAATACAGGTAGTCTCTTTTTCTATTTTGCTACCTCTACAATTAGATACTGGGCCTGACTTTTGACGCAGTCAGCCTTATAGCTGCTAGAAATGAAGGATCTCATTAAACGCTTCTATAGAAGCAATTTGGCTTACATAGCATGTTTTGTGTGTTCAGAGTTGGCTGTCCTGATTCCACCATTTTCTTTTTTTCAAGACTTTCAATGCAGTTAACAAAAGCTGGACAACTCCATAATCCTTGTAACTGCTATTGCCATCCAACTGTCCAAACGCTACCCCTACCACTTAACCCAACACATTCCCTCCCAGCTGTGCCTCATCCCAGTCAACCCCAGGTAAGACTTCTAGTAATTTTGATGTCAATGCATGTTAGGAGTTCTTGTCACCCTACTTACCGCCAGTTATGGAGACCGATGGCCATCTGACCCAAGAGTGGCCCATCTAAAGTCCCACCCTGAAGGTCCACTTTCTAGGACTGCTCTTACTACCAACTGTCATAGCCTGAGTTCCCCTTAAAGCAGAGTCTGAGACCAAAGCTTAGGTATGAATGTTCATTTGGGAGTGTGGATCTAGGGGTTAGGACAGGAGCAAGAGAAGAATAAAAGAAATAAACAGGGAAAGAGGGAAAATCACAACAAGGATGTGTTATCAAGTTGAACAACTGCTACAGGGTGCTCAATCCCAATGGACAATCTGAGATGTGTTATGACATGTGGCTCAAGGCCTTGCTCCTGGGAAAAGAGAGGGGAAAGCATTTATCCACTGGCTCCCTGTTTCTCCCAATTCCTGGTTGAAGGTTGCCCCAAACGACATTAAATATTTCTCATCTTGGTTGAGCAGGCAGGGTGCCACTACATCCTGCACTGAGGAGTGTCAGAGAAGGCCTGGGGCAGGGTGAAACAAAGTGCTGTTGGATTGCACCTGCTGGAGGTTGTTCAAAGCCAGAGCAGAGCTGGTAGCCATAGTTGTGAGTGAAATAAGAGCTGAGGCCCAGAGGACTAATTACAGTACCCACAGCTCGGGTATCCACAGTTTGGGCACTACCTTTAGTCCTCTGGAACTAAACACTGTGATTAGGAGTTTTCTTTTACAACTTTTAAAATATCTGAGGTCTGCAGATCACTTGAGGTCAGGAGTTCGAGACCAGCCTGGCCAACACGGTGAAACCCTGTCTCCACTAAAAGTATAAAAATTAGCCGGGTGTGGTTGTGCGCACCTGTAGTCCCAGCTACTCAGGAGCTCTGACGCAGGAGAATCCCTTGAACCCGGGAGGCAGAGGTTGCAGTGGGCTGAGATCGCGCCACTGTACTCCAGCCTGGGCAACAGAGTGAGACTCCATCCCAAACAAACAAAAAAAAACAAAATCAGAATTAGTAATGTAATCAGGCTTTCTATCTCCTATTGAGTTCATTTTGGTAACTTACATGTTCCTTTGAAAATCATTTCATTTCATTAAGATCTTCAAATATGCTAGCATGATTTTCTCTCTCCCTCCCTCTCTTTCACTACGTTTTTAAAGGGTTGTCTAAATTAGTGTTATTTGTTTTTTTTTTTTTTTTTAGAAAGAGTCTCACTCTGTCTCCTAGGCTGAAGTGCAGTGGCATGATCTTGGCTCACTGCAACCTCTGCTTGCCAGGTTCAAGCAATTCTCCTATCTCAGCCTCCCTAGCAGCTGGGATTGCTGGTGTATGCCACCATGCTTGGCTAATTTTTTTATTTTTAATAGAGACGGGGTTTTGCCATGTTGGCCAGCCTGGCCTCGAACTCCTGGCCTCAAGTGATCCACCTCAGCCTCCCAAAGTGCTGGGATTACAGGCGTGAGCCACTGTGCCTAGCTGTTTTTGTTTTGAAGTTTTTTTTTTCTTTTCATAAAAACCAGCCTGGATTGAATTATTAATGACACTTTTCTGTTTTTCAACTTATCAATTTCTGCTTTCATTATATGAATACTTTTTAACAGCTTTATTTTACATTTAAAAACTTTCCTATTGAGATAAACAATTCATTTATTTTCATTATTTCTTTTAAAAATAATAATAGCATTTTAGAATATGATTTTCTTTCTGACTATGGCTTTGTCATCTGCCAAAAGTTTTGAAACTGGTGTTTTATTGTTGCTATTTTCAGAACAGTATTTAATTATATGTTTTATTTCCTTTCTTACTCAAGAGTTATTTAGAAGAGTGTTGCTTAATTTCTTGCTATTTTAATTCTACTATTTAATATTTTTCTCACTAATTATTTGTGTTATGATTATGGTCAAAGAGAGTTTACATTTTTAAGAATTTATTGACATTTCTTTATGGCCTAATATGTTACCTCAGTTTACAAACTGGCCATTTAAAAGCAATATTAATTAGGTACTTGTGAACTATAAATGTTGAAAAGCTTATTGATTATTTAATTCCTTTATGTGTCAATTTAATGCATCATGGTCCATGATGATAAGAAATGATAAATGTTATCACTAAGATTATAGTCTTATCCATTTCTGCTTGAGTTTTAAGATCTAATTTTTAATATTTAGCTGCTATCTTATTCAGGACATAAACACTGATGAGCTTATCTCCTTTGTGAATTGCATCTTGTATTGATATAATATTCCATATGTTTTTTTCTTGAATTCTTTGTTCACTATTAACATTGTCATTCCTACTTCAGTTGTTGCTTTGTCTTATTTTCATTTATGTCCTATATTTTTGTACATCCTTTTAAAGAGGAGCTTTGTGGGTCACTTTATTTTAGGCCTGCCATTTGTAAACACTGTATATGACTCAGATTTCTGTGGAGGAAACAGAAAACCCCTTATGTGTTTTAAGTGAAAAGGGATTTAATATAAGGAATTAGGTGCTTACAGAAGCATTAGGCTAGGCTGAAGGAATGAAGAGGTTGGCAGCCCCCACTGGACTCACAGCACCACATCTGCTGCCGTGGGTCGAGAAGTTACTGCTGCTGCTGCCAGCACAACTGCCTCTTAGCCCATGAAGCTGGTGACCAGGCACTGGAACACAGGTCTGGCTGCTACCAATAGTCTTGTTTGTCCAAACCTGTTTCCTGTCAACCAGCAGCAGCAAGGTGGCCTCCACTTCACCTCCACCTGCTAAATCTCCCTTGAATGCATCTTATTGGCCCAACCTAATTTGCACCTAGCACCGTCATTTGGAAGGCCTTTGAAAAAGGTAATTTTTAGTTTTACAACCCCTCCAAGTAGGAGGATGGAATGGAAAAGCCATTCCATCTTAGGAAAGCCAATCCAAGAATCTACCATATAGTTTTGAAGTTTGCCTTTTGAATTCTGAGAACCCTTCTGTTTCAAATGGAGAGAGTAGCCCAGTCACATTTATTAGAAATGATATTGATCTAACTTCTTTATTCTTATGTTTATGTGCATTTCTACTTTTCTTTTTAATCTTTTGTCATACTGATTTTTTAAAGTAATTTGCAAGTTTTGTATTCTATTTTATTCTACAATTATTTTTAGTTGAAGTATACATAAATAAATATATATTTAGATTATGTATATCTTTAGGTTAAGTATATACTTCCATACCTTTTTCAGGGTCAAGCATGAATCAGTATCTGTCAACCCATGTACCGGATATCCTAGTCAGGGGGCTCTTGCTGGCAAAAAAGAGAAGCCTTCCGCCAATCTGAATAGAAGATGATTTCAGTGAAAGGATACTTGGTGGATCATAGAGTTGGTGGGAGGCCTGGAGAGCCAGGCTGGGGGAGTGGGCAGGTGGAGCAGGCTGTTTAGAGTCCTGCTGCTGCCAGTCCCACAGCCCCAGGGCACAGGCCTCTTCTCCTCACCTCCCTTCCTCTAGGTTCAGACCCTGGGCAGGGCTTCCTAGTAGCTGAATTTAGGCCATCCACCTGGGCTCTAGTTGTTTTTTTTTTTTTTTTTTTTTTTTGAGATGGAGTCTCGCTCTGTCACCCAGGCTGGAGTGCAGTGGCACGATCTTGGCTCACTGCAACCTCCGCCTCCGAGGTTCAAGCGATTCTTCTGCCTCAGCCTCCTGAGTAACTGGGATTACAGGCATGTGCCACCATGCCCAGCTAGTTTTGTATTTTTAGTACAGACGGGGTTTCTCCATGTCGGTCAGGCTGGTCTCGAACTCCTGACCTCGTGATCTGCCCGCCTCAGCCTCCCAAAGTGCTGGGATTAAAAGGCTGGCCCCACATTCCACCAAGACTCGCACAGTGGCTGATTCCTTGAACCTAGGAAGGTGTCAGGTGCTGTACCCCAAACATTGAAGTGTCCGCGGTACATATCCCCTCATTGTAAAAGATGAGAAATTTAGTCTGTTTTCCCTTCTTCTTTTTAGTTTGATCAACAAGCACTTATTGACTGCTTTGTAAGAATCAGAAATTGTCATAGGCACAAATTATGTAAATCAAAAGGCCAATTCCTGTCTGCAAGGAATGCATAGTTTGGTACGGGAGAGAACTAGATACTTAAAGGTGCTGTTTTACTGTGATGGGACACATACTAGGAGCATGTATGTTCACAGGGTGGGATTGGAGCAGAGGAAAGAGATGCTTAGCTCTGTCTGAGTGGGAGAGGATGAGTCTGATATGATCTCAAAAGAGGATCATTTTCCAGGTGTTCAGGGTAGGGGAGAAAGGCACAAGCACTCGGATATGTGGAACAACATGGTGCACAGAAAATATATGCACTTTGCTGTCACCAGGACAAGTGTCACCTGTGTAGGCAGGACCAGAGGAGCTGGGGCTGGAGAGTTAGATGGGGCCACCTCACATTAGAGGTGACCGACGGAAGAGGACCCAGCAGAACATGGCCATCCCTACCCCAGCCACATTGGAGCCTGCTGATTCTCTCTCTCTGAAATTTGCTGAGTCTTTGGATCCACAGAGCTTCTAACCCTGCTGGAGCCTGGAGAAGAGGAGAGGGGGGAGCAGAGAGACAGTAGAGATGAGAGAAGGGTGCTGAAAGATGTACCCCGCTTCTGGCTCAGTGAAGACATGACATTTTCCCACAGTTCAGTAGGCACCAGAGAAGGTGGCAAGGCTTGAGTGGCCTTTAGGTTAAGGGGCCCCTGAGGCATTTTCTGAAGGGAGGACCACCTGTGTCAGGAAACTTGCACAGGGGGAGGCCTCACTGGGTCAAGAGAGGACAGCATTTGGATGGCTGACCTTCAGGGGCCACTGAGGACCCACTGGTATTAGCCAGAGAAGTAGCAATACCAAACAGAGTGACCACAAGAGGGACCTTTTGAAAAGAAAGAAGGAAACAATAGTTGCTGGAGAGGATGTGGAGAAACAGGAATGCTTTTACACTGTTGGTGGGAGTGTAAATTAGTTCAACCATTGCGGAAGACAGTGTGGTGATTCCTCAAGGATCTAGAACCAGAAATACCATTTAACCCAGCAATCCCATTACTGGGTATATACCCAAAGGATTAGAAATCATTTTACTATAAAGACACATGCACACATATGTTTATTGTAGCACTATTTACAATAGCAAAGACTTGGAACCAACCCGAATGCCCATCAATGATAGACTGGATAAAGAAAATGTGTCTCATATACACCATGGAATACTATGCAACCATAAAAAAGAATGAGTTCATGTCCTTTGCAGGGACATGGATGAAGCTGGAAACCATCATCCTCAGCAAACTAACATAGGAACAGAAAACCAAACAGCGTATGGTCTAACTCATAAGTGAGAGTTGAACAATGAGAACACATGGACACAGGGAGGGGAACATCACAAACCGGGGCCTGTTCGGGGGTGGTGGGCAAGGGGAGAACATTAGGACAAATACCAAATGCATGCAGGGCTTAAAACTTAAATGACAGGTTAATAGGTGCAGCAAACCACCATGGCACATGTATACCTATGTAACAAACCTGCACGTTCTGCACATGTATCCAGAACTTAAAGTTAAAAAAAAATAAGATCTGGGGATCTAATGTGCAGCATGGTGACAACAGTTAATAATGTTGTATTATATACTTGGAATTAGCTAAGAGAGAGTTTATCTTAAGAGTTCTCACCAAAAAAAACAAAAATTAAAAAGGGAAACTATGTGATTTGAGGGATGGATATGTTAATTAACTTGATTGTGGTAATTATTTTACAATACATACCTATATCAAATCTTCATGTTGTACACTTTAAATATATACTTTAAATATGGGAAAAAAAAGAAAAGAAAGAAAACCCTTCATGTCTATGCCTCCAATGGGCTGAGTCTTCTCAATAGCCTTGGCATTTGTTGGTGGCTAATTGAGGATGCCAAGGAGGGATTTCACTACAGGGCTTGGAACACAGCAGTACTTCCTTAAAATTATCCTTAGAATCTCTTTCTCCTTCCAGCCGCTGCTCAAATCCTACCCTCTTCCACCACCTCTTAAATCTTTTTCCTGCCTGCATTTTCTTACATAAAGCAATCTACTACTGCCATCGGTTCATTCACTCACCGGAACCTGTCTTGCCAGGACCTGACCTCAGCAGACTGAGTCATACCAGCATCATCCTTGTTGGGGCCCAGGTCTGCATCCCGCTTCCGGCCCCAGCCCCACTGTTAGCTCCATCAGGTCCTCTGGGGCACACCAAGGAGGCCGTTTTCTCTCCCTTTTTCTGAATTAGATCCCCAGAAACAAGACATCAGGCTTCCTGGGGAAATCTAATTTTGCTCATGAATTTGACCATTCATTGTTGCTCAGTTACCTGTGCCCAGCTCTTTCTGCCTTTTCAAACTGCACTCAGCTGTGCCCTTGAATGAACTGGGGCAGAAGTCCTTAGGTCCTGATCACACATGCTGTTCCCAACTTCCCTTCCCCTTGACACGCTGTGGTGAACTCTGAATTCCAGCACGTCTCCACTCTGCTGTAGAGCCTTTCTAGGGCTGGCAAGCATTCTGCCACAGAGCTGGTCTTTGTGGCTTTATGCCCACAGTAATTACTAGGGCTGGGCCATGCAACCGTCTAACCTCTTCAATTTACAGCCTCCAGGATCTGCCACCCCTGTGGCATTTGGAGGGTGTCTAACCACAGACCGGACGTGCGTGGTAGCAGGTGGTCTGCTTGATTGCTGGTCCTTCAGTGACCCCTCTGCTCTCCAGTGGCCAGACAGGGATTCAGAACATGCCCAGGCATGTCTGCTACTGACGTCCTCATCCATGAAATTCCCAATATCTGCAGAAATTGTGTATTTGTACATGTTGATTCTATAATAAATACTGAATCCCAGCCTGTACTGCAGAAAGGCTTCCTTAGCCTCTCAGTCTGGCTTACGTAAAGCAGCGTAAGTGTGATTCTCCATTTCACACACCGGGGCCCTTAACATTCCATGCCCTCATGGCTCTAATTCTGATTTTGGAACAGACCCCACCATTTCCCTCTTTTTGAAGGTGACTTTGCAAGGATCACATAACTCCTGTTGGGCCAACTTCCTTTCCCTTGTACTATGAGCATAACAACTAGATGGTCAACCCGAAAGCTCATTCTTGTCACAGTTCTGGGGGGATCAGTTACCTGAAGCATACTCAGGTTGAAACCCCAGACAAACCTTACCAAATATGATGTGAACATTCCAGTCTGCCCTGTAGACCCTCACTATGGTATCACATCCCAATAAACACAAGCCCACCTCAAAAGAAAAAAGAAAGATTGATAAGTAATGCAGGTCTTTACTTCTTGTAAACCCAGAAGAGAGGATTACATAGCACGTCAGACAAAAATATCTCTTAAAATCCTTTCTAAGCAATTCTTGTTATGCCCGAACTTTGATTTCTCATCAGTTTCTTATGGTGAGTGCCCTATACCTAAATCCCTCCAGTATTTCCTCCATTTCTTTGCCTCTCTGTTCCTTTCTTTCTTTCTCTCTTTTTCCCTCTCTCCTTCTGTCCTGTTATTACATTTCCTTAGTGTTTCATTGCATCTGCTTCTCTGGTCAGCAAAACAAAACCATCTCCTTTGAGGCCCACCCTTCTTAAAAGGACCAGAGGGATAAATTTTTTTTTCTGCAGTTATTTTTTAATTAAACTTTTTATTTTGAGATAAATGTAGGCTCACATGCAGTTTTAAGAAATAATACAGATTAATCCCTTGTGTGTTTCCCCAATGGTAACATGTTGCCAAACCATAGCATAATTTGATATTGTCATCGATACAGTCAAGTACAGACCATTTCTATCCCATAAAGATCCCTCATGTTGTCATTTTATGGGCACATTTACTTCCCTCTCTGTCACCCTTCCTTAGCCCTTGGCAATCACTAATCTGTTCTCCATTTTGGTAATTGTGTCATTTCAAGACTGTTATATAAATGAAATAATACAGTAGATAACCGTTTGAGAGTGGCTTTTTCACTGAGCATACTTCTCTGGATTCATCCAGTTTGGTGCCTGTATCATATTAATAATTCCTTTTCATTGCTGAGTAGTATTCTACAGTAAGGATATACCACAGTTTATTTAACCATTTACTCCTTGAAAGACATCTGGTTTGTTTCCAGTTTTTGGCTATTGGAATTAAGCTGCTATTCATGTAAAAGGTTTTGTGTAAACCTAGGTTGTCATTTCTCTGGGATATATATATATATCCAGGAGTGCAATTGCTGGGTCATTTGGTAGCTATATGTTTAATGTTTTTAAAGAAACTGCCAAACATTTTTCCAGAATGACCTTTCTGTCCTTGCCAGCATTTGGTTGGTGTCACTATTTTTTAATTTTAGCCATTCTGGTAAGTGTGTAGTGACATTTCATTGTGGTTTTAATTTGCATTGTCTTGATAGCTAATGATATGAAATATCTTTTCATATGCTTTTTTGCTATCTGTATGTCACTTTCCGTATCTTTTGCCCATTTTCTAAGTGGATTGTTTGCTTTTTTACTGTTGAATATCGAGAGTTCTCTATATATTCTCAATACTAGTTCTTTGTTAGATGCATGGTTTGAAAATATTTTCTCCAATGCCCTTTCTTTTCACCCACTTAAGAGGGTCTTTCACCAGACAAACATTTTTAAGTTTGATGAAGTCCAATTTATCAGTTTTTCCTTTTATGGACCATGCTTTTGGGATCAAATCTAAGAATTCTTTGCCTAACCCTAGATGTCAAGCATTTTTTGTGTGCTTTTTTTCTGTAAAAGTTTTATAGTTTTACATTTTACATTTAAATCCATGATTCATTGTTGAATTAATTTTTGTGTAAAGATGTGAGACTCAGAGGTTCATCATGTCCAGTGTCCCAGCACCATTTGAAAATGTTGAAAAGCTATCTTTCCTGTATTAAATTGTTTTGCATCTTTGTCAAAAATGAGATGGGCATATTCATGTGGGTCTATTTCTGGGTTCTCTGTTCTGTTTCATTGATCATGTGGCCTTTGTGATCTTTGCCAATATCACACTGTTTTGGTTACTGTAGCTATATAAGAAGTCTAGGAATTGGATAGACTGCTTCTACTTTATTCTTCTTTTTCACAGTTGTTTGAGCTATTCTAGTTATTTTGACTGCCCATATAAATTTTAGAATAATGTTGTTTGTGTCTTTAAAAATCTTGCTGAGATTTTGATAGGAATTGTGTTAAAAGTGTACATCAATTTGGGGAGAATTGAATTTGTTACTATGTTGAGTCTTCCAATTCATATTGGAAGTCTTCCATTCATATTTCAATATTATATCTCTTCAACATTATATCTCCCTATTAGTTATATCTTTGGTTTCTTTCATCAGTATTATATACTATTCAGCATAGAAGTCCTATATGTTTTGTTAGATATACATCTATTTCTTTTTTAGTGATTATAAATGATATTGTATTTTTCATTTCAGTGGCTGTGTGTTCATTGCTAGAATATAGAAATACACTCTTTTGTATGTTTATTTTGTATTCTGTGACCTTGCTGAAGTCACTTATTAGTTATATGAAGGTTTTTTAAAAAATATTCCTTAGGATTGTCTATGTGCAAATTGGGACAGTTCTATTTTCTCCTTTCTAATCTGTGTGCTCTTCATTCCTCCCAGCTCCCCATTATATTGGTTAGAACTTTCAGCACTTGGTAAGTAAGAGTAGAGCAGACATCCTTGCCTTGTTCCCAATCTCAGGAGGAAAGCATTCAGTCTTTCTCCACTAAGTATACTGTTAGCTGTAGGGTTTTTTTGTAGATGTTCTTCATCAAATTGAGGGAATTCCTGTCTATTCCTGTTTTCCTTTTCTTTTTTTCTGAGAGCTTTTATCATGAATCAGTGTCAAATATTGTCAAATGTGTTTTCTGCAACGATTAATCATGTGATTTTTCTTCTTTAGCCTGTTAATATGATAGATTACATTGGTTGACTTCGAATAGTGAGCCAGCCTTGCTTGCATCCCTGGAATAAACTTCTTCACTTGGTCATGTTATATAAATCTTTTCATGGATTGGTGAATTCTACTTGCTAATATTTTGTTTAGAATTTTTGCATCTGTATTCATGAGGACTATTGGTCTGCAGTTTTTATCTATCTATTTATTTATTTATTTATTAAATATTTTTTAGTTTATCTTGCTGTTCTTTTTTTTATACTTTAAGTTCTAGGGTACATGTGCACAACGTGCAGGTTTGTTACATATGTATACATATGCCATTTATGCAGCCAACAGACACATGAAAAAATGCTCATCATCACTGCCCATCAGAGAAATGCAAATCAAAACCACAATGAGATACCATCTCACACCAGTTAGAATGGTGATCATTAAAAAGTCAGGAAACAACAGGTGCTGGAGAGGATGTGGAGAAATAGGAACACTTCTACACTGTTGGTGGGACTGTAAACTGGTTCAACCATTGTGGAAGACAGTGTGGTGATTCCTCAAGGATCTAGAACTAGAAATACCATTTGACCCACTATCCCATTACTGGGTATATACCCAAAGGATTAGAAATCATGCTGCTATAAAGACACATGCACACGTATGTTTATTGCGGCACTATTCACAATAGCAAAGATTTGGAACCAACCCAAATGTCCATCAATGGTAGACTGGATTAAGAAAATGTGGCACATATACACCATGGAATACTATGCAGCCATAAAAAAGGATGAGTTCATGTCCTTTGTAGGGACATGGATGAAGCTGGAAACCATCATTCTCAGCAAACTGTCGCAATGACAAAAAACCAAACACCGCATGTTCTCACTCACAGGTGGGAATTGAACAATGAGAACACTTGGACACAGGGTGGGGAACATCACACACCTGGGCCCGTCGTGAGGTGGGGGAAGCGGGGAGGGATAGCATTAGGAGATATACCTAATGTAAATGATGAGTTAATGGGTGCAGCACACCAATATGGCACATGTATACGTATGTAACAAAACTGCACGTTGTGCACATGTACCCTAGAACTTAAAGTATAATAATAATAATGATAAAAAACAACAGCAAGATGGTCTGCTGTTTTTAAAATTTATACTGCCTTTTTCTGGTTTTGGTAACAGGGTAATATTAACTTCATAAAATGAGTTGGGAGATGTTTTTTCCTCTTCTGCTTTCTGGAAGATATTGTGTAGAACTGGTGTTAATTCTTATTCAGTGTTTGGTAGTGAAATAATCAAGGCTTCGGAATTTCTTTTGTAGGAGTTTTATAACTACAGATTAAATTTTCTTGATAGGTAAAAGGTTATTCAAATATGTTTTTTATTGGGTAAGTTGTGATAGTTTGGTTTCTCCAAGGAATGGTTTTTCTGAGAATTTCTGAGAATGAAATTCTTTTTTTTTTTTTTTCTTTTGAGACGGGCTTACTCTGTCACCTAGGCTAGAGTGTGGCGGCACAATCACGACTCATGGCAGCCATGACCTCCTAGGTTCAAGCATTTTTTGTAGAGACAGGGTTTTGCCATGTTGCCCAGGTTGGTCTCCAACTCCTAGGCTCAAGTGATCCACCCGCTTCGTCCTCCCAAAGTGCTGGGTCTACAGGCGTGAGCCA
Source organism: Homo sapiens (assembly GCF_000001405.40). Classification (NCBI taxonomy): domain Eukaryota; kingdom Metazoa; phylum Chordata; class Mammalia; order Primates; family Hominidae; genus Homo; species Homo sapiens. Next base: position 70,601,921 of record NC_000002.12, read on the forward strand.
CTGCATCCAGTCAGTATTCTCTCGTTTTTGATGTCTGTAGAGTCTGCAGTGATATCCTCTGTTTATTACTAGTATTGGTAATTTGTGTCTTCTCTCTTTTTATTTGTCAGTCTTGTTAGAAGTTTGACCATATTCTTGATATTTTTCAAAGAACCACCTCTTCCTTCCATTGATTTTATCTATTGTTTTCCTGTTTTCAAGTTTATTGATTTGTGTTCTTTGTTATTTTTTTTCTTCTGTCTGCTACAGGTTTATTTTGTTCTTTTTATGCTAAGTTCTTAAGATTGGAGCTTAGGTTTTTTATTCAAGTCTTTCCTTTTTTCCCAATTATATACGTTTAGTGCTGTAAATTTCCCTCTCGGCAGCTTTAGCTATGTGCCACAAATTTTTAATATGTTATATTTTCATTTTCATTCAGTTCAAGGTATTTTTAAACTTCTCTTTAGACTGCATCTTTGACCCATGTATTATTTAGAAGTATGTTATTTTGTTTCCAAGTGTTTGAAGATTTTCCTGTTATCTTCTTGTTATTGATTTCTGGTTTGATTTCAATTGTGGTCAGAGAGCATGCTCTGTATGGACTTACTTTTTGTATCTATTGAGATTTGTTTTATGGTCCAGGATATGGTCTATCTCGGTGTATGTTCTCTGTGGGCACTTGAAAACAGTGTATATTCTGCTGTTTTAGGGTGGCGTATTCTATTAATGCCAATTTGATACTTTTGGTAGATGGTTCTGTTAAGTTCTTCTATATCTTTGCTGATTTTCTGCCTAGTTTTATAAAATTTTGAGGGGTGATAGTGTTGAAGTCTCCAACTATAATTATGAATTTGTCTATTTTTCCTTTCAGTTTTATCAGTTTTTGCTTCAAATATTTTGTAGCTCTGTTGTTTGGTACATACATATTTAGGATTTATGTATTTACCCTTGATGGATTTACCCTTTTATCATTATATAATGTTCCACTTTTCTCTCACAAATTTGTTTGTTTTGATGTCTACTTTATCTGATGTTAATATAGACAATTTTGCTTATTTTTATTTTTCCATTTACATGATATATCTTTTCCCATCCTTTAACTTTTAATCTGCCTATGTCATTATATTTGAAATGAGTTTTTTCTTGACAGCAGTTATAGCATGTTTTAAAATTTACTTTGCTAATCCTTCTTTTATTGGGTATATTTAAACCTTTTAATGTTATTGTTCATATGATAAGGCTTAAGTTTCCCATTTTATTTTTTGTTTTAAGTTTATTCTCTTTGTTAGAGTTTTTTCTTGCCTTCTTGTGAGTTACTTAAATAATTTTTTAGAACTCCATTTTGATTTATCTATGCTGTTTTTGAATGTCTCTTTTTGTATAGTTTTTTTTTAGTGGTTGTTCTAGGTATTACATTATATATACATAACTTATCACAGTGTGCTGGTGTTTTCATTTTACTAGTTTGACTGAAGTATAGAAACTTTATCTACCTTTGCACATCTTTATCTTCTCCCACATCAGACAGTTTTATAATTTCTGCTTCAATCATCAAACATAATTTAGTAAACTCAAGAGGAAAAGGAAAGCCTAATATATATTTACCTATATTTTTGCTTATAGTAATCTTTCTTTCTCTCTCTTTTTGATGTCCCAGTATTTCTTCTTTAACTGCTTCATTTCTATTTATAGAATTTCCTTTAGCCATTCTTTTAGGGTAGGTTTGTTGGTGTCAAATTGTCTTAGTTTTCCTTTATCTGAGATTGTCTTCCTCTCTGGGTTGGCAGTTTTTTTCTCTTTCAGCACTTGAAAAATATTGTGCCACTTCCTTCAGGCCTCAGTGGTTTCTGATAAGAAATCCTCTCTCATTAGAGTTATTTTTCCTCTATTGGCAAGCTTTTCATCTGGTTGTCTTTAAGATTTTTTTGTCTTTAGTTTTCAAAATTTAATTATAATGTGTCTTGGTATAGATTTCTTAGGTTTTATCCTGTTTGGGGGTTTATTCAGCTTTCTAAATCTGTAGGTTTATGTCACTTGGCAAATTGAAGGAATTTTTGCCTTTATGTCTTTAACTACTTTTTCAGTCCTATCCTTTTTCTTCTCTCCTTCCAGGACTCCAGTAACATGAATGTTAGATCTTTTGTTACAGTTCCATAAGTCCTTAAGGCTCTGTATATTTTTAAAGTTAATTTTCTCTCTTTTATTCATATTGGCTAGTTTCATTGTTCTATCTTCCAGATCATGAATTCTTTCCTACATCCCTCCATTCTGCTGTTGAGCCCATCTACTGAGTTTTTTATTTATTATATTTTTCAGTTCCAAAGTTTACATTTGGTTGCCTTTATATATATATATATATATATATTTTTTTTTTTTTTTGATGGAGTTTCACTTTGTCGCCAGGCTGGAGTGCAGTGGCTAGATCTTGTCTCACTGCAATCTCTGTCTCCTGGGTTCAAGCGATTCTCCTGCCTCAGCCTCCTGAGTAGCTGGGATTACAGGCATGCGCCACCACACCCAGCTAATTTTTGTATTTTTGGTAGAGACAGGGTTTCACCATATTGGCCAAGATGGTCTCCATCTCCTGACCTCGTGATCCGCCCCCCTTGGCCTCCCAAAGTGCTGGGATTACAGGTGTGAGCCACTGCCCCTGGCCTATTCTTCTCTTTCCTTCCTGAGACTTTCTGTTTCTTTGCTGAGGTGTTCTGTTTTTTTCATGTTTGAAGTATATTTGTAATTTCTTATTGAAATATTTTTATCATACATGCTTTTAAATCTTTGTCAAATGCTTCTAACATCTCTGACCTCTTGATGGTGGTGTGTATTGGCTTTTTTATAATTCAGTTTGAGATCTTCTTGGTTCTTGCAAATCAGATGAATGATTTTCAATTAAAATCTGGACATTTTTGTTTTGCATTCTATAACTCCGGATATTCTCTTTTAGCTGGCTTTCTTTGATACTGCTATGGCAGGTTCCTTAGGTCCCAGGTCCCTGGTTAGTCTGCCTTCTTCTCTCCCCCTTTTAGAATCTTCTTATGCTTATTTTACATATAATGTCCAGGATTTTTAGCTGTGATTTGCAGGAGGAATAAGAAAAAGTACAGCTATTCCATCTTCCCAGAAGTGTTTGTTTGTTTGAGACAGAGTATAGCTCAGTCACTCAGACTGCAGTGCAGTGGCACACTCTTGGCTCATTGCAGTCTCCACTTCCCAGGCTCAAGTGATCCTCCCACCTCAGCCTCTCTAGTGACTGAGACTACAGGTGACTGCCACCAAACCCAACTAATTTTTGTAATTTTTTTTGGTAGAGATCGGGTTTTGCCATGTTGCCCAAGCTGGTCTTGAACTCCTGGGCTCAAGGGATCTGCCCACCTCAGCCTCCCAACGTGCTAGGATTACAGGTGTGAGCCATCATGCCTGGCCAGAAGTAGAAGTCAGGCAATAATTTTAAACCATTACATGTAAGTTATTGTCTTTGTCACACATCAAATCAAAATAATATTTTTGTTTTATACAAACTGTTCTAGGGGCTATATAGCAGGTGGATTTGAGCATAACCCAAATGAAATCTGATAAATTTTGAAGTTATTGACAGAAATGAAAAGACATAGTGGTAGGGTGGATGGAGAGAAAGGGAGAATTCTAGGAATACCATAATGTGCTGCATAATGATGTTTCAGTCAATTAGGGACCACATATGGGACAGTGGTCCCAAAAGATTACAATATCATATTTTTACTGTACATTTTCTATGTTTATATATACAAATACTTACTACTGTGTTACAGTTGTCTCCAGTATTTAGTACAGTAACATGCTGTACAGGTTTGCAGCCTAGGATCAATAGGCTATACCCTATAGCCTAGGGGTGTAGTAGGCTATGCCATCTAGGTTTGTGCAAGTACGCTCTATGATGTTTGCACAACAAAGAAATCACCCAACACATTTATCAGGCATATCCCCAGTGTTAATCAATGTATGGCTGTGTTTAGGAGACAAAACAGATAGGACTAAGTGATTTTTTGAATATAGGGAATGCATGAAAGGAAAGAGGCTAGACTGTTTTTTATATCTTGGGATCCAATATGGTGGGTTCATTATAAGACTGGGAACGCAGGAGGAGGAGTAGGTCTCATAAAGAGGAGAAGGAAGAAAGATATGTTTGGTTTTAGATACGTTGAGTTTGAGAGACTCACAGATCATCCAAGTGGAGTCGCCTATCAAGCAGTTATATATGCCGATGTAAAGAAGTATAGGGGAGAGGACAGAGCTGGTTCTACTTGTTTGAATGTCCTCAGCACAATATGGTAGTAAAACCATGAGAGAGGGAGTGACTTGGGTAAGAATAGAGAAGGAAGAGCAGTGCGCCAAGGAGCAGGAGCTTGAATGTGGAGGAATAAGAGGGAGGGGAGAGAGTGGAGAGAGCAAGTGCAGACCTGCTTCTCACAGTTTGGTGCACAGGGAAGGATAATGGTAGGAAAGGAGCTACATAGTGAGGATTAGTATTAATTTTTCACTATGCTTATAAGAAGAAGAAAAACATACGGTAGGGAGGAAGTTGAAGATGTAGGAGAGACTGGTGGACCAAGGGGCAAGCAACCAACTGGGGATGTAGAGGAAGGACTGGCTTCAAGCCCAAGTCCAGATACTAGATCCTTTGAGTCTGGAGAAATGGAGGTGAAGATGAGGCAGATGTAGATAAATCTTCAGATGGGGAGCAGGAAAGGGAAGTCATTTATAGATGCCCACTCCAATTACCTTAATGAAGTGGGTGGTAGGTCCTCTCCTGGGATAAGAGCGAGGGGGAGCTTGGACATGATGCTAAGGACTTGAAAAGAGAGAAGGTGTTGCCTATGGACAAGGAAAGGGGTGTCGGTTGGGTCTGAGTTCTCAGCTTAGGTTGGACACATGGACCCTGCAGTGGCAGCCCCACTGTTAAGGACTAAGATGGTTTTCCAATCGAGTACACAAGTCAGCCCTAACCGTATTTTAATCTGTGTAATGTGGGCCAGAATTGATACGTTCTTGGCAACAGAAAAAAATGAATAAGACATCTTACTGATGGTTTTTCAATGCAGAAAAAAATGTTAATGTGAAATTTGCTCTACAAGACATTCATTTGTAAATACCACTGGTAACAGACTTGTATGGTTTGTGTTGTATAATTAGTGTGAAAGAAAGAAAGGAATTCCATGAATTGCCTATATTTCACTGCTTGGGCACCGAATCAACTGAGGTCAGGTAATAATAAGCAGTCTTGCTACCAGCCTTATTCATTGAATCATCTCTTAGGTTGCCAAGACAATGCTCTTCTTTATGCCACATGGAGGCCTAGCCTCTGTGATTGTAGGAACTCCTGCCAACTCAGCTCTTGGCTTGGTGACCCGAGGGTTCTCAGGCCACATCCTCAGAGACAGCCGGTGCCACGGACACATCCGTTGTCTTGTTGCCACACGATAGCTATTGAAAACCCCAAAGTGGAGACTCACTGCAGAACCTCTATTCAGTCCACACAGAGCCCCAGGGAGAACAGGGCTGACGTCAGCCTGGGAGGTGAGAAGCCCGAACCCAGAGAAGGCAGGCTGTGTTCCAGGACATGACAGTTTCTGTGGAGAGAAGATATATGTCCTTCTCTCTGCTAGAGCATGGCTAAAGCTGGAGGGGCAGTGAAGCTGAGCCCTCTAAGGAGTTCAGTTCATGCATTATTCAGGAGGTGGCCAAGAAAGGCTGAGATGGCAGAGGGAGACAGAAACAAATTTATATTTCAAGCTGAAGATTCCATTATGAAACCAAATTCTATTTAAATGAAGTCCTGAGTCTGGTCATCCAAGTAAATCCAGGAGTAAGAGGAGCCCAGGGTGGTCCCTCTATCCCCAGGCAGTGTGAAGAGTCTGCTATTGGTCCTAAATTTGCTTGGATCATCTCTTCCTTTCACTAAAGAAAGAACAAAAACAGGCATTTATTGAATACCGTTTGTGGTTCGCCTTCTTGAACAGGCCTTCCTTAATCTTCACAACAACCTGTAAAGCAAAGATAAGCACTTACCTTTTATAGTAGAGGAGAGTGAGGAGTGGAGGGGGTTAAGGAACTTACCTACTGACAAATAAACATAAGTGGTGGGGCTGGGATTAGGACCCAGGTTTTGTGACATAGAAGCCTACAAATACTCTTCCCCTTGTATCCAAAGAAACCAATAAAGTAATCTTCTCTGTGTTTCTTTCTGTTCAAGGTGCCCACTTATGCATCCTAAGAATTTGTAACTCAAGATTGAATGACCTCAGAGGGCAAGTGGGCATTTGCCCAATGGCTTAGAGGGTTGGAGGGTCATTTTTCACTTTTATGGATTTTGGAAAAGGCACAACTCAATGTCTTTGAATTTGATGTTTCTCCCTGCCTAGAGCACTCATTTTATACTTGTTTATATCCTGATGCAGGTACGTCCTGGGAGACTGGACCTCAGTAGCTTCATCATTTCTGGAACGGGGACTTGAGGTATTGGTTTTTTGGGATCCAAAAGTCAGAACACATGGTCTAACGAAAGCCTGTTTATGATTTATAAACATGTATGTATAAAAGGAATAACAACCGAAACCCATCTACTTGCACAGGTTAATAAATGATTTTTATGGAAGGGTTCACAATTATGAGTCATCCTGGCTGAATCTGCAGTAACAGCATCACGCTGAGAATGGGGGAATATTCAGGACACCCTTGCTGAATAGAACTCATTTTAATTGAGCTGCATGATGTCCTGACACACAGAAATGCCTTGCCAGCTTTTCAAGTGGATGTCCTGCCCCTGTTGCTGTCAAAAGATGCTACAAGTAGAAACACCTTCTGTTAATAATCCCGAGTGGGTCACGCATATTTTCCTTCAGTAGTCGTGCTAATACTCTCAGGAAGTGAGCCTCTTTGAAGCTACTGAATCTCCTTCCCAGTCCCCAGGGCCTGGTGCTGGTCCCCTTGGCACACGGTCTCCAGGTACATCTCTTTGGGGTACCAGAGTGGCACGTCCCCTGCAATCTGCTTGTAACCCTGAGCAAAGACTTCACGCTGCTGACCAGGCCCATGGCCCATGTGCCCTGTCAGGCCTCTGCTACTTAGCCTGGCCACAGCCTTGATGTCACACCTGTCCCTCCACACCATTCTGTGATTTCTTCTGTGATTCTTTCTTCCATGGATGATGTTCTGCTTAACCCTTCCCAATAACTGGAATAATCCCTTAGAATATTGATCCGTTGTAAATCACTGCTCACATCCCCATGTCTTCAGGTTTTTCACAGAGCCTTCCTTCCACTTCCTGCCTTGAACAGCTCTCTCTCAGGAAAAGCTGGGGCCTGGCACCCATGGGTGTAGCCTGGGAGGTTGAAAGTTTTGTGGAGAAGACCCACCTCCAGCATAGCAGCTGGGGAGTGCTGTATTCATGGCTGAGTGAGGCGTCTAGGTGGGTGAACCTGAGAACAGTTTCACAGGGCATGTGCCTCCAGTGTGGTGCAGGGAGGTGCCAAGATGATCAGCAGAACCAAAGAGGTCCTGTCCTTGGGACAAGAAGGAAAAAGGCAATGTAAACCCGACACTGGTGGCCTCACCTCAGTAGCAGACAAAGCTGAGGAATAAGACGATGCCAAGTTCCCTTGGACAAGCTGACCCTCAGCAGAGGCCAGTGAGGCTCAACAGAGGCCAAAGGCCATTCTGGCACCTCCCTCTCAAGTCATGAGGATGACATCTGAAAATAGAGATCATTTTACGTCTTCCTTTCTAATCTGAGTGCTTTGTATTTCTTTTTCTCACCCAGTTGGCCTTGCTAGAAGCTTCCAGTATATTTTTGGAAGTTTTAAGTGTTGCTGTGGCTTCTTCCAAGCCATTTGCTCTTGGGTGGGCAGGGGATGAGCAGGCCATGGTACTGCCCCTTCCTGTGGCCATGATTCCCCGAAGCCCTGTTTCTATTAAAGACACATTTATGGCCAGGCGCGGTGGCTCACACCTGTAATCCCAGCACTTTGGGAGGCCGAGGCAGGTGGATCGCCTGAAGTCAGGAGTTTGAGACCAGCCTGGCCAACATGGCAAACCCCATCTCTACTAAAAATACAAAAATTAGCTGGGCGTGGGGGCGGGCGCTTGTAATCCCAGCTACTCGGGAGGCTGAGGCCGAGAGAATCGTTTGAACCTGGGAGGCAGAGGTTGCAGTGAGCCGAGATCACCCCACTGCACTCCAGCTTGGGCAACGGATTGAGACTCTGTCTCAAAAAAAAAAAAATTATAATGATCTATGAAATTATCTGAATAGGCTTTAAGAACTTTCCAAGTTTTAGTTTTTCTCCTAGCTTCATACCCCCTGTTTCCTTCCAGGTGGGATTGGATGAGAGAGACTTTCAGAATGGCCATCCCACAACCACCTCTAAATCCTGGAAGATGTTCCTGGAATACTGCCCATGGGACCCCTGGAGCCACATCCCTAAGGATAGACTAGGGAATCAAATAAGCTGGAACACTGCCCAGGATCCTCTGTCCATCCCCTCTTCCTTGCATGTGGACAGAGGGCTATTGCATCCCCAGCTACTGCAAACCATTGGATAGTTTAAGGGACTGGTCATTTGGTTGATTTTCTGTAAATTAATCTGGAGACATCTTCTCTAGCATAAACCTGAGGGAGGGAAAGCCAGTCCATTCCTACCAGAACAGGATAACGTGGAAGAAAGAGGAAAAGAGGGTGGGAGTCAAAAATGTCTAGTTTGCCACCAACTGCCAAGCACCACTCTAAGGTTGTGAAGGCTGCACATGGCAGTAGCTCCAGGACTTACTGCATGAGAAGAGAGAGCAAAGAGGATATGGAGAGAGGACCTGATGCTCCCAAAGCTCACACTCCTTGACCATGTAGTGCCTATGGAAGAAGAAATCTAAGAATGTTATGACTGCGACTTAGAGGGGCAATGGCTTAGCTCTGATCCTGCCACATGGGATGAAAGTGAAATCCTGCAGGCAGAACCAAAAAGAGCAGAAGGTGGGTGAAGTGTTAGTGGAAATGGATAGTATTTGGCTAGAAGATCCAAGGGAAGCCTGAATCCCATCTAACCATCACTTCTCCCTCTGTGAGGCTCCGGCAAGAGCTGCTCATACAAGGAGCAAGAGCAGAAAGGCACTCAAGTGTCACATGATAGCGGAACCAGAGCCTAATCCCTTCCAGAGCAGGTCAAAGCTGGGGTGGAGCAGGTAGCTTAGGAGCTCCCTAAGCCTGAGTCCAAGTCTTGGGGGTCTTGTCTTCTTCTGGTGGGTTCCATGGTATGGGAGGCTGAAGCAATCAGCAATATGCTCAGGCCAATCCTCAGTGGGAGAGAGGCATGGTGCGGCCCATGATTCTGGTGCATTAAGTGTAAGTGAGAGTGGAGCCTGGCTGTGCCACCACCTCTGTAATAATGCTGCCACCTCTGTAACGATGCTGCCACCTCTGTAACGATGCTGCCACGTCTGTAACGATGCTGCCACGTCTGTAACGATGCTGCCACCTCTGTAACGATGCTGCCACCTCTGTAACGATGCTGCCACCTCTGTAACGATGCTGTCACCTCTGTAACGATGCTGCCACCTCTGTAATGATGCTGCCACCTCTGTAATGATGCTGCCCACCAATAAACAAGACCCAGGTGGTTCCCTCAGTGTTGATCAATCAAATTAGCAACTATTCCTTTCTGGAGGAGTTGGGAAGGGGATGGGTAGACTGGTTGATGGAGAAGTGGGAGATATTGGAGATAACAATGACAATCATTTAAACTGGACCTGGAAGTTCTGAGAAAATGCCATAAACACAAACCAGACATGGGGCATGGATATTTGAAAGAAGTCGAAAAAAATATTATTTGTATTTGTGGCTAGAATATTCAAGAGAATTAACTAAAAAGCTATTATATAAAGAAACTAGTTATGTACTAGAAAATAATAGAAATACCAAATACTTTACTACAGATCGCCAGTAACCAGATAAAAAGATGATCCATTCATTAAAGTATAAGATACCCTAGTAAGAAATCTGTATGACCTAATGGAAAAAAAAAACCCTGCAAATTCTATTAAATGATATTGAGACAAAAAAAATGCCATGCTTTTTTCCACTTAAAATTATGTGATGAGCATTTTTCAAGTCAATAAACATTCTTTTAAAACATCATTTAGAAAAATTGCATAACATCCCATTGAATTGATATAACAGCACTTACTAAACAAATTGCTTTAAACATTTGCAACATTTTCATTTTTTTTGCAACTTTACTTGCAAAAACAACAACAGCTGTACATAAATCTTTGTCCACCTTTCAGTTGTTTCCTTAAGGTAAATTTCAGAGGTTTTTGCATGGTTTTATCATAGAAACATAATTGCTGACTCAAAGCATGTGATATAAAGATTTCTAGAGAGCTTGGGCTCATGATCAAGTGAGGCTACCCCTTTCACTGCATTCTTGGTGGCGGTAACTATTATTTTTAAAATTTTTGCTAAATATGATAGCTAAAAAAATAGCATTTTATTCTTTTTGCCCTTTCTTTTTTTGCATAAACAAGTAAAGTGAACAGAACAGGGATTAAGAGTAAGGGCTTGAAAGTTAGACTGAGCAGGACCCAGCTTCTACCCTTTTGCCCTCACCAATTTTTAGACCAGGGATAGTATGGTGCCTTTCTTACAGGCCTGCGAAGAGTATAGGAGATGATGCCTACAAAGCCCGAAACTGTCCTGGAGTTGTCATCCAGTGCTGGCTCCTGAAACAATTATAATGAACCCCGCCCCCCCCCTTCCCAGCCTCTGGAAAATACAGCATCTCTTGGCCTGTCTCTTAGGCTTTCAGTTCTGACATCACTCCTGAAAGCTGCCTTGGGTGTGTTGTCTCCATATTCCCCACCCTCCTGTGTGTGCCTCTAGTCCATGAGAAGTTCCACCCTGGCCAGAGGGGAGTGTGGATGCTCTCTCTCTAAGATGCTGGTTCTGTGTCCCTTCACTTCAGGCCAGGGCTGGGCAGCAGCTCTGGTGGGCTACTCTGGGCCTCTGCACTCTGACTACCAGTGCAGTGGAGAACTCTGTATATCTAATGAGCTCAGCCCATCAGCATTAACACTCAGAGTCCTCCACTTCGATGGCAGCAGACATTGCTACAATCACACTCCTGGACTCTGCCATCACATGCTTCTCCCTGGGAAAACCACGGTCAGCCCTGGGATCTCAGAGCCACTCTTCATAGGGGCAAGGAAACGGATCAGCAAATTTCTAAGGATGGGTTTGGAACTGAGTTGAGTGTGCCTGTCTGTAGTATCTCCCACAGTATCTATGTGGGAGTATCTTATCAATGCAGAATTACTTATGACAGAATAACTGAGTATACTCATATTAGATCAGGATGCTCTGATGTGATCGTCTTGTTAGGGGCCATTGATTGCAAAGGGACCATCCCCTTTGGGAGGAGGTGGGGCTTCCCCCTAAAGGGAGTGGAGTTTCCCATTGTCAATCATCTTGGAAGGAGTTTTACCTGGAATAGTAAATGAGGAATAGGGAGGCAAATCTCAGAGCGAAGAGATTCAAAAACCCTTTCCTCTCTCTGGGTCTTGTCGAGTTGGTTTGAACTTACAGGCTCAAGAGTAGAGCTGGTAGTGGAGAGAAGCTGGCCCCTGTCCCATGGAGGTGTGATCCTGGGCCTGGGCTGCATCTGGTGTCGTCTCCCTGACCCATCACCCCTACCATCTCTGAACCTTCCGCTCCTGGCTTAGCCATTACTGCGAGGAATTAAGGGATGGGCGTGTGCTTGTCCTTGGGAGGAGGTGCTTCAGGCAAGAGCAGCAGGAGTCTTGGGAGATCCCCAGCTTAGTGTTGGTGAAGGCTCGTTGGTGGCTCAGCTGCCAAGAGTGAGACACAGGCCCTTGCTGCCAGCAGCGCCCAGCAGAGGTCTGCGGAACATGAAATCAGTTCTGCTTGAACCTCAGAAATCCTTAGAAGGGCAGAGACAACTAGATACAACACTAGATTCCTGCAGGAAAGCATCATGGGGGTGATAAGGCCATATTAATTCTAGGTATAAATAGAAATATGATCTTGTAGGCTGATGAGGCCTAGGGCATACCAGTTACAGTTTAAAAGGGATAATGAGTTAGAAGGTGCATTTTAAAAGTGGAATATTTAACCATGACAACACATGTTTGCAGCCAAATCCATGAAAAAAAGTTCAAAATCTCAAAGATTAATTTCTGGGAATGTGGAAAGTCAGATATCTTGAAAAATACTCATGGCACATTTATAATAACAATTAAAAATATTAAGACCCTAGGAATAAATCCAATAAAAGTATGTAGCTATCAGTGGAGAAGATGATTAAACTTTACAGAAAGACATTAAAGAAGGCTTAAATACATGGGAACTTAGAGCATATGAGAAAACTCCAAATCACAAAGATACCCTATACCCACCACCTAGGTTTTACTAACATTTTATTCTTCCTGCTTTATCATGTGTCTGTCCATCTACACATCCCTCTCTCTCCATCCATCAATCTGTCTTATTTTTTAAATGTATTGGAAGGTAAGTTGCAGGCATCAGTATGCTTCCTCCTAAATAGTTTTGCATGCACACCATTAGTTAGGGAGGCTTGAGGATCTTTCAGCCACCTGTGTAGCATGGATTCAGGTCCCAAACTGTATGAAGGCCAGCTTTTATTTACAAATTCACAGCGAAGAGAGCCCTTCTTTTTTTTTTTTTTTTTCTTTTCTTTTTCCTCTACCTAGAGCCAAGGCTGAGACATGCATTCTTGCTGCCTTCATTTTTGTGGGATCGACATTTTCTTTTATGCTTTTGTAACTGATGGTATAGCCCTCGGTAGTCACTATTTTATTTGAGTCTCCAATACACCCTTCCACCGTGGGAGCATCCTGTCCTATGTATGGCCATGCAAATGATGTTCCAGTCATGGGGAATTGCCATAAGTCCCTGGGCCTACCACTGACTGTTTCTCACTCACCTCTCTGGATTCCCACCCTGTTTGTTTGGGGCCTTTAGAGACGTTCCTTAGTGTCTTGAAAGCATGTGTTTGAAAACATTTTTTAGTCAGGCATGTAGTCGTGGTCTGTATTGTGCATTGTGGTATAAAGTAGGTTTGACTGTAAATCCATACCTCCCACCCAGATGGCTACATATGTCCTAGGAACTGTCCCCAAAGTCGTCATTGTCTTCATCAGTTGCCATCTTAAGGTTGGCACCCTCGGGATTGTAACATTGTGACTTAACCAAATTCTAGGAGCTTTTTTCCTTTCCTACTTCTCTTTCCCCTCCTTCCTTCTTCCTTTTGGCTGAACACACATTAGCAGAATAGAATATTCCACCCCTCTGTATAGCACTCCCAGAACCCCCCACTCCAGGAGTAGTTAGGGGACCACCATGTAACAGCACAATATTGCCAAAACTTGCTCTTCCTTTGTGTAAGAGGAAGGTGTCTGGCCATTAAGCTGGTGGCCAAAGACCTTAACTGTCTTGGTCTGTAGAGGCTGCTGTAACAGAGTGCCACCGTCTGGATGGCCTATCAGCAACAGAAATTGGTTCTCACACTCCTGGAAGCTGGAAGTCCCAGATCAAGATGCTGGCAGATTTGGTGTCTGGTGAGGACCTGCTTCCTGGCCCAAAGACGGATGTCTTCTAGCTTTGTCCTCACATGGCAGGAGGAGGCAGAGAGCCCTCTGGAGTCTCTTATAAAGGTACTAATACTGTCAGCCTCCATCCTCAGGACTGAATCACCTCACAAAGACCCCACCTCCCAATATCATTACACTGGGGGTTAGGTTGTCAATATATGAATTTAGGGGAACATAAACATTCAGTTTATTGCACCCACAAATGAGTCCCACTCAATAATTCATACTGTAAACTCCAGTCCAGCCTTTGCTTAGATAGACACAGTGTGTGCCAATGACCTCACATCTCTAGCAAGGCTAGGAGATCCAGAGGCTGGAAGCACCCCAGGAGCCTCTTGCCTAACTGTGTGTTCTGCTGATGGTTCAGGAAATCCATATACAGTACTACCAAAGGTTCCAGAGATCCATAAAGCACTATTTTTACAACGTGAACTTCTTCAACTAAACCCTCTAGTCCTGTATAGCCCAAGTCCGGTGACTCAGTTTGTAAAGGGTTAATTACTTGTGGAGTTCTTCTCTGCCTTGGAAAGTAAAGAAAGCAAGGAAAGCAGGTGACAGGAAGCTAACAGCAGCCCCTCTAGCTGTCTTTGCAGGAGAACCTCCTATTGCAGTTAGGTAGCCCTTGCAGGGTATCTGGCTGGAGGTCAGGTTTCCCTTGGAACACCCCCTTGCTCAGCTCACTAAGGGCAGCAGGGTTCCTCCTGGAGAGCTTTTCTGGAGGAGCCACCAGGTGTGAGCCACTTATGGCTAGCCACATCCGGAGTTCAGACAATTCATCTGGTGTGAAACCTCTTCTGGGAATATTCTCCTAACTCAGCAGAGTGGAGTGAGTAACCTGCTCCCAGGTGCCTGTCACAGCTTGACAGGTCAGCCTGACCTCACATCTAGAAGGCAGGTAGTAAAGCTCAGGGAGTGTTGCAACCTTGGTTTATAACCACAGCACGTGTCCAAGGTAGACAGAATGGAAGCGCTGAGCCTGATACTCCACAGGGCTCACTCCTGAGAGCCAGGCCAGCCTCTGGGGATGACAGGGGGTCCCACCCGCTTCGCTGTGATACCGGCCCAGCCTGCCTGGGAGCCACTGCTCCCCAAGCAGGGCAGAGCATAAACAGTGCACCTTGGACACACCAGCATGGAATGCATGGGGGCACTCCTCGCTTCTGGGTGCCCTGTGCGTTTTGTTCTCCTGCATCTTCAAGGAAGAGAGGAACACTCTGGAAATAGAAGACTCAGGGAAGAAGCCCTTTACTCCTCATAGGGCGTGAGTGTTTTTAGCCCACCAAGTCCTGTGGCCCAGAACCTGGGTCCCACCATGACAGAAAGATAAAGTGTATCTTTTCAGAGAGGACCTCAGATGACTGTGGCATGGTGCTTGGCATTTCCTGAGAAATGTTGCATCCAGCCAGCCTAAGTCTGTGCATCAAAGGTTGTGAGCCACCATCTTGAAGATCACAGTTGCTAAAACAGAAATTAAGTGACAGGGAGGTGACAGGTTATAATGTATCAATAAGGACAAACAGGGTAGAAGGAATCAACCTCAGCCTGGAAAAATTCAGACCCTGCAGTTGTTGGCAAAGAAAAAGGCGTCCATGGTCTGGCTGAAAGGCTGACTTGCTGGAACACTCCAGGGAACTGGGCGCAGAGAGTGTCAGAACTGTTCACAACATTCTAAACCCAGTCCCAGTTTGGGCCTAACCTTAAGCAAGGACTGGCTTAGGGAATCTGTTTTCCACATCTTGGAAAAGGGTTTGATGATACCTACTACTTGGATGTGCACTGAAGGATTTAATTAATGTTTGCAAAGCACTTTGAGATGCAGTTGTAGGGCCCACAGCCAAAAACATAGCCAGCTTGTTTAGATTGGCAGTAAAAAAGTTAAGCACTCTTTACTAATTAACACCCTATTAGTATAACAGCAATATCCATGTTGAGTTACTCAAGACCGTGTTTATTTTCACCACTCTGTGTAGTTTGGTTTCTAAGCTAAGGAAGTCTGAACTTACCTGGTGGTGTGAGGTAATCAATTACTGAAACCTCCCTTCAAGCCAAACTCTACCGACAAAGAAATATGCTAAGATGGGTGCATGCCAGGAAATGCCAGTCAAACAGGTGCCTGTTGGGGAAAGACCATAACCAGAAACCCTGGCAAATATTTCCCAAACCAAAGCTCCCTGGACTCCAGAATGCAGTTCCTGGGAGGAGCCTGGCTGGGCATGAGGAGGGTGCCACCTGCTGGCACCAGGGTGTATTTTCTGTGATTTGCAAGCCCACGTGCAAGTGTCTGCAGGAACAGAATTTAAGACAATTGGCCAGGTGCGGTGGCTCACGCCTGTAACCCCAGAACTCTAGGAGGCTGAGGTGGGCGGATCACCTGAGGTCAGGAGTTCGAGACCAGCATGGCCAACATGGTGAAACCCTGTCTCTACTAATCAGTTGGGCGTGGTGGCGCATGCCTGTAATCCCAGCTACTTGGGAGGCTGAGGCAGGAGAATCACTTGAACCTGGGAGGCAGAGGTTGTGGTGAGCCGAGATCGTGCCACTGCACTCCAGCCTGGGAGACAGAGCAAGACTCCACCTCAAAAAAATTATTAGACCCACCTCCATTTCTATAAATGGCAATAAAGTCCAACATAACCATTATGGGAAAGTAAAATACACAAATATAGGCCTGTGCGATGTAGTATACCTGGAAAGTTTAGAAAGGAGCAGAGGTTGCTTTTTGCAGCTAATAATCTTGCAATAACAATGGCAGATTTATAAATTGTACTTCAGTCGGGACCTACGTTTTATCTAATTCTATTTAACATATAAATATCTCTTAATTAAGCTGTGTTCACCAATTGAAAATGTCTACACTGGATTTGGCACAGCAATAAATTATGCTTGCATTAATTTTCATCAATGTCGAATTTGTTGGCTTCAAAACATTTTTTGGTGTGCTACCAGCCCTAAAGAGGTTATGAAGTTGAGAGTAGAACTGTCAACACAGGCATAATCCACTAAGTAAGTAGCTAATGATTGCTAGACAATAGATGAATAGCCAAACATTGAGAGTAGCCAACCTGTACACAAATAAATTAATCTCTGAATCAATTCATTCAGAAGGTGAGGAAGTGAGCCGTGCAGATATCGGAGGGCAAACTGCACAAGTCAGAGGGCACAGCAATGGAAAGGTGCTAAGGAGGGAGTGTTCCTGGCATCCTAAGGAGGAGCAGGGAGCCAGTCCTAGAGTAGAGTGAGTGGGGCCCTTTCAACCTGGACATGTGGAGCAGTCTTGAGTCCAACCAGAAGCTGGGAGTCCGGTCTGGCCCAGCCTACCCCACCCCAAATCACAGCCAATCTATAGACCTAGGAGCATGGAAATAAATTATCAGGGTTGTAAGTCACTGAAATTGTAAGACCATTTGTTATGCAGCATTATTATAGCAATAGCTGACAAACACATTAATCTAATAATCACCCTATTGTACTAGCAGATGAGATCATACAGGTAATGGGGGTGAAGGGCAGATTTATAAGGTCTTGTAGCCAGTAATGGAGGAAGAACACCAGGAGAGTGGTGTTCAGAGATCAAATGAAGAAAGAATGTTAAAGAAGACAGCAGGACCCAAAGTATCAAATGCTACAGATAAGAGAGTGACCATATACTTTACTATACAAAGTATGGCACTTTTAAAGTCGAAAAAGGGCACCCAACTTTGGCAGGACAACAATAAGCTAGGGATGTTCTGGGCGAACTGAGATGTGTGGTCAAGTAAAGTGAGAATTGAGGTTTGAACACAGATTTAGCAACTAAGAAGTCACTGATAATCTCCCCAAGAGCAGTTTTGGTGAACTAGAGGGTTGAGTTTAGTCCAGTTGGATTGAGTTCAAGAAAAAGTGGTAAGAGTGTGAGTACAGGCAACTTTTCTGAGAAACGTTGCTGTAAATGAGAAAAGTAAATGGGGAAATAGCTAAAGGGAGATGTGAAAACAATATTTGGCATTTTTTTAATAGGAGAAGGATATAAATGTTTATTTGCTGATGGGAATGATGCAGCTAACAGGAGAAAGTTTGTGATAAGAGGGAGAGGGAGAAATGCTATGTGAGGCCCTTGAGTATAGGAGAGAGGCTGGGATCTGATGGACAAATGAGGGTGTCGTCCTCTGCTAGGATCAGGATCCACTCATCCAAGGAATAAGATGGAAGGCAAGGAGTAGACACAGAGTGAGAGATGATGGAATGTTTCTTTTAATTTTGTCAGTGAAACTGAAAGCAAATTCGTCAGCTGAGAGGAGGAGAGCTTGCAGGAGGAGAGAGGGAAAAGTTTGAAATCACTGATACAGGAGCCCAAAAGAAATTATTTAGGCAGTTAGTGAGGGTAACAGAGTCCTCAGTAAGGTTTTCCTTTTAATGAAAAGCAGCCCCAAGATCATTTCTTTTTTAACAAAGAGCATCCTGAAAACTCAAGCTGCAGATATAGAAAAGCAAGCTAGAAGCTTGCACGGGCGAATGCCAGCAGCTGCGCCAATAGAAAAGTGATACCTGGAAGCAAGGCATGTTCAACATGGAGGCTCCTTCTTCCCTTTTCTTTGTCAACATGTGTGCAGTAAAGAAGCAGACAACCTGGGGCCGGCCAGACAGAGGATTCATCTGCATAACAAAAGATTAGGATGGGGTGGCCAGCTTCTTCCCAAGCTATGTAAATGGCACACCTGGTCCGACCAATCTTTTGGGCCCTATGTAAATCAGACACTGCCTCCTCAAGCTAGTCTATGATACCCCATGCATTTCACCTCAGAACCTGAAGACGCACTCCAGAGCCCCTCTCTATTTGCAGGAGAAAGAGCTTTTCTCCTTCTTTTGCCTATTAAACCTTCACTCTTAACCTCACTGCTTGTGGTCCATGTCCTTGATTTCCTTGGTGTGAGGCCACGAACCTTGGGTGTTACCCCAGACAAACAATGCCATTTCATTACTACCCAGGACATGGGAGACTGATTACACCAGGGGGACACTGTCAGGCCTCTGAGCCTAAGCTAAGCCATCATATCCCCTGTGACCTGCACGTACACATCCAGATGGCCGGTTCCTGCCTTAACTGATGACATTATCTTGTGAAATTCCTTCTCCTGGCTCATCCTGGCTCAAAAGCTCCCCTACTGAGCACCTTGTGACCCCCACTCCTGCCTGCCAGAGAACCCCCCTTTTTCCTTTACCTACCCAAATCCTATAAAACGGCCCCACCCCTATCTCCCTTCGCTGACTCTCTTTTCAGACTCAGCCCGCCTGCACCCAGGTGAAATAAACAGCTTTATTGCTCACACAAAGCCTGTTTGGTGGTCTCTTTACACAGATGCGCATGAAATTTGGTGCCGTGACTCGGATCGGGGGACCTCCCTTGGAAGATCAATCCTCTGTCCTCCTGTTCTTTGTTCCATGAGAAAGATCCCCCTACAACCTCAGGTCCTCAGACCGACCAGCCCAAGAAACATCTCACCAATTTTAAATCTGGTAAGTGGCCTCTTTTTACTCTCTTCTCCAACCTCCCTCGCTATCCCTCAACCTCTTTCCCCTTTCAATCTTGGCACCACACTTCAATCTCCCCCTTCTCTTAATTTCAATTCCTTTCATTTTCTGGTAGAGACAAAGGAGACACGTTTTATCCGTGGACCCAAAACTCCAGCACCAGTCACGGACTGGGAAGGCAGCCTTCCCTTGGTGTTTAATCATTACAGGGATGCCTCTCTGACTATTCACCCATGTTTCAGAGGTGTCAGACCATGCAGGGACGCCTGCCTTGGTCCTTCACCCTTAGCGGCAAGTCCTGCTTTTCTGGGGGAGGGGCAAGTACCCCAATCCCTTCTCTCCATGTCTCTACCCCTTCTCTGCCTTTCTGAGGGGCAAGAAACCCCCAACCCCTTCTCCTTCACTCTTAGTGGCAAGTCCCGCTTTTCTAGGGGAGGGCCAAGTACCCCAACCTCTTCCTCTCCATGTCTCTACCCCTTCTCTGCCTTTCTGGGGGGCAAGAAACCCCCAACCCCTTCTCCTTCACTCTTAGCAGCAAGTCCTGCTTTTCTAGGGGAGGGCCAAGTACCCCAACCTCATATCTCTGCACCCCGATCCCTTATTTCCATACCCCAACCTCATATCTCTGTGCCCCGAGCCCTTATTTCCACACCCCGACCTCTTATCTCTGTGCCCCAATCCCTTATTTCTGCACTCCGACCTCTTATCTCTGTGCCCCAACCCCTTATTTCCATGCCCCGATCCCTTCTCTGCTTTTCTGGAGGGCAAGAACCCCCCACCCCTTCTCCGTGTCTCTACTCTCTTTTCTCTAGGCTTGCCTCCTTCACTATAGGCACTCTTCCACCTTCCATTCCTCCTTCTTCTCCCTTAGCCTGTATTCTTAAGAACTTAAAACCTCTTCAACTCTCACCTGACCTAAAATCTAAGCATCTTATTTTCTCCTGCAATGCCGCTTGACCCCAATACAAACTCGACAGTAGTTCCAAATAGCCGGAAAATGGCACTTTCAATTTTTCCATCCTACAAGATCTAAATAATTCTTGTCGTAAAATAGGCAAATGGTCTGAGGTGCCTGACGTCCAGGCATTCTTTTACACATCAGTCCCTCTCTAGTCTCTGTTCCCAATGCAAGTTATCCCAAATCTTCCTTTTTTCCCTCCCGCCTGTCCCCTCAGTCCCAACCCCAAGCATCGCTGAGTCTTTCTAATCTTCCTTTTCTACAGACCCATCTGACCTCTCCCCTCCTCGCCAGGCCGAGCTAGGTCCCAATTCTTCCTCAGCCTCTGCTCCTCCACCCTATAATCTTTTTATTGCCACCCCTCCTCACACCTGGTCGGGCTTACAGTTTCATTTCGTGACTAGCCCTCCCCCACCTGCCCAGCAATTTACTCTTAAAAAGGTGGCTGGAGCTAAAGGCATAATCAAGGTTAATGCTCCTTTTTCTTTATCAGACCTCTCCCAAATCAGTGAGCATTTAGGCTCTTTCATCAAACATTAAAAACCCAGCCCAGTTCATGGCTTGTTCAGCAGCAACCCTGAGACGCTTTACAGCCCTAGACCCTAAAAGGTCAAAAGGCCGTCTTATTCTCAATATACATTTTATTAGCCAATCTGCTCCCGACATTAAATAAAACTCCAAAAATTAAATTCTGGCCCTCAAACCCCACAACAGGATTTAATTAACCTCGCCTTCAAGGTGTACAATAATAGAAAAAAGTTGCAATTCCTTGCCTCCACTGTGAGACAAACCCCAGCCACATCTCCAGCACACAAGAACTTCCAAACGCCTGAACCGCAGTGGCCAGTTGTTCCTCCAGAACCTCCTCCCCCAGGAGCTTGCTACAAGTGCTGGAAATCTGGCCACCTGGCCAAGGAATGCCCGCAGCCTGGGATTCCTCCTAAGCCACGTCCCATCTGTGTAGGACCCCACTGAAAATCGGACTGTTCAACTCACCTGGCAGCCACTTCCAGAGCCCCTGGAACTCTGGCCCAAGGCTCTCTGACTGACTCCTTCCCAGATCTTCTCGGCTTAGCAGCTGAAGACTGACACTGCCCGATCGCCTCGGAAGCCCTTTAAACCAGCACGGACACCGAGCTTCAGGTAACTCTCACAGTAGAAAGTAAGTCCGTCCCATTCTTAATCAATATGGAAGCTACCCACTCCACATTACCTTCTTTTCAAGGGCCTGTTTCCCTTGCTTCCATAACTGTTGTGGGTATTGACGGCCAGGCTTCTAAACATCTTAAAACTCCCCAACTCTGGTGCCAACTTAGACAAACTCTTATAAGCACTCCTTCTTAGTTATCCCCACCTGCCCAGTTCCCTTATTAGGCCGAGACACTTTAACTAAATTATCTGCTTCCCTGACTATTCCTAGGCTATAGCCACACCTAATTGCCACCTTTTCCCCCAGTTCAATGTCTCCTTCACATCCTCCCCTTGTATCTCCCCACCTTAAACCACAAGTATAAGACACGTCTACTCCCTCCTTAGTGACTGATCATGCACCCCTTACCATCCCATTAAAACCTAATCACACTTACCCCACTCAATGCCAATATCCCATCCCGCAGCACGCTTTAAAAAGATTAAAGCCTGTTATCACTCACCTGCTACAGCATGGCCTTTTAAAGCCTATAAACTCTCCTTACCATTCCCCCATTTTACCTGTCCTAAAACCAGACAAGTCTTACAGGTTAGTTCAGAATCTGCGCCTTATCAACCAAATTGTTTTGCCTGTCCACCCTGTGGTGCCAAACCCATATACTCTCCTATCCTCAATACCTGCCTCTACAACCCATTATTCTGTTCTAGATCTCAAACCTGCTTTCTTTACTATTCCTTTGCACCCTTCATCCCAGCCTCTCTTTGCTTTCATTTAGACTGGCCCTGACACCCATTAGGCTCAGCAAATTACCTGGGCTGTACTGCCACAAGGCTTCACAGACATCCCCCATTACTTCAGTCAAGCCCAAATTTCTTCCTTATCTGTTACCTGTCTCGGCGTAATTCTTATAAAAACACACGTGCTCTCCCTGCCAATTGTGTCTGACTGATCTCTCAAACCCCAACACCTTCTACATCCTAGGCATGGTAAGATACTTTCTACTTTAGATACCTGGTTTTGCCATCCTAACAAAACCATTATATAAATTCACAAAAAGAAACCTAGCTGACCCCATAGATCCTAAATCCTTTCCCCACTCCTTTTTCCATTCCTTGAAGACAGCTTTAGAGACTGCCCCCATCCGAGCTCTCCCTGACTCATCCCAACCCTTTTCATTACACACAGCCGAAGTGCAGGGCTGTGCAGTCGGAATTCTTACACAAGGACTGGGATCGCGTCCTGTAGCCTTTTTGTCCAAACAACTTGACCTTACTGTTTTAGGTTGGCCATAATGTCTCCGTGCAGTGGCTGCTGCCACCCTAATACTTTCAGAGGCCCTTAAAATCACAAACTATGCTCAACTCACTCTATACAGCTCTCATAATTTCCAAAATCTATTTTCTTCCTCACACCTGACACATATACTTTCTGCTCCCCGGCTCCTTCATCTCTCTGATCCACCTGACGTTCACCCCATTTCCCCACATTTCCTTCTTCCCTGTTTCTCACCCTGATCACACTTAGTTTATTGACGGCAGTTCCACCAGGCTTAATTGCCACACACCAGCAAAGGCAGGCTATGCTATAGTACAAGCCACTAGCCCGCCTCTTAGAACCTCTCATTTCCTTTCCATCGTAGAAATCTATCCTCAAGGAAATAACTTCTCAATGTTCCATCTGCTATTCTACTACTCCTCAGGGATTATTCAGGCCCCCTCCCTTCCCTACACATCAAGCTCAGGGATTTGCCCCCGCCCAGGACTGGCAAATTAGCTTTACTCAACATGCCCCGAGTCAGGAAACTAAGTTACCTCTTAGTCTAAGTAGACACTTTCACTGAATAAGTAAAGACCTTTCCTACAGGGTCTGAGAAGGCCACCGCAGTCATTTCTTCCCTTCTGTCAGACATAATTCCTCAGTTTGGCCTTCCCACCTCTATACCGTCTGAGAGCAGACCGGCCTTTATTAGTCAAATCAGCCAAGCATTTTTTCAGGCTGTTAGTATTCAGTGAAACCTTTATATCCCTTACAGTCCTCAGTCTTCAGGAAAAGTAGAACAGACTAATGGTCTTTTAAAAACACACCTCACCAAGCTCAGCCACCAACTTAAAAAGGACTGGACAATACTTTTACCACTTTCCCTTCTCAGAAGTCAGACCTGTCCTCAGAATGCTACAAAATACAGCCCATTTGAGCTCCTGTATAGACGCTCCTTTTTATTAGGCCCCAGTCTCATTCGACACCAGACCAACTTAGACTGTGCCCCAAAAAACTTGTCATCCCTACTGTCTTCTGTCTAGTCATACTCCTATTCACCGTTCTCAACTATTCATACTTGCCCTGCTCTTGTTTACACTGCCGGTTTACACTGTTTCTCCAAGCCATCACAGCTGATATCTCCTGGTGCTATCCCCAAACCGCCACTCTTAACTCTTGAAGTAAATAAATAATCTTTGCTGGCAGGACTATGCTGAATCTCCTTAGGTATTCTCTAATCAGATGTCCTAGGTCCTCCCAATTCTTAGACCTTTTATACCTGTTTTTCTCCTCTTATTCCATTTAGTTTTTCAATTCATACAAAACTGTATCCAGGCCATCACCAATAATTCTAAATGACAAACGTTTCTTCTAACAGTCCCACAATATCACCCCTTACCATAAAATCTTCCTTCAGCTTAATCTCTCCCACTCTAGGTTCCCACGCCGCCCCTAATCCTGCTCGAAGCAGCCCTGAGAAACATCGCCCATTATCTCTCCATACCATCCCCCAAAATTTTCGCCGTCCCAACACTTTACCACTATTTCATTTTATTTTTCTTATTAATATAAGAAGACAGGAATGTCAGGCCTCTGAGCCCAAGCTAAGCCTTCATATCCCCTGTGACCTGCATGTACACATCCAGATGGCCGGTTCCTGCCTTAACTGATGACATTCCACCACAAAAGAAATGAAAATGGCCTGTTCCTGCCTTAACTGGTGACATTATCTTGTGAAATTCCTTCTCCTGGCTCATCCTGGCTCAAAAGCTCCCCTACTGAGCACCTTGTGACCCCCACTCCTGCCTGCCAGAGAACAACCCCTGCTTTTTCCTTTATCTACCCAAATCCTATAAAACGACCCCACCCCTATCTCCCTTCGCTGACTCTCTTTTCGGACTCAGCCCGCCTGCACCCAGGTGATTAAAAGCTTTATTGCTCACACAAAGCCTGTTTGGTGGTCTCTTCACACTGACCCGCATGAAAGACACAGTAAGATTGCCCACCAGCAGTAAAGGGCATGCGGTCAGGAATCGAAAGTGCAATCAGCGGAGGCGACTCCGTTTCTGCTTAAGATGTAGAAAACTGCAAAAGAAAATATGCTACCCCATTCTAAGCTGCTACACAATCACAATTTCTCTGGAAACCATCAGAGAGCTGAGGTTACACAGCAACAAACTACTTGAATTTCAAAGAGAGGTAAGGTTTCCTGAGGAGAGATGGAACTCACTAACTGTAACACTTGTGGCAAAGCTGGGGAGGAAGGAGCTCCAGAAGGGACAAGTGGGTAAGAAGAAATAAGCTAAAGCACTGGCCAGCCACCAAAGGCCAAGTGTGAGCTAGTGTGTCCGTCCAGACTCCCTGGGAGCTGTGACCCAGGGGCCTTTGGGCTCACTCACAAGCTCCTCCCCACCAGTTTCCATGGGCAGGGCGGGAGATCCGAAAGCCCTTCCCTCAGAGGCACAGGCAGGTTAAACAGTTCCCCAGGCCCTGCTCTTGGACAAGAGAAGAAGAAGAGTGACAGGACAGGGCAAAAACATATTTTAAGAGATAGTAGTCAGTAATTTTATAAAGATAATGAAATACATCCAATGACAGATCCAAAAAACTTGGAGAACCAAGAAGGATAAACACCAAAAGATACAGATAAAACAAACCAAAACAGAAAAACACCTGGACACAGCACAGTGTCCCCGGAAAACCACTGTTAAAGAGAGAATCCTGAAGGCAGCTAGTGGGGAGGAAGGGAGGAAAGGGCACATGACATATAAAGGAAAAAAGAATCGCAGTAGAATCTCCTTAGAAACCACACAAGCAGAAGATAGTGGGGCAACACCATTCAAATACAAAGAGCAAAAAAGTTCTCCATCCAGAACTCTCCTTCCAGTGAAAATAGCTTTCAAAAATGAAGGCAAAATAACAACTTTTTCAGAAAAACAACCAAGAGAATTCGTTGCCAATAGACTTATGCTACAAGAAATGTTAGAGGAAATTCTCCAGGCAGGGGGAATATGGCACCAGACAGAAACTTGGAACTGTAAAAAGAAATCAAGAGCGCTAGAAATGCTGAAAATGAAGGTAAATTAATTCTTTTTAATTGCACTAAAAGATAATTTTCTAAAGTGAAGTCATCAAACATTTTGTGAAAGGGCCAGATATTAATAATAAATATTTTAGGCTTGCAGGACATACAGTCTCAGTTGCAGCTACTCAGATCTGCTGCTGTAGTTGGAAAGCAGCCAGGACATGTGTAAACAAATGGGTGTGGCTGTGTGCCAGTAAACTTTATTTATAAAAATGTTTGGCTGACCTGATGGTCATGGTTTGCTGGCCTCTGGCCTAAAGCAAAAACTATACAAATGCATTGTGGGGTTTAAAAACATTTAAAAGTAAAATGTAAGACAAAAATAGCACCAAGGATCAGAGGAACAAATTGGAAGTATACTGTTGTAAGGTTTCTACACCACTGTGAGTGGTATAATATTATTTAGAGGTATACTGTAATAAGTTAAAAATGTACATTGTAAACTCTAGGGCAGCTATTAAATATTTTTTTAAAAGAGGCAAAAGAATAAGCCAGTAGTAGAGACACAATTATATCATAAAAAGTACTCAATCCTGAAGCAGACAGAAAAAGAGGGAAAAGAAGGAATGAAGAACAGATGGGACAAATTGAAAACAACTAGCAAGATGGTAGAGTTAAACCCTACTATGCCACTAATTAGATGTAAATAGTCTAAATACTCCTATTAAAAGACAGAAATTGTCAAAATTGTATTTTAAAAGGCTCAACCATATGCTGTCTAGAAGAAACTCGCTTTTTTAAAACTTATTTTAGGTTCAGGGGCACATGTGCAGGTTCGTTATATAGATACACTTGTGTCATGGGGATTTGTTGTACAGATAATAGTTCATCACTCAGGTACTAAGCCTAGTACCCAATACTTATTTTCTCTGATCCTGTCACTCTTCCTACCCTCCACCCTCAAGGAGGCCACAGTGTCTGTTGTTCCCTTTTTTGTGTCCATGTGTTCTCATTATTTAGCTCCCACTTACAAGTGAGAACATGTGGTATTTGGTTTTCTGTTGCTGCGTTAGCTTGCTAAGGATAATGGCTTCCAGCTCCATCCACGTCCCTGCAAAGGACATGATCTGGTTCCTTTTTATGGCTGCGTAGTATTCCATGGTGTATATGTATGTACCACATTTTCTTTATACGGTCTGTCACTGATGGACATTTAGGATGATTCTGTGTCTTTGCTATTGTGAATAGTGCTGCAATGAACAGTTGTGTGTACATCTTCATGGGAGCACGATTTATATTCCTTTGGGTATATACCCAGTAATAGGATTGTTGGGTCAAATGGTAGTTCTGTTTTTAGCCCTTTGAGGAATCACCACACAGCTTTCCACAATGGTTGAACTCATTTACACTCCTACCAACAGTGTGTAAGCGAGAAATCCTTAATATGTTTTAATATGAACATACAGATGGGATAAAAGGATAGAAAAAGATATACGATGCAAATGCTAATCAAAAGAAAGCTGAAGTGGCTATATTCATATCAAAGATTTCAAAGGAAAGAATATTACTAGGGATAATAAAGAGCAACATTACATAATGATCATTTCACAACAAAGCCTTAACAATCCTAAATGTGTATGTGTCTAAGAACAGAATTTTAAAGTAAATGAAATGAAGGCTGGGCATGGCAGCTCATGCCTGTAATCCCAGCACTTTAGGAGGTGGAGGTGGGTGGATCACTTAAGGCCAGGAGTTCGAGACCAGCCTGGCCAACATCGTGAAACCCCGTCTCTACTAAAGATACAAAAATTAGCTGGGCATGGTGGCGCATGCCTGTAATCCCAGCTACTTGGGAGGCTGAGACAGCAGAATCACTTGAACCTGGGAGGCAGAGGTTGCAGTGAGCCCAGATTATACCACTGCACTCCAGCCTGGGTGACAGAGCGAGACTCCATCTCAAAAATAAATAAACAAATGATTACATGAAATTAAAGTAAATGAAATGAAAACTGAAGTACTGAAAGGAGAAAGACAAAGCCATAATTATAGTTGAAGACTTCAAAACTCTGTTCTCATTAATTGATAGAAAAAGTAAATAGAAAATCAATGGCAGTATAGAAGACCTGAAGAACATGAACAACCAACTTGACCTAATTGACGTTGCTAGAACAGTTCACCTGGCAACAGCAGAATACACATTCATTTTGAGTGCACAGGGAATGTTCATCAAAATAGGTCCATCATGTTTTGAACCACAGAACAAACTGCAACAAATGTAAGAGAATTAAAATTATAAGGTACAAACGGTCAGAATGTTTTTATGCTCATATCCCCCCTGAATCATTTGTGCAGGTTTAGGTACAAGGTAAGCAAGAGTCGGATTTAACTAGGTTCGGGATTTTTCCATGTGAGCTTGTGTAAAGAGGGAGCAGGTAAAGGAGTTTTAAGGAAGTGATTATAGGATTGGACAATGGAATTTAAGCTAGGTAAGACATAAAATAAGAATATGAGGAGCATTGAAAAATATACTAGGATCAAAGGGCTGGAAGATCTGATAGTAATTATTGATGTTTGAGTATCAGAAAAAGCAAGCTGGCTATTTACATGATGATTGTCAGAGTGGATGCTTGAAATAGATATTATTGGTAAAGCCAAGGTCAGAGGTATAACCACAGGAATGAGTAACTGAGGTACAATGGAGAACATGCTCACTGAAAGAGACAGGGTCGAGGAACTGAGATGCTGGGTACTGGAAACGTCATCCGTGTCACTAATAAAACATCATCAATTGTGAAAGTAGCAGTGTTGAAGAGCATGATTGTGAACTAAGAGCTAAAATCTTTGAGGAATAAAGGGAAATGACTGGGTGGTGTAGGTGACTGCCACAAGATGCGTGGGTAGTATGTAGTCTGATGACATGAGATGTTATTAGTAGGAAAAGAAGACCTGTCTAATACCAGCAATGAGCATCAAGCATAATGCCCTGCCAGACTCAATGGTGCTAGGAAGCAAGAGAAAAACACCTCCCAGAGGAAGGCTACAGAAGAAGCAATGTCCTTAAAAGAATATGAGCTTCTCAAAGAGAATCAGGCAGCATTCTAATTATTTCCTTACTGTGAAACAGGTAAAGTAGCATGAGGATTTTAATGTATAAATTGGAAGGCTATGCACACAATTTTTTTTCCTTTCCACCTGAGACTCCAGTAAAATGATGGTGAAGGAATAAACTCGTATCCTAAATGAATTGGGAAAGAGATCATTGGTAGGTAAGGGGTTTCAATGAATTTCTTACAGATGAAAAGAGAATGTAAGACATTTCATGAAGAAACAGTGTGAAACAAAGCATCTCAGAATATGCAGGAGGAAACTGCAGCAAAGGAGAAAGCCAATGGCCCCAGGAAGCTCCAGAAGGCTTCAGGACCAGGCCCCAGTTGGCAGTTATAAAGGAGGGCAGGGGTAAGAAGGAGGGTCCTAAAAGAAAGGAGTTAACTCAAAGTGGACCCCTCTCACTTCCTCTTTTTAACCCTATTGCCAAGAAATACATTGTAGGAAGCCCGGCATTTCCTTCAGGTCAAAAATTACAGGACACTTCTCTAAAGATACTGAATGTACTCCCAGGGGCCAAATAGGACTCCTAGAGTTGGTAAAATCCTTGAGAGTAAAGCCTTCCCTTTATGCAATTGGGAAATCCCAGTTTAGAGGCTGACTTTCTACAGTTTATCTAAAAGAGCATTGGGCCTACAGCTGATCCCTGCCCACACTGCAGAGCTTCTAGTCAGCATACGCATTCCTAGGAGAGAGCTAGGAAGAAAAATAGACACACCTTGGATAAGCAAGTAAACTGATGGCAGTTCTGGAGAAAAATCAACACCATTCCCCATTATTAAGTAGAACCAATCACCAGAAAGAAGACAAACACCTGAGCATAAAATGACAAGGCTAATTCAAACAGAACAAATTACTCCAAAAGAAATAGGTAACTTAGTGAAGAAAGGAAAACATTAAAAAAAAAAAAAACAACTCTAACGAATAGCCCCAGAATTTTTGAGTTGTTGTATGAATATGGACAAAAACATAAGCAGAATGCTATTTAAAAGGAACAATAAGAAAATTAATTAGGAAAAATTAATAGAGTAATTGAAGGATAAAGTCAAAGAAATTTCCCAGAACATAAGGCAAAGAGATGGAACCAGAGAGAAAGGATCTATTTAGAAAGTCAATTATCCGACTAATAGAATTTCCAGAGTGAGAAAACAGAGAAAGTGGATCAAACAAATCATATAAGAAATTTTCCCAGAGCTGAAAAGAAGCAGTTTTTAGCCTTAAAAAGTTCACATAGTGCTGACAATCACACACTCTTTAACACATTTCTGCACACTGAAGATAGGGTACATCTAAAAGCAGAGAGAGAGAGACGGAGGAAGTGGCCAGTGGGGGGAGAGAAACAGAAATTCCTTAAAAATCAGAAGTCAGATTGACATTAAACTTCTCATCAGCAACTAGATTCTAGAAGATAATGGATCCAATTCCTTCTAGGTTCTGAGAGAAAATTATTTTGAATATAGAATTCTATATATTGCTAAATTATCAATCAAATGTCAGGCTGAAATAAAATATTTTCAGAAATGCAAAGCAAAGGAAGTGTGGCTGCCATGAGAATGTGCCTTGCAGATCTCTGATTACAGGAGTGTAACTGACCATGGGCCCCACTTTTGTGCCTGAAATCTGTTGGCACATTTGTGTCATGGCTGCTCCCAGCCAAAGACTGAATGTAGCAGAGATACTAACCCAGACCCATTCCTGGGAGACAGGGGACTCTCCAACAACTGTGTCAAACTTTTCGTCTGACTGAATGGAATCTAAAACACTTCTACCCAACCTTCTCTCCCTCTCTCCATCATTCAGGGTCAAACCTGCATCATGCTCTGATATCTCTCCAAGCCTTATCCAGATCTTTCTCTATTTTTACTCATGACTTGAAATTTACTTTTCAGGGGACCCAGACTAATAGAAAGTTTATCTCCTATGGAACTTCTTGAGGAAAAAACCTGCAAAACCAAGGGTGAAAAGGGGGAAAAAAACAAACAGAATGAGCAAGACATGAGATATAAATGGCAAACCTAACCAGAGTTCAGTAAATAGGAAGTTGTGCAACAGGTCTGAAAAAGAAATTAGAGTGGATGTCTGGTTTGAATACGGCTGTTCAAAGTTACCTTTCTCCCTCTCTTTTCCTGGAATTTATCCAAAAGCAAC
This sequence comes from Homo sapiens, assembly GCF_000001405.40. Taxonomy (NCBI): domain Eukaryota; kingdom Metazoa; phylum Chordata; class Mammalia; order Primates; family Hominidae; genus Homo; species Homo sapiens. Next base: position 70,632,704 of record NC_000002.12, read on the forward strand.
AAGGAAAATGAGACACAAAACTGCAAACTTCACTTTAAAAGAAGCTTAGAGATAACTAAAACACCAGTCTATATGATAAGTAGAAGAACTGCCATAAACAGGGAGCTTGACGGGGGCATTTGCGTACAGAAAGGATGCTGCAGAGAGAAGGTGCTGTGGCCACAGATCTCAGAAAAAGCCAGCAAAATTACCGATCTTAAAGATGAAGGGAATCCTTGGCAGGCAAAATCAAACCCTTGTTTTTCTAATTGTGTTGAGGAGTACTCTATCAGTAAAAGTGACCCTGAATCTAATTTGGTTCCAAAATACAAATGCGATAGAACAAGAAATCATACTGATAAGCCATAATAATGGAAAGTGGTCTATCTCTTTGGCAGTGAGGGAAAAAAGAGCTCTTGCATTAAAACAAACAAACAAATGGCACACTGGCCTTTCTTCATTAGCTGGGAAACAATAAAAGTGAAACCAGCACACACACAAATTCCAGTTAGCCTGGAACATGGCCCTGGCCCCACTGACACATGAATCTCATTCTAAGAGGTGTTCCAGAAATAACTCATTTTCTGCAATGTTGAGTAATGTAAAACAAAGCAGCATATAATTTATATGAAAATGTTAAAAGAAAAGGAAAAGAAGAAAACAGGGAAAACAAAAGACAGAGAGCCTGAAAATGTTGTCATGGAGCAGATGAAATTTTGACCACAAATATTTCACCATGGATTAAACATATATGCAACAGACAATTATCTTTCTAAAGTAAGAGGACAAAGAAGAGATGCAAGAGCTGGGGAAGAGATGATAAAACAGCAGGAGAAGATGAAAAGTAAACTGGCAGAACTTAAAAAAGCAGTAAAAGAAATAAATGAAGCCATGATTGAAATAAAGGAAAAGAAACATTGTGAAAAACAAATAAGAGAGACATAAAATATTAAATTTAAAAATCAAAATGTTAAAAAGGATTACAGAGGAAAATTAGAGATATCAGATACAGACAAAAGAGATCCAACATACATTAATTGGAACCCCTGACAAAGAAAATCAAAATAATGAACCACATATATTTACTTTGCTAAATATTTGGACATGGTGAAAGGTAGTGAAAGTATATGCTCTGGTCTCCCCTTTTTGACAGAGGCCTTTCAAAATTCTAAGCATGCCTCAGAGTCTTCCTTGGCTTTGAAGCTACGTGGACTTGGATTTGAATCTTGGCTCTTCAAGTTGCTACAAGAGGCTCCAGCAAGTTATTTAATAGCTCTGGGCCCCAGTATTCTCATCTGTATAATGCACCTGTTAATACCTACTACATAAGAATGCTGTGAGAATTAAACGAGAATTGCGCATAGTGCCTGAAACGTAGCAGGCAGGGTAAACAAAGAGATCATTTAACTAGAAGAGAGCCATTGAAGGGAATCCTAACCAGATCCCTTTTTGTCTTTTGGTAACCAAGTCTTAGAAGATAAGAGAGAATAGTAACGTTCCTTAGGCTAGACAGTGTACCGATGTGGTGCCAAATTCCTGGGCTTGAATCCCAGCTCCACCATATACAAGTTGGGAGATCTTAGATAAGTTACATAACCTCTCTGTGCCTCAGTTTCTTCATTTGATAACAATAGTACTCATCTACTAGGACCGGTATGAGAATTCAATGAATTAATATATATAAAGTAGTCAGATGACCTCTTGGATGATAATAAATACAGGCATGTGTCACACAACAGCTTTTCAGTCAACCAACAGGTTATAATACAGTACTTTTACTGTAACTTTTCCACATTTAGATATATTTAAATACACAAATACCACTGTGTTACAATTGCCTACAGTATTCAGTACAGTAACATGCTGTACTGATTTGAAGCCATACAACATAGCTGTGTAGTAGGTTATACCATTCAGGTTTGTTTAAGTACACTCTATGATCTTCAAACAATAATGAAATCAGCTAACACTGCATTTCTCAGAAAGTATCCTCAGCATTAAGTGACAGATGAATAAATGTTGGCTATCACTGGGTTTGGAAAATTAGCCTTGAGGGCCTCCAGGTTAAGATGTCGAGTTGAAGCAACAAAAGCAAAAACAGACAAATGGGATTGCATCAAACTAAAAAGCTTCTACATGACAAAGGAATCAATTAATAGAAAGAAAAGGCAACTCACAGATTGGGTGAAAATATTTTCAAATCATACATCAAATCAGAGGCTAATATACAAAGTAAACAAGGAACTCAAACTACTCAATAACAAGAAAACAACCTATTAAAAATGGGCGAATGACTTGAATAGACATTTCTCAAAAGAAGACATATAACTGGACAACAGATATATCCAAAAATGTTCAACATCTTTACTCATAAGAGTAATGAAAATTAAACCACAATGAGATATCATCTCACACCTGTTAGATTGGTTGTTATCAAAAAGAGGAAAGATAACAAGTGTTGGTGAGGATGTGGGGAAAAGAGAACCCTTATGCACTGTTGGTGGGAATGTAAATCAGTACAGCCATTTTGGAAAACTGTGGAGGTTCCTCAAAAAAACTAAAAATAGAATTATCATATGATCCACCAATCCCACTCCTGGGTATATACCCAAAGGAATTGAAATCAGTATATTGAAGACATATCTGCACTTCCATGTTCATCGCAGCGCTATACACAATAGCCAAGATATGGAAACAACCTAAGTGCTCATTCATGGATGAATGGATTTTTTTTAATGTGGTGTATTTGTAAATGGAATACTCTTCAGCCTTAAAATAACCCAGGAAATTCTGTCATTTGTGACAACGAGGATAAACCTAAAGGACATTTCAGTGAAATAAGCCAGGCACAAAGAGACAAATACTGTGTGATTTCATTTATATGAGGAATCTCAAAAAGTCAGTCTCATAGAAGAGAGTAGAATGGTGGTTACCAGAGGCTGGGTGGCAGGTGGGAGGGTTGAAAGGGAAAGAGGAGACACTGGTCAATGGGTTTGAAGTTTCAGTTAGATAAGAGGAACAAGCTCTGGTGTTCTACTGCACAGCACAGTGACTATAGTTAATAATAATATATATTTCAAAATAGCTAAAAGAGGATTTTAGATGTTCTTGCCAACAAGGAATGATAAATATTCGAGGTGATGAATATGCTAATTCACCTGACGTGATCATTCTACAGTGTATACATGTATTGAAACAACACATTTTACACCATAAATATGTGTAATTCTTGTCAATTAAAAATAAAACAAAACTTAAAAATATAAACAAAAATCAATTTTTAAAAAGATGCCTATTTGAATATATGTCTGATGTCCCTCGCCAGTAAAGAAATTTTAAAACAAACCGAAAACATAAACTCACATGGACAAGAGGAGAGAACAGCTATAAAATATTTGAAGCTAGAAAGCAGAAGTGTGAGTGGTAACTGGATTAGCAGATCTGATAAAGCTGAACCTTAAGTCATCTATAGAGAAAGTGAAGAACCAACTTGATTTATTCCACAGAGTCCTCAAAGGGCTCAGAACTGGGCAGCATTGGGCACCTCCAGAACTGTGGATGAAAGGGTACTCAAAAAAGAACAGGAAGTGAAATCCATTGAGAAGTGATTAGATTCCCGAGTTCCCTTCTTTACTCCATACTCCTGGTGACTGCCCTTTTCCCACCCTCTCAGAAGACTGGGAGTTTTTCTGTAAAGAGGGGAAACAAAGGCTTGAGCACTGCACAGAAAACAAGGATACTTAGTTAGCACATACAACTGAATTCCAAGACCCCCAGTCCACTTTCCACATTCGTCTCCCAAAATGTCAGGATCCAGAAGCTGGAGAGAAGAGTCTTTCTTGAGGAATCTAAACAGCCTAAGAAAAAAGATCCTGAATTGGAGGTTCCCAGCACACAACCCTGAGACTACTCCACCACGAAGCTCTAATCTATCAAGGCCTTCATACACTCAGAACTTCTTAGAACAGCTTTTTAGACCCCAATCTTAGTCAAGAACAGACAGCCAAACACTGACAAAGTTCTCTAATGTGGAATAAAGAGACCCAAACAAATAAATAGTGGAAAGAAACCCCTAGAGAAAATAGTCAATGCAGAAAGAATAAAACTTTTTTTAAAAGTTGTTAATATTCCTGGAGAACAGGAGAGATTGCATCAATGAAGGAAGAACAGGATGTTATTTTAAAAAGAAATAAAACATTTGATAAACAATAACAACAACAGAAGCTCTTTAAAATGAAAATATGATGATGGAAAGAAACTCGATAGAACTGGAAACTAAACTGGAAGAAATTTCCTGAAAAATGGAGGAGAAAGACAAAGAAATGGGAAGTAGGAGAGACAATATAAGAACATTAGAGGGTAAGTACGACAGATCCAAAATCCAACCAATTGGAATTGCAAAGGAATACAGAGAAGGCTGTGGGGAATAAATCATCAACAATAGCTGAAGAAAACTTCATATTCTTATATGACTTTCTAGATTTAAAGGGCTCAGTGAGAATCCTGCAAATTGATTAAAACTAAACCTATGTGAAGGCATCTCATCGTGATCTTTCAGAACCCTGAGGACAAAGAGAAGATTTTAAAGCTTCCAGAGAGAAAAACTATACTGTATAAAAAGGAGGAAGAATCTGAATGGCTTTGGGCTTCTCAATAGCAACACCAAAAGCAAGAAGACAGTAGAGCAAAGCCCCCCAAATTACAAAAAGTTACTGAAAATTTTTCCAACCTAGGAAATTTAATTTTTTTCAAGCTATAATTCTGTAGGTAGCCAATAATCAAGGAAGTATATGGGCATAATAAAGACATCTTTGGACATGCAAAGTCTCAAAAGCTCTGCCTCCCATGTCTGCTTTCTCAGGAAACTATTAGAAGCTGTTGGAAGTAAAGCAAGAAAGAGAAGGACATGGGACATGGGATAAAGAAAATGAATTTCAGCTAGGTGCAGTGGCTGACGCCTGTAATCCCAGCCCTTTGGGAGGCCGAGGCTCCTTTGGGAGCCCTTTGGATCATGAGGTCAGGAGATCGAGACCATCCTGGCTAACACGGTGAAACCCCGTCTCTACTAAAAATGCAAAAAATTAGACGGGCATGGTGGTGGGCGCCTGTAGTCCCAGCTACTTGGGAGGCTGAGGCAGATGAATGTCATGCACCTGGCAGGCAGAGCTTGCAGTGAGCCAAGATCATGCCATTGCACTCTGCACTCCAGCCTGGGTGACAGAGCGAGACTCCATCTCAAAAAAATAAAAATAAAATAAAATAAAATAAAATAAAATAAAATAAAATAAAATAAAATAAAGAAAATGAATTTCAACCCAGGAGAGAAGTGAAGGAAGTCACCAAGAGTACGGTGAACAAAGATCCCAGAGTGACATCTGATGACGTACAGGGCACCTGGGTCAGACTGAAGCAGTATCCTCAAGGGACAGCCACAATGAGGAACATCATCACTGTGTCCATCACTGTTGTACCATCATTTTAACCTGATCAGACTGTTGGAGCATGTACTCCATTAAAACAAGGTATTAAACTAAAAAGAGGAAGATATCAAAGAAACAGAGAATCCAACTCAAAGAAAAAGGCAAATAAATAAATAAATAAATAAATAAAATAAAATAAAATAAAAAAATCCCAAGGATGGCAGCAAAAAGGAATCAGTCCCAGAAAGACAGGTATACAGCAGCCTGGCAAGCCTAGAGAAAAACCAGCCTAGATAGGAGAAGGCAAATCTTCATGAGAGATGTTTCTAACAGAAATTAAAAACAAAAAAAGAACAGTTAGATTGCTTGATGTTGTTGGCTTTATAGAAAAGTGTTTGGGAGACTTTCAGAAGTTGCAAGATAAATTAGCAATAAGTACAGAAAATTAAGTAAATAAAAAGAAGGCAATTATTAACTACAGATGAAACAAAAGGTAAGAAAGGAAACATAATCATAGTGCACGACAATGCTCAGCTGTGAATAATATTTGTCCAGGCATAATGATATAAACAGATAATATTAATCTGACCAAAAACCATAATCAAATTGCATGGGGAGGAGGGGGGACAGGAAGCAGACGGATAGAGATGATGCTGTAAGAGAACTAGATCCTCATCTAGCATAACAGGAAGTCAGTAGATAATATCTCAAATTGATAAAGTAAAAGATAACAGAATATACATGTTGTTTAGAAATATGAAGATATGTAAACCCAGGAAAAAAGCAGTTGAAAGTGGAAGACTCTAGAGAGGGGAACAGGTAGGGGTGGGGAAGGATGGGACAGGGAATCATGTTTTGTTACAAGTATATTAGCTCAATTTGATGTTTGGAACTGTGTGCACTGAAAAAAAAAAACTAATTTGAAAAATCAATTAATTTCTCTTAGCAAGAGGTGTCTCATGGCTGCCCTGACTCAAACGTAAGGCTTAGAAAATAATGACAATCTTGCCCCTCCCCAAAAAACCCAGCCTCTTATTTTTGTGTAGCTGTGTATTTCTTAAAGTATGTTATTATTTCAAAGAATTATACCCATATCAAATATCTTGGAGACGAAGAAAGTTATTCACAGGGAAGAAAATTATAACGAAGCAGGAAATTCTTAAATGCAAGTTTAAACACCTTCCTAAACTTCAACCATTGTAATTTATCATGTAGCTAATTTCCTTTTTGACTTATTGGGAAATCTTTAGGTCCCCCCCATTCCTGTGTTGTCTGGTTCAGCCCTTGGCCTGTTGATGGCCTTTTAGCTCCTTGGGACCTGCTCTGGGGGAGCTCCAGGGACTCAGGCTCCTCCTGGCTTCAGCCTGTGTCCAGTTCTTTTTTTTTTTTTTCCTATAATAGTGAGCTTTAAGATTTTTATTTTATTTTATTTTAAAAATGTTAAGAGACAGGGTCTTGCTGTGTTGCCCAGGCTAGAGTGTAGTGGCTATTCACAGGCATGATCATCATAACTACTGTAGCCTTGAACTCCTGGCCTCCAAGGATCCTCCTACCTCAGCCTCCCAAATAGCAGGGATATCAGGTGCACACCACAGTGCATGGGTCCCGTGCCCAGTTCTTTCTTAACTGGCTTATCTTCCATTTGACAGGCAAGAATGCACCCTCCCTGGGGACAGAGACCTGCTCATCACTCTGAACCTGGTACAGAAAATGCCCAAAAATTATTAGTTGAAAGAACAAATTGCTTTCCTAACCTCAGAACAACCCTGAAGTGGCTGTTAGAGCTGAAGGGATCCTAGTGTACCTAGTCCAATCACCTTATTTTGCAGAAGCTCAGATAGGAGCCAGCATGTGTTCAGGCCACTTTGTGAGTTAGATGCTGAGCTAGAGATATTCGTTTCCTGTGGCTGCTGTAACAGAGCACCACAAACTGGGTGCCTTTACAACATCAGAAATCCAAAATCAAGGTGTGGGCATGGCCAGGCTCCCTCCAAAAGCTTTAGAGGGGGATTCTCCTTTGCCTCCTCCAGCTTCTGGTAGCTTCAGGAGTTATTTGGATCACGGCAGCCTGACTCCAATTTCTGCCTCTGCTTTCATGTGGCTGTCTTCCCTCTTTGTTTGGGTGTCTGTGTGACTTCCTATGGCATCCTCCTTTTGTGTCTTCGCATCGTCTTTCTATAAGGACACCAGTCATGCTGGATTAAAGGCTCATGCTACTCCAGTATGACTTCATCTTAACTAACTGTATCTGCAATGACCTTATTTGCAAATAATAATTCAACCTATAACAGTATGGAAAACAGATTTTCTGTTCCTGGCTTGGCAGGTTTACCACTAGGTCACCTGGCTGCCCTTCTCTCTGAGTTAAGTGGCCTAGCTCCATCCCTCCTGGTAAAGATGGTTCTTCCATCTTGCTGATAGGAGTACTTTAAAGTTACTGCTTAAAGGTGAGTTTGCACTTTAAAAGGAGCTCTTAAAAATCAGAGGTTCCAGGTCAGGAGATTGAGAACAACCTGGCTAACACAGTGAAACCTGGTCTGTACTAAAAAGTACAAAAAATTAGCCAGGTGTGGTGGCACACGCCTGTAGTCCCAGCTACTTGGGAGGCTGAGGCAGGAGAATCGCTTGAACTCAGGAGGCAGAGGTTGCAGTGAGCCAAGATCGTGCCACTGCACTCCAGCCTGGGTGACAGAGCGAGACTCCATCTAAAAAAAAAAAAAAAAAAAAAAAAAGTCAGAGGTTTCATGAAGAACTAAATAAATAAAATACGTGATAAGTTGAGAGACAGAATTTCAAACTTGGTGAAAGGCAGTGGGGGAGATATTTGAGAACGTGTCCATCCTGGCATCCCTCCAGCCCACTTCCTGAGTTTTGCCCTCTACTCATGAGCCCAGACATGACAAAGGGCATTCTGACAGAGAAAGGCTCACCCTGCCTCTGAGAAGATGCAATGTCAGGACCACTGTCCTCTTCTGCTTCCCATACCTCAGCATCCTCCTTACCCTGGGGCTCCCAGCGATGGCTGGAAGGTTGGAGAAAGGAGGTGGAACGGAATGCTCCCTTAACACTCACCTTGCCCCTGTCACTTTGAGTCCATGCCTTTCCTGCCATGTTCAATAGCCTGCTCCCCTCCAGGTGCCACAATGACCCAACCAAGCCCACAGTGACAGGGAAACAGGAGCCCAGGATCATGGATCTCTTTCTCATACGGAAGAACAAGGATGATGGTCTCACCCTTTAGGATGACACAATCTTTTGAGTTGGGACGTGCTGTCTTTGCTTCTTTTCAATGGAGACCACAAGCCTCTGTGGATAACAGGCTGGCGGGTCATGCTGGTCCTGTAGTGTTTGTTTTTAAAGCCACGAGAATCAATCTGATTCATGTCCTTAATGATTCAGCCTTCCCTGTAATTGTGAGAGAGGAGAGGTTTGTCTTGCGGCCTCCACGTCTCCCTCCTGGTTATCTACCCTTCTCCCCTCCATTGCCATAAATTGCACCAATCCTAAAGGCAGTGGCCCACACCTTTGTGGTAATGTGTCACCCCCCCAGGAGTCTTCACACTGTTAAAGAGCAAAGCAGTGAGGGGACTCTGAAGGACAGAGCCTTTTGTATGAAGAGGGCCATTTGGGGATAGGGGTGAGGTTGGATGGCTTCCAGTCCGCCCTCCACTATCTGTGCTTGGAACTGATGTGGGTGGTGGGCTTTCCTGCCAGGAGCCCCATCTTCCAGCTGGAGGAGGGCCTGAAGGGCGACGCTCATGGGCTGGCAACGGCGAAGGCGGGTCAAGGGCCCAGTGAAGTGGCCACAGGGACCAGATGCAGGGAAACCGTCATGCGCTGCCACCAAAATAAACTTCAAAGGCAGTGACAAGATAGACATGCTGGGTAATGACATCCTGGAGCTTCCTTTCATCTCAGCATCTGGAATCCTGAAAACATTCATTATGCCTTCCTCCCTTTGAATGGAGGAGGAATCGTGCAGTTGTCACTGAGGCAGGACATCTCAGGCCCCTGGGAAAGAGCCCTGGGCTGGAACCAGGAGTTCCATGGGGTTCCAGCCTCAGCCCTGTCAATGCAGTGGTTCTTAGGCAAATTCCTTAACCTGAGTTTTGGTTTTGTTTTGTTTAAAAATGGAAATAATAATAATAATAATAATAATAATAATAATAATAATAAACAGGAACTTTGGGAAGCACTTGGCTCCAGGTATTGTATGAGGGCTGCACCTGCCTTATCCCAGGAGGCCCACACAGTACCTCAGGAGACCAGGGTGGCCACAGAGCCCGTTCTGCAGATCAAAAAGCCAAGTCCTTGAGAGAATGATTGACCTTGCCAGTAAGTAGAGGTGCTGGTGTATGAATGCAAGTCTGCTGGCTGCAAAGGCAGGGCCGATAGGCTGAAAAGAAAGTCTAATAAGTGGAGGTTCTTCAGAAAGTTCTGCCTTCCACAGAAGTCAGGGGCAGGCGAGGGAGCAGAGTCTGGGCCCATCCTGCCTTCCACACCAGGTCAGGCTGTGGCATCTCAGAGCCAACTTCCCTGCTGCTGGTGCTTGTGCAAGATTTAGTCAGATTTCTAGGGACTTGATGATATGGAAGGAACAGCATAGAATGTCCTAGACTAAAATGTTGTCTTGTTCCTTTCAAACCCCTCACTTGGCTTCTTAAACCTTCAGCCTAGGAAAGCCAAACCGTTCTAGCCTTAATCAGTTCTGGGAACGCAGTCACCATAGTAGGAAGAAAATTTTAACAACATTCTTCTGTGGTGTTGCTTTCTACCCCTCCCTGGGGCCGAGGAACATTATTTGATGGTGGAAAAAAAATTAGGGGTGGGGAGGGGAAGTGTCTTTTCTCCTTTTGCTATTGGAAAGGAGATTGATTTTTGTAATGAACAATGATGCACTTCAAATTAATGCCATCAAGATTCCACAGCACCATAGCCTGATCCTTGCTCTAGTACCTGTGAATGACCAGCCAGGAGAGAAAGCCCTCCAGGGCCTTGTGCCCTCTGCACCAGGAAAGGCAGCCCCTCAGAGTGCCTGTGGTTTCAGAGCTTTCTCCCCCTAAGCAGGTTTGCTGGGCACCGGGCTGAGCACCATGGTTACACTGGGTGGAGGATGGTGAGATCCCCCCACTTCTGGTAGTGAGCCATGGGAGACCACACTTGCACTGAAGGGCCAGGTGAGGAGTAGGTGAGGCGGGCACAGGAACACAGGATGGTCAGGACACGGGATGGTGTCCTCAAGTCCAGCAGGTGAGCCTGGAGGCATAGTTAGGGCCAGATCCAAAAGGTATCCTTGCAAGTCGTGTTGAATGAGTGGCGTGCCCAGTGAGGAATGGGCAATCTTGAAGGATTTTTTTTTCTCTCTTTTTTTTTTTTGAGATAAGGTTTCACTCTGTTCCCCAGGCTGGAGTGCAGTGGCACGATCTTGGCTTACTGCAACCTTGACCTACCTGGCTCAAGCGGCCCTCCCACCACCTCAGCCTCCCAAGTAGCTGGGACTACAGGCATGCACCACCAAGCCCAGCTAATTTTTGTATTTTTTGTAGAAATCTGGTTTTGCCATGTTGGCCAGGCTGGTCTTGACCTCCTGGGTTCAAGTGATCTTCCTGCCTCCGAGTAGCTACTGCCTCCGAGTAGCTACAGGTGCAGGCCACCGCGCCTGGCTAACTAAAAAAAAAAAAAGAAAAAGAAAAAAAATTTTTTTTTAAGAGACAGGGTCTCGCTATGTGGTCCAGGCTAAATCTAGAAGGATTTGAGGCAAGAACGTAGAAGAATTTAGAAAACCTAGATGATTCCTGTGTGAGAAGAGCGCCCCCGGGAGGCCTCGTGGCAGGACAGCAAGGCTGGGAGGGTGCTGCCAATTCACCAAACATAAATGACTGGGCCTGAGCCAATTCCCTGAAGACAGAGATACGCGTTATTTTTAAGCTTTTTGTTCAACTTTCTGCAAAAGAAACCACTGTCTATTGAATATTCTATGTCGCTAGTGAGAATTTAAGACATAAAGCAAGATTTCCTCAAAAGATAGTCATTGTTTTGTGATTGGCTTCCAGGGCTGGAGTATAAACTTGAGGAGATGAAATCAAACATTCATCACAGGATTTCAACATCCTTTTCTTATTTCAAATTGTGGCTGCTTGTTGTTCTTCATTTAGGGACTCACTTGGTGGTTATAATAATATTGACAGCTGACACAGAGCTTCTTCCATGTCCTGCTGGGTTCTAGGAGCTTTATTTATTTATTTTAGACAGGGTCTTGCTCTGTACCCCAGGCTGGAGTGCAGTAGTGTGATCTTGGCTCACTGCAGACTTGACCTCCCAGGCTCAGGTCATCCTCCCACATCAGCCTCCTGAGTAGCTGGAACCACAGGTGCACGCCATCATGCCCAGCTAATTTTTTTTTTGTAGAGACGGGGTTTCACCATGTTGCCCAGGCTTTCTCAAATTCCTGGGCTCAAGCAATCCTCCCACTTTGGCCTCCCAAAATGCTGAGATTACAGGTCACCACGCCCAGCCTAGGAGCTTTAAACAGATCAAATTGTTTCATGTTTACAATAACCCAAAGAGCTGCGCATCACGATTGGTTTTTTTGTTTGTTTGTTTCGTTTTGTTTTGATTTTTTGAGGCAGAATCTCGCTGTGTCGCCCAGGCTGGAGTGCAGTGGTGTGATTTTGGCTCACTATAGCCTTCACCTCCCATGTTCAAGTGGTTCTCTTGCCTCAGCCTCCCGAGTAGGTGGGACTACAGGTGCCTGCCACCATGCCCAGCTAATTTTTGTATTTTTAGTAGAGACGGGGTTTTGCCATGTTGGCCAAGCTGGTCTCAAACTCCTGACCTCAGGTGATCCGCCTGCCTTGGTCTCTCAAAGTGCCGGGATTACAGCCTTGAGCCTCCCACAGGTGAGGGCATTAAATAATCACACAGCTAGCAGTGGCAGAGCTGGGACTTGAACCCAAGCAGCCTGGCTCCAGAGCCCCACTTACCTGCCTTCTCATGATATAACATGCCCAGGACAGGCCAGCACGTAGTGGTACCAAAATGCAGGCAGGTTCTTTACCCGGAAGCATATATGCAAGGTTTTGTGTCTGTGTTCATTCTCCTGGAGGGAGAGTCTAGCTCTTGACACCTTCTTGATCCCAGTGGGTTAAGAGCCTCCAACAGTAACATTCAGGAGCCCCGGGGTCTAGCACTGCCTCTATCACTAAGCAGCAGTGTGACGTTGGGCAAGCTGCTTCACCTCTGTGCTTCAGTCTCCTCATCTGTAGAATGGAGGAGGAGCAGTAAACTATGTGATCTCAACAACTTCTTCCAGCTCTAATGTTCTATAGCTCTGAATTAGTTCTATAAATGTCTGAGCCTCTACCCTGCATAAGCCAAGGTGCCTTGCTAGGTCCTGGAGTGACAAGGAGGAAGAAGAGCATCCTGCACCTCAGAGGAGCTTGCCTTCTCATCCAGGAAAACAGCCACTAGGTCTTGTCTCCCTCAAGGACAGCTGGGGGCTGAGAGAGGAGACAGCACCATGATGTTGGGATAGCGCCCTGGGGTGACAGGAGCCACGAAGCCTGTGAGCTGGGTTTTGGACTCAGTCACCCCCTGGGCATTAGGACAACTCTAGGTGCGTCTGGGGGAGGCCTCAAGAGGGAAGTGCTAGCTGTTCTGTCACTATGGCTGTGTGGAGCCCGAACAGTGAGTGGAAAGAAAGTAAGAGACATGATCCCATATGCCCCGCAAGCTGGCTCATGGGTTATGGGTGATATTTATAGACAATACAGCTAGGATAAAGCCTAGAGCAAAAGGCCAGGTCAGCAAATGCTGCTGCCTCTAGTGACAGTGATGAGAATTGTCGCACAGAGGCTGGGATTCGAGACCTATGGTATACTCTCAGGAGTGGCAGTGTTTGGGAGATGGCTAACAGATACGATGAAGGTGCCTCCCTAAATGCATTGAGGAAGTAGCCACCCAAAAGTGCAATCTGTGGCAAATAAGTTGTCATCCTGAGCCGGATCACCTCTGGGTGATCTGATAAAGTTAGTTTTCTAGCCCTACAAGGGAGAAAGCCAGAATGACAGTGACCCAACAACAGGCCAGCGCACTTCCTGCCTGTGTGTATCATGCTCCAGTGCCCAAGAATGGGAGGGAGAGCATTGCTACGGCTCACCATTAAGATTTTAACACCATGAGAGGGTTCCTGGTGTCACTGCATGTCAGTATCACCGTGAGGAAATTCTTGCAGCCTTTAGACCCCAGTGAAGGCAAAAGGAGGCTTTACTTTTTCCAGCCCTCGTTAACCTGACAAATCAACCAGCTGTCTTAGACAAATCTTGGCAAGCGTTTGTCTTGCCTTGTTTATAACAAAACATTTCCCACCCAAGCCTGTGGTCAGGTTTTGTTTTTTAATGAATGGGAATGAGGATATTGCACTGCCTTCTCAGGAACTTCACAGAGAGTCACTACTGTTTCCTGACCTCTCCTTGGGACTTCAGGAAGCGATACTGACCTTAGACCCCAATAAAAGGGGCTTGGGTCCTGTGCCTCAGAGGGCCCTGCCTGACCCTTTCTTTGGCCACGCCTTTCATGAGGGTGGAGTGAGCGGGGCCAAGGAGACACGCTCACCTGGTGCTACACTGTGCCCTGGTGATCTAGGACCCCAAATTCCCTGCCCAAACAGCTGCAGCCTACTTCTAGGGTCCACACAGGTTCTTCCCAGAGTTCATTTTCCCAGGGACTCACAGGGTGTCCAGAAAGCAGCCATTTGCCTGGGGGTATGGGTGAAGCCTGGGCATGCACTCTGGGTGTCCACATGTGTGCTCACAAGGCCACCTGTGTCACGGGATGGACACAGCATTGGGAACAGGAGGATAATGGTCCTCTCCTCACACTGCCATTTTCCTCTGGGGAGCTCCAGCAAGTCTGAACTCTACATTTGAACCTAGCTTTCTAGCTCATGACGAATTTGTAAAACTAGGAAGATAGAATATATTTAACTTAAAATGTTTAGCTTGATGTAAAACTCTTCGATGTCTAGAGTATTGAGCCTCCAATGATATGCAAACCCTGCACCGCCAAAGGTTCAGAGCAGTTGTGTTGGCCAGAAATGATCTTTGTTGTATGCTGAGATTGTACAAAGCAAAGACCCACCTCTAGAGAAGCACTCCTGTTCCTAACTCTGAAGTCAGGATATTTTGAACAGGTAAAACAATGTAAACTGAGATAATCAATTTTAAGTTTATTTTAGAATGATGCCAATGATGTGAGTGTGGCTGTGTGTGTGTGCATGCATATTTGGATGTGTGCGGTTGTGTGTCTATGTGTGTGTGTGTGCGTGCACATGTGTTTGTGTGTATGCATGCATTAATTTTAAAAATGGTAGAAACCAATGTCTAGAGGTCTGAATCAGTGGAAAATGTTATGGTGTCCCCACTGAAAAATTCAAAATTAAAATAATCTTAAATCATCAAAAATTATTCCCCTAGATTCTGATTTTTTTCCATATTGATTATTTCCCTGTTTTGCAGATGAGAAGACTGTGGCTTGGAGACGTTAAGTGACTTACCCAAGGGCACAGAGCTCATGAACCTGAATCAGGGTTCACGCCAAACAGTGTGGCTCTGGGGCCCCGGGCTCCTGTACACTATTCTGCATGATCTCTTGGCCTGGAGAACAGACCCAGGTGGACTGGGGCCATCACTCTGGATGCCCAAAAGATGAGGACTTCTTAGGAAGTTGAGCAGCGAGCACTAGATATTATTAATAGATGTCAATAGCTGCTCAGACATAGTAATCAAATGAATTCTAAGGTCTTGAATGTAAGGAGACTCACCACTTATCCTTCATCCCTTTGCTGGTGACAAGAAGAGACCAAGGTTTGTGATGGTACTGCTGGGGGCTGCCTGTCAGAAAAAGGAAGGCATCCTGCTTGGACCGGTTTCTGCAGAGGAAGGAAAGAAAGGAAACGTCGTCCCCTGGTGGGCATCGTTGGTAGCGGCAGTAGGCAGCCGACCAGCATTAGGTATGAGGAGGATGTTAAGGCAAGGAGGTTTCTCGAGTCCTGGTGAATTATCATGTTGTAACTATCCCATGGCCATTTAAAAGGAATGTGCATTCTGCTTAAAGGATATATATGCGTCTATTAAATCAAGATGCTTTTATTGTTACATTCTTCAAATCCTCTATATTCATATATAAATCCATGCATATGAAAATATATGAATATATAGTCTAAATTCATATATATAGTCTATATTCATATATGTATATATTTCTTGTGTCAATTACGAGGGGCAGAGAGACATGTTAAAATCTCCTGGCTATAATTTTTATTTGTCTATTTTCCTTCATACACTGCTATGGTTTGAATATCCCTTCCAAAACTCATGTTGAAATTTAATTGCCATTGTAACAGTACTAAGAGGTGGAATCTTTAAGAGATAATTAGGCCATGAGGACTCCACTGTCTCGAATGGATTAGTGTTGCTATCATGGGAATAGTTTCGCTATAAAAGAGTGAAGAAAGACCCCCTTTTCTCTCTCACCCTCTCTTGCCCTTCTGTCTTCTGCCATGGGATGACACAGAAAGAAGGCTTCACCAAATGCTGGTGCCTTGATCTTGGACTTCCCAGCTTCCAGATGTGAGAGAAATAAATCTGTGTTCATTATAAATGACCCAGTCTCAGGTAATCTGTTTAGCAGAAAAAACAGACTAAGATTCCCCCAGCTGTTTTTGCTTCAGATATTTAAATACATTCAAATACGGTGTTGCTATTTGCAGTGTACAGTATGTTACTCAACACAAAAAAAAGTTTTCTACTGTGATGTCTTCACTGTGGATTGGGCTTTTTGTGTAAACTAGGCCCCTAAACCTTTGACCCTGTCCTGTTCTTCCTTCCGTTACATTTGCTTAATTGTTTCTTTGCACATTCACTCCTTTATCATTTACATTTCTGCTATTTGATATGTATCTTTTGTACAGCAGACAATGGATTTCATTTTTTGACTCAATCTGAAACCCTCCCTTAAAAATTATAATAGTTTAGTCCATTCATATTTATGTTGAAAACATATATTTAGTCATACTTCTTTTTTTTTTTTTTGAGATGGAGTTTCGCTCTTGTGCAATGGCACTATCTTGGCTCACTGCAATCTCCGCCTCCCAGGTTCAAGTGATTCTCCTGCCTCAGCCTCCAAAATAGCTGGGATTACAGAAGCATACCACCACACCTGGCTAATTTTGTATTTTTAGTACAGATGGGGTTTCATCATGTTGGTAAGGCTGGTCTCAAACTCCTGACCTCAAGTGATCCTCCTGCCTTGGCCTCCCAAAGTGCTGGGATTACAGGCGTGAGTCACCACGCTCGGCCTAGTCATGCTTCTACTTGGTGTTCTGCTTTTCATTTTTAAAATGTTCCCTTGCCTTTCCCCCCTTTTTTCTGACTTTTGGTGTATAAATTAATTTTTAAGAGCTTTATGGAGGTACAGTTGACATGCAATAAATAGCACATATTTATGTATATCAATGTATATAACAATTTCTGATATATGTGTACACCCATGAAACTATCACCACAGGTAACGCACATCTCCATCACCCCCAAAGGCTTCCCCGTGCCCCTTAGTAATCCCTCCGCCCCACATGACACCCACCCCTATCATCACTGATCTATTTCCTGTCACTCTAGATTAGTCTACTTTTTCTAGGATTTTATGTAAATGGAATCATACAGTATATACTTCTCTTTGGCTTCTCTCTCTGAGCATTATTATTTTGAGATTCATCTATATTGCAGCGTGCATCAAGAATGTATTCCTTTCATTGTGGAGTGTTATTCCAATATATAGGTATATCACAGTTTATTCACCAGTTGATGGGAATTTGGGTCACTTCAAGTTTTTAGCTATTACAAATAAAACTGCTATGAACATTTGTGCACAAATCTTTGTATGAACATATGCTTTTATTTCCCTTGAGCAAACATCTACAAGTGGAATGGCTAGATCATTTAGTAGATATAGGCTTAATTTTTTTTAAGAAACTGGTAAACTGTTTTTCAAAGTTGTACTGTCTACATTACCATCAGCAGTGTATGAGACTTCCAGTTTCCCCACATCCTTGCTAACACTTAGTATAGTCTTTGCTCTTAAGTTTAGCCATTTTAATGGGTGGGTAGTGGGATCCCATGTGGCTTTCATTTTCATTTGATAATCCTTTCGTGTGCTTATTTGCTATTCAACTGTCTTCTTTAGTAAAGTGTATATGAAAATCTTTTGCCATTTTAATTGGGTTTTATTGTGATATCATTGAGTAGCCCATGTTAAGAGTTTATTATATATTCTGGATACAAGTTCTTTATCAGATATATGCTTTGCAAATATTTTCTCCCAGTCTGAAATATTCAGCCCAAAATATTAATAGTGCTGAGTATGAAAAACTTTGCTGTAACTGTTTTATAATTTTACTGACAATTTTAGGTTTTATAGGATTTATATCTTTAACTTATCACAACATACCTTCACCTTCAACTGATATTACTTCATGTATAGCAGAAGAACATTGCAGTAGTATATTCAATTTCCCTCCCCCAATATTAGTGCTATTGTTGTCAGACATTTTGTTTTTACAAGTTATAAACCCCATGCCTCAATGTAATTTTTGTTTATACAGTCAGTTGTCCTTTAAAGAAATTTAGAGTGGGCACAGTGGCTCACACCTGTAACCCCAGCACTTTGGGAGGCCAAGGTGGGAGGATCACTTGAGCCCAGGAGTTCAAAACCAGCTTGGACAACATCGTGGGATGCTGTCTTTACAAAAAAATATAAAAAGTAGCCAGGTGTGGTGGTGTGCACCTGTGTCCCATCTACTTGGGAGGCTGAGGTGGGAGGATCGCTTGAGCCCAGGAGGTTGAGGCTGCAGTGAGCCATGGTGGTGCTACTGCATTCCAGCCTGGGTGACAGAGTGAGACTCTGTCAAAAAAAGAAAAAAAAAGAAAGAAGAAAGAAAGAAAGGAAAGAAAGAAAGAAAGAGAGAAAGAAAGAAAGAAAAGAAAGGAAGGAAAGAAAGAAAAGAAAAAAGAAAAAAAGGAGAGAGAAATTTAAATAACCCCCAAATCTTACATCTTTCCTCCTGTAGTTACCATTTCTGATGTTCTTCCTCCTTTGTGCAGATTCACATTTCCATTGGATATTTTCCTTCTACATGAAGAACATTAAGATTTATTGAAGGTGCTGCTTCTGATGATGGATTTTTTTTTCAGCTTTTGTAAATCTGAAAAAGTATTTCATCTTCACTTTTTTGTTATTGTTAAAAGCCCAGCTGTGTAATCATCTTCACTTTTGAAAGAGATTTGTACTAGGCACGGAATTCTACGTTGACAGTTTCTTGTTCAGTACTTTAAAGGTGTTATTTTATTGTCTTCTCACTTGTACTGTTTTTGAGAAGAAATCTGCTTGTACCTCCGTATTTGTTTCTGTGTGCATAGTTTTTTTATTTTGGTTGCTTTTAACATTTTCTCATTATCACTGGTTTTGAGCAATTTGTCAATGATGTGCCTTGGTGTGATTATCTTCGTTTCTTGTGCTTGGGTTCATTGAGCTTCCTGGATCTGTAGCTTTATAGTTTTAATGAAATTTGGGGAAATGTTGGCCATTATTTCTTCAATTTGTTTTTCTGCCTCCTTCTTTCAGAAACTGAAAGCACACATATATTATGCTGCTTGAAATTGTCCAAGAACTCACTGATGCTCTGTTAATTTTTAAAAATTCTCTTTCTCTCTGTGTTTCATTTTGGATAGTTTCTATTGCTATGTCTTCAAGTTCACCAACCTTTTCTTCTGCGATGTCTAATCTGCTGATAATTCCATTGAGTGTATTTTTCATCTCACACATTGTAGTTTTCATCTCCAGAAGCTTGATTTGTGTTTTTTTTTAATATCTTCCATGTCTCTACTTAACTTTTTGAACATATGGAATACACCTATAATAATACGTCTGCCAAATCCAACATCTGAATTAGTTCTAGGTCAGCTTTGATTGATATATATTTTATCTTCATTGTTAGTCACATTTTCCTGTCTCTTTGCAAGTCTGATAATCTCTTGTTAGATACCGAATGTTGTACATTTTTCTTGTTGGGTGCTACATGTTTCTGTATTCTTGTCAATAATCTTGACCTTAGTTCTGACATGCAGTTATTTAGAAACAGTTTGATCCTTTTGGGTCTTGTGTTTAAGATTTGCTAGACAGGACCAGAGCAGTCTTTATTCTAGTGCTAATTATTTCCCACTACTAAGGCAAGACAGAGTTCTCTCAAGTGTACTCCATCCAATGACCCATGAATCATGAAGTTTTTCAGTCAGCCTGGAAGGGACAGACACTATTCCTGACCCCACGTTGGTACTGGGCAGTGTTACTTCTAAGGCTTTGGGTAGGCTGTTTTGTTTTGTTTTGGTTTTAAGTCTTGGGTAGTTTCCTCACATACATATACTGATTGGTATGCATCTGAATACTCAGAGGGGCACATCTGCATCTATGTACAGTCTCTCCCTTCTGCTACCCTATCCTGCAAACTCTAGCTAGCTTCTTCTCCCAGGACTCTCAGCTCCATCTGCTTAACTGAGTTTGCCCGGATTCACCTTTCCTGTGCCATGGCCTAGAAATTCTATTAAGGCAGTAAGCTGGGACAATCATAGATAGGGGTCACTTCCTGGATTTCTCAACTCTCCGGCATCATTGTTCTTTACTGCTGGATGTGAAGTGGTTTGAAGACCATTGTTTCATATATTTTATTCATTTTTTGGTTATTGTAGGCAGGATGGTAAATTTAGTCTATTACTCCATCTTAGCTGAATTCCTATTCTTATTTTTCTCTTTAGTGATTTGGAAGATATAGAGCCTTTTAATAAGGATTATCTTTTAAATTCTTATAAACCATCTCTAAGTTCACAATTGGCTGTGGACTGAATGTTTACGCCTTCCCAAATTCATATGTTGAAATCCTAATCCCCAATGTGATTGTATTAGGAGGTGGGACCTCCTAATTTTGGAGGAAGTTAAATTATGAGCGTGGAGCCCTCATGAATCGGATTAGTGTCTTACAAAAGATGGTGAGAACTCTCTCACTATCTTTCCACTATGTGGAGATACAAGGAGAAACCGGTAATCTACAGCCTGGAAAATGGCCCTCACCAGAACCCAACCACGCTGACATCCTGATCTTGGACTTTGAGTCTCCAGAACTGTAAAAAATAAATGTTTGGTGTCTGACCCACCCCATCCCTGGCCATTTGTTATAGCAGCCTGAACTAATACAACAATTTTATATGTAATTGAGCCAATATTCTTCCAACAATTTAAAAAATAATCTATTAAATCTCTTTTGCCAATAATGAGAAACTTAGCATGTTTAACTCCCTGCTGCTCCAAATTATTATTTATTATATATATATATCCTAATAACTACTTTTAAACATTTGCATTGAGTTGGTTAAATTAATGAAAAATTAGACTTAGCAATACATTTATGTGGTTTCATTGCTTGCTACCTTATTCTAGTCAAATGCCTTTCTCCTTCTTGAGTTATTCACTTATATACATTTTCCAATCCACTGGACACGATTGTCTAATTTTTTTCAAGGGATGGGCTCGGGATCCTTCCATGTTTAGACACGTCTTTATGTTCTCATCTATGATAAATAACATTCAACCTGCTATTGATGGCTTATGCCTTGTGTTTACATATGGCAGTGTTTTTCATCACTAAAAAAAAATGTTTCTTGACTTAAAGTGCTCCCTTTTCATAACTGGCTGATCTTTTCGGTAAATGGTATATTAATAGAGATTTCCTGAACCATTCTCCTGCTTCTTGCAGTAACTCAGTGGCATTGAGGACAATGTGTTCTAGTTTCCCAGCTTGGTCTTCTTTTAAGCTACTAAATTGTGACGTGATTTTTCTCCATGCTTACTCTTAACACAGTGAGATCTCTATCCAGATTAGAGTTCGCTCCTGTCAGAGATGTGCATCCCCCTTGTGCAAAGGCACAAATGAAGAGAAAAGGAACATTTTCTATTTCTTATGGTTACATTTTGCCAGATTTGAGATCTAGTTATCTGGGTGGCAGTGGTGGAATCCACAATAACTTGGCTGAAAGTTTCTTTTTTTCATATTTATCCAGGTAGCCAGGATTAGGGGGGCCACGGTGCCCTTCCTTGATCCTATCTGGATTCTGGTGCTTCACATCCCTGACTCTTCCTCACTTCCTCGTTACTTAGATCTTGCAAATAGGGTCCTGGCAGTGTGAACCCCAGCACTTTCCTCATTGTTCTTGAAACCAGGAGGGGCCTCCACCACATTTTCCTGACGATCTCTCTGCCACCCTCACTGCTCCCTCTGAGTAGGAGCTATCTCAGCTGTAGGTCCTTCCCACTTCTTCTCCAGCCTGACTTTCCTTTCACATGTAGTGAATTGTGGGTTTCACTTCCTGCAGTTTCAGTTACCTATGGCCAACCAGGGTCCAAGAAAATTAAATGGAAAATTCCAGAAATAAACAATTCATAAGCTTTTGTTGTTGTTGTTTTTGAAATGGAGTCTTATTCTGTCACCCAGGCTGGAGTGCAGTGGTGCAATCTCAGCTCACTGCAACCTCTGCCTTCCAGGTTCAAGCAATTCTTCTGCCTCAGCCTCCCAAGTAACCTCCTGAGACTACAGGCGCCCGCCACCACACCTGTCTAATTTTTGTACTTTTAGTAGCGATGGGGTTTCACCATTTCGGTCAGGCTGGTCTCGAACTCCTGACCTCAGGTGATCCACTCGCCTCGGCCTCCCAAAGTGCTGGGATTACAGGGGTGAGCCACCGTGCCTTAAATTGCGTGTTTGTTCTGAGTAGTGTGCTGCAATATCTCATCATCCCATTTGTTCAGTGCTATCTACCTGGGAGCACAAATAACCCTTTGTCAGTGTATTCACGCTGTCTACACTACCTGCCCACTAGTCACTCAGTAGCCGTCTTGATTATCAGATTGGCTGTAACAGTATCACCATGCGTGTGTTCAAGTAATGCTTATTGTACTTTTATTACAGCACATTGTTATAATAGTTCTAATTTATTATTGTGAATCTCTTACTGCTCCTAATTTATAAACTTTCTCAGAGGTATATATGTATAGGAAAAATCATAGTGTGTCTAGGGGTCAGTGCTATTTAAGGTTTCAGGCACCCATGGGGGGGTCTTGGAAAGTATCCCCAGCAGATAAGGGGGTACTGCTGTATATGCGCTGGAGAAATTTCTTAATATCTCTGGCAGATAGAGGGCACTCTGCTCCTACATTAGTTTCCCTTTAGTCATAGTGCAAACTTAGGAAGAGTTCAACTTGTGGGTTTGCGTGACAATCTTTTTTTTTTTTTTTTTGAGACAGAGTTTCGCTCTTGTTGCCCAGGCTGGAGTGCAATGGCACGATCTTGGCTCACCGCAACCTCCGCCTCTTGGGTTCAAGCAATTCTCCTGCCTCAGCCTCCCAAGTAGCTGGGATTACAGGCACCCGCCACCACGCCCGGCAAATTTTGTGTTATAAGTAGAGACGGGGTTTCTCCATGTTGGTCAGGCTGGTCTCAGCATGATAATCTTAAACTGTAGCAAGCTTTATAAAGTGGTGTCAGCAGATTGACTATTGTCCTTGACCTGATCGATGTACACAGCTGTGAGAGCACACAGAAGTCATATTCCTTACAGGTGGATTCCTGGGTGACTGCAGCAAGGGAGAAACTGATGGCTTTGGGGCACCCGAGGGGCTGGGTTCCTTGTTTCCAAGTTTACAGGAGCTGTGGAAACTTCAGGATACCTGGATGCAAGAGGAGGAAGAGGGGCTCTACCCTTGGATACAGGCAGTCTGTGGAAAGCAGACGTGCCCATAACAGTGGGCCTGAGAGTAATGACGGGGACTGCTCTTGTGCTCAGGGCACCCGGCAGTGAGCAGCAGTGGAAAGAGCCAGGGCTTGGTTACCTACAAGACCTTAGCTGAACTTGGGCTTTACCACATATTAACCTGTGGCCCAAGAAAAGTCTCCTTACTTCATCTGTAAAGTAAGTAGTAATAACAGAATCACCCTCTGGGTTTTATGGGGGCTCAGTGGGTGCGATGCATGAGATACTTAAACAACACCTGCCACATATGTGTGGATACTCAAGGAATACTGAGCTTCCACAGTAGTTTTTGAATAAAGAGGAGCCAAAGGCTCTCTTTCCTCTTTTCTCTCTTCCTTTTTCCCCACCTAGTCTCTCCATTCTCCTTTCACCCCTTGGGGTGACTTCTTAGCCCTCTCCAAGATTCTCACTCTGGCCTGACACCCTCTTCCATTCCAGCCTATAGATCTGCCGCTGCTGCTGCCCTGCAGGGCCGTCCACATGTGTGTTTGTGCAATGCTCCTCCCCTATCCCAACCCACCTAAACTGAGCTTCCTCCACAGAGCTGTTTCAAATCCACATGGCCATTTCCTTTTCAGGAGAGTCTAGTATTTTATAACCGCCCTTCCCAAATCAGAACACAAGTAGACACATGTTCAGCTTTCCGTGTGTGAGAAATGGCCTCAAGGGTACAATTTTCTTGCGTGGTCCATGTTTCCACAGGGCCCCCTTTCTGACTTCTCCCCTGGGAGCCAGGAGAGCTGAGGAGCCGACAGAGATGGGGCACACACACTGGGAAGCCAAGCACGTTAGATTTACTAGGGTCATGTCTGCAGGTGAGGTAACAGCACACACATACAGAAATTCACGGGCAGAGATGCCACCGCAGCATCACCGTCAGACACCAAAGCAGCAGGAGGGCTCAGGAAGTGGCTTTGGAAAGTTCTCGTGAAAATCAAAGGGCAGCTTTGGTGCTCAGAGATTCAAACAGAAAACTATACAAAACCAACCCATAAATATATATATATATATAATATGTGTATATATATAAAATTGCAAAATAAAAGCCCAAGAAACTAACCACCGATCTGCACGTCAGTGGCTCAAAAAGTGTTAGCATAGAGAAAGGCAAAACCATCTGTGGGGGTGATGCATACTCAAGGGGGCCGGCATTTCAGTAGCAGAAAGAGTATTTACATGGAACCCCTATTTGAAACCTCACAATACTAGGAAAAGCTAAACACAGACAATGTATGTACAAGGGAAGACAGTAAGTACTCTTGCGTGACGATTGTCAGACACAGACATTTCACTGAAACCATCCATAGCTTTAGAGAACACTGCATTCTATCTAGACTGGGTTCCTGCTTGCCTGCACCCCAGCCAGGCGATCTCAGGCTCTGGACCGTATGTTCTCCCCCACCTGGCCTCTTCCCGGAGAGAGCAAACACTAAGATGTTGGTTGCAGCATAAATTGCAGGAATTTAAAGGTGGGGCAGTCCTTGGGTATCAATCAATCACCCACAAAGCAGGACCAACAGGTGTGAGGTGGAGTGGAAGTGTGGGGGTGGGGTTCCCTGAAATATATTCCCATTTTATAATGTGTTTCAAGTGTGGCCACTCTGCCCTTGGTCCAATTGCCATCCTCCTTCTGATTCACGTTAAAAGGGGAGATCTGGCCTTTGGGTTTTTAAACATTATACAAGATAATTTGCTGGGGGAGAGAAGAGTTTAGGGTCTTTCTACAGTTATTCTCCCACCACCCCCCAAACTCTTACGTTTTCTTTAAACTACCTAGAGATAAGCAATTTGCCGATCACAGCTGGCCTCAGTTCGGGACACAGTGGGTGAGGAGAGGAGCCCAGGACCTGACTCTACTAGAAAACTGCCAGTGCTTTCTCACACTGAGCCTCAGACTCCAGCTCTGCCTGAACCCCTTCCCTGCACCAATAATGATCATTTCTCCCCCATCTGCAGGCCCCAATTTCCCATAGCAATGACCCAACTTTTGGGAAAATCTAGAAGGTAAGTGGCACCAAACATCAATATAGCCAAACCTAATATCACCTAAGTATGAACCAATGCGACCCATTGTTTCTGTATACATAAGAACACTCCCAGCTGGAGATTCTTCCTAATTGTTCCTAAGATGAAAAGCCTACATTCTCAAGGGAATTGTCTCTATAAAAATGATGAAAGGTGTTCTCCACTAAGGGACACCCCACTGAAGTCCCCACACTGCTTCCCGGTGAGCGTGGCTGCTCATTGTGAGAGGTAAAGGGATGTTGGGCATTCCTTGGTGACCGAGCTCTACGTGTGGTCTCTCATTTATGACAGAAAGTGTGCCACATCTGAATAGGTTGGTTAGACGGGGCTTCTGGAAGTAATTACACTCCATGTACGCTTTCTTATGTTATGGTGCAAGTGGAAATGTGCACAGATAACCAATGTGCACATTTCATGAGTTTACAGTCACTACAGGCCTCTTACTTCTTGCATTAAACTATCCCTTTCAGAACAGATGTGAAACAGATGATAGGCTGCCTCACTGGCTTTTAGATTGTAGGGTGCCCTGTCCTTTCTGTGGGAGTGGAGAGCTTAAATTTAGCCTCTCCCTCATTTCTTTTCAGACTCTTTGAGTGCTAAGGTCTTAGAGTTCAACTGAGCTCCAGTGATGAGAGAGAATGTAAAAAGACCTGTTTCCTCTATGCTCAGTCAACTGCGACTGTGCCAACCAACTCTAGGGCTTCTGCTGACCTGCATGTGTAAAATGAGTAAGGGGTAAATGTTCTCTCATTTGTTCACTAGTCAAGAACTGATTACCCTTGTCCCAAAACTAGAACATAAAATTCACACAAAAGAAAAAACGTGTCAGCTGGCACAGTGGCTCATTCCTGTAATCCCAGCACTTTGGGAAGCCGAGGCAGGTGGATCACGAGGTCAGGAGTTCAAGACCAGCCTGGCCAACATGGTGAAACCCCGTCTCTACTAAAAATACAAAAATTAGCTGGGCAAGGTGGCGGGCTCCTGTAATTCCAGCTACTTGGGAGGCTGAGACAGAAGAATCGCTTGAAAAACCGGGAGGCAGAGGTTGCAGTGAGCTAAGATTGCACCACTGCACTCCAGCCTGGGCAACAAAGAGCAAAGCTCCGTCTAAAAAAAAAAAAAAAAAAAAAAAAAAAGAAAGAAAAAGAAAAAACATGTCATGCAGACCTATGCGTAGGCTGTGTGTTTACCCTCCACATACCTTCATGGAAAAATTGAAAATTATTTTTAGACTTTCAGAGGCGAATCATGCTGTTGGGCAAATGGTTCTTTCAAATCCATGGCAATCAAAGAAGTGGATTTATAGCATTTTCCCCCACACTAGCAGTAGCCCTGCTACAACAATGCCAAACATCTGAATGACTGTCTTGCCATGTCACCATGAGCAAGTGACGGTATCATCCACAGGGAATGGGATTCAAATTCAGTCTACATGGATCAGTGGCAGAGGGCAGTGCTTTACAGTGGGGTTCTTACTGTAAGAACTTACTGCTCTTCATCCAATTTCCCCCAAGTCCTTTAAAAAGAACTTATCTGTTCACAGAGGAAGAACCCTGTTTTAGTTATAGGAGAGTGGAGGGGGTCAACTGGCCAAAGTAGGACAGTTACTTGGGTTGCATGCAGGCCAGGAGGCTCTTAGGGAGTCCAGATCTGGGCTAGAAGGTGTCTCTTTCTGCAGTTTGGGAGGAAGGTCACATGGTATGGACGGTTCTCTCACACCACTGTTGGGTGCAGCCAACACTACGCAAGGAGCCGTTGGAGCCAAGCCTGTCTCTGCGAAACCACTAATCCTTCTTGTCCTCTCTCCTCCTGCCTGCCTTGCGATGGAAATAAGCTCAGAAACCTCTCCACTTCCCAGCTCAGCCAGCCACAGAGCAGCACATTGGTTCAAATGTTACCCTTTTCTCTGGCACATCCAAGCACAGTAGCTCAACCAGACATGAACCTACTGCCCACCAAATCTGAGCTCTTGAATACACATTTTCTCCAGTCAGATATTGGTCAAAGTTTTCAGCCAACTTTTATCCACAGCCAAAGAAAATGGCCTTTCCTTTCTAATAGCCTGTAGATTTGTTTGGACCACATGTCTGTTTCTGTAGCATTTGGTGCATGTCCTCAAGCCTGGAGCTAAATGTGCCACATTCTGTGCAAGGGAAGAAGAAATGGCAGGATGGCTGGACACCTCTCCCAGCAATTCTACACCAAGACAAAATAAAACTGGAAACATTAGCTCTTTGAATGCTCCCCTCTCCTTGTTGAAAATCCCTCTTAAGGTGCTTTATCCAAAGACTTTTATGGAAATAAATTTTGTGTTGGAAACTCACTATCTGCTGTAGAGGAAACATCGTGTAAAGCAGGCCATCAACTATGTTTTAGTATTGACATTTCAAAAAGGCCTCATAGCTCCCATGCCACCATCCCACGCCCATCCAGTCCACAGTCTCCATTCAGCCACCAAAGGGATTTTCCTAAAATGCAATTCTGATCATGACTCTATCCTGATTTAAAGGCTCCAGTGGCTCCAAACCCCTTCCATGACAAGTCTAGCTCCTCCACACTTCCTACCAGTTTCCTTAGGATTCAGCCCTGCCTACCTATGAAGGGACCCCTCAACCCCTGAGCTTCCACATCATGCTCTGGCAATGCCACGTTGCTCAGCGGAACCCATCATGGCATTTCATGCGTCCACACCTTTGCACATTCTTCCCTCATTGTGGCATGCCCTGCCAATCCTTTCATTCTACTGGAAATTTACTCTTTGTTTTAAAACCTTAGCAGCCATTGCTTCTCTCAGGGTTTCTCTGGTCCCCAAGATAGTTAATTGATGCTTTCTTATGCCACCTTGGTACCCTTGCCTGTTTTGCAATTTGTCTATACACCTCCTATGCTCATGAACTTCTTGAGGGCAGGAACTATGCCTATCCTCATGCCTGGCCCTTGACCCAAGCTCAATGCATGTTTTTGGAATGCATGAGGAATGAACCAACTGACAGGTTCATCTATCAATAGAAAGTGGGCCCATGGCATAAATTCCCAGAATAATGCTGCAGCAAGACTCCACCCAATGAGGCCTAAGTGAGGCCTCATTGTCAAGGGAATAGAGTGTGTTGAATGCAGAGGCAATCAACATCACCCCCGAAGTAGAACAACTCGCACACAAAAGGCTGCATCAGAGGTCGTGTTCACCATTCTCACAACATCGTTTGCCACTTATTATTCTAGTCATAATGATGGCTCTCTTTCAACGTCAGCATAATGCCTGGTGCTCAGTGGATCCTTAACAAATACCATGTAAGGATAAATGAATAAGTGTGAAATCTACTTTTTAAAAGAAGGCATCAAGGGATTGGCTTTTAAAGGCATTTCCCATATGACAGATTTTTCTGAGGCATGAGTGGGTTGTCCCTCCTAAAATTTGACCCAATCAGGAAGTAGAACAGAGATGGAGCCTGGGGTAGCAGTTAGGAATCTGCACTAGAGAGACACAGTGTCAGGTTTACCTTGGTCCTAGGTCAGTTTCCTTCCTTCTCAAGAAATAGCCAACTATGGATGGTATTTCCCGCCCCAACCAGAAGGCTCTTGCCTCTCCTTTGTCAGAGGCACACAGTAGCATCACCACAGTCCACATTGACCAGGAACTTCACGTGCAGTGATGAGGATGAGCACAGGGTGTTCCCTACCTTTGCTTCACGTGCTAACATTATGCAATGGAGAACAGTCATAGAGACAAATCCTGGATGAAAACCACCACCCCTGGGGATTAAAGTTGTCTGTTCACCATAGCTGTTAAGAGCAAGGGCTCTGGACTCAGACTGACCTGGATTCAAATCCAGGATCCAGATCTTTCTAGCCAAGTCAGCTGGGACAAGTCAATTATCATTTTAGGGGGTCAATTTCCTCACCCACAAAATGGGAATGATCTTACCCCCCTCAAAGGATTACTGTGAGGGTTAAAGAATGTAATGTATGTGAAGCCTGCACAGTGTCTATAGATAGCAAGTGCTCAAAAGTGGAAAACTATGATTAAGAACTTTCAAAAATATTTTCACGATAGTCAGATCAAAAGGAAAAATATTCTTTCAAGACACGGTGCTTTCAAGAGAATGGATTGTCTAATTTTTAGGAGCCAACAAATGCTCATTAATCAATGCCCCACGGAAGAACATGAGAAGACAGTGTTGGCATTTAAAACAATAACTGTGGCCATTACCAGGCCCCAGGATGGACAGATAGGGACAAGGACAGGGATACCCAGCATTTCTCTGAGAGCTGGTGCAAGAGGATTAATCCTGAAGGGCTCATTTCTGATTCTCCTCTGCTGGACAAAGAATGACTGAGTTGGAACCTCAGAGGGTGCAAGTCAAGGTGCCAAGAGTAAGATGCCAGTTTCGGTCTGTAAGCAAGTGTTTCTGGGGGTGAGGGAAGGTCAGGGGAAACCTGACCACTGGACAGGAGTGAGGCAGGTACAGTGCATTGCTCCAGGTGTCATGCAAAGCTAGAAAGTCAGCATTTCCTCTGTTGTTTTGATCCTCCTTATACAACCCAAAGCCAACAGAGGATTTCAACTTCCCCAAATTTCTGCCCTGAGCATTAAACAACTTTTTCCTATGCTAAATTTGGTTTTAGTTTTGAAGTGCCTGAGATGCACAATTCAAAGGGGTCAAGTTCCTGGCCTCTTATGTTGATGAAACCATCCCCAATCCTCAGCTTACATGGCTTGCCCCTATGCCTACCACCTCTTATAGCTCTTCCATCCATCATTCAAGAGGTTCCATGAAGAAAGCTCAGGGTTAATGTTTGGGGTAGTACAAGCTAAGCCATCAGCCCTTGGGAACAAAGATTACTTTCTGTTGGAGGGGTCAATTTGGCTAGTCACTTTGAGCAGCAGGGCAGGGACCCAAAGTGGAAAAGAGAAGAGATTTTTAAATGTAGAGATAGCTCCATCCACAGGAGATTGGATTCCTGGGAAGAAATGGACCTTACTCAGGGGAAGCCTTGACCTCTGATTTAGTCTGAGCCTGTGAGAGCTCACGGCCCATTTCTGGCCTTCTTGCCCTAGGCTCAGATTGGTGGACAGCATCCAAACAAAGGCAGCCCACAACTAGGCAGTGTTGTGTAGTAGAAGGAGCACTGGACTGGAAGTCAGGAGACCTGAATTCGAGTGCAGGCTCTGCCGCTAACTAGCTGTGTGACCTTGGGCAAGTCACCTGATTTCTCTTGGGCAACTGTAAAACGAAGGGTTGGTCGGGTGATCTCTAAGTTCCCCTTCCGAATGTGGTCCAGGGTCCTACTCTATCCCTCCTTAGCCCTGTGCTTGCAGGGACAGAGATGGGAGAAGGGAAGGGGAGGAGAGAGAGGAGGCAGGAGGGAGCCCAAGGGTGTCATGAATCAGGACTCCACTTTCTCCTTCTTTTTGCTCTTTTTCAGGAAGGAGGGGGTTCGGAATTTCTTTTTCTTCTTTGAGGGAGACTTGGAAGGTGAGCCCTCTGGGGACATGGGGCCGCTGGTGACCGACTCGGTTTTGTCCTTAGAGGTATCAACATCCGTGTCAGCACTGGTGGTCATCTGGCTCAGGCCTTTGCTGAGGATTTCCTCTGCCGTCTGCTCCTCCTCCCTCCCGTTGACCACCACCCCTTCCGGCTGGGTTGTTTCGGGCTCTGTGGTGGCGGCTTTGCTTGTTTCTGTCTTCTTAGTACCTTCTAGAAAAAGATCAAAAGATATGACCTGTAAGATTTCATTCAGGTGACAGCTTCCACCTGGGGCTAACAGAACCATTTCTAGGGAATTCTATAAAATCAATCCAGAGCGAGGGGAGGGCCAGCCTGATGTTGAGGGATGGCTACCAGAGACAGATGGAAGGACTGGGTTCTGATCTGCACCTTCCATGTGGCCTGTCCTGGGAACACCCCCTTGCAGGCTGGCAGCTCTGGGCTCTTGTCTATGAATTTAGATGGATATTAATGTCTGAAGTGGCAGGAGGCCCGGCTGGGGTCCAGCTCAGAGTTTTTCTAGGCAAGAAAGAAGAAACAGACACAGAGAAAGGAGAAGGCGTGAGGTGTACAGCTTGGTGGAGACATCTAAGCATTGCTGTAACCAGTTTAGTTTCACCAATAAAAACATGGAAATTACATGTCCTCAAACCCATTTCATTTTCTACACCAGTGAGGAACTCCAAGAAATATGGAGAATATCTTCCCAGTAGGCAGAGGGAGAGTGGAATTCCTTATATAACACAGACCCCATATTTCCAAGACATGTTAGTCAAAAGGGGAAGACCCCTGGTCAGCCCTTTCTAGCAGCCACTGGGGCCCCCAGGTCTTTATTCCACCTGGGAATCTGTCGGGATCGCGGGAATGTTCAAGGCCAGAGTTACTCAGGCCCCAGAAACCAAACCCTCCTGCCACCCTTTCTCCCCCTCCCCACTCTCACTCAACCTTGCTTCCACACAACCTTTCAGATGCCTGGATGGGGTGAGAGTCAGGGAGATTGTAAAACCACAGACTGAAAAGTAGAAAGCAAGGTAAATATTATCTGATGCCTCTCCTCCCCACTGCACAGTTAAGAAGGCTGAAGAACACAGTACCATGGTGGGCAGACCTCGGCTTACCAACTTCCGGTTCAGCTTCTTCTCACGACGGGAACTGAAAGGAGTGTGTGTGGGTGAGCACGTGTGAGTGTGTACAAGTGTGTGTGAGTGTGCAAGTGTGTGTGTGGGTGTGTGAGGGTGTGCAAGTGTGAGTGGGCAGGTTGTGTGTGGTGTAAGTGTGTAAGTTTGAGTATGCAAGTGAGATTGTTTGCCATGAGTGTGTCTGTGTGTGTGGTGTGAGCATGTGCGAACCAGTGTGTGTGACAGTGAGTGGTATATGAGTGTGGGAGTGAGCGTTTACAAATGTGTTTGTGTAAGTGTGTGTGAGTGCACATGAGCATATGCGAGGGTGTGAATGTGTGCGAGTGAGTGTGTGACACACCTGTGTGGTGTGTGTGTGATGGGCACATATGAATGCAGTGTGTGTGTTGCCACATCACAAGAAGGAACCCGGCATGCTGAGGTGTATGGAATCGTGGGTGATGTGGAAGGTATAGTCAGTGTTACAGAGGGAGCGAGTGAAGGACTCAGTTTTAGGAGAAGCCTGGGGTCTTAACAGGGGTGAAGTCTGGGGAAGTGCACGGTTACATGGAGGATGGGACAGAGTGGGGTAACTTGTGGACAGTTAAAGTGGACTAGTGAACCACCTGGGCCAGATCTCCCTGTAACAAAGTCTTTGCAACTCCTGACACTGCTGGGCAAGTCAAAGTGCCCCCTCCAGACCACTGCGGAGCACCAGCTCCCTCTTGGTATCAAAGACTTTGGCCACTGCTCCCAGTCTTCCCACTGCCCAGCCCATGTCCTGTCATCCTCATCCAGTGTCCCATCCCGTCCCGCCACGTAATACTGTGGCCATCACTTGGCAGTACTCTTGAGTGCCATAAACCAGGCTGGACACAACCATCTCTCTGTCCACTCTCCTATTCCCACTTCGCCTGCTTCCTGCCATACCAAGCTGCTGGTCCTGGACCTCTCACTGTCATCCCAGCCCATTCCCCTCTGGAAGGCCCTTCTCTCTCCTCTGTGTCCCCAGCCTTCACTCCATATAATGAATCACCTTGAGTGTTACTTCTTCCTTCAAGTCTCTCCTGATCCTCGTTCCCACTTCCAGGTAGAGTTTATCACTCCTTCCTTTCTGCCTCTGCTATCTAAACTTCCATCACAGCATCTGCAAAACGATCACACTTGTTTTTTTGTTTTTTTTTTTTTCCCGAAACAGTCCTGCTCTGTCGCTTAGAGCTGGAGTGCAATGGTGGAATCTCGGCTCACTGCAATCTCCACCTCCTAGGTTCAAGCAATTCTCCTGCCTCAGCCTCCCAAGTAGCTGGGATTACAGGTGCCCACTACCAAGCCCAGCTAATTTTTGTATTTTTAGTAGAGATGGGGTTTCACCATGTTGGCCAGGATGGTCTCGAACTCCTGACCTCGTGATCCGCCCACCTTGGCCTCCCAAAGTGCTGGGATTACAGGCGTGAGCCACTGCATCCAGCCCACACTTGTTTTTTATGCCTATCTCCTCCCCCTTCTACACTGAAATGAATTAGGGCAAAATTGTGTCTAATGACCTATGTCACTAGCTCACAGAAGGCACTCAGAAAAGGTCTGTGGAATCCATGAATGGTTGAAGGCATGAGCAAATAAATGAATATGTGAATGGATTTATTCTAACCAAGCCAATATCATCACCTAATCTTTTCTTATCTATCCCAGCCTGAGCCTTCTAAGCTGAACTGGATCCACTCATGTAAATGAACACCAGCCCTGAGTGCTGGCCTTTGTCTCCTGTACCTATGCCCTGGTCTTCCCTCTCATCTTCCTGGGCTCTCCAGGGCTCTGCAACTTCAAACTAGACCCTCACTGCAGGGCCTTCACTTGGATGATACATTAGGATGCATTTCTCAAGACTGACCCTTGGCGCTCTCCTCTAAGATGGTTGGGGCACTTGCCTTCTAGCTCCGTGAAGACAACTATGGATAAGAGGGGCTCCCACTTTCTGTCCAAGTGTCATTTCCTGCCTGGTGGCAATGAGTATCTTCACTCCAATGGCCTCCTTCAACCATGCCCCTCATCCATGTCCCTTTGCCCATACCTGCCCTGCTGTCAACCTAAGCAACAGCCTCAGCCCCTGGTGTGTGTCTGGTTTAGGAGAGCAACACCCAAGGTTCTTCTCACCATGTAGAAAGTGGGGGCCACAGATGGTGCATCTGCCATGATTCAGAGAGGTTCCACATCATGAATTGTTTGAGGAGTCATAGCAAATGGAAAATGGGGCTTGGAGGAGCCAGGTTCCCAACTAAGGTCACCACTCCCTCAACTATAGAGTCAGAGACCACTGGAGGGTTCCACTGGCCAAGAGAAGGGACAGGGCTCCAGAAATCAACATGTGTTAGGCCCCTGGAAAGTACTGAGGACAGGCTCTGATAGCCTAGACCCCTCCTCTGTCAACAGGCTGAAAACCAGGCTGGGAGAGGCCCCAGGAACTAGGGTCAGATGGGAACTCACCTTCTAGCCTCTTCTAAGAAGAACCTTTGACTTTATCTCCTGAATGGTGGGAACCTGGAGCTCTGGGAATAGGGGATATTGTGGGGGTGAGTAGAGTGGGGCAGAAGCTGGAAAATGGGGGCTCTGTCCAAGGATGGTGACTGGAAAGCTGGGGGAGAGACAGGAGGCAATGGGAGAACAGGTGACGGGAACGAGACTGGACTCTGAAGTCAGGGCCCACACCCAGACCCTGTGGGTTGGGAGACAAAGGACTAAAAGGCTGCTAGAGGCTGGAGGAGGAGGGGGGCTTCTGTGGGAGGCGCAGAGCTGGTTTGGACACACTGCCTCTCCAACTTGATTTCTCACTAGCCCACAGCCTCCAACCACTGGCTGTGTCTTGGCCACCAATGAACATGTGGTGGTTAATTTTAATGTGTCAGCTTGACTGGGTAAGGGATGCCCAGATAGTTGATAAAACAATATTTCTGGGTGTGTCTGTGAGGGTGTTTCCAGAAGAGATTCGCTTTTTGGTGGGGGGATGGAATTTCGCTCTTGTCACCCAGGCTGGAGTGTAATGGTGCAATAACTCACTGCAACCTCTGCCTCCCGGGTTCAAGTGATTGTCCTGCCTCAGCCTCCCGAGTAGCTGGGATTACAGGCGCATGTCACCACGCCCAGCAAATTTTTGTATTTTTAGTAGAGACAGGGTTTCACCATGTTGGCCAGGCTGATCTCAAACTCCGGACCTCAGGCGATCCACCAGCCTCAGCCTCCCAAAGTGCTGGGATTACAGGTGTGAGCCACCATGCCCGTCCAGGATTAGCATTTGAATCAGTAGTCGGAATATAGAAGATCTGCCCTCACCAACATGGTTGGACACCATCCAATCTGTTTAGGGCCCTCTCACATAGAACAAAAAGGTGGAGGAAGGGCAAATTCTCTCTGTTCTTGAGCCGCGACACCCATCTTCTCCTGCCCTGAAGCTTAGAGCTCCTGGTTCTCAGGCCTCAGACTCAGACTGAGTTACACCAGTGGCTTTCCTGTTCTAGAGCCTGGAGACAACATACTCTTCAGCCTCCATAATCACATGAGGCAATTCCCCTAGGAAGTCTCCTCTTATCTCTCTATATATCCCCTTGGTTCTGTTTCTCTGGAGAACTCTAATACAGTCCCCTTCCAGGAATGCCAGCTCCCCCAGCTTCCTAGGCACCACCCCTGCACA
The DNA here is from genome assembly GCF_000001405.40 of Homo sapiens. NCBI lineage: Eukaryota > Metazoa > Chordata > Mammalia > Primates > Hominidae > Homo > Homo sapiens. The sequence goes on from NC_000002.12 coordinate 70,668,326, forward strand.
GCCCATGCCACTCCTGTCTGCCGCTCCAAGCATGTACCTATCCAAGGTCTGGCTCAAGCCACACTGCATCTGGACAGCCTCCCCTGACATTGGACAATGAGCTCGCCTTCCTGTAAACCCACTGCTCACATATTCATTTTACACTTGCATGTGTCATTTATCTTTTTTTCTTTTGAGAGTCTATTCATCACCCAAGTACACTGTTTATGACAGAAACTCTTTTACGTCTCTAACAATCATCATGCAGCTCAGTGACAACATGTTCAAGCCATGTTTACTGCTGCTGACGTCTGCCAAGTGAGGTCAGATGAAGGCTCAACAGAGGATGCCTTGTATCAGCTCAGCAGCTGGGCTCTTCTGTGGCCGTGCACTGGGGTAAAGACATGGAGAAGGAATATGGACCTTGCATAATTGAAGGAGCAAGGCTGCCTTTCCTTCTCTTGCCTGCTGACATCTCAGGCTCAAACACATGACCTCTTGCCTCAAGCCCCCCAGCTTTGAGAAGCCCTCTCTTTGCAGCAGGGAAGACACCAGTGGAGGGCCTAGAAACAGGATTTGCTGACGCGCTTCTGAACACAAGGTCAATCAGATGGATCCTGACCTACATTCCAAATGCAAGGAGAACTGGTCACTGCCATGTACAGCTTTTACTTTTCTCTTGAAAAGGCAGTGCCACACCATTGCATAGAGAGGTCATAGAGAGATTCATTAAAGACCTTGAAAAAAAACATGTCCTATGTTGACACAAGGGCTGGGCACTCATGCAGCAACAGTCAAGAAGGCCCACGGGTGCTCAAAGAACAGAGCAGAGGGGAAGAAGAGCAACAAGCTGAGCTGCCCATGGCCGACCATTGAGCTGGATGCTGGCCACGCAGAGAGGTTTGCAACAGAGTTTCTGTCTGGGTTTAAATTCTCAAACATCCGTGTCTGAAAGAATCACCCAGAGAGCTTGTGAAAATGCATCTTCTTTAGTGTTGTCCTCACAATAAACTGAAACAGAAGGTGGACCAAGAAATAGAGATTTTTAACAAGTCCCCAGGTAATTCTGATACAAAAGGCCCATTAGCCACACATTGAGAAACATAAGTTTAGAATGCTATGCTTTATCCGACGTTTACTTACCCCCAAAAACTGAGAGTACCACTGATAAAAAAGAAAGTAGAGCTTCTCATAAATGGATGCAGTGGACTCTGTGACTCCCATCCACTCACCACAGCTAGGATACAAATGTTCCTCTAAGTACCCAAATATACTTTCAGTATCTGGTAGAGCTTGTGTGCAAATATGACCCCAATGAGCTATCCCTCCGGGTATCCACACTGAATCTGGGCTGGCCCTGTGGCTGGCAAAACCAATAGAATGCAGTGGAAGATCCACAAAGCAGGCCTCAGGCCAAAGACTTAAGAAGGCCTAGCAACTTCTATTTTCACAGTTTTGGGAGCCTTATACCACCATGTATAAAGTCCAACAACCCTGATGGAAAAACATGTAGAGAGGCCGCATGGGTGGGCCCTGAGACCACATAGAGGGAGAGAGAGACAGACAGAGAGACAGACAGACAGACAGACACCCAGCCATCTCAGTGTCCCAGCTGAGCCCAGCCTTCTAGCTGCCCCTGCTAAGGTACCAGGCATGTAAGTGCACCATCTTGGAAGTTCCAGCTTAGTCAAGCTCCCTACTGACTGGAGCCCTCCGCAGATATCACATCAATTAGAAATCATCCAGCTAAGCCCCAACAACCCCAGTCAACCCACAAAAGAACTAATTTCCGTAATACTAGTTCTTATTCTATACCATGACTTAAATCAAATATTATTGCTGCATCACAAACCACCCTAAAACTTAGTGGCTTAAAACATCAAGTACTGTATTAGCTCTCACAATTTGGAGAACATGGTAGATAAAAAGGACTAACTTATGTAAAGCATATTACAAAGTACTTTTATATTCAGTAGCTCATTTTATCCTGACAACATGCTGTGGGTTAGGAAAGGCAGATTCATGTTATTCCCATCCAGCAGTGTTTTTAAATGACTTGTTTGAGATGGCTAGATTAGTTAGTGGCAGAGCTGATCATGTGATCATGTGATGTCAAATACAGGGCTATTTCTTTGCAGGCGTAGCCAGTTGCCCTGAGGGTTCAGCAGAGGATAAGGTGAGCTGGGACAAGGGTCTGACAGGAGCTAAAGAGAAGGTGATAGCACAGATGACCAGATGCAAAGGCTCTCTCTGATGGCCAGCCTTCAGAGAGGCTGATGGGGTAGGAGTCAGGTAGACAGATGAGGAGTGACACTGAGGCGACTCAGCATAAGAGAATTGAGGACATGGTGGCAAATGGTTGGAAAAAGCCATCCCTGATCTGATGGGTGGGCTAGATGTGAAAGAGCAGAGACTTGCATGGTGGGTCAGTTCTGTCTGCCCAGGAGTCCAGCAAGCCTGTGAGCAGCCTGGCCAAGGCTTCACACCGGGCTCCCCACCCAACTACAGCTTGTGTCCTCGTCATGCAGGGTCTGCTCCAAGGTGCCATGCTCCCTAGCTCTGTCTGTTATAGGAAGTGGGTTATGGGAAGTATCTTCAAGACAACTCTTCTAACAACTCAACCGTGGGCCCCTCCAGGGGAAGAATGAAGAATCCTGCTATAGGGTGTAAAATGTCAGGCAGTGGGTAAACAGCTACCCCACCCATTGCATGCCCTTCCTGGCCCTTGTCCCACTCCTCCATGAGCCTCCTCTCCAGCCCTGGATTTCCTTCCTGCAGCTGGAACACATGTCCTGAAGACCCTAGCAGACCAGGCCCTCTATGCATCCTTATAAGGCAGTTCAGGCTCTAGCCCAAAACCTAGATGAGGCCACAGGTTCCTTCAAGGTGCCTGTGCATTAGGAAGAGGGGTAGGAGTGAGCGCCTGAGAGCCGTAAGCACTCTACCACCGGGAGTGCCCGAGAGTTGGCCCTACTGCCTGCAAACTCTTGGGAGCTTGTTGCTTCTGGGCGTGTGTGCCTGTGTGTTTGTGTATGTGTGTGGCCTATGTGTGTATATCCACATCTCATGTAGAGAAGCCTAATCCATGCATAGTGCATGTGGAATTGGCCATGAATTTTACAGCCAGGAAACTTCCCAAAGGCAGAGTTGTGAGTCGCAAAAGAAAAATGTGGGGAGAAATCTATTTCTTTTGAAAAAAAAAATCCTCCCTCCCCCATTGCAAGGGTTGCAGTGAGTTAGTAAACAGCCTCTCTATACTTACTACAGAGACAAGTATTCAGAATCGGAGGAAACTCCTTTGATGAAGGCACAAATGGGAAGAGAAAGGAAGACATTGTGGAGACAGGTTGACAACACCACAGTGAGACACAATGAACACAACAGTCGGGGTACATCCACTTGGGGCTCTGGCCTCAAGCAGACGGGTTTCTTCTGGCAACACTGGGCCTGCACAGGAGGCAATAGTTTGCTTGTGGAGGGAGCTCAGGGTTGGGGGATTCTATCAGAATCCACACGTGTGGCCGTTCTACTCCAGAGGGAGAAGATTCCAATAGGCCACCAGATTTCTGCTCTCTGGGTAGCAGGACAGCTCTGTCTGGTGGGGGTCTCCGGGGACCTGGGATGGAGTGTGCATGCCCTGGAGTGATTCCAGGAGCTCAGTAAAGATACTTTTATGATTTAGGTGGCCAGGAACTATAATTCTTATCCACTTTATGTATACTATTAACCATAACCGTAATTGCATCTTAAATTATTTAAGTCCTGCTTTTACTCTTTCAAAGTATGTTTTCACCTACACTTCCCTTATACATATATAAAAAGGGACTATATGAGTAGCCCCATCTGACAGTCAACAAAACTGAGGCTCAGAGATGCTGATTTGCTAAAATTAGCTGTTATTACTAGTTAGCAGTTCAGTTGGGCCTCGAACTCCGTTCTTTAAGCTAGTAGCTCTCTATTGAAGCTGTTTTCAACCTGGAACACACTTTAGATTCCCCTGGAGAGACGTGAAAACTCCAGGCTGTACTCCTAAACCCACCTGACTCCAGACTTTTCTGAGTTTTCCTTAACTCAGAAAAGCTGGGGATGGGATCCAAGAATCAAGACGGTTAAAGCTCCGCAAGTGATTCCAATGTGCGGTTAAGGTTGAGTATGACATCATTACCCTCACCTGGGAAATTCAGCATCTTAGGCCACATCCCAGACTTACTAAGTAGAATCTTCAGTTTCACAAGATCCCCAGGTGGTACCTATACACGTTAAGGTCTGAGAAAGGGGCTAGTGCATCTGGAAAGGCCTAACAGCCCCGGCCATGTCTGAGTTGGGGCAAGGAGCCGGGGGCCAGCCAGTAACTTATTCTTCATTGCTTATACTGGGTTTAAGCTGCAAGGTGTAGTGTTATAGCTTGTGAGTGAAACAACATGAAACTTGATAACCCCTATTTCTGATTTCCTAGAAATAGCAGAGGGGAAAGATTTTCAGATTAGGGGCAACACGAGTGGAAGGCAGGGCACCTTCCCAGCCTGCAGATGCACCCCTCTCCCTCCCTCCCAGCCTACTCAGCTGGACTCACCCTCTAAAGACTTGGAAGGAGAGACTAAAGGGCTCTTTGTCTCTGCCTCCTTCGCTGGGCTCTGCACTGGAGAAGCAGGTGCAGACTTTGCAGGTGAGCCAGGCTCTTCTGGGGCAGTTTCTTTCTCTCCTGAAAAAACAGAAAAACACCTCAGGATAGAGGTCAAATAGAGAAGAGATGGGCAGGGAAATAAAGCCTTTTAAAAATTACTTTTTTCTATTTGGTCATCAATCCTCCTGGCTGATAATGAGACTTCTAGCTGAAGTTAGCTCCTCCCCCTGACCTTCTTAGATTTCTGCTACTTCCCTGGGAAGGCCAATGGGAGAGGGTGGAGTCATGTTTCCTTCATCAAAACACACCTACCAATATGTTACTCCAGATGTGGAGGGCAACGCTGAAGAACTCGCACACGGCCGGACCAGAGCCTGGCTCTCGTTCCTGTCCTGTCTCTGAAGAGAACCAGCCAGGAGCTTTGTGTCGTGAGCACAGAGCACATCAACGGGTAAGAGGTGGACCCACAACCACCAACTCCCCTTATTTTATTTTTTGCTGACTCCCCTTAAAAACACCCATGATTTCTTTGCATGTAACTATTGTTTAATTCATCAAATTTACATTTTCTGTCCAAACAATCCCTAGGGATAAAAAGTGCCATGTTCCTCTATTTGCTTTTCAATTGGCACATTAGAGCTCCAAGCAAGCCAGCAAGGGTTTTTTGGTTTTTGCTGTTGTTGTTTGAGATGAAGTCTCCCTCTGTCACCCAGGCTGGAGTGCAGTGGTGTGACCTCAGCTCACTGTAACCTCCGCCTTCTGGGTTCAAGCAATTCTCCTGCCACAGCCTCCTGAGTATCTGAGATTTTTGGCGTGTACCACCATGCCTGGCTAATTTTTGTATTTTTAGTAGAGACGGGGTTTCACCATGTTGGCCAGACTGGTCTCGAACTGCTGACCTCAGGTGATCCACCAGCCTTGGCCTCCCAACGTGCTGGGATTACAGGCCATTCCTGGCCAGCAAGGGTTTTTTAAGTGTCTGCTTTGTGTCCAGGAAGGTGGCTGACTTGGGGTGAGGAATGGAGATGGTGGAAGAAGACCCTGCCTTGAGGGAGTGTCAGTCTAGCCCAGTGGACACAACCAAAAGCTGAATTATGTGTCTCAGACCCCAAGTGGTCAGGAAGCAAAGAGAAGGGACAGCTCAATTTGGGTGGAGTAGAGAGGGTGACAGGGAGGCCCTTCCTAGCTGGAGAGGGGTTTGAGAGGAAGCCGGGACTGATCAGGCTAGCCAAGAAGGGGAACCATGCCAGGAAGAGACAAAGGTAGGAACAAGGGCATACAAGCTACTGTGAGTGAATATTTGGGAGTCAACACAGAGAGATGGGCTTCACTCAAGAATCTGAAATAAAGGAGCGAGAAAAAGACACAAAGGTGTCAGCTGGTGGAGGGTTTTGATTGCCAGGCTAAAAGGCTTATAGTAGACCTGGTGGGAAATAATAATGATGACTATGATCATTATTATAGCTAAAATTGATCTGGTGTTTACTGGCCTAAGCCATATTTGTAGGCACTTCTCTAAGCACATTACAAGTATTAACTCCTTTATGCCCGGTAAGAGGGTCAAGTGAGGTCATGAAGGCACCGAGTAACTGTCAGGAACAGAGCAATGAAGGGCATTTTTGTGATTAATGGAACTACAGTAGAAATATTCTTTGATGATGGGGCAGGAAGGTCCTCTCTTGGTAGTCCTGAGCTCTCCCCTCCACCCTGGGGGACTTGGAAGCAAGGGTGTGCCTCAGGGTCATTTACCATCAAGTTCTAGTTTCTTCCTCTCCACCTCTTTCTTGTACTCCTCCAACTCCTGGTCAGTGAGTTGGCTGAAGGGGTTGGGCACCGTCTCCTCTGAATCGTCTTTGGTATCCTCGTCTCCCTTGGACATCAGCTGGCTCTCTGTAGACTGAAAGTTAACCACAGAGGGTGTGTCGCTCTCTGAACGCCGCAGTTGGGGTGCAGGCCCCAGCTTCCTTTTAGATTCATGTGGCTGCAAGCGGTCTTGCTAGGGACAGCGTGGCATGCAGCTCCTTGGAAACAGCTCAGGGCCTTGGGGTAGGGATTGTTCTTTCCTCCCCATTGCTACCTTACCCCTAGATTTTGCAACTGGCTGGATGAATATAGGGGGTCCACAGTCTGCCCCTGAAATAAAATCAAAGGATGCTCCCGAGCAGAAGGAAGACACACCTTTATTGCAATCCCTTCTATGGACACTTCCAAGCCATCACTATGCAAATACAGTTGGTGGCCCAAAGCCAGTCAGCCAAAGCCCAGCAAGCATAGCATTGGCTCAAGCAAGCTTCATGCCAGCCATTCCCCACCACTGCCCTCCCCGCCCCCACAGCAGTGCAAGCCACAACACACAGCATTAAGTTATATGCACAACACACAGCAGCTTCAGTGCTCTCAGTCCAAACTGTTAGTCCTGTTTCACACACAGTTGTAAGTGACAAAGGGGCCAAGGTTCCTGAGTCTCAGATCTTCAACCTGCCTGTACCGCAGGTCCCTGCAGGGATACTGGCAAAATCACTGGGTTTTGCCACCTCTGTGGAGCCCGTGGTTCTAGGGAGCTGACCAGCCGGCCCTTACATAAGCTTCAGGAATTCTTTGACCCCTCTAGCCCAAGATAGGAACTAAAATTCAGACTCCACAGCCTTTTTTCCTAATTCAGCATCCTCATCTTGGCCTTTGAGGATGCAGTGCTCTGAAGCTGAGGAGCAAAGAGAGTGAAGCCAAAGGGAGGTGAGCCTGGAGGCTGCCAGTCCTCCCTGCCCTGGCCCGCCAGGTCTTCTGCCCCTGGGCCCCTTCCAAAAGGGAGGCCACAGTAGGCCTAATGTAGGGAATCATGGAGTCAACCGAGAATCCAAGACCAAAAACCCAAGAAGAGGGACTCCGAGAAGAGCACTTGGTATAAATGGCAGGGGAGATTTTTGTTTGTTTTTTTAACAGTGTTGCTCATTGTAATGAACTCTCACCTCCCGCCAGAACATGGCTATTTCTATACTTGACCCTGCGGGATATTCAGTGTTCCCCATCTTGGCTGAGTTGGGGTTGGGGGGAGGTAAGTGTGATGATACAACTTTCACACTTCTCCTGCCAATGGGCACCCACCCTGTGGGCTGCAGTCTTGACCTGAAATCATTGCATCATCACAATTTGCCCTGCAGAGAGGAACATTTCCTGTATTTCCCCAATTTTTACTGCTAAGGAAAATGTCATGCCCATTGCTACCTTGCAAGGAGCAGCAGTGATTTCAAACACATGCCAGAATTCTGAACTTCACCCCTTTTGCTAAGCACTAGACAAAACACTGTTCTATCTCAAGCACAAAAACAATTACAATACTTTCTAACTCAATGTGGGTTTGTGTGGGTAATATTGTCCCTTCCCATCCTGTAGGAGCATGGGTCCTGTCTATATACCCCTTCTCTATGGGTACATGATCATCTTTCCAGAGCTCTGGTTGGATGATGTCATACCAGGCTCAGAGGTCAGAGACTCTCAGGGCTGGGCACACCTGGGGCACCTGGGAGTCTCCAGCCCCAAGCCTATGAGTCCCCACTTCACGGGGTAGTAAGGGAGGACAGAGTGGAGTTCCATGGCAGGAGGTACGGAAGCCGGCCGCATCACTCCTGCAGGCAGGCTGGGCTGCTGTTCTCCAGCCCAGTGCCCACAGGGGCCATCAGACATTGTCCTCCCTGGTCCTCACAGCACCCCTGTGAGGTTGGCCTCCATTTTGCAGCAAGAGCACCGGCACCCAAGATCACAGGGGAAGGTGGGTATGAGGACTCAGGGGTCCTGCAACCCAGCCCCAGGCACAGAAGACCCCGAAGGCAAACACGTTTCCCCGCCAGTCAGGGGCAGCCTCTGCTCTACCGGGCTTCGGCTCTTCTCGGCAATGACGCTCGCCAGGAGCTGGGACTGAGGCCCCGCTGACTTCACATCTTGTCGGTTTTGTTCTCGAATCTGTGTGGAAAGGGGAGAGGAAGAGTGAGCTGGCTGTTCAGGGTCAGCGTGGAGTTTGGGAGGGGGCATACGGGTGTGCCTGGGGTCTAGAAAGGTCCTCTAGCGGTGTGGGAGCCCGTCACCTATCCTAATGCAATCCTTGTACTTTAAGGGGGGGCCTCCAAGTCTGTTCCAGGGTGAATTAGCAATTTATGTAAAGCACCAGATTTTCATGAAACCAGAAGGAGCTGTAAACTATGAAAAGTAAAATGAGGCATAGTTGATCCTAAGAAGCCCCTGAGGAATTTGTTTTAAATACAGATTCTAGGCACCCCCCACCATTGAATCTGAATATCTGGGGAGAGGGGAGAGGGGAGAGGGAGGGAGGGTGGTAGAGGAGGGTGACCCAGGAATCTCAACTTTCAACAAGCGCTGTAGGGTATCCGGGTCCACACACTGCCACACTATCCTGTGAGCGATCTGATCTGTTAGAGGTGCCTGCTACAACTGCAGTTTTAAAGTAACATTAAAAATACACGCAAGTGAACTGTCAGGCAAAAGTCCGGAAACAAACACAGCAATCTTGAAATATTGCCAATAAGCCAAAAGGAAAATGGTATAAAATTTATTAAAACTCATTTTGTGGGCAGGACTTTCAGAGACAGCTGGTGTGTAAACCAAGCTGTGCTCTAGGTAAAGGGTTACGGGACCACAGGAGTACAGCGCTTAGCACAGCACCTGGGCCATGGTCAGTCAATGGTAGTTTCTCTCTCCTGTGAGGCATGTGAGATGTCAGCGAGTCAGGCACATCCTGGGAACTCAGCTCCTGTTTGTGGGACCTGAGACCCCCCAGTGTGGGAGAAGAAAGAGTGGGATAAACAGACCCCACTTACCTTGTTCCTCATCTCCAGTACTTCCTGGGGGTCAGTATAGAGAGGCACAAATTGGTTTGGGTTTTCGATGCGAATCGGCATGCCACTGCTGGATTTCTCCACCTCGTCAGCCTTCATCCACTGCACAAACACAAGGTCATGGGGCTGAGGTGAGGGAACAGGCCCATGAGTCCTCCCCAGTGGTCCACCCACGAGATCTGGGCCCAACATCCTGCATGGAAGGTCAGCAAGCCTACTCATAGACACTCTCTCTTCTTAGGCCTCTTTGATGTCTGTCTCCAGGAGCAGAGAATGGCAACAGATGACCCAGTTACCAATGAAGGCCCTCAGGCCAAAGGTCGGCTATAAAGAACATCCAAGAGTTGGGGTCAGAACCTTGGGAACCAGCTTTGATACACAGGCAACCACTTGGGCTTCAGTATTAGGTAACTTGATTTGAGTTTGGAGAGCTTCATATTGTTTTATGAAGAGCTATTCTATTTGGCTGTTGGCTACTTTTATGTTAATAAAAAATTGAGAGCCTGTGGGTGGGGACAGGGAGAGAAAATATAACTTCATAGAAGTGGCTGTACAGCCCACCTCCTGGGCTTGCATCAGATCTGAAGTCCCAATGTTAAATGCTCCTCCCTTGAATTTCCCAAGAGCCCCCTGTGGATGTGGGAGAAAGAAGCACAAACCAACTGGTTCTGGGTCATGTGCCTGGTCCAACTGCCCTCTGGAGAAATCTGCTCCTTAGACCCAAAAACTCAGGCAGAGGTGCAAGGAAGAAGTGGTCAGGGGCTCAGTGGGCCTGAGCAGCTGCTCCCAGAGGCCTAATAGGAAGCCCAAAGAGGATGCTACTAACCTGGGGCAGGAGAGGTTTGTTCTGTTCCCGTTTTAAAAATGCTTCACCCTGCTAATGCAGCCTGCCCCTCTCTGCCCGGGTCTGTCCTGGGCTCCCCCTTACCGTGGTCTTGGGTCGGGGGCTGCCCATGCTCCTCTGGACCTCATCGGCCACATTGACCCGCAGGTAGGTGTTGGGCGTATTGAGCCAGCGGGTCTTCTCCTTCTGCTGCTTCTGGGCATGCTGTCGCAGGGCGGGCACCGGGGCACCGTCCTCCTCAAACACGAAGGCTGTGACCGTGGCTGGAATCTCCACCTCACTTTTGTGTTTGGTTTTCTCTTGAACAAAGGGGTGGCGATACGTGTAACCTGTTCTGTAGCCCTATAAAGGACAAAAATAGAACCACTTATGGGGTGAGAAAAAAGGCCTGTACCTGCACATACATGCACACACACCTTTCCTTCCGTCTGCTTAAAGGACTCTTCATGTAAACCCAAATCTCCATTAAACAATCTAGGCTTTCCACTCTTCTGGTATATTTCAGAACTGTTCCCTCCTCCTGGTCCCCCATCCCCTCTCTTTCTCTACCCCAACAAGTCCTCTGATCAGGGCTGAGAAAATCCCTAGACCTTTGTGGACCAGATAGACAGAGCTCCTCATCCAAATGGAGCCACAGATTTCCTCTGGTCCAGTGGCTCCCAGCCCTGGCTGTACACTAGAATCACGGGGGGAGCTTCACACAAACACTGATGCCTGGGCCCTGATGCAGAGTTGCCCATTTAATCAGATCACAGTGTGGCCTGGGCTACAGGATCTTTAAAAGCTTCCCAGCTGATTTAACAGTCACCCCTCCCTTCCTTGACTGTGAAACTTCTTAACAATTTCCTTCTAGGAACCCTGAAATCAGACTCAAGAACATTCCTGTCTCCTAAGCAAGGCCACATCCCCTCAAAGCTGGAGCTGACTGCTTCTTGGAGAGAACAAACATTCTGGAATCTTGGCAGCTGTTGGAGCAATATTCAGCTCTCTTTGTCTTCTTTTATTTTTAAATTAAAATGACATTATTTTTCTGATTATAAAGGAAATACAGATCCATGTAGAAAAATTAAGCAAAATTAAAAAAAATAAGGAAAAAACGGAATTTTATGCAAACTCTCACCCCAGAGACAATCACTAAAAACCTTTCCAGTCATATCTCTATGCATATACATGTGTGTCCATATATGTTTGATACTAGTAAAATGGATATTTCCAATTACATATAATGGCTACTTAACTATTTTCCTTTGTAAATTGTTTATGTTCTCAGCCCATTTTTCTATTGATGTTTCTGTTTTTCACATTGATTTGTAAGCTCTTTGTAAATTAAGAATATTAATTTTTTCACTATCATAGATGGTGAAAATATTTCCCTCCATACTTTGTCTTTTACCTTGTTTATGGTGGGGGAGTGGCTTATAGAAATGCAAGTTTTGAATTGTTTAATATCATATCTATTAATATTTGTCAAGATTGCAGCCTTTTGTGCCGTGCTTGATAAGTCTTCCCTAACACAAGGGCATCAAAAACATAAGTCTATGTTTTTTAATACCCCTATGAGTTCACTTTTTATGTTTACCATTTTGACAAACCAGGAATTTATCTTGTTGAAATAAATGAAGTAGCATCTGCCTTAGCTTTCCTTCCCAGATGGCAAGTAGTCTATCTTTCCCTCACTGATTTATAAAGTGCCTGCTTTTCCTGTGTTAAATTCTCATATATTTTGGATCTATTTCTGGATTCTCTAAGCTGTTGCATTGTTTTGCACATCCATTCTGCTAGTGCCACGCCATTTAGTTGCCAAAGTTTTATCACACTTTGTCATGAGGTGGAATTAGTATTCCTAATTACTTTTCTTTTTATAACATTGCCCTAGCCATTCTGAATTTCACATGGAAGGATATTTTGTCAAGTCCTCATACCTTCCCCCATTTTTGAAAGAAATCCATTGACTTTATTGATTAATTTTGGGGAAGTAACCTCTTTACCCTATTGAAGCTTTCTAACCAAGAATAAATTATAGCTCTTCACTGACTTCAGGTTTTCTCTGATGTCTATTAATAAAGTTTTATGGTTTTAAAAACACGGATTATGCTTTTTAGTGTTTTATGATTGTGATCCATTTGCAAATAGGATTATTTTCTCCCATTATTATATTTTCAAAGTAGTTAAGATACAAAAACTACTGATTTTTGTATATATTTGCATAATTGTCCACCTTAAACTGAAATCACCTTTGCAAAATTATGACAGTACTCTATCTTGCTTCTAGCCTCACAAGCTGGCTGGCTTTGCTCATTCCTGGATGTGAGCCAAACTAACTTCAGGAGAAATTTAGTTTATAGTGTAAATGACGATAGCCCTTCCCAAAAACTAAACTATCCTTGTAAAACTGATGAAAGACCACCAAGTTAGGAAGAGGAAAGGGGCCTGAATTTTACTAAAATGTAGGCATAGTTAAATAATTACCAGCTATTATTCCAGAGGTCACACGATTTGCAACTTCCCCAATTACTCCTGTAAATAATATCACTATTATAGAACCTAAAATTGGCCTTTGGAGGTATCTTTTCAGGCTTTCACATTTCTGACAACTGGATGGCTCTGGGACTCAGTCAGTTCTGTGGCCCTACCCACAGGCAGACTCAGTGCACGAGGACCATATTCCACACTTCTATGATTGTATCCCCAACCAATCAGTATCACCCATACCTTAGCCCCCTACCCACCAAACTATCTTTGAATCTTCCTGGCACAGTGGCTCACACCTGTAATTTCAGCACCTTAGGAGGCTGAGACAGGTGAGTCACTTGAGCCCAAGTGTTTAAGACCAGGAATCTTTGAAAAACCCCCTTTGAAAAATCCCTAACCTCTGAGGCTTCAGTGAGATTGATTTGAGTCTGTCTCCTGCATGGCATGGCCAGCCTCGCATCAGTTAAACTCTCTCTTTACTGTAATGCCATGGTCTCTGTGAACTGAATTTGCTTGTGCAATGGGCAGGAAGAACCCGTCAGGTAGTTACAAAAGTATTCTCATTATTTTTAATATTTTTTCAGTTGTTTTTTTTTTGGACTTTATAGGCATGTAACCATATTATCTGTAAATAATAGTTTCCTTTCCTTTATAATATTTATACCTCTTATGCTTCATTGCCTTGGATTGAATTCCAATATTATTCTAGAATAATATTAAATAATAGTGCTATGACCAAGAATAATTGTTTTGTTTAAAAGTTTAATAGGTACATGCCACCATGCCTGGCCATGTTTTGTATTTTTTGTAGAGATAGGGTCTTGCTATGTTGCCCAGGCTGGTCTTGAACTCCTGGGCTCAAGCGATCCACCTCTGACTCAGACTCCCAAGGTGCTGAGATTACAGGTATGAGCCACCATACTGGACAGATCAAAAGTTTTTATCCTTTGATGCTTCAATATCATGAAATACATTTAAAAGATTTATAGATTGATATTATTAAGCCATCCCTGAATTCTAGGAATGAGCCACCAGTTATTGTATATTATTATTTTACTATTAGGCTTGATACTATTTGCTAGTTTTCATGTAGCATTTTTCATCAACGTTCAAAGAAAAATTGGTCTAAATATATTACAATTATTATGGCTTAGTATTCTTTTTTCACTCCTCTCAGAAAGAGTTTAAATAACAGAATTATCTGTGTCTTAAAGGTTGGAAAGAATTCTTGTATGAAACCATCTAGTCGCGGTGCTTTCTTTAGGCATAGATTACTCAGCATACAAATGTTAATGGGAGTTGCATTTTCACTGTGGATTGTACCTTTCATTATTATAAAGCGGCCCTCATGGTCAGCCTGGTAACAAAGTAGAGATGATTTGGAGGAACTGAAGACAGGGAGAAATGTATTAATTATTGCCATAACCTTGACATGATAAAGAAGGCCCAAGATGGTAGCAGTGAGGATGGGAAAAATGAATCAGATGGAATGTTATAAAGATAGATTTCATCTTTCACTTCTCTGAGCAATCTAAGAAGTTACAGCCTCTTATGCAATTAGCTCCTCATTGCATATGCTTTCCTCTTGTTCTTGAATTGTCACCTGTTTATATCTCATATTATCAGCTAAATTGTTAGCCCTCAGAAGAAGAAAGAATGTCTTAAAATTTTTTTTGTATCCTTTGAAGAGCCAGCCCACTCCTAGACACATACTAGTTTAATTCCTTACATGACTGATTGGTTCATTTATTCATTACAATAGGATATTGTTACAAAGGTGCTGCCTAGGATTAAGGAAATTAGTAGTATTATGTGTTTTCTGTATTAAAGTCATGAAATGGACAGAAAGACAGAACTAACTATATAAGAGGTATGAGCAAAGCCCCAGTATAAGATAGGCTCTGTGTCCCAGTTTTTACTGGAGTATGACCTTTTTTTTTTTTTTTTTTGAGACAGAGTCTCACTCTGTCACCCAGACTAGAGTGCAGTGGCACAATGTCGGCTCACTGCAACCTCCGCCTCCCAGTTCAATTCTCCTGCCTCAGCCTCAGCCTCCTGAGTAGCTGGGACTACAGGTATGTGCCACCATGCCCAGCTAATTTTTTGTATTTTTTTTTAGTAGAGACAGTGTTTCACTGCATTAGCCAGGATGGTCTCAATCTCCTGACCTTGTGATCTGCCTGCCTCGGCCTCCCAGAGTGCTGGGATTAAAGGTGTGAGCCACTGCGCCCGGCCTGGACTACGACTTTTCATAGAGGACACTGCAGATATGAGAACATCCACAGCACTTAGTTGTGGGTGGCAAAGTCCACAGTTTACAAAAATTCAACTACTGTTAGAATAACCACACATTCTAAATCAAATTTCCCATCAATGAGGCTTCAACAACCTAGTTGTGATGCTGGCAATTCTTGTGCCCACCTGATGCCTTGTACTTCCTGGTTCCAGGGGGCTAAGCCTCAATGGACTGGCCTGGAAGGGCAATGGCAGGAGACTCACCAGGTTGTCCAGCATCCTCATGAGGGCCTCAAACTCATGCTCCCCCAGCCGACTCTTCTGCATAGGCCCAAAGGTGCTCCCGGCCCACTGCACGGAGCCCACCTCATGGGGCCGGTGCTTCTCCTGCTCCAGGAGGATGAGGTTCTCCACTCCCCCGGCACTGGACAGAGCCGACACCTGTAGCAAAGAGCAGAGAGCCCTCAGCCCATGTGCACATGGGTACCCTGCACTTATCTATGCTCCTGTATGTGATGAGAGAATGGGGAGTCCAGAGGAGAACTTAGAGGCCAAACTGAGAAAGAGCCACCCATACTTGATGGGCATGCCCCCATTTCCAAGAAAAGAGCTATTAGTTTATTTTCTGATGCCAGTTCTTAGAGATTATAAAGAAGGAAACAGCAAGCATTAAACCTTAAGAATCAAAACAGAGGACTGAAAGTTACCTGGGATACAGACTAACCTAGAATTGTGATTGTATCTGGGGAGGGAGGGAAGATGAGACAGGAAAGGACTTCAAAGCGGACTTCAGTTCTTGTTTGTAATATTTTGTTCTTCAAGATTTGAAGCCAGAGGTTATGAATATGTTTGATCTGATTGGTAGGTATGGGTGTCTATTATGTTAGTCTCTGCACTTTTCTGTATGTTTGAAATATCTCCTATTTTTTTTTATTTTTATTTTGAGACAGTGTCTCTGTTGCCCAGGCTGGAGGGCAGTGGCACAATCTCGGATCACTGCAGCCTTAACCTCCCAGGCTTCAGCTATCCTCCCACCTCAGCCTCCTGAGTAGCTGGGACTACAGATGTGCACTACCACATTCAGCAAATTTTTGTATTTTTTGTAGAGATGGGAGTCCTGCCATGTTGGCCAGGCTGGTCTCGAACCCCTGGGCTCAAGCAATCTACCTGCCTTGGCCTCCCAATGTGCTGGGATTACAGGCATGAACCACCATTGCTGACCTCTCCTATATTTTTTTAAAAGTCACTTGAAAGAAATAGGCTGGCTCCCAAGCCAATGAAATTTATTTGTAACCTCATGGGATGAATTCACAGGTCCAAAGGAAAAATACATTCTCCACAATGGGGTTAGTCAGTCAAGGAAGCCCAGAGAAAGGAGACAGATAAAATGCTTGTAGTGTACAGCCAAGCACTGTGCAGGGGTGAGAGTTCCCACACATGGACTTAGAGTGTCTGTCTCATTGTCAAGGCTCCATGGGGAGGGCAATGCAGGTGGTTGTAGGCAATGGACTCTGAGTATTAGGACAAGAGGTGTGTGTATATAGCAGGCAATTTTGGAATGATCCTAAAAAACACTCATTAATCTAACAAATCCCCTTTTTTTTAAATTCTGTGCTTATCTAATGGTACATTCTATTTACCCTCATGTATCTACCACTCAGATATAATTGGTTAGGGTTTGGCTTCCTGGATGACAAATCTAGCTACATAAAGAGACAATGGCTTATGAATAGTCCAGGTGGTGAGCCAGGTGTTCTGCACTGCACATTATTATATTAGCATTCCAATAAGATATGATATCCCATGTTAGCCTGCTTGTTATGGGAAACTGCTTTAATTATGCAAACTTTCAGTATTTTTGTGACAGTTATTTTTTACTGGAAATGAAAAAATCCAATTTAACCTGCTGACAAATGCAGGTCTATGAACCCAAGAGGATCAGGGACAGACCTTAGAGTATGTTAAATTCATCATTTAACAAATGCCCCTGTGATACTTCTCTGAGGTCAGCCAGGCAGCCCTCCCAGGTGACCCCCGTCACCCTATGAAGAGAAGGAAGCAAGAATATTATCTACGCCCTTCTCGTCCAAGCCATGTGTCTAGCAGAAGATAAACAGACTTCTCCCACTGCCCCTCACAGTCCTGGTGAGGCAGCGCTTCTCCAGGTAGTGTTTAAGGGCACAGACCTGGGCACCAGGCTGCCCAGGTTTGAATCCTGGCTCTGCCACTTACCAACTGTGTGACTTTTAGTAGCTATTTACCATCTGTGTACCTCAGTTTCCTCTAAAATGAAAATAGCAGAACCTACCTTGTGAGAAGTCTTTAAGGTAATAGATCTAAAGCACTTAGTGTATCACCTGGTACATATGGGGTGAAGTATAATGTTCTAATGAATGAATTTTGAGAAGCGCTATTCCCTGGGGACCCATACTTAATGGAGAAGAAGAGAGGGAGAGACTGCCCACAACCTTGCAAGAGCTGCCTCCTCCCACCTCCCTCTTCCTCCCCCAGTTTCCATGGTGATGGGTAGCAGATGGAGAAGAACTGCTTGAGCTTCTTCCCATCTGCCTGTCGGCAGAGCAGGGAGCTGCCTCTCTCAGCAGGGGATGACCCAGTTTCCTGGAACCCCAAATTGATGGGGATCAGAGAGAACACCATCCCCAGGAGAAATAAATAGGCTCTCAGCCTTGAACTACTAACATGACCACAGCCACGTTCGCTTGTTTGCCAAGGTCACCAAGGAAGAAAACTTGGCCCACAATGGAAACAGAGCTTCAGTGCTGGCCGCTTCACCCAAAAATGACCTGGCTAGGGCTGCGCTCCCAGCGGCACCTGCAGTCACTGTTACCTAGGCTCTTTCATGCCCTGATCCACCCACACCTCCTCTAGGCTTTCCTGCTTTTTTCTTCCACATCTTCCAGCTCTATTCCCGTCTCTAGAAGCCTCTCTGCTCTACCAGCTGGGGGAAAAAAAGGTCACTGGAGCTTGCCCGGGGTTATCTGTCTGCATTGCCTGAGGTCCTGTAACAAGGTCTCAGCAAACCAATCCTGAAACGAAAGTGATAGCAGCTGAGGGAAGGGGGCTGTCAGGTACAGAAGCCCACAGCTCTGCCCTTGAAACTGCCCAGAAACTGTTTCTGGGGTTCTGGATCCTGGGAGAGGCATACTTCACCATGTGGGGTGGTGCGACACATGGGCATCCCTCTCCCTTCATTTTTAGGGCTGAGCTGTCTTTGCAGAGATGATGTTTTTACAGGAGATATTTTCTTATTGAAGAATCTTCTCCAGAAGGAAGATAGGGAGCTCTTAAGAGTTCAGATGTGGGAAAGGGAGAGTAGCTTCCCGGTATCCCAGAGGCTCCACCAGATTCTTCCACCAGTCAGTGGTCAGAGCTTAGGGCCAGAATCTTTGGTTGGGCAGCAGCCGGAGGCGCTACATCACATCAGAAAGGCACCAGCTGGGTCTGTGTCCACCTGCCCCTGTTCTGACCACTGCCTCTAATACTTCATCATTATCTTCACAGCTATCCTCACCACATATCCTTTTAAAACGATTGAAAAGGTCCCACTGCAGAGCCTCCACCAGCGACACTTCCAGGCAGATCTCAATCTCCCCAGAGTGCCTCCAAGAGAAAGACCTCTTCCTCTGGGTGCTGCTCTGCCTAGGCCAGCCAGGAGAGGGCGGACGGGACACCAAGGGGCTGGGCAAAGAGCTGACTCATCCAGGAGCAACGGGCCTCCATATGTCAGTTGAGTCCTAAAAATAGCATCAGCAACACCCCTCTTTGTGTCCTCACAGTGACCCGCTGGGCCCCACGTCTACAGTTGAGGAGACAGAGGCTCAAGCAGGGCAAGTCCTCTACCCAAGGGCACACAGCCCAGAGTGGGGAGGATGGAGCCTGGTCAGCCTGGTCTGGTTAATAAGGTCTTTTCAGGGTTGTGCAAGGCCCCCTACCTGCCCCTGACCAACTTGCCACATTGAAAAGTGTGTGCTTGGCTTATCCAACACCACCTTGTTGTCTATACAACTACAGGTTTGTCTGTTTTCCTACTGCTTCTCCAACTCCTCTAGGGGGTTCCCTGATCACTGACACTACTGTCTTCTCCATCCCTTCCCGGTTAGGGATTTCATGATGGCTTCCTGGATATCACTTGGGGTTGCTCTGGCTGTTAAGGCTGCCACGTCAACACTCTGATTGGTCTGCTTTCCGCTTCTTTTTCTGGACGTGACCATGTCCCTGGCCTTTGCAAACCAACCCCCTCCCCTCAAAACAAACAAACAAACAAACAAACAAACAAACAAACAAACACCTACCTGTGTGTCTGTTGGGCATAGGTGCAACAGGTATACCCCACGTAACATATGAGCATGGTAAAAAATTTCTTTGCCTTATTACAATTTCTCCCACTGTCCAGTTGATGAGCCCAGGCAGCTCCCCAGACTGGGCACTGACCCCTAAGAAGTGGGTATTTATTGCTTGTTAGACAATGTTGATGCATTTTTCAAAGCCACAGAACTAATCCTAAGTGTGAAACTTTAGAAGGATAAGATGGTGCCAAGGCAGAGAAATAGGGCAAGGCTTTTAGATGGCTGGGATCAAAAGACTCCCTGAATCACAGCCAACAGGGTCACCACGTTTGCCCACAGGCCCCTGTCAGAGCCCACTCCTGGGCCCACTTTCCAGGAGAATTTGCTCACCTGTATCTCACATGCAGCCTGCAGGTGGAAGATCTTGTAAAATGCCTCCTCTACCGTGTCACCCAGAGCAACCACTCCATGGTTTCTTAGCACCAGGATCTGTAGAGAAATAAATAGTCAATTAAAACCTTAAGTCCTCTAAACTTTAGTTAAGAGGGAGAGGTTTTCCATTTTATTTAGATCAACTTCCACAACCAATCCCAGGGCCCCTTCTCCCAACTCCTTATGTTCTCTAATCAAATACCCCAAAGCTACCCCACATGGGATTTTAACTCAAAGCATCTACCCTAAGAAATTGAAAAGACATTTTAAAACTGGGACTAAATAGCTTGATCAATTTCTTTAGGCAACGCCTGGGTTTTTATGCATTTTAAAAATTGAAATTGAAAAGGCATTTTAAAACTGAGACTAAATAGCTTGGTCAATTTCTTTAGGCAATGCCTGGGTTTTTAGGCCTTGGAAAGCTTAGAAGCTTGAAAAACTGCTGTGTATATTAAAGTGAATGAAGTTGTTTGCTATCCAATACAGAGTTCCCACCTCAATAGCAATCTCTTGCTCCTGTGACTTAGTTGACGTGGGAGTCAAAACCCAGGGGGCGGCTCTCTGAGAGGTGGCCCTACAGAAACAGGTGAGTCACGTCACCTCTTTGGGTCTTAGGTTTCTGCACCATAAACTCAACAAGGCCCTGTCAGCTCTGAGATCTCACAGCTCTAGAAAGAGGCCACAGTGACCTTCTCATCTAACTCATCGGTTTTATAGAAAAGAAAATAAAAGCCTGAAAAGACTAAAAGTCTCAGCCGTGGTGGGTCACGCCTGTAATCCCAGCACTTTGGGAGGCTAAGGTGGGCAGATCACTTGAGGTCAGGAGTTCGAGACCAGCCTGGCCAACATGGTGAAACCCCGTCTCTACTAAAAATACAAAAATTAAAAAATTAGCTGGGTGTGATGGGGCCTGCCTGTAGTCCCAGCTACTCGGGAGGGTGAGGTGGGAGGATCACTTGAACCTGGGGGCTGCAGTGAGCTGAGATCGCACCATTGTACCCCAGTCGGTGACAGAGCAAGACTCCGTCTCAAAAAAAAACCAAAAACGGAAAGTCTCTCAGCTAATTAGGGGAAGCATCTGAACTAGAAGCCAGGGGTTCTCACTATTAGTGCAATGTTTTAGACTCAGTCAGGGAAAGCTGAGTAAAAGTGGGGGAACCCAAACTGAATTTGTACCAAGAGCACAACTCCCCAAAGTTCAACTGCATCTTCCCTCTGAAACTTTTCTTCGTTGGTTTTACTCTCAAGAACTCTCTGGAACCAGATGACACCAGCCTGGGAGCTGGGACACAGATCCATGTGTCAGATCTGTCTCCAGGCAGAGCCTGGGCTGAAGCCTGATGGCTCTAAACATCACATCCTCTCCTGTTGAAAACAGCTGGTATTTTTTCCTCTCAAGTGCCAGAGAAACAGAAAGAGACGATGGCTGTGGCCCACAAAAAGTACTACAAACAATGAATACCCCATCTCTCAAATTCTTGTAGCACTTCGTAGATGTGAATATTTCATCCCTCTCCCCACACTCTAAATAATGTTCTGGAGGATGTCAGGAGAGAGAGGTGGGATACCTCACTGTGTTAGAGATGAGAAGACAGGGACTCATGGGAAATGATTCAGGCAGTGCATTCCTTGCCAGGACAGCGGCAAAGCATCCATCAACCAAGACTAGCCTCCGTGGCTGTGCCATACTGAGCTAACCATCCCCAAATATGTGCTGTTATAAAACAGGGCTCAAGAGTTCAGTCAAGCAACAACAAGATTCCATTTTTCTCTTGCAAGCTAGTGGAAAAATAAAGGCGACAACACTCAAGTTTGGGGAGACTGCAGGGAAGTGGCACTCTCATATCCTAGACATGGGGTGGAAGAGTGAACAAACCGTGTGGGGCAATTTGGCGGCATGAAGTGAGAGTTCTAGCCCGTGCAGCCCTAGGAACTTATCCTAAGAAACTCATCTCAAGTTCACACAAAGATTTAGCTGACAGGATTTTCATCAATGTGTTGTTTTTATTAAGAAAAAACTCAGGAAGAAAAAAAAAATTTTTTTTTTTTGAGACAGGGTCTAACTCTGTTGCCCAGGCTGGAGTATAGCAATGTGATCACAGCTCACTGCAGCCTTCACCTTCTGGAGTCAATCGATCCTCCCACCTCAGCCTCCTGAGTAGCTGGGACCACAGGTGCATACCACCAAGCTTCACTAATTTTTGTATTTTTTGTAGAGACAGGGTTTGGCCATGTTGCCCAGGCTGGTCTTGAACTCCTGGGCTCAAGTGCTCCACCCACCTTGGCCTCCCAAAGTGTTGGGATTACGGGCATGAGCCCTGCACCCAGCTGAAAAATACCTTTTAATGTTCAACCACAGAAGAGTATTCAGGTAAATTATAGCACAACTATTCCCATAATGAAGTCTGTGAATAGTTGTGCTATAATTTAATTAAATTTAATAATTAAAAATGGTGATAGAGAAAATATTTAATAACATACAAAGGTAATTACTATATATTGCTGAGGGAAAACAACTTATTTTATGATCCTAGTTTTGCAAATATAAATTTCAATATATTTGGGGTACACAGCAAAATCTCAGGGTAGTGGGATAGAGATCTTTCTTTTTTTTCCCCCCTCTCTCCCTCCCTTATTGTCCAATGAACATATGTCACTTTTGTGATGTTGGCTTTTGACAATGCCACTCTAGATTATTGTCCCAGAAGAGCTAAGCTAACCTTGCAGGTGGGTCCAAGGCACTTCTGCAGGTTGATCCGATCGGCTTCCTGCTCCATTTCCCCATTGAAGTCATAATAGGCCATGTCCCCCACCAGCAGGGCATTGTGGGAGACAGGCAGGAGGCCCCACTTCATGGCCGACACCTTAGAGAGACAATGGCATGGTTAGCACCTGCAGCCCTCCCTGCCCTTTCCTCAGAGCAGCACAGTCCAGCTCTACTCTGGGGGCCAGTGAGGGGTGAGGGGTGAGGAGTGAGGGGTGAGGTTGGGGAGCAGGCACAAGAAAGGCCTGGGCTCCTCTACCACCTGGCTTGGGCGTTGTGTCACGCTGCTTGCTCTAGTGTCTTTCCATCACTGTTTTCACAGCAGCCATGTCAACATATCACCTTTTAGAACTGCTAGAAAGAATGCACTCCAGAGACCTATTGCTGCCCCTCCCACTCCCCCCACCTCACACACAGCTTTGCTCTTGTCATACAACTCTGGGAAGAGGCAGGCTGTGGTGGAGTTTGTACGAGGCTAGGGTAAGCAGAGTCCAGATCTCTTGGGGTAGGCTGGAGACCCTCAGCTTTGGTTTCAGTGCAGACTAGGTCACAATTTTTAACAAACAGAGAGGCCCATTGAAAAGTCCCATTTTAAAATGAATGAAATTATTTGCTGCCCAGTATAAAGGTCCCACTTCAAAAGCAATCTCTTGCCCCTGGAACTAGGACAATACAAGTGCTGGGGACCAGGGTTGAAACACATTCCCCCACCACTTATTAAAAGTAAGCTGCTCATGGTGGACAGAGTGTGCAATAATTTATTTATTTTTTTTTTTAGCAAGGAGCATGGAGAGGTTTAGAAGAACCCTTGCCCTCCTTCATTCATTCTGCCCTGACTCAGCCCTGAGCTCTGCAAAGATGCATGCTCAGCACAAATACATCTTCACATCTTAGTCCAAATTCTGGAAAGTCTGAATGCTCACAACCAGTGTGTTTTGCTGAGAAAACGGGCTGATGACAAGTCAGCCTACTCTGTCCCTGTACATGTGTGGCCTGGGGGTCAGCAGGATAGGGTAGGGTTCGGGGGGAGTACCCAGAACTGGTTGTCTGCCTGCCGTCTTTCCAAGTGACATCGCAGTGTCTTAGGTACACATGGAGAAATGATCAGAGGGGGACAACCTGCTCATTGAGTCTCTTCTTTGTATTCTTTCCCAGTTTTGCTTGCTCCGTCCCCTACTCTCAGCCTACCCTGAGCTATGGGAAAACGGGCACAGTCCAGGTTCCCACTAACTGGTTGTCCTCTGTCAAGATATCTCCTTGCCAGAGCCTGGCTTCGTGGGGGCAGGCCCCACGCCTTGGTCCAACAGGACTGACCTGAGTAGAAACTTAGCAGGTACTGCTTGTGTATGCAGTATGTGGGGGATGCGATGGAACAGACATTCCATGTCTTCACGTTATGCTATGACTTCAGTAGTCAGAAAGATGGAGAGGCTGGGCGTTTCCACGTTGGGAGTTCTCTCGCTTCACCTTGGCCTGAGTTCTAGATCTTTCCAGACTGTTTTAAGTGACGAGATTGCTACAACCTCGGCAGCCTTACGTCTTTCCTTGGGTGGCTGAGAAGGAGTCCACTCACCGCTGCTGTGGCCGGTGTGTGCAGGTGGATGATGCAGCGCACGTCGGGCCTCGCTGCATAGATGGCCGAGTGCAGACAGAAGCCTGTGGTGTCCACTGGGAAGCAGCTGCTGCCCTTCTCCACCACCTCTCCCAGAATGTTCACCTTGATCTGCGCCAGGGAAGAAGAGAGACTTATGGCAACAGGGTGGCCGAGGCCCCGCACTCCTCTCCCAGCTGGTGGGCCCAGCATGTGCCGCCCACCTGTCTTCACACATTCCAGACACCATGAGCAATGACGGACTTGGTGTTGGAAGAAAACAAACCAGTTCCTGCCCTCAGTGAGTGCACAGTCTAACGGGACACAGACGATTATAATTCAGCAGGAGAAATGCGAGAGCAGAGTTTCTCAGACTTTGTTCACGTGAATCACCTGAAGCCCAGTCAAATGCAGGTTCTGATTCAGAGGCTGAGGGGGCCCTGAGAGCCTGCATTTCTAACAAGTTCTCAAGTGATCCACAGACCACACATGGGGTAGCAAAGTGCTAGAAAAGAGTCATGCACAGAATTCTCTAGACAGAGACAGGGGGAGTCTTTCATCCCATCAGAAAAGGAGCATCTGAGAGGCCTTCCAGGGGGAGTAATGTCTACACTGAGCCCTTTCTCAACGAGGCTCAAAGAGGCTGCGGCTGCTTTACCAGTGACAGCTCTAGCCTCACTCCGTGCCCCTACTCCCCTGCCTCCTGGATAAAAAGTAGTAAAATATTCAATCACAGAATGTCCTGTGTCCTGAAAGCCCACAATCCAAGGTAAACAGAACTCTCTCTCAAATCACTCAGCACAAATCCAAATCCTGAAGCCAGCCCCTCCCAGTACGCTCTCACTGAACACCTCCCCGATTTCCCGGAGTGCAATCTCCCGGCAGCTGGAAGTTAACCTAACTTCACTGACTGCAGTTGTTCCCTGGACATTAACAAGCCAGATGATAGTCTCTAAAACTCATGACAACTTTAGCCCTTAAAACTGAGACACCCGTGACATCCTGAATGTGGCACACAGGGCAGTTCCTCAACTTGCCCATCACCCCCACCCCAGAAAGTCCAGGCAGACAAGATGGGTATCAAAGCAGGGAGACAGACTCTAATGTGGGCGGAGGGATGTGCTGCTGGCGTTTGCTTACACAGAAGCATCAGGAAGATGTTCAACAAATCTCCACTTACAATATCCTATTTTAAGTGAATTTCACAGACTTCAAAGCAGCGTGACCCCTAAAAGCTGCAGCAACTCTCCCGCCTCAGGTACTTTAAACCCAAGTGTGGAGTGCTGCCCTCTGGTTTCCCTCAGCCCAGCTCCCCCACTTCCTCAGACATGTGGCCTGTTTAGAATTCCCTCTCTCAGATGATCTCTCTCTGATCTTACATATTTTATATCTCATTGTTGGATGTGTGATCTGTTGTCATTCAAGAACCTCCACAGCCTAATACAGCAGCCACCCTCCCATACGGTGCCTTTGTACAAATGAGAAAGCAGGTACCCCCTCTTGAGGACAGCCCAGGGACATAGGGCTTGGTGTGTGGGTATTGCCTTTGTGCAAATTCAAAACAGAAGCCCAATGCTAGGACACTTAGTGAGTGGAGCACAGGTTGGATTTCACCCTCTCTTCTCTTCCTCATTAGCCAGGCTCCCTTGTGCAGTGCACAAACTGCACAACCACACACAGCAGCCCTATGTCTACACACAATTCATAAACATCTCATGCCCATGACTCAAACCTGTATCTCTAGCCTGCATCTCTTCTGAACCTAGAATAACCAAATGCCAACTGACATCTCTTGAAAGTCCCACCAGCTTCTCAAACTCAATCCCATATTCCCAATCCAACTGATCAGCAGGCCTACTAAGCATAGAGGCCCGGAATTTCCTTCCCAGCTTGCTGTAATAACCCCACCTAGGTGTCGGTTGGCCTCTACACAGCTTTCAGAGTGATCTTTCTACAACAGAAATCTGCTTGCATTACTCCCCTGCTCGCATTTCAGTGGCTCTGAGTGTCCAGCAGAATAAAGCCAAAGCACCATAACAGGATCTTCCATGCCATTTATCACCTGGACCCGATCCCCTTCCCAAGGTCACCTCCAGATACTGAATACTTGAGCCAGACTTGGCCTGTCTTCCCAAATGCATGCACAGGGCTCTGGTATGCATCTGGGTTTGATGCATGCTGCACTCCTGCTAAGGACACAGTCACCTCTGCCAAACCTCTCCTTGCCACCATGATCTAAGTCTGCTTACCCCGCTGGTTCATATCCCACTGACTCCACTCCTGCACCATGGTTTCAGCTAGACGCCTCCTCCCTCATTCCCTCTTTCTCCTACAGCTCCTGGCGGGGTAGGGTGCCCCTTTCCAGGCTCCCCAAGCTTCCTTCACCTCTACTGGAACACTCGGTAACCCTGAGCTTTCATAGCTGATTACCTCGCCTCTCTCCTCCAACCAGACCATGAACACCTTACGGACAGAGCCTGTGTCATCCTTTTCTCTGTGGTCCCAACTCTGACTTGGCCATCATCTCCTTGGGTAGCCTTGTGCAAGCTGCTTACCCTCCCTGGGCACCAGTTTCCTTTCTTACCTCTCAAGTGGCCTTGGCCATGGTAGAAGTCCTGCCCTGCCTAGATATTCTATGACTTGCTGAGCCTGGACTTTTGAGTGAGTAGCCGCGCTCTACACCTGAGCATGTCTCAAGCCTGGCAGAAGCCCCCAAGGTAGTGTCCTCCTCTCCGAGGTACATGGCATAGCAGCCACAGCCCATGTATCTGAGAAGGATTGGGCCTTTTCTGCTTCTAAGACAGTCCTTTCTACTGCTTTCCTCCCCCCATCTGGAAATATTTCCTGAACTAAAGCAACTTTTGCAAGCCTCTACCTCATCTAAAAGGAGCAACACTGAAAAGGGACCCAGAAGCATCTCTAATGGTGCCAGTGCTGGACAAATCTCGTGCTGCTTTGGGTCTTATTCTAATGTATCCCCCTAACCAGAAAGGCCCCCCATTCCCAACCATTGTGGTCTAATCCCAGGTGTAGCCATCCCATGAGTCTGCTGAGAGGATGCCAGGCCCATCTCCACTCCCTCCTCCCTCCCACTGCACTTGCCACCTCCTCCTGGCAATTGGTCTCTTGGTCGCATCATGCTCTGGACACTTAGTTTGTTCCATGTGTCTTCTCTGCCCTATCAGATTGTGAGCTCCACAGCGCAACAGTGACCAATTTGGAGATGACCTAGCACTGTGGGAACAGAGAGAGTGCTGTCATTTCAATAAGGAGTGGGCAGTGATGCTGGACTGTACTCACCAGGCTGGACGCTGTGACTTCACTGCAAGAAACTCCCTTAGGGCTGATCAGGAAGTGGTCCTGCTCCTTGCTGACTCTCAACTGGAGGAAAGACACAAGTTCTCAGGGGCAAGGAGGGAGAAAGGACATTTCCAAGGACACTGTGCTTGAATCCCCTCTTCCCCTGAATCTACTGCACCCAAGTCCATCTCTAATGAACCCTTATCTCTCCCCCCCAGCCATAAGAGATAAAAAGAACTCAGCTTTTATTTGGAGCAGGAGAAAGGGAGCTACAAAAGGAAACTCACTATGATCAAGGGTAGCTCTAGGATAGGATCCAGGAGTTCCTTCCCATCCAAAAAAGTGCCCACTGGGCAGGATGCCTTATCAATGACCACAGTGGTTAAAAAACTTGGAAGGGTTCAGTGCATTTTAGCCAAAGGTCACCAGCAGTGCCATGGCCATGCCAAGGGTCAGGAGTTCTCCCTTTGGGTTTTGTGGGACCACATGCAGTGCCCCACCCAATTCCAGGGCGTTCTGCTCACCGTGACATAGGTGTCACTCAGCTGGGCCCAGCCATAGAGGTCCAGGAGTCGGTAGACACTGCTGATCTTGCACCGCATGAGCCGCTCCCCTTTGGCCAGGTTCAGGGAGTCAGCTGTGTGGAGGTCATTGATAGGCGTCATCATGGAGACATCTGCAGGGACAGTGCAGTTCTCTCAGGGCCAGGGCCCATCTGCCCTCCCCTTCCTTGCTCCAGTGTTCTCCAAATTCTCACTGGCACTAAAACTGCACAGGAGACTTCCCCAGGCAGGGAATTAAACATTCTTTGACCCTTACCTGGGGCAGGAGTCCACAGAATCGACGTCTGTGCCCAATAAAGTCTGCTCATTCAGATAAACTTTTGCTCAAAAATCATGGCAAGTCTCAAGGCCACAGAATGAAGGGTTCTGGGAATGCCACACAGGTTCTGGGAATGCCAAGCTTACCATAAACTCTGAAGATGGGCACTGAATCAAAGCAAGAATAAACCTCTGAGTGGAAACATGGGTATATTTCATCAGTTATTATTAATGAAGAAGTTACTCGTCATTAAACCAGCTATTACATTGTTTTAACGACACCATGTAATCACATTTTCTGTGATTTAGAAACAGGGAAAATAGAAAGCCAGATCAGAGCTGGGTGCGGTGGCTCACACCT
This sequence comes from Homo sapiens, assembly GCF_000001405.40. Classification (NCBI taxonomy): domain Eukaryota; kingdom Metazoa; phylum Chordata; class Mammalia; order Primates; family Hominidae; genus Homo; species Homo sapiens. Next base: position 70,696,903 of record NC_000002.12, read on the forward strand.
GTAATCCCAGCATTTTGGGAGGTCGAGGCGGGCGGATCACAAGGTCGAGAGATCAAGACCATCCTGGCCAACACAGTGAAACCCCGTCTCTACTAAAAATACAAAAATTAGCTGGGTGTGGTGGCACGCGCCTGTAATACCAGCTACTCAGGAGGCTGAGGCAGGAGAATCGTTTGAACCTGGGAGGTGGAGGTTGCAGTGCACCACTGCACGCCAGCCTGGGGACAGAGCGAGACTCCGTCCCCCACACCCTCCCAAAAAAAGAAAGCCAGATCAGCCTGAAAGTAACTTCCTCAAGTTTTTCTAACAAGTCATAAACTTCTGGAAGTGAGTGCAGCTGTGGCTGGCTGAAAGGCCAGAGGCCTCAGGCAGGGTACCTAGGCTCCTCTCTGGGCATGCAGTCCCTTAGCTATACGGTGGTTCTTTCTGGGAATTTGAGGGGATGTGGAAGGGATTTGGAAATGGGCCTAGAGGGTTTGATAGTCTTGTCCTCAGGGCATGCAAGGGTCTAGGATATGACATCCAGTCTATCCCGTTAACCATGATGACCACTGCCTACATGCCTCAGGAAGGGAGCAGAGGGCATCTGAGCTCTAGCATCTGAATCAGCATCTAGGAACTAATAAGAGAATCAATAGGAAAGGTTCTGGCTTAAAATGGTGTCTGGCTGGGAGCCTCCTGATGCTGCCTCTCCCAGCTCCCACCAAAGATTTTAATGGATCAGGATGCTCTTTGGAAGCTTTTACCACCTCTGTGAAACTTGCTGCAGTACGATGTATATCCTGCATCGAGTGTGCCATTAGTGGAAGTGATGACGTGGTCTACAAAAGCGAGGGCGGACGATGTATGTCCTGCATCGAGTGTGCCATTAGTGGAAGTGATGATGTGGTCTACAAAAAGCGAGGGCAGACTGGGTGCTGGGCCAACATCCAGCGAGCAGAGTAGGCCTTGAATCACCCATGTCAGGAAACGCACACAAGGGCCTTGCCAACCAGAGGTGATACACCTCCAGGGCAGGTGCCCTGCAAACACAGATAGCAGGGACAGCAGTGGTCCAAAAGCCTAGTTAGACTGCCAAGGACAACAACAAACTTCCAAAGTTAAGGATTTCTAATTCAAATTGACCAGTTTGGGATTGCCTCCTCCCCTCTGTGGGTTCCCCAGACAAGAAATTACTTCTCTGCTTCATGCCTAGCAGCGAGGAGGGCATGTCAAAAGCACAGGGCCCCAGGCAAAGGTGGGCAGGTGGGGCTGATGTTGGGAGGTCTATATAGTCTATACCACAGTTCTTTGAATACTTCTCCTACAAATAACCATGGGGCCCCAGTGATGGCCAGGGGGCCAGAACAGGTCTGAAAATACTCACCCCATCACATCATCTGTGTCTGTATCAAAGACAGTCCCTCTCCCCAACCCCGTGGAGGTTCAACTAAGAGGATGACCTCACCCACAGGTACAAGGGGCAGAAGAAGAAGAGAACAGGAGGGCTCAAAAGGAGCTCCCGATCCCCTGCTCTGAGTCTCAAGAGAGGTGGGATGAAGACAGGTTGATTAATGAGTACAAAAACACAGACAGACCGAATAAGTTCTAGAATTTGAAAGTACAATAGGGCAACTGTAGTTAACAAGAATTCATAGTGTATTTCAAAACAGCTAGAAGAAAAGACGTGGAATGCTCCCAATAAATAAATGATAAGTGTTTGAGGTGATGGTTATTCCAATTATCCTGATTTGATCATTATATTATTATTTATATATAAAAATGTCGCTTGTACCCCATAAATATGTACAACTATTAGGTATCCATTTTAAAAAGAAAATAATATTACAACAAGTTTTTAAAAGCTTATTCTAATTGGCCTCACGAAAGTTAGGATGGCTAAATGTCACGTTTATAAATCAGATCTAACTGAGCCATTTAGTCAAAGTACCTAAGAAAACACAGAAAAAGATGAAAACTCACCATGGTCCCTGAAAGCTAAGACTTAAGGGCACACTGATGCTCAAAACCCCAATTTCTAAGGCAAATGGAGCTAGACAGATAACAACCTATCTGGGCTTGAACTCTTGGTACTTGAAACTTCCCCTCTCCGCATCCCTGACTCAGATATCCTGGATGTGTACCAAGCAGATTTCCAGGCATCCATCTGTCTTCCTGACAGATGTTGATTGGTGAGGCAATGGGAATGCTGGTCAGCCCCATTCCTTTCTCAGGAGGAAGAGTATAATGACAGACGTGGAAAGGATGGTAGAGAATATGACAGATTTGGGAGATAAAAACCAGAGAGCCCGGCTATAGATAAGCCATGTGAATATGGTAGAAGAAACATTTTCTGAACTGTAAAAAAAAAGACCTGTGCATGTGAGTACTCACTGATTATGGGGAAAGTTCATATAAAGAAAAAAACCTACAATTATATGCTTCCTGGTAACATTTCTGAAATACAGGGATAAGGGGAAAATATCCATAAGCATCTAGAAAAAAAATGTTTGGCGACCTAAAAAGGAACCAAAAAAATTGGCTATCCCATTTCTCTGTTACAGCCACAGAATGTCAGATGGCAATGCTATAGGAAGTTTACAAAAAATAAAAACAGGCCAGGCACAGTGGCTCACACCTGCAGTCCCAGCACTCTGGGAAGCGGATGCAGAAAACTCGCTTGAGCCTAGGAGTTTCAGACCAGCCTGGGCAACACAGTGAGAACTCGTCTCTATAAAAAATTTTAAAATTGCCCAGGCATGGTGGCACATGCCTGTAGTCCCAGCTACTTGGGAGGCTGAGGCAGAAAGATCACTTGAGCCCAGGAGGTTGAGGCTGCAGTGAGCTGTGTTTGCACCATTGCTCTCCAGCCTAGGAGACAGGGCAAGATCCTGTCTCAAAAACAAAACAAAAAAAACCCCACTAAAATAAAGTGGCTCCAAAAAGGTAAAAATAAAAGGAAGATCAAAAATACACCAGGCAAATATAAACAAAAACTACGCAGAGGTCATCACATTATTATCAAAATAGAAGTTGGGCAAAACAATATTCTCTTATACAAAGAAGCTATTTAATAGGTCATTTTATATGAATTAAAGGTGCAATCAATAATGAAGCTATAACTATCAGTCATGCTTATGCCGTGAATATTTCAAGACATAGAAAGCAAAAACTATCATAAATACCAAGAGAAATGAACAGAAATCAAATGTAATGGGAGAAAATTGTTTACAAAATCAAATTAAGACAAAAATATAGATTAAATACCATGCTATAGAGATGGTATATACCCATTATCATTTTTAAATGATATTATTAGGTCACAGAGAATACCTGAATATATCTCCAACACAGAAATTAAATAGGCCATATTTTCTAAACATAATGCAATAAAATCCAATGCTATTAGCAAACCTTTAAAAGACTAAGCATTCAACCACTTGGAAATAAGAAAACACTCCTAGATAGCTCTTAGAAGAAAAATAAAGTCCAAACAGCAACTGCAAGCTATTTAGAAATTAACAATAAAATAATTACTATGTGTCAAATTCCTGAGATAAGGCCAAACATATACTCATAGAAAAAAATTTATAGCCTTAAATGTCTTTATTATTGAATTCAGTATAAAAATAAATACATTTTATGCTGCTCTAGAAAATACATAAATAACAAAATAGAAAAGTTATGGAAAAGGATTAATGAATATAGAAATAAAACTAATGAATCAGGAAGCAGAAAGAATAACAGGACCAATAAGTAAATCCAAGAATTGGCTTATGTGAGATGATCTATGAATAAACAAATATCTAGATTGGTCAATAAAGAGAAAGCAAAAATTTACATAGCACCAGGAATGAGAATGGGATGTTATCTCATCTACTTTAGCAGGAAATTTGAATGATAAAAATAATATTGTAAATGACTCATAATTTTGAAAAACTCCATAAAATGGTTTATTTTACACAAAATATATGACGAAAATTTAACCAAGAAGCAGCAAAATAAATTTTAAAACCCCAGATGAAACTGAGGACAAAAACATCAAAAATCCCTAAAAATATTCCAGATCTAGATGACATTCTAAGTGAATAATAAATCTCAAGGAACAGAGATTTCCTATCTTATTTAAACTATATCAGGGTAAAAAAGAGAGAGAAATCACCTTGATTCATGTTATGAAATTACAGTCATGGTATCAATACTAGGTAAAGACTGCCCAAAAAGTGAACTGCTAACCAATCTCATGTGTGAATATGAATGCAAAAATCTTTAATAAAATTCTGGAAAATCAAATCCAGAAGGGTATTTTTAAAAGAATGCATCAAGACCAAGAATGATTTATTTCAGTAATGAAAAAGGAGTTCAATACTCAGAAATCTGTTACTAAAACTCATCACCTCAATAGTTCAAGGGAAAAAAAAACCAATAAATGGCCAAAATGTATTTTATGACATTCAACATCCATTCCTGAGAAAAACTCATAGTGAACTAGAATAAAAAGATATTTCCTCAACACGATAAAAAATAATTGTCTCAAACTCTTGTGGTAAAACAACTTCCATTAAAGTCAGAAATAAGACAAGGATAATTAATCTATTATTAAACATTGTTCTGAAAGTTCTAACAGATGCAATGAGAAAACTGGAAAAATAAACCAATGGGTAAATGTTGAAATGAAGGAAGCAAAATGATCATGATTTGCAGATTATGTGATTTTTGTATATACAATACCCAAAAGAATTAACTGAGATGATATTAAAATTTAAATAAGAGTTCAATAAGGGGCTAGTGTATACACACATGCACACACACACTTATATGTATATATATATCTAACAATTTATCTTAAATGAGAACTATAACCAGAAAGAAAATAGAATGGATAAAGATTCACTTAAAATAACAAAGTTATTTAAAAATTTCAGAGTAAACTTCATAAGAAATTAGTAAGAACTACATGAAAATAATTACTAAACTTCTCTGATGGATATGAAAGAAGACTTAAATAAATAAAAGACATATCTCATTTCTGAAAAGATTTACAATTCACTCATGTAAATATCTTTAAGTACCTACTATGTGCCAGATACATTCTAAATCAAAGGATATAGCAGTGGACCAAACTTACAAATTTCCCCTACAGAGCTTACATTCTAATATAAAATTATAAATTTATAAATTCTTCACCAAATCAATTTATTCGTTTAATGTAATCCCAATCAAAATCCCAAAAGGAATTTTTAAGGTCAATGGGGGGACTTGATAAAATAATTCTAAAGTTTGATTTTTGTTTTTGCTTTTTTGAGATGGAATCTTGCTCTGTCACTCAGACTGGAGTGCAGTGGTGCAATCTCAGCTCACTGCAACCTCCACCTCTAGGGTTCAAACAATTCTCCCACCTCAGCCTCCCAAGTAGCTGGGATTACAGGCATGCAACACCATGCCTGGCTAATTTTTATATTTTTAGTAGAGACAGGGTGTCACCATGTTGGCCGGGCTGGTCTCAAACTCCTGACCTCAGGTGATCCACCTGCTTTGGCCTCCCAAAGTGCTGGGATTACAGGCATGAACCATTGTGCCTGGCCTAAAGTTATTGTAAAGAATAAACTTGTACAAACAGTTGAGGAAAATTGACAAATGCATAATTAAGGGTATTTGTTCCATCAGATGATGAAACATGGGAAAGGTATTTCTAAGCATGCAATCAAAAGCAGAACACACAAAGGAAAATTACAATGGTTTCCGCTACACAGAAACTAAAGAATTCTACAAGACAAAAAAAATGCCATGGACAAAACTAAAAGACAAAGGAGAAACTGGAAAAAAAAAAAGCAATATATTTGACAGATAATAGAGAAACAGCTTTACTTTATAAAAATGTAAAAATCTATAAGAAAATAATACACTAATAGGAAAATAGGCAAAGGATGTAAAAAGGCAATTTACTATAAAAAGAAAGTCAGGGGCGGGCACGGTGGCTCACGTCTGTAATGCTAACACTTTGGGAGACCGGGGTGGGTGGATCACTTGAACCCAGAAGTGCCAAACCAGCCTGGGCAACATGGTGAAACCCTGTCTCCACAAAAAATACAAAAATTAGCCAGGCATGTGGTGCGTGCCCGTGGTCCCAGCTACTTGGCAGGCTGAAGTGGGAGGATTGCTTGAGCCTGGAAGGTTGCAGTGGGCTGAGATTGCACCACTACACTCTAGCCTGGGCAACAGAGTGAGATTCTGCGTGAAAGAAAGGAAAGAAAAGAAAAAGGAAAGGAAGAAGAAAAGAAAAGAAAGAAAAGAAAAAGGAAAGGAAAGGAAGAAGAAAAGAAAACGAAAGAAAGAGAAAGAGAGAAAGAGAAAGAGAGAGAGAAAGGAAGAAAATCATGTCCAATATGTATGTGAAAATACATTAATATATCCAACCTCATCAGTAGTCAAACAAATGCACATTAAAACACAAATAAAGTATTATTTGTCACCTACTGAATCAGGAGGATGAAACAAATGGTAGTATACACTATGGACCAGGGTAGAGGAAATGGGCACTCTACCGCATTACTGTTGGGAACGTAAATTGGATCCATTTGGAGAAAGGATGTAATCTGCCATTCTGCATTAAAGTCTTTAAAACATGCATGCATGTACTTCAATTCAGCAATTCTACTAGTAATTTATCTTAAGAAAATAATCACGGATATAATCTCAGGTTTATTTACAAGGATGTTTATTGCATTGTTCCTAACAGAAAAAGTTGGAAATAACCTAAAAGTCCAACAATGGGAAATTTATTAAATAGCATGTATCCACCAAAAATTATATTATAGAACCATATTTTATGTGATTACATTTGTGTTTGCATAATCTATATATGTTAAGAAAAAAAGGACTGGAAGGATATATGTTCACCAAAATATTAAGAATAGTAATATGAGGGCTTTAAGAACACAGTAGAATGATTTCTGCTTCCCTTTCTTGGTTATTTTCACAGTTTTCAGCCATAATCCTGTAATAATCTTATTGAGGGGGAGTTATTTTTTGATGCTTGTGTTTTAAACGTTATGGGCAGAGCATAACAGCCCAGGAGGGTGGCTTCCTGCATAGCCCTGGCTGGCTCCTCTCAGCCCTCATCTGTGGAGTCAGGTTGGCCTGTCTAGTGGGGCATGGAAACACAGGCTTCAGTGGTCTCTTCCCGTCCACTGAAGTCACCTCCACCCTCTTATTCCTGGCATTGGGGTAATTTTTCTGTGGACGTTTAATTTGCAGCAACATCAGAAGCAGAGCCAGGTACCTCTCTGGCTGCTGCTGAGCTCCCCAAGGCCTGATAACACAATGGGCTGCTTACTCCATAGCCTGGCAACCAGATGCTTCTTGCTGCTCCTCCCTCTCTTCCCCACCCCACCCTCCCCTCCACCTCTGCTCCTGGCAGCTCCCCAGACACCACATACTCATGGAAGATGTCGGGAAGACTGCGTGGGAGGTGCTGGCCATGAAGTCCGCGATCTGTCGCAGGGCCCAGATGTTGGAGGAGTTGTTCCCCTTCTTCATCTGCTCCTGGATGAGGCCTTCCAGCTCCTCCCTGAAAGACTGAAGCAGGCCCCGAGGTGCTTGTCCCCCCACAGCCTCTCACACAGCTGCCCAACAATGAGCTCTTCCAAGTGCCCACCCCTTGCCCCTGGGTCAGCTAGGTCAGGGCCATGCTCAGGGTCCCCAGCTACAGGGGACACTGAGCAGTTCCACTAGGACCTCAGGAATTGCTGTATGGGAAGCAACAAAGAAATGCTGGGAATGGATCTTGTGTTCCCTTGCCCTGTGGGCAGTAATCCAGATTCCAGGTCCTTTCTGTGTCTAAATGAGGGCCAAGACCCCTCCCCACCATCAGACATGGTAGGACTTCACTTTAGTAATGAAGGACATTTTTTTAGGCAGAACTGAATGGAGAGAGCCACCATCCCTCTCCATTAGCGATGCCTGTGATTCTTTCGGGCTTCAGTTTCCTCATGTGCTTAATGAAAGGGTAGGAGGAAGAACAGGAAGATTTGATGACCTCTGAGGTCACTTCCACTCCTGATGTCCAACTCTAAGCCTGGCTTTTCAGACCATGAAGCCATAAGCAAGGAATCCTGCCCACCAGGTGGCAGGAGAAAACACTCAGGAGGAAATGGGGGGCCACTTAGGTGTGTTGGCCAACCTGTAAAAGGGAAGAAGGAAGCAGGCCCTCCTCCAACCCCTATTTACTGCCTGAGCCCTGAAATCTGGGCTGGTGCTAACTCTGCCGCCTCTCCTAACCCCCTTGCCACCCCTCCTAGTCACACTCTGGGGGTTTTCCCAGAGGCTCTTCACCCCAATGCTTTCAGCATCTGCCATATTCCTCCCAGCTCCCCAACACAATATCTGGGCACAGATATTGGACCTCGGCCCATTCCCTGGAGCTGCTCTGTGTGGCCTGAGTATGCACCATGGCTCCCAGCCAGGGTCTCACACAGCCCCTGCACAGGCCCTGGCTCTCTGGAGCCCAGAAGGCCAAGGCAGAGCGGCTCCCATCTCGAGCCCATCCTGGCAAGCAATTGGAGATGCCAACTCTGTCCCTGGGCTTCCCGATCCTTAGGATCATGGGCTGATTCCTGAGGCCCCCCAAGCTCTTCCTCAGTCAGACCCCTCTTGCCTCCACCACAGTGATCTCCCTCTGCCTTCAGTGGTCCACAGGGCCCACCCTTCGGCCTTCTCAAGGCACTACCTGCCTCAAGGAGGAGCTGTGTCCATGCCAGGCAGGAACCAACTGGCCCCAAGTAAGGAGGGATGTGAGTGATCCCGACTTGCCTTCCCTTCCCACACCCCATCCCACAGCCCGGCTGAGCCCTCCACTCTGCCCACCTCCTGGGGCTTCCAGGCTCTCCTCAGCCCCATCCCATTCATGTCAAAGCTTCATTTGTCCCGACAGAAAGTTCTTACTTTGTGGTGTTCAGTAAAGGGAGCCCCAAGCCCTCCTCCTGGCACCCTGCTGGTCTCTAGTTTACATGGATTTGTCCGTTCACTGTCATAGCTTTTGGTGAGGAGGGAAGACTGGGAACTGAGGCTCCGAAGGGGCACAGGAAACTGAGGGGGACTCCTGTCTCCGTCCCACCTCCCCCCGCACCAAGCCAAACTGCCACACACAAGCCAGGTTCTGCCATCCACCAGTTACAAGGGAGAGTGTCAAGGCCCCAGGTGACCAGATCCGTCTTGCTCAGTGGGCTTACATTTCTACTGACCCTGAGCAAGGGAAAGAGGAGTTACTCATCTTTCGGGTGGGTACACGTCCTGAAGAGCCAGCGCCCCCTGCGCCCTCTCCCGCCCGGGTCAGCCCCACTCACGGGACTCTGCAGGATCATGGTGACGCGCTTCTTCTGCTCCATCAGGTTGAAGTCCTGCCGCAGGTCCGCCGCCCGGTTGCGAAGGCGCATGTACTCGGGGTCGTCCTCTGAGAAGCGGTCAAAGTAAGGCTGCCCCTGCGGGGGCGGCGGCGAGGCAGCCTCGGGGACCGTCTCTTCGCTCATTTTCCCGGTGGGTTTGCAATTCGCTCCTGGAACTCTACAGAGAAGGGGAGAGGGTATGCGGTCAGGTTGGTGCTCCCCATCGGGGTACACGTTTCTCAGAGCACAGGGCTAGGTTCAGTTGGATTCTCAGTGGGGTACGGCTGTTCCTAGGATGGTAGAGGCAGAGCCTGGGGAGGAGGGCAGGACGCCAGCAGCGGCCCCATATACCCATCTATAGGGGCGCTGCTGTGCCATGAGACTAAGTAAAAACATGGGTTCAGGTGTCCACTCCCTTCCCCAACTAGCCAGCCCTTAAATGGTCACACTTGGCTTGGAGTAGAGAGTTCCCCGAATGGAAACATGACCTGCAGACCTTGTTGAGCATTTCTGTGATGCACACCTATGCAGTGGTAAGCTACTTACTGGAAATCAGTACTTCATCTAAAATGGAAACCCTCTAATAAGGCCCCTCAAAAATTATGGTGGAAATAGCTAATGCATGCTGGGCTTAACACCTAGGTAATGGGTTGATAGGCGCAGCAAACCACCATGGCACACATTTACCTATGTAACAAACCTGCACATCCTGCACACGTATCACAGAACTAAAAAGAAAAAAAAATTATGGTGGGAAATTCACAAAAGAATACTACTATTAAACAGGGCCTACTAAGACTACTACTAAAAGAGCACAGGAACTACTGAAACGTGGGAAGCGCTTTGCCCAATGCTTTTCTTTACAACTTAAACTTCGCTCTGGCCCCTGGAAAGGAATTTATTGGTGAATCTGTTTTTCTGAAACTTGTTTTAATGCAGAATCAGATTCTTATTCCAAGTTTAAAAAGAGGTGTGCAACTTTATTAATGGAAAATTATTTTCTCTCCAATCCCATTCAACTCATGTTGAGAAACAACAACTAAATATGGTTTGCAGGGTGCCATGCTGCCCGGCTGCCAGAGCCCCACGTGCTGCGTGTAAACCTGCTCCCTGGAGCAAGGACCACGACAGCCTCTGGAAAGTCAAGCTGGGGGAAACCTGTGGATTTTTTCTAATCAAGAATACTTTTTAAAATGTGTGAATGATGAATGAAGAAATGTTTTCTGTTGCTATCTTGGAGCCCTTCTGAAGAGTAAGCCTGCAGTTCCGGGCTTCACTTCCCGGCAGTGGGAATTTGCGAAGCCCGTCTCCTTTCCTGTGTCGGCACTGCAAGGCCTTCAAATCGGTGCTCTGCCCCTTCAACACCCAGGGTGGCCTTACAGAGCGTTGGCCTTCTCCCTGCTGGCTGATTCTCTTCTCAGCAGAAGGCAGCATGTACTTTGGCTGAACAATAATTAGCTTTTTAACATATATGTGAAGATACAAATAAAAGAGCATTACAAGGGACCAGGACACCTGGGTTCTCATCCATAACCTGCCACTCCCTTGCTTTACCTCCATGGGCTCCCATTCCATGAGGAGATGGAATGCTCTCTTGTTCTTTGGGAGAAGACTCCTGGCCTCCCAGGTCCTGATCTGCCCTTTGCCTGTGGCTGGCCAGTCCTGGCTCCCTCCGGCCTTGCTCCAGCAGTCCTGTTGGCCCCAGCCTACCCTTGATTCTGGTCAGAAGCTCATTACAAAGGAGGCTTTGCTGATGTCCAGTAGAGCATATTCTTGTTGTCCCTGAGCTGCCTGTAACCTCTTCTTCCACATTCTACCAGAACTCCACACACTACCTTTGCAGTCTCTCTGGGTGGGGTGAGGGGAGAATGATGCCATAGATAAGCTTGGAGGACAGTGGAAGGCCATCCCATCAGCCCAGAATACACAGATGGTTTCCTGTTGTTCTTGTTTGCATTCTTCCTCTAGGGGAAAGGCAAACAGTTCGTTCAAGGGAAGGCGCATGGACAGAGTTCCTCAAGGGTCAGCTGATGGCCTGAGCCCTCAGCCTAGAGCAGTGGTTCTCAACCTTGGGTGCACAATAGCATCACCTGGGAACTTTAAAAAGTACTGATGCCAGATATTCTAATATAATTAGTCTGAGGTATGACCTGGACATCAGGATTTTTCAAAAGCTCCCTAATCCCTAGTGAGCAGCCTCGGTTGAAATATCCATAGTTTAGATGTTAATGGTTGCAACATGTAATGGAAGGCATCCATTCCAGGTGTTGGCCATTTCTAGCAAGTCTGACATAAGATGGCACAAAACCTCACATAATCTGACTCTCACATCACAGGCCAAGTCCCATAGCTGTCTAGGCCCCTCCCCTCGTTCAAACCACCATCTGCTATCATACACTTGGCCTGGGACATGTTACATTAAGTTTGGCCTAAAGCTGCCTCCTTACATATTTTAAGTGTGGCCTAAGGGCTTTTCCACGTATAATAAACTGTAACCCAACTTGATGTGTAATAGACTGTAACCTACTCTTGTGACAAGTAGCTGAGTCTCAGCCAACCACAGCAGCTGAGCTTCCACCAATCACAGGTAGCCAACTATTCAAACACTATTCCAATAAAGCAAATACAAAGCTGTAACCAATCCAGTCATTTCTGTATCTCACTTCCATTTTCTGTAGGTCACTTTCCTTTTTCTGTCCATAAATGTATCCAATCATGTGGCAGCCTCAGAGTCACTCAGAAACCATTCTGATTCTGAGGGCTCCCAAGTTCCTGAATCATGCTTTGCTCAAACTCTGTTAAGTTTAATTCATCTAAAATTTTTCTTTTAACAGGCAGTGGGAGTGCTCCAAATGCCACCATGGCCCACTTCTGCAAAGCTGCCAAACCAGGACCTATGATCTTAATCATTCCACTAGTTAGTCATCTTCTTATGAAAGCCCTTACCTGATCTCCCCCAACCAGCACCACACTTACCAGCGGTGTTGACAAAATATTTGATAATAGGGGACGGAGATGAAGGGTCGGAGGTAGGGGAAGGGGTCTGCTGGGAGTGGGAGCCAAAAAAAAAAAAAAAGATTCTGTAAAGAAAGATTTTGAAACAGATTTGGCAGGCTGCTAGAATGGTTGTGGTCATACTTGGCAACATTTAAATCCAGACCCTTTCCTTTCATCTGAATGGAAAAAGAGTGAGTCAGGGATGTTGCTGGTGGACTGAGCTCTAGACTAGAAGTCAGGGACCTGCAATCTTGCCCCTATCTGTCACTCAGTAGCTGCATGGGCTTGGGCAAGTCATTGCCTCTCTCTGGGTCTCACTTTGCCCAGCTCTAAATCAGAAAATGAACCAAATGACCTCTGGGGTCCCTTCTAGCTCTGACACTCTATGATTTATCTGAGTTGGAGACAGATACATTCGTGTAATAAAGGCGGAAGCATGGAGGATCTGGGTTTCCTGGAGCAAGAGATCTTCCCGCTTTCCCCCAGAGCCTCTCCCACAAGTCAGATGCCAAAAGAGAAACATCTGCAAAGAACACACATTGGCCTTGTGGATTCCAGTCAGTCCCACGTGCATGGCGTTAGTTAAGAATATTTCACCTCTATCATGCTCACACCCAACCTCATCCCTGGACCTTGAGGATAAGAAGGGATGACAAAGTCAAACATAATAGAACTGCATCAGAGCCACACAGACATGTGGCCCCCACTCAGATTCTTCTGGGCAGGCAGCACGGCAGAACAAAATTCTTCCAGAGACATCACCTCATCGAACCCCACTCCTTCTCTGTTTAGTGACTCATCATAGTAAATTAATTCTCTTTGGCACTTTCAAAGCCCTGAACCTTTTATATTATTTTTAAAACAGCAACAAGCAACTCCCCTTCCCCAGTGAGTACACTGGATGTGAGCATAGGCATGTGAGCCCCCTGTGCTCCCTAGGACTCCAGGCTCTAAGCCAACTGAACTCTCAGCTTCTCTGGGACTGGGATCATTTTGGCCAGCACAGCCTTGTACTGAGCCTTCCAGGCAGGAAAAGGTTGACCCTCTCCCCTTCCCCATGGAGTGGTTGCATTCCCCAGTAACTGATCTGTGAAGGCTGTGAAGTAGCTCTGCCCTCCCTGAAGTACAAAGAACCAAGAAGCTCTGGGCCTGATGGACAGGAGCTCACACCGCTATGCCCCAGGGCCTGCCTTCCCTTCTTAGAGCCCTGCCCCAGAGGGTTGCTCCAGAGGTACTCCGATGGGGGTGGTGTAGGACATGGAAGCCCTGACTCCATCACCATCACAGCAGGGGCCTGAGCCAACCCTTTGGCTTTGTGAATCACAGGCATCCTCTTGTGCTCCTTCCTTCTGTCTCCAAAAAGTTATGTGCAGAATGGCTTAGCGATTAAAAGCACAGACTCTGGAACAAGACTACCTGGGTTCAAATCTCAGCTGTGCCACTTATTATCTGTGTAATCTTGAGCTAGTTAACTGCTCTGTGCCTCCGTTTCCCCACATATAAAATGGGGACTGTAGTAAATTAACTACCTTGAAACGTACTTGTGAGGATTAGTGAAGTTAATGTATGTGGAGTATTTAAAACAGGGCTTGGTATATAGCAAGTGCTATTAACTATTTACTCTTATCATGTGTGATTGAGGGGCTTAAGTCATCTTAGCATTAGGAATTCAAGTAATGAGAGGCTTGTGATTCAATTATAAACAGGTGCACACTAAATAACTGTAATTATGTGTTTTAGTCTAAAAAACTAATTCAATCTTGAGCTACATCGACAAAAAGAAGAACATCCAGAAAAAGACTGAGAATGCCCAGTTTCCCAACCAGATAATGGGAACAGGTCAACCTCGATATCACAAAAAAGAAGCTCACCAGGATGCTGAAGATCAGAGGAGACCAGCGTGTGATGAGCCAGGTATGATATAAGAAAGACTATATGTCATCTTTGTCCCTGGTTCCTGGCACAGAGTTTCAAAAACCTTTGGAATTCCTAAAATGCCCAAAAGACAGTAGGAATGTCTTTTGTTATTCATCATGAGCCTCTTTCAACTGAACCTGAGTTTATACTAATAAGGTGACCTATGATAGGCCCTTGGTTTCAAGGAAGGGTCTAGCCACCCCAGAAAACCCAAGCACATGATTAGAAGCCTGTAGCAGCAGCTCCACCCCCCACCAATCCCGCCACTTCCAAAGTGGGGAGAGGGGCTAGAGATTGAGTCCAGACAAGTGGCAAATGATTTAACCACTCATGCCTCTGTAACAAATGCCCCTTGATTTTTAAAAAAACTCTGGACAGCAAGGTGTAACAAATGCCCCTTGATTTTTAAAAAAAACTCTGGACAGCAAGGTGTGGGGGAACTTCCTAGTTGGTGAACACATTGATGTGCTGGGAGAGTTATGGGCCTGGATTCCACAGGAGAGAGCACGGAAGCTCTGTGCGCCCCACCTTACACTCTGACCTATGGATGCATCTCTTCCATGTGGGTGTTCCAGAGTTGGACCCTTTGAAATATGATTGCAAGTACCATACTTTCGGTGAGTTCTGTGACTCATTCTAATGAATTATTGAACCTGAAGAGGGGTCATGGGAACTCCTAAATTTATAGCCAAGTCAGTTGGAAGCATGGGTGACCTGGGGACCCCAGTTGTGGCTGGTGCCTGAGGTGGGGATGGTCATATTGGTGACCTTGTCCTTTATCTTGTAGTAGTTAGCTTGTGTGCCCTTCAACTTAGGGTAGTTCATGTCAGAATTGAATTGAATTGTAGGACAGCCAACTGATGACAGGGAATTGGTGACATAATATTACCAGGCAACTTTTATTCATGATGTATTTTCGCCCCCAGGACCAATCTATGAGGTCGATATTATTGTTCCAGTTTTACTTGAACAAAATAAAGATAGGCTGGGTGCAGTGGCTCATGTCTGTAATCCCAGCACTTTGGGAGGCCGAGGCGGATGGATCACCTGAAGTCAGGAGTTCAAGACCAGCCTGGCCAACATGGTGAAACCCTGTCTCTATTAAAAATACAAAAATTAGGCGGGCATGGTGGTGTGCACCTGTAGTCCCAGCTACTTGGGAGGCTGAGGCAGGAGAATCGCTTGAACCTGGGAGGCAGAGGTTGCAGTGAGCTGAGATCACACCACTGCACTCCAGCCTGGGTGAAAGAGGGAGACCCTGTCTCAAAAAAAATAAATAAATAAAAAAAAAAAAAAAGAAACTGAATCACAAAGAGATTAACAAACTTGCTCAAGGTCACACAGATAACAGTGGAATCATGATTTCAACCAGGTTTGTCTCTAGCCCCACATCCTGCAGTTCTCCACTCCATCATTCTGTCCCAGAACATCTGCTGGGCTGCCATGTGGAAGAAGAATTAGGCTGGTTCTCTAGAACCTCAGAGGCCAGAACTAGGAAACCAGGTGGTTGTTACATACAGGCAGATTGCAGCTGAGGGCATGGGGGAGAACTTCCTAAGGGCAAGAGCTGCTCAGTAATGGGAAGGTGGAACAGGCTGCCTTGTCAGGTGGGGAGTTCTCCCTGCTGGGAGTCAGAGTGAGCACAGGATGCTGTAAAGGGGCTTCTGTCCTTGCTGAACCACGGGCAGGTGGTGGACTAGTGACTTCTAAGGTCCTTCAGATTCTATGGTAGGTCTTGAGTCAGCAGGATAAGGGGACTTCATAGCAATGACCTGAGTGTCTGGAAGCTCATCCTCATGCAAAGGGCCTTGTCTGTACCTCACGTGATGGGCCCAGCCAAAAAGTGTGCATCACCCCCGTCACCACCAGAAACTACTGCTTACTTACCGGGAGGCTGGCCCAGCCCTGTCCAAGGCTCCTTCTGTTCACTGCTCAGTCTGCACCCCCTAGCTCCACTCTCAAGGGTGCCGGCCACATCTACACAACCTCAAACATCCAGGTGGAAACTGCAAAACACAAACACGACAAGTGTCAGGGCCTGCACCACCATGACTCTTCACCTGATTTATAAGAGCTTCTGGGAAATTCCTTAAAATGAACTTGAAATGAATTTTTATTTTAAAAGCAAATTATGCCTTTAAAAAGGTAAAGAGGCCAGGCACAGTGGCTCATGTCTGTAATCCCAGCACTTTGGGAGGCCAAGGTGGGGGGATCACGAGGTCAAGAGATCGGGACCATCCAGGCCAATATGGTGAAACCCCATCTCTACTAAAAATACAAAAATTAGCTGGGCGTGGTGGTGGGTGCCTGTAGTCCCAGCTACTCTGGAGGCTGAGGCAGGAGAATTGCTTGAATCCGGGAGGTGGAGGTTGCAGTGAGCCAAGATCGCGCCACTGCACTCCAGCCTGGGGGAGGGAGTGAGACTCTGTCTCAAAAGAAAAAAGGTAAAGAAAGCTGCATTATCTTTACAATTGGGATCAAAATTCCTTTTAAAGAGAAGAATTGGAGAATTTCTTTGCTGAGTGCTGGCTGGCAAGGCCTCCAGGGAAAGCGGTTGCCCTGGCCTGGTGGAGGGCGCAGAATGTGGAACTCCTGCACGAGCCCAGACGTGGTGGCGAGTTGCTGGGCTGGGAGGATCTCCCTTCCTGAGACCCCCAAAACACTTCACTAACAGCTGCTAAACTCACAGATGCTAATGTGAGTGATGTTTGGATGCAGCCCAAGACGCAGAAGCAGCCTGAAGAATATCGCATCCCAGGAAAATGGGAGAGTTTTAGATTTGCACAGGCTGTCCATGGGTGAATTCAAGGCCATTTCACCCAGAGTTCAAGGGGAAGAAAGGCCCCAGCTAATACCTGGATAAAAGGTCCTAAAGTACTACTGAAGGAGGAATATAAAGTTGTTAATACCTTACAAACTAGGGTGAGTTACTACTCCAAAACTCCTAGGAATCAAGGTCTTCAAAGCATTAATTGTCAAAATGTTTAAGAATAAAGACAAGTAATGACAAGTGATCATTTTCCATTTTCACTTGGACATCCTGTTGTTCTGACCCAGAGCTGCTGGGGGCTGTCTCACCCAGGGCTGGCAGCATCCCTGAGTACCCCCACCCTACCGCCACCTGCCCATGGCTCTGGCTCACTGGCAGCTCACTTCATCCCTGACCCAATGCTGTCCAGAGTGGAGGCATTCGAAGAGACTCGTCCCACCAATGAGGGACAAGGAGAACTCATCTTGGTAGGTACAATGTGCCTGTGGGAATCCAGGATACCTGCACACCCACTAAGGCTCAGCCTCCTCCTCAATCCAGCCAGGGGGCCTGGGGCTCAGTGTTTCAGTGCCAGATGGTCCCTGAGCCCAGTCCTGATGCTCGCCCATCTACTTAGGAACAGGTTGCTTCTAAGAATGAGACTGTGCTCTGCACATCCAGTGCCGGCTGAGCTCCTTCTCCCAGAGGTTCTATTTTTAGCTAGAACAGGGTCCTAGCCACCACTTGATGCTGCCTTTCTCCAATGGCCTCCCTTCCAGGGCTGGCCTCAGGGTGGGGTTTGCTGATGTATCTCCACTGCCCTCCCTAAGAACCAATCTTGCAGCCTCAAACACCAGCTTCCTCTCCTTCCCCAGAAGGTCTGAGGCTGCCCTGTGGCCACAACCTGCTAAGATTTGAATTTTCAGAATCTCAGCTATTTTTTGTGTGTGCTAATAGAATTCATCCTTTGCCCCTAGAAGTAGCCTGCACCATTCTTGTAAGAAAGCAAACATTGACCCCCAATGTAAATATACAGTGAACAAAATAATTCCCACCCCAACCCCCATTGCTGCTGAAATTCCCCACCAGAGCACCATTCCTTGGGTTATGGTGTTACGCCCTAATTAAAATGAAAATAGTCCTGAGAGGTATTTGAGGCAATTGTATTAGCTAGAAACCATTGTCCTGTGGCAATGAAACTGTCAAATCTCTGATTGGGGAGTTGGGCTGAGCAGGCAGGACAGGCACCAGATCAGCAAGTTTTAATGAGAGAAGGGAAGAGAAAGAGGCCTAATGCCAGGGCTGCTCTAGAGAGGCCCCAGCACCTAGAGCAGGGCTGCCATCCTGGGGGAGTTTAGATAATCCTGGCCAGACAGAACCCTCTGAGCCTGCTGAAGCTGCTGTACCAAGCACAGCATCACCTCTTGTGCAGACTTCAGCTTCCTAGCACATGCGTTGAGAACCTAGCTCTCTCCAGCTTCCAGCCCCCACATCCCTCAGGCAGAGCAGAGATGCAAGGGACAGTGTGAGCCATGGTGCCCCATGTAGTGAAAACAGATGCCTGACACCCCCTGGGTGGTTCAGAAAGCACCAGAGGCACAGCCCCTCAGAGCCACCTGCCCCCTGCTCTTGGTGTGCAGTCAAGCTGGGCTGTGAGGCGGCAGGAGTTAGGGCAGTACATTCTAGTCCTTGTTGGCTGCCCTCTGAACTGTGAACCCGGACATTAAAACACTCAGGGGCCTTTGCCTATTCCTGTGTCCTGCAGCCTCGTTAAAAATCAACCTGCAAATGGACCATCACTCCTGCTCACCACACACCGCAGCCTCCCCAGCCCCCTCCTCTCTGCCCCCTACCAACCAGGCATCCCACCATGGGATCCCACCTTGACTCCCTCTTTTTGCCCTGCACATTTAATTGGTCACTGAGGTCTCTGGTTTTATGTCCTAAATATCTCTCCACCCGCAGCGCCAGGCCCTGAATCATGCCTCCATCTCTCCATCCTTTAATGATCTCTGGTCCACAGTCCTTCCTGGCCCATGCCTGTCACTGCCCTGCTAAAAATCCATCTCTGTCTCTAGTGGCCGTGTTCCTTAACCTTTTTTTTTCTTTTTAAAGCCCTGCTTTTCCAACCAAAACCT
Organism: Homo sapiens; assembly: GCF_000001405.40. NCBI lineage: Eukaryota > Metazoa > Chordata > Mammalia > Primates > Hominidae > Homo > Homo sapiens. The sequence goes on from NC_000002.12 coordinate 70,716,066, forward strand.
AGTCAAATTTAGCCTTTATTACCAAAATGGCAGGTATACTTTTCACATTTTCCAAATATAAAGTGTTAAATCCAAATGGGCTTTGTCAAACCAAATGCACACCCCATGTTAACAATCCAAGCCCATCGATGCCCAGCTGGGAGCTGTGCGTTTTTCTCTCTGCCAGCCCCTTCTCCTTGAGGACAGCTACCCTGTAGGATGAGGCTGAGACTCAGATGACACCTCTATTCCCAGCCCCCTGACCTCTCTGCATTTGCCCTGCTCTCCAGGGGCTATTCCCAGGACCCAAGAGGCACAAAGCAGATTCTTGGTTGGGGCTGGAGTCTGCCAGGAACACCCTCCTCTCTTCACCTCCTCCCTGCATTTCATGTGTCCTCTCCTCTGGCAGCCTGCCCCCTACACCCCCGCCCTGGGCTTTCACATCACTTTTACTTGCCTCTTCCATTCCACTTGCAGCCTGGCAGCAACAATCTATTACCGTGAGCTCCTGGCAGGCGGCCTGTGTCTCTGCGTTTCTCTATCCTCCCTGTTGCCATAGGGCCTGGTGCCAGTTAGGTGCTGAACAAATGTTAGTTGAAGGTAAATTGGGAAGAGCTGGGCCAGCTTAATGAAGCAGCCCTGTCCAGCCCTGAGGTCCCAGCAGCAAGTGAGGACTGAGGGGAGCTCACGGTACAGTGTGAGGAGACAGACCCTGAAGGGTAAGGTGCTGAGTGTTCATGGAGGAGTGCATGGCAGGTGCCTCAGTGCCCAAATCACCTCTTGTCTTGGTATATAACTGAGTGGCTGGCCCCTCAGCCACCCTTCTTGCCTAATTTGAGACAGAACCCAGCAACAGATTGCAACTCTTACATTAACAAATCCGACATTAATTATGGGGAGACAGAGAGGAAGGTAATATTACATACCATGCATCACACACAACAACCTCCTTGGCTCTCCCATGTTCAGCCCTGCTCTCTTCTCTGTCTCTCTCACCTCCTCCCTTGAGCACCCCCTCACCTCCCTCAGCTGGGACCCTCCTCTCTGCACAGAGGAACCCAGGAGCTCCCTCTAGGCCTGGCAAGCTCACTTCCTCACACCTCTGCAGCCCCTCAGCAGAGTCCCTGCTTGGGATTCGCCCTGGTAGGAGGGCAGCTGGAGACTACACATCATGAGACACGCTTCCTGTCACCAAGCATCTTCTTCCCTGTCCCACTGAAGACCAAGTACATGTAACCACTGGAGTATGAAATCACATTTCTATGGATCGTTCCTTGTGGCTATAAGAGAAACAAAAGGTCTACAAGGGGAGTAATAGATGCCCGAGTTGTCTGACTTTTTGTTAAAATCGGCTTAAGCTTCATGTGCCCTAAGCAGAGGCAGGCGCCATCTCCTGCCACTTCAGTGGGGGAGTCTCCAGACAGGAACAGACAGTCTGTGTGGCTCAGCACCCAGAGCTCAAAGTGGAAAGACGCAAGCTGCCACTTCCCAGGTGCTCCCCAACAGCCATGGCCATGGGTCCCTCAGCAGTCCTGGCCTCTGAAAGCCCCAGGCCCCGGCCCCACGGATCAGCTCCCCACAAGGACGGCATAGCATTTGCTCCAGGACTTAGGCTAGAAGTCAGAAGCCAGACTTACCGATCCCTAAATGAGACTCCCACAAGTGAGAGAGGAGATGGTCAGGGCTGAGCTGCTGCTACTTTTACAGAATAAATGAAGACAGTTGAATAAGGGACTGGACCGCACCCTGCCTGATGTGTTCAGATAAAGAGAAGGCTCATGCCTCTGGTGGGTGGGATTATGGGGAAAGCTTATCATCATTTTTTCAAATGCTTCTGAATTTTACAAAGTTCTAGATTAGGTATTAACTGCTGTGATCATTTAAGCCAAAAATAGTTGAAAAGAAGAAAGAGAGAAAGAGGCAGGACAGCGATGGTAAAGTCTATGTCCATCTCCAGACACCCCCTTAGTTGGAAGAATCCTTTAACTCCTTCACTGCTGCAGACCCCATAAGTACTTATTTCTGGGCATCCCTGGTGCAAACATTCCTAGTGAAGTCCAGTGAATTTTAAAAGTCCTCCAGCAAACGACCTCAAACCTAATAGTTGGTAGGCAACGTTTTTCTGTTCTTCTATCCAGGAATTGGATTGTTGTGGCATGAATGGACTGAGTATTCTTTCTTACAGACTTGGAATCATTCCCATACCCTCTAACTAAATAAACAGTTATTTGTCAAGTATCTGTTGGTGCCCGGGAGTGAGCAAGAACTAGAACTGGATGTGAGAGGGAAGATGGCTGGGAGAAATGAGACATGGCCCTGCCTGCTAGAGGCCCACAGTCATGTTCGTATTCCTGAAAAACTTGCATGCAAGTGAAACATACATAGATACATGCACATATATGCAGATATGTAATTAACTGTTAAGGGCAACACACTACAGGGCCCCAACAATGAATGCTGAGGTGATCAGAAATGAATGTGTTTAATGCTTGTTGGGAAGGGAGACTGGAAACCTTGGGTGCACATAATGAGGACCAAGGTCCTGAGTTAGATCCTGAAGAAAGACATTATTCAATCAACAAAAGCTGTGAAACTCCAATAAGTGCCCAGTGCTATGCCCAGCCCTGCAGTGAAGGACCCAGCATCCTGGTTTTTCGGGAGAGGAAATTGAGGCTGCAGGAACCTGGGTGACTTGATTCAGGCCACAGAGCTGGTGAAAGGCAGAACCTGGGTTTGAACCCCTCTAGTTCCAGAGCCTGTTCTCCTGTTACTTCACCACACTTTCTGCCCCTCATTCGAACAAAGGGGAGCAGATGCCAGGGGCCTGGTAGGAGGTGGGGGAATGGACATCAGCAAGTGGCCAGAGCCCAATTTCTATATTCCTGGCAGAAGCCTTGAGGACTTGGCCAGCACCAGAAAGGATGATTCTACTTCCTATTTCTGGCATGCGGGGCTCAGAACCAAGCTCTTCCCCAGCACAGAAATGGGGATTAGGAGGCAAGGAAGAGAGTAGGCACCTCTGGTACTCACTCTGACAAAGTGAACTTAGCTTTTAGGTAAAGAAGATCCTGCTGGCCCCTCAAGAGGACAGGTGGGCTGCAGTGGTGACAGCTGGTGGTGGGTCACCCACCTGCACTCCCAGGGCTGCCAGTCACTGCAGTGTGGGTACAGCCACCTATGAGACTTGCTTCATCTGGACTCAATACAATCCTTCCACTAAAATATCTGCCATGGGTCAGGACCTGGCTCACCACTGGGGATGTGAAGGGATGCAATCGTAATCCCATTTCTCAAAAGGCCCAGGACAGGGGCATGGGAGGCGGCTCTAGAGAGACGATTACAATACTGGGGTACAGTGCTCTGGTATAGGTTCATGAAGGTCACCAGGGGGTCCTAACCTCAAGGCTCCAGCACTGGGCTTTAACCCACTCATCAGCAGCCTCTGCCACTGATCACAAAACCATGTGGACCTCATGCCTTCATGAAAGGGAAGAAAGGGTTGTTGGGGAAGCCCTGGTGATGGAGAGACAGTGCTGAGCTAGCAGGATGGCTGGGCTCAGTCTTCCCACACTCAGTGCCTTCAGTAAAAAGGTCAAACTTGGAAACTATGCAGATAAAAGCCCATCAAAAAGGCTGTCTAATTGAGCTGACTGTCCTGATTCACTGTTCCACCTCAGGCTGTCCTGGAATCCAGTCACAGATACTTTTAAGCAGTCACCTTGCCTGCCTTTGGCCTTCAGGCAAGTCAGTGGAGCTATATTTTGAAAAGTTTCACCTCAATCAAATTCAAACATGAAACAGTTGATTCTGCTCTTTGGCCCAATCTGAGAGCATCTGTCCTTCAATAGGAAGGTGAAGTGTAACTCACTGGATCATGTGACAGGATTGTCTTGTCCCCATCCCCAACCACCCCCCACCAAGAAATCAAGGAAACAGCTATTGGGTATGTATCCTTTTTTGTCTAATAGAATAAACCATATCCTAAGCCATAAGATAAGAGGTGGGAATAAATGCTCATTTGGCAAATTAAGGTTGAAATTGTTTTGTGGGGTTTTTTTTACTGGGCATTTCCCCCCACTGTTTGGGCATAAGAGAAAATAGGAACACTTTGCATCTAAACTGGAGGGTAATCCTGCACTATCCCTCCCCTCTCCAGACTGGGGAAGCTGTGAACGTTCAAAACTGAAACAAGACTCGGGAGTGCTGGTGTGGAGGAGGGGAAGGAGGAAAGTTAGTAGGCCCAGAGAGAGGAGATGGTGGGAAGCAGAGGGAGTATGTTAAGGGTGGGAGGTCTAAAGGCTCACATGGGGAACTGCTGGCCTCCGGAATCTCCATGTGGAGACATCTCAAAAGCTGAGCAGTGAGGCTCAGGCCATGATAGGGTGTTAAGAACAGGATGGCAAAAATAGGAGAGATGTTGTTCGACTGTCCACTCCTCTCCCCGATGATTCTGTATTCTAGCGTCTCCTGCAGGATCCCCAATTAACCATATGTTGGGTCTCTGTTCTCTAAATCTATCATTTTTCTTCTCATTAGTTCTATTGTTGACATATTCCCTACATTCTGACAGTTTGTATTTCCCATTTCACTTATTGGATTACGGGGATATTAAGGAAAGAGCTATTTCACCTTCTGTATATTTCTGTGTATGTTTGCATATCCATGTGTCAGAGACAATGCTATGTGCTCCCCAAACCCATTTCCTCTTCTTCCTGGGCGCCCATGTTTCCCAGGCCTGCTTTTGTCTGGACAGAACCCTAGGGAATGTAAGCCAGCAGAAAGTAAGCAGAAATGATGGCATCCCCTGCAGCCAAGGCAATTAAGAGTGGAGGTGCCTTCTCCACTCCCTTTCTCCTCCCTTGCCTCCCTGCTGGAGGCAGAGGATTCAGTGGAAACTCCCAGGCTCTAGGAAATGACGCAGCCACCAAATGGAAGAAAGTGGGAAGTCACTGCAAGCAGCCCACTGAGCATCTATTTGATTGGAGATTCTGAGGCTGTTGTTATGGCAGGTCACCAACCCTGAAAAACATATTCCCACCCTTTAGGTCAGAATAGTCTTATTCTAGTGTCTCCTGCAGGACCATCAGTTATCTATATGTTGGATCTCTGCTCTCTAAATCTACTGTTATCTTCTCACTGATTCTGTTGTTGACATTTTCCTTACATTCTCACAGTTTGTCAGTATTTCCCACTTCACTGATTTTGATTCAGCAAAATTCACATGGATTTTAATGCTGATATTAAACATTTTATCACTTTGCATACTATCCTTACTTTATATCCATTTTCACCTCAGATCTTTCATCTTAGTCTATTCTCCCCCCATGACTCTATGTCTTAGAAGCCATGTCTTTTTGAACCATGTATACTAAGGATACCAGCTTTCTGACATTCTTCTGGTTCCTACAGCAGGTTATTATCAGAGCTAAATGCTCCTTTTGAGTCCTACAGATCATTTATCTTCCCCTGAAGTGTATTTTCTCAAGATATTTCTAATTGTTTTCCTTTATTCTCAAATAAGGTGAAATCAAGTCCCCTAAGATACAACCTTCAGGGAAAATAGCTTCCGGCAAAATGTGTTGAGAAAGCCACGTGTTTTCTGGAAATCAAGTGTGGTGCACACATAATTAATAGTGACTTTTAATGTCTCCAGGCAATTTCTGTACTAACATGAACAAAGAAATTACCTTAATGATTAGTCCAATTAAAATTAGAGATACAAAAGGACAAGTATCAAGGAAACCAGCCCAATCCCACATGCAGATTATAAAATGGGTACTCCATTTATAGAAAACTTAAAATTCAATCAAACTCATTTCTGGATGGTGGAGTGATTGGCGACTAACATCAGACTTAAGGAAATAAATACTTAGGCGAGCCCACAAATCTTAAAATATGACCCCCTGCTTTGCAATTTCCTGCAATGCCATAAAACTATTAATAAGATAGAGGAAGGAGGGAATGAAAAATAAACATCATGATAACAATTTGATAACAGGGTTAGCAGATCCTGGAGACCCAGGCCAGCCTCACTTCTAGGACATCTCCTGCTTAAAGGAATGGCATGGGAGGTGAGTCACACCAATGAGCATAAAGAACACCTTTCTTTGTTGTAGGTCTCAGAAGTGAAGGCTGAGAGATCCAAGCCCAGGTGTTGATTTGATAGAGGGGTAAAAATAAAACGAGCATTGGCATGACTGTATTCTTCAATTCTAAGATATCTCTGATTGATTGGCACACCAATTATTTTAAATATTACTGAGAAAGAAAAAAAAAACATTGCTAACTATCATTATAAGTCATCATTGATTGGCGGACACATCCCAACTTCAAAGATGTTGAAATGCTGGGGAAATGTGTGTCTTAGAATCAATGAAGTAAGGAACTCAACTTAGAAGTTGATGTCACCATTTTGGGACTGCCTTTTACATGGTGGGTGGCAGATCATCTACTGGGTCAGGGAGCTGAAGGATGAGACAAGAGAAATAGGCCATGAGGGCCTTGGGAGAGCCCCTTGACACCTGGATTCAGGGCTTATCAGTAGACCAGATTTGTTGGCTGTCAATCCATGCTTCTGCCCAGTACAGTGTCCTGAGAGCTACAACAAGGCAGACTGATGTGCATAGCCCCCAAACAGGTTTTCACTCAGTGTATATCTCAGTACCTCTGCTGAGGAAGCAACTTCCTGTACTGTGAAATAAGAGCTTAATGTCATAAGGCAAGACCAGACTAAGATGAGAGGCAACAAGATGAGATAAAAATGGAAATTGACCCACCACCTATATTTCTGATTAGGCTCAGACCATGAAAACCACAAGGGCTTTTGTTCTCCAGGGGGACATAGTACAGAGTAGGTGCTCGATCAATGCTAGTTCCCATCCCCTATATTCTCTCTACAAGAACACTCCCAAATCTGCCATTTGATTCTGCCCTATGTTTTCCCAAAGTTGGGAGTAGGAGAGAAAATTAAAAACTATGGTGGGGAGGAGGTAATTAACTTCATAGAGGCCCCAAACTATTTCTCTACATGAAGGACCCAGGGAATTGGTTCCACCATACAGGACCATGGCTACAAATCCAGGCTCTGAATGGCATTAAGGGCCTAGGAATGAATCCCAGCTCTGCCTCTTTCTAATTATGTGACCTTGAACAAGTTGCTTAATTTTTCTAAACCTCAGGTTCTTTGTCCAATGTGGAGAAGAACAGTCCCTCCTCAGAGCATTATCTAAGATAATATATGAAAGCACAGGCTTTGCACAGGGCCCAACAAATAGTAAGGACTCCACAAATGTTAGGTGCTACTATTAAATCATTCCTCATATGGATTCTTAACATTACAACAATTGAATTTTTTTTTTTTTTATCACAGTCTGGATTCTATCTAGTCAGCAAGCACACATCTGGGCTGACTGCTCCATCAAATGTTCTCAAGGGAACATCAACGAATCTGAAACTGAGCTGAATAAAATCAGGCAGGTTATGTCTGCTGCTCAATTTCTGCACTACAAGACATAGGTAGATTTTTAGCTGATACGCACTTTAAATGGTGGGCTCCACTTTTCCGTCTGAGCAGGTAATCTGCAGCCCCCAGTGCTGGTTACAACACTGCTTGCATGCCTGGTGAGAATGTCTGGACTGGGTTACAGGTTTTTTCAGCTAATTCCCTGACCCCCTTGACCCAGCCAGTAATTATAGGCACAAAATGCTGTGCCCAGCCGTCTCCTGACACACTTGCACCGCAGGAGGATCTTCTTTGAGCTTGGAACTCAAAGAATGGGGTCAGATTTTTGGCCTGGAGAAAAAAAATGGCAAAGGGCTACAAACTAAGGCCAAAAACCATGAACGGTATAAGGAGGGTAAATGCAAGGGGAGACCCCACCTCTCACCACTTAGAAAAGGGCATTTCAAGCACATTCAATGAGGCTTCATATACTGGTTAGCAAACAAATGGAATGTATTAGCCCAAGGCAGGGTATGGACCAAAAGTGCCCAGTGATGAGGCCACAGTGAATATCCACCTAACGACCTTCTTGGATGATGTACACATGACATAGGCCTTAAAAGCTGTCTTGTGGAAACATGTACCTTCATCGTGTTAAATGAAAAAGGTGTTGGGGTGGACTCAATATACATACTTTCAAGTGCCTTCTCTGTCCAGACACTGTGCCAGCACTGTTCTGCCATGAGCCTGTCATTCCAGGACCCACCCCGTGCTGTGGAGCGAGGGCCTTAGCAGCTCTGTGGCCTTGGTGAGCCCCTCCACCACTGCGTGCTCATTTCTAAATGGTGACCATTGCAGTACCTCTGTCATAAGAAATGTTCCTCCTGCATTTCTGGGTAGCCTCTTCATGAGGGATTCAGAACTTGGCTCAGCTGCCAGCTTCCTAATGAAGCAGTGCACCTGCCCAGGGCAGGTATGTCTCTGCCCCCGCCCACCCTCACACTGCTCCCCGACACACACTATGCACGTGGGTTTCCCGGAGCTCAGGCCAGGTTGCATGGCTCCCTGGGCTGCTCCCCCAAGCTCCCCACAAGGAGGCCTGCTGCCATCACTCTTGTGGCTCTAGGCCCCCCTGCCAGGCTCTCTGCTTTTGCTTTGGATTCTCCTTGACTTGGGCCCCCTCTCAAGGCTGCAGGACTTGGGGTTGCTGCTGGCCACGGCTGTGCTTGTGCTCCTCTGACGCAGAGGCGAGGCACTGTACTAGGTGCCAGCCACTCAGTGGTGAGGGAGATGTGCTCTACATCCTACACATGCCAACAGCTGGGGGACCCCAAACTTTACACAGTATTGGGTGTGGACAGGACAGATGCCCACACTGTATCAAGATATTTTTGATACACCCAAGCCTCTTTGCACCCAAGCCTCTCCAGAAAGTGGAACAAAGGCCCCTGATGCCATCTCTCTCCTCTACTGCCTCTTCTTTCTGTCAGGAAGATAACCTTTTAAACCCTTCATAATTTCAGAAGCATTATCCCATAAGGGTGAAGAACAAAGACTGTGCAGTCTGCCTAGTTTATATCCTGGGTGTACTTTTACAAGCTGCGAGGGTTACCGAACCACCCTGTACCTCAGTTTCCTCATCTGTAAAGCAGAGTGGTAATTATGGTAGCCACCCCAAGGGGCTGTTGCAATTAAATGGGTTCATCCATGTAAAACACTTAGGATAATGCCTGTCATAGAAGAAGCATTCAATAATGCTGGTCTTATTTGACAGTTTACAGTCAGTGTGGGTAAATCAGAAAACTAGGCTGGACTAGCTGAAGAAGTTGAGCGCAAGTGAGGACCTGGGAAGAATGCTGTCTGGGAATGTTCCAAGGGAATCTGTATTGGGTTGAATATTCCTCCCCAACCCCCTGCCAAAAATATATATATATATATGTGTGTATGTCCTAACTCCCAGAGCCTGTGAATGTGATCTTATTTAGAAAATGGATCTTCACAGATGTAATAAAGTTAAGCATCTCAAGATGAAATAATCCTGGATCATCCAGGTAAGCCCTAAATCCCTTCACAAGTGTCCTTATAAGACACAGACACACAGGAGATGGCCCTGTGAAGATGGAGGCAGAGATTGGAGTGAGGCAGCCACAAGCCAAGGAACACCAGGAGCCATCAGAAGCTGGGAGACGCACGGAAGCATTCTCCCCTAGAACTTCTGGATGGAGCACAGCCCTACCGACACCATGAGTTTGGACTTCTGGCCTCCAAAACTGTCATGGTGCTTCTCCAACCACAATGTACATACAAACCACCTGAGGATTTTGCTAACCTGCAGATTCTGATTCAGCAGGTCTGGGGTGAGGGCTGAGAGTATGCATGTCTCAAAGGCCCCCAATGATGCCAGTGTTGCTGGTCCACAAACCATACTTTGAGTAGCAAAGTTTAAGAATGTATTGTCTTGGGAGGCCAAGGCGGGCGGATCACGAGGTCAGGAGATCGAGACCATCCCGGCTAAAACGGTGAAACCCCGTCTCTACTAAAAATACAAAAAATTAGCCGGGCGTAGTGGCAGGCGCCTGTAGTCCCAGCTACTTGGGAGGCTGAGGCAGGAGAATGGCATGAACCCAGGAGGCGGAGCTTGCAGTGAGCCAAGATCCCGCCACGGCACTCCAGCCTGGGCGACAGAGCGAGACTCCATCTCAAAAAAAAAAAAAAAAAAAAAAAAAAGAATGTATTGTCATCAGCAGCACCATGATGACAAAGGAAACCACTGGAAACAAAGGGGCAGAGGTTGTAGATCCAGTCAGCCACAATGCTGGGCCACTGTGACAGCATATGAGAGCCCAGCTTTCAGCTGTGGGATAAAGAGTGGAAGGAAGCCATTGACCTTTAGTGGCACTTGTCCCTGGGATCAATCAATGCTTCTGAATTGAATAGCAGCTCACCCAGGCAGTGCTAATGAGTTTTGACTGCTCCAGTTCATCACTCCCTAACAGGGTCAACCAAGAAGTAGTCTCATCCTTTTTGCTAGGGGTGAGAAAAAGGTTTTATGATCCCTGCCTTATGGAGGGCCCAGAACAATTCCTGGGAGAATGGAAATGTTGGTGACAGAATCCCAGGTTCCTAACTTCAATGAACTTGATGGAAATGTATAAATCAGGACTTTTGTGTTAATGCTTTTATGGGCGAAAAACACTTGATCCAAAAAGACAAGAGTTCACCTCTAATGTAGCCCGTGCTCTTCTGAGAAGCTCATTTTGGTAGACAAGAGAGGAGAGGCCCCTGGCATGCATGCCCCAGGTTTGGGGAGGTAGCTTTACCCACTAAAACAGCCTATGTCAAGAACGTTTTTAAAAAGCTGGTCTACGAAATCCAACACAGGAATTGGTAGGAGATACAGAGAGCCCTTAGCCTACATTCTCACTGGATTCTCCCACTGCTGTCTCTCCAGTCCCCAACCCCACAATGCACACAGGGTTATATTTCAAAATGCTCCAGAAAAACCATCCATGACTTCTTGTGGGCCACAGCCAAATGGTCACAAAGCTTTTATACCATGTTCAGGCTTTGATCGATCAGTAGTGGCTACCTAGAAGGGCTTGAGTCCTTCTTCACGCTCCGTGGGAAGAATGCTAGGATTGATTTCCAGTGTCTGCCATAGACTCGGAGCAGGAAGACTGGCACTGTGCCATTTCTTTCAGGACAACAGGATAAAGTTATCTTGTGGCTTTCAAGCTCCTCGAGCTACCATTAAATCATCTCCCACTCTTACATGAAACGCTTACTCCAGACAAAGCCCATACCAGCCCCAACACTCCCCAACATGTGACCCTGCCTCTGTGGCTGGGGTCCAGCAGAACTTTCCCCTTCCTCATCCATCCTTCCATTCCCCAACGCCTAATTGCCTCTCCCTCTCCCTCTCCCTCTCCTGGGCTCCAGTGCCTCCCATTCACCACTAAACTGCCTTCTTTTCCTGCTATACTCATCTCTGTAGATGAGTCAGGACAAAAATGACTCCTGTATGAGTATTTCCGGATTTTCCACTCCCTCAGACCCTTTTCTTCCCTGAACTCCCAGAAAAGCCTGCCTTGACTCACTGGCTCCTTGGGTCTTTAGAATGCAGAATTGGCCAGGCGCGGTGGCTCATGCCTATAATCCCCGCACTTTAGGAGGCTGAGGTGGGCAGATCACTTGCAGTCAGGAGTTCAAGACTAGCCTGGCCAACATGGTGAAACCCTGTCTCTACTAAAATATACAAAAGTTAGCTGGGCGTGGTGATGCATGCCTGTAATCCCAGCTACTTGGGAGGCTGAAGCAGGAGAATTGCTTGAACCCAGGAGGCTGAGGTTGCAGTGAGCTGAGATCGTGCCACTGCACTCCAGCCTGGGCGACAGAGGGAGACTCTGTCAATAAATAAATAAATAAATAAATAAATAAATAAATAAATAAAATGCAGAATTGCCAGGGAAGAGAGACAGGATAAGAACAGGAGGATGGGACCTTCAAGGACGTCCGTGGATTTGTAGGGGCCTTTTGTTGAGAGAGGAGAAGCTTTGCGAGGTTCAAGGGCAACGGCAAGGCAGAGAAAAGTGGATTTAGAAGAAACACTGCTGTGCTCCGCATTCTCCCCATGTCATATTCAAGAAATACAAGTAAATGTTTGGAGTCACTACAAGGAGCTTCTGCTGGTCACTCTTGTCCGTCCCTGAGGCCACTGCAGTGCTCTCTGTCTGGACCTCATAGGCCACGGCCTATATGTGCTCTCTTTCCCATTGCCTTAAAAGGCCATTTCCAGTACCTGTCTGCCAGGATCTGGGCCGGGCTCCAGTGTGACAGAGTCGGGAAGGCCCTTAGCATATACCCAACCCCCTCGCTTTATAGATAAAGAGCCTGAAGCCCACAGCGGGGGTCAGTCTGCACCTCAAATTTCACAACAGCTGAGATGCCTGTGTGAGGAGTCAGTCCTGGGCTGATGTCAGAGTGTGCCTGCCAATACCACTTGCCCTCCTTCGAGAAGAGGTGCACTAGGTGAATGGATACCAAATCAATCCAGTTTGACAGGTATTGATTGAAGACACTCTCTGAAAAAGGTGCTGTGTGTGAAAATACATTAAATGCTCTAGAAAAACATGCTATGGACATTGCCCTTTTGCGAGTTATTTTATGATGGGATATATACTTTTTGCACAGACAGTAACCATCCCCGCTCATGGGAGAAGCCCTTTGACGTCTGTACCTTTGGGTCTGGCCTCATCTGTCCCTTTCCACCCACAAGCATAAGCCCTATTCTATCTCCTCTTTCTCATCCTCCTCCTACCCACACACAGACACCTTCCTTGAGGGCTTGCCTTGTCTTCCTCCCACATAGGCAAGTCCAGTGCAGAAAAGGCACCTTGGTAATGTTTGTTTTTGGTGGTGCGGGAGTAGGGAAGCCTCACTGAAGACCACTAGGGCCTGTCGGCATGGTTTTCCACCGGCAAACTCTCAAAGATACGCTGAGCTTCCAGCTCTCATTGAATGTCAGAGTTACAGGGACTTCGAAGGCAGCCTGGCCTGGGCCTTCACTGGCCTAACCATTCCTCAGCCTTTCCTGCTGACCCCTGCAGGCTCCCATGGCAGCTGGCTCCATGCTGGGTTGGGGGCAATTAGAGGCACTGCCTGAAGATGGGAGGAGATGCCAGGGCACTCCTTCCCTCATGCACTGTCTCAAGAAATACCTCCTCCGTGGCCCCAGCTTCTGCCAGAGGCCCACCATGCACCATGTTCCTTCCAGTTTCTGCAAGGTGACCTTGACCCCTGGGCTGGAATAACACTACCTCCTTCCTCCCTCTGCCTCAGGGTAGGTCTCTGAGCCACTTCCCCAAGCCTTGTTTGTTGGTTGGTTGGTTTTCAGCTCCTTCATTACCTGCGTAAATTTTCTGCATTAAATTCCCTCGGTTGGAACACTTGAAGAAATTTCTATTTACCTTGTTAGGCCCTGACTGAAACATAGCCCAACCTCTTCCCCACCCCTTCATTGAACTTATGAAGAAACCAAGGCCAAGAGTGGTGTGCTTTGTCCAAAAAAGACTCACGGGTACTTAGTTGTCAGTGACTGGCCTGGGTTTCTCAGTTTCTGTCCTCCACACCTCTGCAAAATATGGCAGGACATGCTTCATTTTTAGTTTTAATCCAAAAGAATCCAGAGTCATTGGGATCAACAGTTTTGAAATGTGTGGCTTCTAAGGAAAAACCACAGTTGCAGTTCCAGTCCTTTACACTTTCTAAATACCCCCTTGGACCATCAGAAACTATTTAAACCTTGTTTCTGAGAGATGGAGATGTCAACTAGAGTAGACCAGACTGTGACCACAACCAGGTCACTGCCTGCTTCCAGGCTTGCATTTCCAGCCTGCATTTCCATATTTAAGGAAATTAACATAATACGAAATGACCATTTCTAAAAGCATTTAAAACTTTCTTTTAATATATGTAGCAAAATTCAAGTCCACACATTTTTGGACCAGATGGTTTCTCAACTCTGCAAAGTAGGTTTAAAGTAATAGTTACTTAAGAGTGCCATATATTTTAAACACACAGTGCTTCTGCTAATTAACACTTCATGATTTCTCAAGAGTCCCACAGGCAATAGTTACCATTTGTAAATGGTGAAATATAGTGTCAAGAAAATGAATCCTATTTTGCTCCCAAATTGCAGCCCTGGGATGCTATACATGAGATATCTCAGCCCTTCCCCCAGTGTGAATGGAGTGGTGAGAAGATGAAAGTGACTGCTCTGGGGTTGGATGCTGGGGACATGTGAGCATGATACCACATCGGGCCTCTGCACACAGAGGTTCTTCAAAAGGCAGACCCCCTCCACCCGTCATGGGCCTATGGGCCAAAATTAGTCACACAGATGCATGCAAGTTAAACACTGACCTAACAAGAAGACATGGACACACAGGCACACATTTACACACACCTGTTATGTCCTGTGTTTGCAGGACAAAATAGCCACAGTCTATGTGAGCCTGAGAGGCAAGGCAAGCTAACCTACAGGCATGAAGTGAGGCTGGCCTCTCTGCCCCAAATCTTACCAGGCCACTTACACATCCTCCCCTACTCCTCTTTGCCTGAAGTTCAATCATTTGAAGATTGATTTGACTAATATGTCTCCTCTTTTTAAAAGTCAGTGCTCCTGGAAGAGTTGATCAGATACAGTCACATGCTGCATGATTTGGTCAATGACAGACCACATATGTGATGGTGGTCCCATATGATTATAATACTATATTTTTACCGTACTTTTTCTATGTCTAGATACACAAATACTTACCATTGTGTTGTAATTGCCTACAGTATTCAGTATGGTCACATGCTGCAAGGTTTGCAGCCTAGGAGCAATAGGCTATACCATATTGCCTAGGTGTGTAACAGGCTAGGTTTGTGTAAGTACACTCTCTGATTTTCCCACAATGATGAAATCACCAAACAATGCATTTCTCAGAACACAGCCTTGTCATTAAGCAACATGTGATTAAATTTTTAATCCTTCATACATCAATGCGGCCAAATGAGACAGCTTTCTTCCTGGTGCTTTGCAGACATCAGGGGCTGACAGGTTGGAGAACCCAAAGAATATGGAGTGCTTAGGGGAATATATCAGGAGGATGCAGGCTGCCTTGCTTTATTGTAATGGGGAGCCCTGGACACCTGGGCAAGTGGGGAAAAGGGGTACTTAGAAACTGATGGGACACCAAAGAGAAAAGGAGGAAGAAATGTCTGCTTACCCAGGGTCTACACAGGACTACCCTGCCTGGACAGGATGCCACTGTCCACACCTACTACTGTCTCAGGATTGCTTCCTCTTTAGGGTAAAGGAGATGTGAGCAGAAGGCTGACACTAAAGTATGGGACAAAGGAAATGGCAAAGACCATGTGCGATTAGGAGAAAGTTCATTGGGGGACACTTCTTTATTGAAATCCTAAAAATAGCAAAGAACTAGACTGTGCTTTCACCTGTCACTAGACTGGAAGTTTTAAGCAGACAAAGCCTTGTCTGACTTTGTGCATCACCATATCCCCAGCACCCAGAATAGCGTTAAGAGGTGTGCTCAGCAGGAATTGGTTCGGTGCATGTACACACCAAAGTGCAAGCAGAGGACACCTCAAGACCCTTCTAATCCCCTCATTTCCTCAAGGCCCAATGATCATGTGTGGCTGCACAGATCTCTTGCTGGAGTTATAAATGGGCTGCTGGAGAAAAGACAAATCCCTCTACGGACCCCACAGCGATGGACTGCTGAGTTCTGCTGTTCCCCAGGGACACTGCCTTCATTAGGCAGCACCTGCTATATGGCCAGCCCATATGTGTCATGTCAGGCAGTCCCACAAGAGGAGGTAGACAATGCACCAACCAACCTTAAGTTTCCCTTAACCAAACCTTCCAATGAGTGGCAGGCTCTGCACCAGAAGACAACAAATGGAAATTCTTTGGGGTGCCTTCCACCTTTCATTTTTGAAGCACCACAAGCAAAATGAAACCACTGATATTCTGTGGGACCTGATGCCCCAAGGTAATGTTTATGGTCATATTTTCAATCTTCCCCTCCCTTCTCATTGAGTTGAGAGGATGAAGTGGCACAGGCAGCAGGGGAGAACCCAGGCATGATTCTGAAGGAAGGCAGGACAAAGTGAGTGGGCTGGAACCAAAGCATGAAGTTGTACGAAAATATATAGTATGAAGCCTTTAGGTCTTCACAGTTTGCAGAACCATTTTGTCCACCAAAAACAGCTCTGGATGTAGCCAGCAACACTCCTTCCTAAAGCTCGTCTACACAGATCCAGATGCATGCACCTTGCTGAATGCTGAGCTTACAGTAAGTCCACAACTAATTCCTGTCCAATTGAGAAACATTTGAATGCAATGATATCTGGATCAATTGAGATCACATATATATGAAGTAGAAAGTTTCTCCTAATTCCTGGGTATGCACTTGACCCCTGCCCTATACAGAGAAGGCAAGGCACTAAGCTGGCATTCTAGGCACTGCATCATGAGGGAAAAGCACTGGACAGACTACGAGACCAGGGTCTGGTCCCGGATCTCCCTGAGCCATCCTCAGATGGCTTTCAGGGATGTCAGAGGTGAGCATGGAGAAGAGGATCCTGTCTGTCTAGAGCCAGAGCAGTAAGGTCCCCGGGGGCTGGGAGGTTGTTGCCTCTACATAAAGAACTCGGCCAGCTAAAGTCTCCTCTGAACCAAGCCCACTGTTTGCCTGGAGAAGTCAGTGTCTTTCCTTTGGGGAGATGAAGGAAACAAAGGAACTGTTTGGAGGGCTTTAGAATGCCACAGCTCACCACTGGTTATTTGGGGGAGGAGGATGTGCAGGAGCTAAATTTGAGCCCCAGTGTTGCGAACTTCACAAGGGGAAAGAGTTGCTGAAATGCCTGGGGGAAACAGTGTAGGGTTCTGGCCTCCATCTGTCTGTTCATACATCTGTCTGATCTGCCTTCCCCTGCTAATTAATTCCCATCTCATCACAGCCACTCTTGGCTCATGAGTCTCTCTCACAGTTTCCCATCTAGGTTATTTAGCATTCAAGGATTACATGCTACAAAAATTAGCCACGTTTGAACAAATTAGCTACTTTTATAAGCCCAGGGTCCAAGGGCCATTTCTATTAGATTTGGCATAGGCTACAATTTTGCAGAATCTTTTCCCTGAGTTTTTCTGGTGGCAGATGTTGCCTCTTGCAGAGAGATGTAAAATCACTGCTGGCTCGTCTTCTCCCCAGTGATCCCTCGGCTGCTTTTTAAGGAGGCTTTAATAATGCAAAGGAAGGGAAGGCGGTGCATGCATAAAACACCATGCCACTATCAGGATGTGCTGCCTTGAAATCAGGCCTGGTGGTTAAAGCAAATGAACCAGTTTTTAGAGGAAGTTTTCTGGTTTGCACTGAGCATGAAGGTTTGGATTGCAGAGGCTTTTCTGAAGATGCCATCAGACAAGTGCAGGTTTGAGCCAACATCAGCTTATCAAGCGCTGAGTTTAATTTCCTCCCAGCAGCCAGGCCACACAAATCATTGCCTGTTGAGGAAGGAAGGAAGGAATGCTTTTGATGTAGCCATTGAAAGTGGTAAGAGTGAATGCAGATTTGGCTGAGTACCTGTTGGCTAACAAAACATGTTATCAAAAAGGTGTTCTGGGTATGGTAAAATGTATCAAGGATCAGAGGCAATGAGGCAGAAGGGAACGGAAGATTCTATATCTGGATTCCCAATTTACAGATTACATAACTGATGTCACTGTGCCACCTGGGAGGGTTTTAATATTGTTAATAATACAGTAAGAGCTGGCGAATTTTCAGAAATGGCTTGCTGTACTGATAAAGAAAGGATTGCCTTTCTTGTCCCCAAGTCCCAGTGCTTTCCACAGACACACAAAAGCCCACCCCTAGCAGCAGATGAGCAGACTTCATCTCTGTTGTCAAGGAAACCAGTCCGTTCTTAGCTCTAGAATTAGAAAGCCTGGGTCTGGCCTCAGCAGTGCCTTCCGCCCACTTCTCCTGCCGGGACCTGCTATCTCCACCCCCCTCTCCCCGGGGACACTGAAGACCCTTTCTCTAGCAAAATTTCTAGCACATCACTGGAGTTGGGGGCTCTATTAATGGCTCAAACCAACCATCGGGTGGGTGCACAGGCCAGATGAACAGACACATGGGGGAAAAATGAGTTTATCTACATAGAAAAGGAAAGGACAATTGGCATGGATCTAGGACAATGGCCAAGTGATTGACCCATCTTATATGAATGGCTTAGGGAAGCAGGATTGGCCACTCAGTGCTGGCCCAGCACTTTCTCCCTCTAAAACATCTACCCCCACCCCTCACCCCCTCAAAGCACACACACATGTTGCTCTAGATGACAAAGGTAGCCCACTGGCATCACCAATGGACCAGACCTGGCACTCTGGCCTGCCCCAGGGAAGCCTCTTGGGGTAAAAGGCCTTGGTAAAATGCTCCCAGGTCAGGGCACTTAGGGGAGTTAGGGGTAGCACATTGGTCTGGAAGGAGGGAAGAGAAGACCCCAATGTCACTACTTCTGAGGAAGGGAGAACTGAAATGGAAGAAAGACAGAGGAGTGAGCCAGCCACTGGCAGGAGAGGAGAAAGGATGACCAGTATCTTTGGGGATATGCTCTGTGGAAGAGGGTGGGCATGAAATTAAAGGGAGCTTGGACATGACACCCATTCAGGACAGTCTTATCCAAAAAACAACCATGTGCTTAATTCTCTGAATTCCCCAAGCCGACCACCTCTGTACCCTTTCTGAATTTACCACCATCTAGCTTGCATTGCACCTATTTGAGTAAGTGTGTTATCTGTCTTTCTAAACCAAGAGCCCTGAGAGATCAAGTTCTGGCCCATCTTTCTATTTCCCATAGCCCTGGAAGAACTTGTGTGTACTAGGGGCTAGTGAGGATTTGTCTTCATGAGTGAATCCTTATTTTAGACACTGTGAAATCACCTACAGAAAGTGTTCAGAATTTTGAAATAATTATGAGGAAAAAAAATGTTAAACTGTTATCTCGAAAATTTCAAACAGTATTAGTTCGATTTTCACTTTTCCTAGTGCTTTTTCCAACTGTCACAGTTATTATAATTGCTTTATTATTATTATTAATGATGATGGTGATTGTTTTTTTGTCAGCACAGGAAGGTACAGTGAGACACCCAAACAGAGAAAAGAAGGGGAAAAAAAAGAGTGCCCTCTGAATGAAACCCTGTGAACACACAGGATGTTTGCAGGCAGAGATTTGCATAATGATTAAGTGAAAAGAAAATGACTCCTCAGCTACTTGGACTAGATGTTAATCTGACAGTATTAGCACATCAAAACTCCATCACATGGGGGGCACAGTTCGCACAACCCAAATTTAAAGTATCTCAAGTTTTTTTTGCTAGAATTTCTCAAACACTCCAGGGGAGCTTTTAAAAATTTCCCTTTTGCTGCACCCACATACACAGCTACCTCCATGCCTTTTTCCTCAAACCTCGACCTCCACACCCCTAAAATTTCCTCTGCCCCAGCCTGCTTGCTCTGCCTGCTTTCCCTCCTCCCTCTTTCCTAACAAACTCAGTGTCATTGTGCAAATGTAAAACCTCATTCCACATATTCTTCCTTGATCCCCACACCCATGTTCACCTCTCCTTCCAAGCCCAGTCTCTATCTCTATTCCCCCGCTTTTTTTTTTTTGCTTTTCTTTCTTTTGAGATGGAGTTTCACTCCGTCGCCCAGGCTGGAGTGCAGTGGCGTGATCTTGGCTCACTGCAACCTCCGCCTCCTGGGTTCAAACAATTCTGCCTTAGGTGCCCGCAGCCATGCCCGGCTTTTTTTTTTTTTTTTTTTTTTTTAGTAAAGATGGGGTTTCACCATGTTGGCCAGGCTGGTTTTGAACCCCTGACCTCAAATAATCTGCCTGCCTTGGCCTCCCAAAGTGCTGAGATTACAGGCATGAGCCGCCACACACAGCCCATGTTCCCCCACTTTCCATCGCAGAAGCCTGACCAGGCAGTCATGCCATTCCCCCATCAGGAGGGCACAACAGGGCAAGGGAAGAAGCCCTATACTCAAATCCAGAGTCTCTAACTGCCGGGGGTGGGGGGCAGAAAGGCTGAGAACAATCAGATAGAGGGTATGACCTGTCTCCCATCACATAAAGACTATGTCACAAAGGAGAACTGGACAGGTATGATGGCATAAAGGAGAGAGTCAAAGAGGTACTAGTTGGATTGGCACTGGATTAAGGGCTGAGCCAGCTAGGCAGAAGCCTGGAGTCCTAATCATCAAGTAGTGTTAAAATGTCATCAGCATAAAGGAGAAACACAGCACCGGTTAACTGGGATTTCTGGATATGACTTCTCACATGGTGACAACATTTAAACTGGTTCTGTTCCTATTGAGTAGACAGAAAACTTATGATAGCTCCTCACCTGTACTGACTTAGAATTTTTAAGTATTTTTGCAAAATGACCCTCCAGGTTTCATGGTATAAGCATGACAGTCCCCTGAAGTCTGCCACAACATTCAGTTGAAATTTCTAAACCAAGTAAGACATGACACAGGACACAGTGCTTTGTACTGAGATAAGTTATTTAGCTTACTACATAACTTCTAGAACTTTTCATATACTTTTCAAGAAGCTGCCTAGTTCAGAAGATCTTATTAATGGTTTCTGAAGAGAAATCTATTTTTCCTCACACTGTATTGGACATAATGAGAATCTATTTCTCCCCACTGTGTTGCTGTTTTTTTTTTTTTAAGTTGAATGAATGCTCGAATAATATGAGCTTGGAGGTAAGCAGAATCATTAGTCCAGGAGAGAAGGAGGGAGCATCTATTATAAAAAGGAAAAAACAAACAACCCCATCAAAAAGTGGGTGAAGGATATGAACAGACACTTCTCAAAAGAAGACATTTATGCAGCCAACAGACACATGAAAAAATGCTCATCATCAATGGCCATCAGAGAAATGCAAATCAAAACCACAATGAGATACCATCTCACACCAGTTAGAATGGCGATCATTAAAAAGTCAGGAAACAACAGGTGCTGGTGAGGATGTGGAGAAATAGGAACACTTTTACACTGTTGGTGGGACTGTAAACTAGTTCAACCATTGCGGAAGACAGTGTGGCGATTCCTCAAGGATCTAGAACTAGAAATACCATTTGACCCAGCCATCCCATTACTGGGTATATACCCAAAGGATTATAAATCATACTGCTATAAAGGCACATGCACAAGTATGTTTATTGTGGCACTATTCACAATAGCAAAGGCTTGGAACCAACCCAAATGTCCATCAATGATAGACTGGATTAAGAAAATGTGGCACATATACACAATGGAATACTATGCAGCCATAAAAAAGGATGAGTTCATATCCTTTGTAGGGACATGGATGAAGCTGGAAACCATCATTCTCAGCAGACTATCGCAAGGACAAAAAACCAAACACTGCATGTTCTCACTCATAGGTGGGAATTGAACAATGAGAACACTTGGACACAGGAAGGGGAACATCACACACCGGGGCCTGTCATGGGGTGGGGGGAGGGAGGAGGGATAGCATTAGGAGATATACCTAATGTAAATGACGAGTTAATGGGTGCAGCACACCAACATGGCGCATGTATACATATGTAACAAACCTGCACATTGTGCACATGTACCCTAGAACTTAAAGTATAATAAAAATAAATAAATTTAAAAAAGAGGCTTGATACTGTTTTGAAACATTCAATTCATCCAAGTCCCCCTGTTCTGATTCCATCTCCCAAAAAATTCTTCTGATTGTGATTCAGCTTCTCACATTCACATGAGGCCAAAGGAGCACAAGTCATGGGTAAAACACTACAGCCTGCCCCTGATCTTCACTACCACTCTTTAGAGTGGAAATTACTATCCCCCTTTTATAGAAAAGGAAACTGAGACCCAGTGAGTTTCAGCAAC
This sequence comes from Homo sapiens, assembly GCF_000001405.40. Classification (NCBI taxonomy): domain Eukaryota; kingdom Metazoa; phylum Chordata; class Mammalia; order Primates; family Hominidae; genus Homo; species Homo sapiens. Next base: position 70,737,985 of record NC_000002.12, read on the forward strand.
TTGCTCAGGAGCACACAGCCAATAAGTGGCAGAGCTGAACAATGGATCTGGGTTCATCTGATTTCAAAGCCCAGTACACCATGAGGCCTCGTGTTGTTTCTGCAGCTTGTTTAATTCTTAAAATAAATTAAACACTACTTGGGAGACATATCTATAAACAAAACAAAAATCCAATAAGGGAAGAACAGGATGTTCAAATGATTATAAATATCCTAAGAAATTCCAGTTCAGGATGCTGTCTGGCTAGTGATCCATGAGTCAACCTCACCTAACTTTTCACTAAAAACCAACGTCAATTCACACACAAAATTAGATCATAACACATAAGAACTTCAAAAATGAAGACTGACAATTAGCCTAGGGCCAGAATGATGAATGATCATTTACTCATCGAGATCTATGAGACTGAAAAGAGAAGCATGAAGAGGGATTCATATAGGCACTTGTCTTTGCTACTTGGAGGAGAGAAAGCTAATCAGCTGAAAGATAAAGCTTTATTCCACCCTCACTGCCTGCCTGCCTCCTAGCTCAGGGTCTGTACCCTCCAGAAAAGTGAGCAACCTTCCCACTGTGATATGGAAGCTACTCCTTGAGAGGCCACAGCCATTTCACACCTGTATTGCCTCATGCTTCATCTGTACCAGGACCGCAGTGCTGGTCATGCAACATGGCCAGGGACAGATGTGGATTCCAATGCTGTATTGCAGCCAGAGATTTGAAGACACACATAAAAAGTGCCTGTGACAGGATGGGTGTGGGAGTCAGACAAAATCCACCTCTAGGCTACTTGTAAAGAGATGTATCTATGATCAAGTCATAAAATATTACTTAAAATAATTAGCTGAGCCATAAGCAGAAGATTGAAACTGGACCCCTTCCTTACACCATATACAAAAATCAACTCAAGATGCATTAAAGACTTAAATGTAAAACCCAAAACTATTAAAAAACCCTCGAAGACAACCTAGGTAATACCATTCTGGACATAGGAATGGGCAAAGATTTCATGACAAAGATGCCAAGAGCAATTGCAACAAAAGCAAAAATTGACAAATGGGATCTAAGTAAACTTAAGAGCTTCTGCACAGCCAAAGAAACTATTAGGAGAGTAAACAGACAACCTACAGAATGGGCAGAAATATTTGCAAACAGTGTATCTGACAAAGGTGTAATATCCAGCATCTATAAGGAACTTAAACAAATTTACAGGAAAAAAACCCCATTAAAAGGTGGGCAAAGGACATGAAGACACTTTTAAAAAGACGACATACATGTGGCCAACAAGCATATGAAAAAAAGCTCAATATCACTGATAATTAGAGGGCTGCAAATCAAAACCACAATGAGATACCATCTCACACCAGGTCAGAATGGTTATTATTAAAAAGTCAAAAATTACAGATACTGGCAAGGTTGCAGAGAAAAGAAAACACTTATACAGTGTTGGTGGAAGTGTAAATTTGTCCAACCGTTGTGGAAAGCAGTGTGGTGATTCCTCAAAGAGCTAAAAGCAGAACTACCATTTGACCCAGCAATCTTATTACTGTTATGTACCCAAAGGAATATAAATCATTCTACCATGAAGACACATGCACACATATGTTCATTGCAGCACTTTTCACAATAGCAAAGACCTAAATGCCCATCAATGGCAGACTGGACAAAGAAAATGTGGCATATATACACCATGGAATACTATGTAGCCATGAAAAAGAATGAGATCACATCCTTCGCAGGCACATGGGTGAAGCTGGAGGCCATTATCCTTAGCAAACTAACACAGGAACAGAAAACCAAATACTGCATGTTCTCACTTATAAGTGGGAGCTACAGGATGAGAACACATGGACACAAAGAAAGGAACAGCAAACACTGGGGCCTACTTGAGGGTGGAGAGTGGGAGAAGGGAGAGATCAGAAAAAATAACTACTGCATACTAGGCCTAGTACCTGCATGGTGGAATAATCTGCACAATAAATCCCCGTGACACAAGTTTACCTACGTCACAAACCTGCACATGTACCCCTGAACCTAAAATAAAAGTTAAAAAACTAAAATAGATAATAAAATAATTAGATCAATAAATATGCACCAGGAAAAAATAAACAAACTATGGCTTATGATATTTATATCAGAGACAATAAAAGTTAAGGTTAAAAGCTCTAAGTGATTCAAAATATTTTTATATTTGAAAAAAGTAAACCCCATAATGAAAGTATCCTATTGAACAATTATGTACTAAATAACATAGCACTGGACTATATATGTAAAGCAAAAACTGTTGAGAATCAGTAAGAAAATAACAGGATCATAATAATAATGGATTACTTTAATATGCTTTTCAGTCCTTGACAAAGAGGCTTAAAAAAGAGGATAGGAGAATACAAGAAACCTGAATCGGTTGACTAATTAGACTTAAAGGTATCCCTCCTCACTATCCACAATCTCACAATACAAACAGAAACCTAATAGATTTGGGTGGCAAAAATTACATTATAGTAAGCAATTTCACTGCAAGCATGCAGAGCAGAGTAAAATGCTGGTTAAAAACAAAACACCTCAGCTAACAATTTCTTCATTCTAGGAGAAGCATCATTTATCCTCAGGGAGATGGCAGAGTTTTTGTTGTCTTGTTTTTTGTGGGGATTTTTTTGTTTGTTTGTTTGCTTTTTGTTGTTTTTGTGTGTGTGTCTAAGAAATTTTTTATTTTTATTTTTATTTATTTATTTTTTTGAGACAGGGTCTCACTCTGTTACCCAGGCTGGAGTACACTGGCACAATCACAGCTCACTGCAACCTCCGCCTCCCGGCTTCAAGTGATTCTCCCACCCCAACCTCCCGAGTAGCTGAGCGTACAGGCGTGTGCCACTATGCCTGGCTAATTTTTATATTTTTAGTAGAGACGGGGTTTCACCATGTTGGCCAGGCTGGTCTCAAACTCCTGGCCTCAAGTGATCCACCTGCCTTCGCCTCCCAGAGTGCTGGGATTATAGGCATGAGCCACCGTGCCCGGCCTTGGTCTAAGAAATTTTTTGATGGGTCCTTTAAAATGTGAAAAGTGAGTTCCTGCTCCTTTGTCAAATTTCACAAATCTTGATGTGGGAGAGGATGATTTAAAAAAAGAAATGATAAATTGCCCTGCAGAGAAAGTTACCAAATATCAGCAGTGGGAAAATAATGGGAGACGGAAAGAGAGTCAGGAGCATCAAGACAAGAACACGGCAAAGAACAGTAGCTTATAGAAAGAAACAGCCAGTGAGAAACTCCCTGTAACAGTGAATGATCAATAAATTTTGAGAATTACTGACATCTGACATTGAATTTAAAAGTTGTTTACAGCCTTACACTATAATTACCTTCTGATATGCCCAATCCTTTGATTAAGAGTCTGATGTGCAGAAGAGCTTCGTGTTAGTGGTGCTCTGGGAGAATAAAGGAGAAAGGACAGTGAGAGCAAATGTATTAACGAAGAGGGCAGCTCCTTTGGGAGGCAAGCTTTTAAGTGTGATGGATGCTATTGTTCACCAGTATATGTTTCCTCTCTACTTTGGCGTACAGGAGAAGATGACATTTCCCCACCACATTCCAGGTCAGCATTCCCATACGTATTTTTCTAGTCAATAAAATATGAACAAACGTTCTTCTGGGAAGAAGCATGTTAAAGCCTTCCTCCTGCTGCAGTCACCAGCAATTTCCAGATGATGACAACTCCATCAGCTAAATCTCTGAGTAAGGAAGACATGGGACAGGACCCACACACACACTGAAACTCAATGGACATGCAACAGGAGCAAGAGATAAATTTCTGTTGTGTTCAGCCACTGAAATCATATGGTGTCTTGGTACTGCAGTATAGGTTGGCCTGTTGTGATCAGCAGCCTCGGTCACAATACCAGCTCCTCCCCCACACATCCCACCCAGCTGTGGGCTCCCAGGCAAATCCATTAACCAATTTTGACATTTCTCTAATCAATAATAAAATGAAGATGTTGGACTGGATTTGAAGTTTTCAAACTGTGTTCCAAGAACCTGGAAGTTTCCAAGAGGTACATCAGGGATTCTACAAGCATTTGATCCAATCTGTTTTAACTATTTAAAAGGCCATTATATACTACACCTTTAATATTCCTAATTCAAATACATCTGAGACTACCAATACCTTGTGCTAATTCTTCTTTTCCTTGACGTCAGAATAAAGCTTCCCTGCCTATGCAGATTTAAGAACTACCCAAAACATGTTTTTGGTTAAGAAAGTGCTATTTCTGAGCTAGTTATTTTTTAGAGAGTAAAACCCATTTGTGTCTGCTCACATGAAAATGTATAATCAAGTACATTACCAGAGAAAATATTCACTGGGCCCAGTGACACACCAGAAACAGCTCAGCTACATCTGCTTGGAATCAGCTCTTGACAAGGCAGAACTAAGTTGTAGGTGTTCTTAGCTAACTTTTAATATTTATACATATTATTTATTTTAGATGAAGTGAAATCATTTCCCTTAAAAAAAGAAATGGACTGCTGGTTGAAGAACAGGAATTCTAAAAGAAAATATGACGATATCTGCAATCAAAGTGATGGAGCTCAAGGTGAAACATCAAGTCAGGCTCAACTGGTACCTATTGATTCTTCAACTCTTGTTGCCTATAGAACAACAGTGAATGAAATAAGAGGAATGCCGCAAAGAAAACAAAGTACTGTAGCCATTATCTGTCTTTGGGGCTGACCTTTTAGGGCAATACAATCCACTCAAGTCCTTGATGTGCTCTGTATGTATAAATCTGGCAAAAGAGTTCTATGTTCCCTGCCATAGAACACCATTTGAACAGCACCTAGGGAGCCTACAAATGAGGTCCCTGGCTATACTTACATACATCTTAATGTTATGTTTTTTTAAGTTATGTGATATTTAAGTTTGTCAATGTATGTTTAACTTTGCCCATGAGGGAAAAATATACACTCTCTTTGAAAATCTTATTAAATCCTATCCTATGGATCCTATGTTACAGATGTGTTAAGTGAGAATCTTGCTTCAAAAATATTAGTACTGCTGTTGCATAGCACAGTCCACTCAAGAATCCAAGACTGTATTTAATGAATTAGCTAAGGAGGTCAAAATTATCACAGCAAAGTCACATCTTATGATAGACTGGTCAGCGTCCATAGCCTGTCAGTACGGTCAATATTGGCTGGAGTCAAAATTATCATTGAACATCTCCTCAGTGGACATGAGGAATAGGGCATGGCTCTCCATGTATCACCCCACACAGTACTGTGCATGTGTAATTGGATAATACATACAGTAGCATATGACTCATAAAAGGACATGTGCAAAATATAATTTGGTTGTATTTTTACTCCACTTCTCTGAGAGCTGGATTACCATGAAAGAAATGTGAGCATAAGGCACCTCTGGTCGAAAGGAAAAGTTCAGCATTTCACAGAGGAAGAGGCAGCGTCTTATGGCTGTCTCCTCTCTCCAGGCTGCTTTGTATGTTACCACCAGTCAGGTAATTTATTAGGGACAATATCTGCTTCAAAACACTTAACAGTGGGAGAAGAAGAGAAGAAAATGCTCTTTCTTCTCAACAAGTGTGTAACATTTCAAAGAAGTTTGTAAAATTCTGAAATACTTGCCAGGTCTATTTAAAAATAAATCTGGTTTGAAAAACCTAGAGTAGAGGCTTCCTGGAAGCTGTGGCTATACTGTATTTAAAGTCATCAAGTCTTGTAAGGAAAAACAAGAGTCAACAATGAAATAGGAAGAAAAAAGTGTTCCAGGCCAGATTACTATAGCAGGTACAAAGGTCCTGTGGTAGATCAGAGCATACAGAGCATGAGGAATTAAAGGAAGGCCAGTGTGGCCAGAGCAGAGCTGAGAAGCCTAGAGGGGACAGCAGGGATGACACATGGCAGCCAAATCATGCTAGGTCATAGCCATCCAGTCAGCCATTTACTCATTTGTTCATCAATCAAATACTTATCTTCTATGTGTCAGACACTGTTCCTGGTGCCAGGGGAAATACAGGAGTAAACAGGCCAGGTAAGGAGCTTATTTTTAGTGTTTACATCCTAAATGGATAATACATCCTACACTCTTAAAACTCAGAGTAATAAGAACTATGACAAGAATTAAAATAGGGCAACATAGTCACCATTTGGTAACCACCATGGAAATAATTGGAATTGGCAAAATTTGAATAAACCCTATAGATTAGATAGTAGGATTGTACCAATGTTAATTGCCTGGTTTATGAAAGGTTTGTCGATGTTAATTGTCTAGTTTACAATTACCAAAAATTGTATTGGGCAATTATGTAACAGAATGTCTTTGTTTTCAGGAAACACACATTGAAGTATTTATTATAGCATGATATCTGCACTTCATTCAAACGGTTCTGAACTAAATTGTGTGTTATGTGTTTGTATAGCTGTATGTGTGGACAATACATACAGACATGCTGGGACAGGGAGAAAAAGGGAAAATGACCTCTGAAGAGGTGGAAGGCTGAGATATAAATGACATGAAAGGGCATTCCTAGTGCAGGGAACAGCTAATGTAAGGCTCGAAAGCTAGACAGCATTTGATGAGTTGAAGGAGCTGAAAGAAGTCCATTGTGGCTGAAGCTGAGTGGCAAAGGGTAAGGTCTATGAGATTCGAGCACAGAGGAATTCTGCCTTTTTTCTAAGAATAATGGGAAACATTAATGGGCTTTAAATGGAGGATAGCAAGGTCCCATTTTCATATTGAATGCTCACACTGAAAAATAGAATAGGGGATGGGTCACTAGTGGGCGTGTGGGGGTCAGTTAGAGGCAGCAGCAGATGTTCAGGTGGGGAAGACCGGGCTTGGAATCAGGGCCTGGGGGAGCTGGAGAACAGTGGATAGGCTTCGGATGTTTAGGAGACAAAAACAAACAAAACAAAACACAGGACTTGGTGGTGACTTGAATGTACCTCTAATTGTCTTCTTTCGAGCATTGGATCAGTTAATGGAACTGAACTTAAGATTTCAAGGTGAACGGCCGGGCACGGTGGCTCACGATTGTAATCCCAGCACTTTGGGAGGCCGAGGCGGGCGGATCTTGAGGTCAGGAGATCGAGACCATCCTGGCTAACATGGTGAAACCCCGTCTCTACTAAAAATACAAAAAATTAGCCGGGCGTGGTGGCGGGCGCCTGTAGTCCCAACTACTCGGGAAGCTGAGGCAGGAGAATGGTGTGAACCCGGAGGGCGGAGCTTGCAGTGGGCCGAGATCATGCCACTGCACTCCAGCCTGGGCGACAGAGCGATACTCCGTCTCAAAATAAAAAAAAAAGAAGATTTCAAGGTGAACTATTAAAGTACCCCAACCCCATTCTTGCTGTAGGGTTGTTGTTGTTGTTTTTGTTTCTTATTCCCACACTCCTTTCTGGACAGTACCACAAAGTACAGAATCAGAGGAGAGGGAACAAGTTAAGATGTGAGAGGAGGGCTTCAGAGTGTGAACATTGTACTTAGATGTGAAGGGGTTGGTCTCTTCCTGAGATGCAGGCCGCCTCTCTGAGGTTCACAGTGTTTCTAACATCCCCACACAAAACAGAAAAATGGCACGTGCTGGGAAAGCAGGAGGGGCAGGAGATCTCCATCCAAAGCCAGACTATAGCCTCACCAAAAACCCTCCCAGGAGAGCAGCTAGGAACAGTAGATTGCTTGCCCCTCTTTCCTGAGAAAGCACAGCAGATGCTTTTTATATAATGTCCAATTACTCCAAGGAATGTCACCATCTTTATGATTAATGAGTTTATATACTCAGGGACATATGTGAGGTGGTATCCAAGGACAACAAAAGACCCTGCAGAGAGGAGATAAATTGAGTCCAACCCCTGTAGCCAACAGTTAGAGAAACAGATTAATTGTATGTATTACATAAATATCACTCAATGTAAGTTATTGTCAAAATAAGGACTGTTTTTATCTAAATTCACTGTGAAACAAATCTATTTTGAAAACCTACAGGTTATGGAAATGACAGGGAAAAGTTGTAAATAATAGATATCCCTTTTTCAGAACTCAATAATGAGCTAGTGAGACTGTCGTTATGATAATGACTTGTAAAATAGCACCCAATAAATAAAATACCTTTTGTGATTAAAGGGATTCTTCCAAGAAGGAATCGAACCAAGCAAGAATATTCCAACTTGCTTTGTAAGGCCCAGCTCAAATGTCAACCCCTTTGTGAGATTTTCTCTGATCTCTGGAGCAGAATTAATAGGCCTCTTCTATGAGCTCTGAGGGCGCTCATCAGTGGGTGGTGGAATTATTTACCATGGTAAATCTCTCGAATAGTTCTCTTTGATTACAGTACCTAGCATACTACTCAGCTTCCTTTTCCTTTTGGAGCTTTAAAGAATATGCAAACATTAAAAGCATCAGCAGTAGTACAGCTTGCAGCTGCTAATACTTATGGAACATTCATGGGACCAGGCACTAACTCCAAGCATTAACCCTTTAGTCCCCACAATAACCTTACTGAAGTAGGTACCACCAAGATGAGGAAACAGTAGGAGAGGTGAGTAGACATGTGCAAGTTCCCATTGCTAGTACTTGGGGGCAATTAGGATTCTAACTCACGCAGTCTGACTCTACCACTTCCCCAATAGGGTAGGATGGGAAAACACTGGGCCGGGAGGGAAAACAATTGGAGTCAAGTTTGTATTTATTAGTTTGTCAGCTGTGTAGCCCTAGGATACTCACTGAGTCCACTGGCCTCTAGGATTTCTCTGCCTCCTCAGAATTCAGGTCTCATCCACACTCTGGCAAGATAGCAACAGCCCCCATGCCTGGCCTTCCCACCACTGACCCACAGCCTGGGCCTGCCAGGTTAGCATCTGAGCCAAATGTTTTTGGATAGATTTACTTAGGCATCATTGTTATCCAAATGTCTACTCTTCTCACAGTTTTTGAAAACTGGGCTAAGTGCTGAGAGACAGCAAAGATTTAGCAAATGGTCCCTGCACTCCAGGAGCTAACAGTCCAATATGGATTTTTTTTTTTTTTTTTTTTGAGACAGAGTCTCGCTCTGTCGCCCAGGCTGGAGTGCAGTGGAGCTGATCTTGGCTCACTGTAAGCTCCGCCTCCCAGGTTCACGCCATTCTCCTGCCTCAGCCTCCCGAGTAGCTGGGACTACAGGCACCCGCCACCACACCCAGCTAATTTTTTGTATTTTTAGTAGAGATGGGGTTTCACCGTGTTAGCCAGGATGGTCTCGATCTCCTGACCTCAAGATCCACCTGTCTCGGCCTCCCAAACTGCTGGGATTACAGGCGTGAGCCACCATGCCCAGCCTAAGAGTCCAATATGGATTTAAACAAGAAAGCTGAACCTCAAGATTACAATCCAGAGCTGTATGGTAAGTGCTCTCCCATCATGCCACATGCTCTCCCATCATGCCATGTGCTCTCCCATCATGCCATGTGCTCTCCCATCATGCCATGTGCTTTCCCATCATGCCATGTGCTTTTCCATCATGCGTGTGCTCTCCCATCATGCCACATGCTCTCGCATCATGCCATGTGTTCTCCCATCATGCCACAGGCTCTATCATGCCACATGCTCTCCCATCATGCTATATGCCTTCCTATCATGCTATGTGTTCACCCATTATGAGTCATGCTTTCCCATCATGCCACAGCATAGTCACTCAGGCAAGAGAAACCCATCCTGTCTTCTGCTACATTACCCTTTTCTTTATATCTTCTACACACATTTTGTGTTCAGCGACAGTATCTCTTTAGGGACTAGTGACTTGGGAGCCACTTATAATCTCAGATTGACCTTTCTGAAATATTACTCAGTGGAAATTTGAAAACAAATTGTTTCCTTTGCACTCAATGGGATTAAAATTTGAAATTCAATTGTTTTTTGTATAGTAGGTCAACAATCGAAATGGTACAAAGGCATTTGCTCTTTTCAGCTTCCACCTTTGGATATGAGGCTTTATGTGACCTGCACTTCCTTGAAAATTTATAATGGCATAAATTTTTAATGGTTTTTAAAAATCTTGACATATTATTGCTGATAGGAAAAACAAGTGTTTTTTTAATCTTTGCACCCAGAACCAAAAAAAGAGCTTGTGGTCACAGCAGGGCATGGAGATGGCACAACCTCCATATAGTTTTTCTCCTGGGACACCATGCCCTCACTTGTGAAGAAAATTTCTGTTCTTAAGTTTGAAGACATGATTGCCTTATCATGTGGGTCCTGCCCTCCTCCTCACTCCAAGTATTTAGAGGTAAAATTAGAAATGTCACATATTCAAACACTGATAAAAAAAAAAAAAAAGGAATCCTTTTTTGGAATCTATTCTGTGTCTCTGTGTAGCTATCATTGACATTATTATTCATCAAAGTAAGCTGAGTTATGCTGCAGTAACTAGACTCCTTCCCTCTGGTCTTGTGTGGCCTCTCTGACCACTTAAGGTAAAACAAGGAGAACTAAAAGACAAAGATCTTTATGGCTTCTCCTGCCACAATAGGCTCCTCATAGCAGGTCCATTTTATCCAGATCCAAAGCAGAGCACTTCCTACCTGGGAATGGAGACTTGCTCTTTGGCTCCCCTGGTGATTAGAACGTGTGACCACAGAAGTGATCACTGAAAACCCCTGCCACTGACAAGGTCCTCTGAGCCACTCTTTGAGAAAGTGAAAGCTTCTGTCTTTTCACCACTTAAAATGCTGGCCAGAAGAAAGCATTGCTTCTACAATGCATTTCAAGTATATTACTTTAAATGTGGCAGCTATATGTCCAAAGGATTTTGGAGGTTTGTAGAGAGGTAAGTCCCAAATGCCATTATTGCACATTAAAGAAAATGAAATTAGCTTAGGAGTGCAACACAGTTCAAGCCATTAAATAATTTTAAAGGCACTTAGTGCAGCATTGAGCTATATAAGTATGGGCACACTTAAACTGCTTGAGCTGTACTGAACTAACTCAGTACAGATCCTGTTTGGCAGGATCAAACTTGGAGGCTGTATTAGTCCGTTCTCATGTTGCTATGAAGGAATACCTGAGACTGGGTAATTTATAGAGATAAGAGGTTTAACTGACTCATAGTTTTGCATGGCTGGTGAGGCCTCAGGAAACTTACAATCATGGCAGAAGACACCTCTTCACAAGGCGGCAGGAGAAAGAATGAGAGCCAGCAGGGGAAATGCCAGATGCTTATAAAACCATTAGATCTCATGAGAACTCACTCACTATCAGGAGAACAGCATGGGGGAAACCACCTCCATGATTCAATTACCTCCCACAGGGTCCCTCCCATGACACACGGGGAATAGGGGATTATAATTCAAGATGAGATTTGGGTGGGGACACAAAGCCAAACCATATCAGAGGCTAATGCTAAAAACCTAGAATTGCATAGGAAGCACTCTCTTGTGAAGGACAGTTAGGACAAATGTTTAACAAGGGCAACTTCCTGGTCACTAATGCCAGGGGAAGTTATATGTGTGGCAGTCACTGCTAGCTAGGCAATATTCACCTCCCCTTCTTCCTCCCTATCAGGGAACAATATGGCCAGCTAAAAAAAAAACCGCATTTCCCAGCCTTCCCCAAAGCTAGAAGCAACCATTTGATACAGTCTTGGTCAATAACGTGTTAGCACAAATCTTCTGGGAATTTCTGAGAAAGTCTAATTTCCTGATGGAAATACTATCCTTTTCCCTCACCTCTTCCTCCTCCTTCTCCCTGTCTAGAAGGTAGTTAAAGGCTGGAAATGGAGTAGCTGCAAACTTTCAGGATAAAAAATACCACCTGCTAAGCATGGCAGAGCAGGCAGACAGGAGCCTGGCACATTGGTACCATAAGGAGTCGCTGCACCAGCCCCGGGTTGCCAACCTCTGGACTTTCTGGGGAATGGAAATAAGTCCCTATTTGGCTAAGCCACTACGGCTAGGTTTCTGCTTCATGCAGCTGGAGGCAATTCTTAACCAATATAGAGTGTCACACAGACAAAAGACTTTCCTGTCCAATCAGTTTGGGGATCAGTAGGGTATACACAGGTCCTTGTTACAGGACCTTTCTGAGCCTTTCATATCGTAGGTGCCTGATGATGCTCTTGAGAGGGGGGCAGAGTACAGTGTCTCCCAAATTCTATTGGCCATGGACACTTATTTCATGTTACATCTCTTGGGAATAATGTCCCACCAAATATACCTTAGGAAACAATGCTCCAAGTGTGCACGTGCTCATGCTCGCTCTTTCTTTTTCTTTCTCTCAACCAGGGAAACATCATGCCTTTCCAGGAGGTACAAACATAAATTCTTAGCAAATGTTGAAACATAAAAGTCTCTCAAAATTCATGTCCCCAAAGTGTCTCCCAACAATTCATATCCACCTGAAACCTGTGAATTTGTCCTTATTTAGAAACAGGATCTCTGCAGATGCAATCAAGTGAAGATGAAGTCATAGTGGATTAGGGTAGGTCCTAAATCCAATGGTCAGCATCCTTATAAGGAATGGGAAGATTTAGTCATCAAAGTCATAGAGAAGACACACACACACAGAGGAAAGACCATGTGATGACAGAGGTAGAGACTGGATTGATGTAGCTGCAAGCCAAGGAATGCCAAGAATTACTGCCACCCTCCAAAGGTAGGAAGAAACAGGGAAGGAGTACCCTAGAGCCTTCAGAGGGAGCACGGCCTTGTCAGCAGTTTGATTTCAGACCTCTAGCCTTCAGAATTGAGAGAGAATACATTTCAGTTATGTCAAGCCATCTCCATTTAAGGAGATCTCCATTTAAGCCATCTCCATGTAAAGGCAGCCCTGGGAAATTAATATACTCTGTAGCATTATAACCATGTCTAAATTACTATAATTTTTTCCTGTGTCCAGGAATGAGAATTAAGGGCCAACACTGAGACCTGGCCATGTAGAGAAACTGCCTCCCCACACCCTAGCTCCTCTACCATATTTTACATTCTTATAAAAAATTGATATGCTTCCTGTCACGTTTCCTTGAAATCAAATAGCATCTTGAAAACTCTGACTTTAAAAATGGGAGACGCTGACATTTGAATATAAATGCCCTAAAGAAAAACTTTTCAGGAGCCTTGAATTTGCCATTAATTAATCTGCCTCACCTTGGATCAGTGCCTTATCTTTTCTCAGCTTCATGTGTCTGATTTCTATAATGAAGAGGTTGGACTGGAAGATCTGTTTGATCCCTTCCACTTTGACACTCTGGAATTCCAGAGGGAATGTTTCAGTATATAACAGTTGACGCTTGTTACTCAGAAACCTAAAGATGGGCAGGGCTGGTTGGGATGAGGTCGGAGCAGCAGGCCCTTACTAATGCTTAGGGTACCTTGTTAGCTTTTCTGAGTCCACTTATATAGAAAAATCTTACTTCCTAGGATGTCTCTTTGAACTAAACTAGAAAAAGGAATACAGTGTTACGTTTGGTGTTATGTTTGCCTTAGCATATTAAAAGTCCTAAGAGAGAGATTCTTTTGGAGGGTTGTGATAGAAACTACTAGGACAAAAATGAATGTATCTCCCTTTCCCATTCTTAAAAGAAACTTACACTCCTAAAACTAGGTTAATTATTCACATTACAAAAGATGTCTTTACTTTATTAAAAAGCTTACTAAAGATTTCCTTTACAATAAACGGCATAAGAAAGTAGTTGCTTAACTGCTCTTCTCCAATCGAAACAACTCGATTCTTTTAGACTTTGGTCATATGAGCTTGTTTCCATCTACTTGACTATTTAGGTTGTTTTATCCAGAGCACCAATCATTTATCATCATACACTGTAACTGTGATAACCAGCACAGAGAACAATATTCTCAAAATCAATCAAGATAAAGGAAACTTAAGAAAAGGAACACATCTTGGAGCTTGAAGTCATTCTCTCAAGATATCTCCCCAGTTCCAGAAAATGCAAGGATATGATGGGAAATACAAGAGTCGCCGCTTTTCACAAGGGCACACAAGACACAATGTTTCAGCAAAGCACATCAAGACATTGTAATTATCAAACATAAACATTTTTAGTGCCTTAAATGCATATAGCCTTTGTCAAAAATGGTTTCAAGCCAAAGACACTACAAATTCTGTAACACACACGCGCTTTGGACATTTGCCAATGGACATTTGCAATGTCATTGGTGCCTAACAAGGACACAGAAACCCTAATTCTCTAAGCATATCAATGGCATTATTGAGTATTATATTCATAACAAGGGAGAAAAATAAACCAAGAGAATAAATTGGGTTTTTTTAGGTCATTAACTGCAGGTCTATGTAGGGTTACCTAGTTATAAGTTATAAAGTTTATTCATGTATTCCATCTGCAAATAATTATTTATTGCCTTTTATGTGTCCACTTTTCTTATCCAAGAAATGAGAATAATAATACCACCTACCTCACAGGGTTATTGTGATGATTAGACTTTAAATACTTATAAATATAAATATATGTCATTAACACAGCCTGACATGCAGGAAGTACTGAATAAATATCAGCTACTACTATTATAATGGAGCCAAGTAGAAAGATTTGGGATATGTTTTGGAGGACTGAGCCAGCAGAATTTGCTGATAGACTGGATGAAAAAGTGAAGGAAAGAGAAACCAAGGACAACTCCAAAATCTTTGGCTTGTGCAACTGGGATGATGACACAAGGAAAATGCAGAGAGAAATGGGTTTGAGTAAAGAAATCAAGAGCTCTAAGAGGGTCATTTAGGGTTGGTCTGAGACGCCTGTAAGACATGCATGTAGAAATGTCAGGGAAGCAGTTGGATATACAGGTTTTCAGCCTCACTACCCAAAGTAAGATCCGGAGACCAGCAACATCAGCATCGCTGGGAGCTTATTGGAAATGCAAACTCTCAGGCCCCACTCCAGACAAATGAGACTGGAATCTACATTTTAACAGGATCCCCAGGTGATCAGTGTGTACAGTAAAGTTCCAGAAGCAATGAAGTAGAGTTCTGGGGAGATAGGAACTTTGGATTCATCAGCACAAAAATGAAGTCTAAAGCCAAGGCCCAAAAGAGTTCACCAGAAAGAGTGTATAAGGAAGACAAAGTGGTGCAGGGCAAAGCTCTCTCACACTTAGAGGTCTGGTGGAGGAAAAGGAACTGCACAGAAGAAAAGGAGGAACAGCAAGTGAGGTAAGGGAAAACCAGAAAAGGGCAGTATTCCAGGCCAGATAATCCAAATGTTTCAAGAAGTGGTCAACAGTGTTGAGTGCTGCTGACAGGTCAAGTAAGATAAGAACAGAGAAGAGGCCATTAGATTTGGCAATATGGAGGTCATCTTCAATGATCTTGACAAGAATAGCCTCAGTGCCATAAAAGAGGACAAGTATAAACAGTGGGGAACAGGAAGAGATACAGAGCAAAGGCAACTCTTTCAAGGAGAACATAAAGGGAGAAATGGGAGGAGGGGGGAAGGAAGAAAGAGGTTGATGATGCAGAAAAGAGAAAAGCCAATTGCCATGGTGGTGTTTTTGAGATGGTGAGAGGGAAAAGGTCCCAGAGCCCAGAAGAAAAGATGGCCTCTGATAGAAGCAGGGGCCACTCAACCCAGAGCAGCATGTCAGGGATGTGTGTCAGGGGTTGGGGGGTGGGAAGACAGGAGAGCTCCGGGATCACTGTTTCTGTTTCTCAATGAAGCTGGAGGCACCCAGAAAGGTGGGTGGGGTGGAGAGGAAAGGAAATTTGGAGAAAAGAGGAGTGAATTCGTCATTCTGGAAAGTGATAAAGTAAATGCCTTAGAACTGCCAGGTAGCACAGGATGCTTTTTTGAGATTTTCAGCCATGCATCTGAAAAAGCCTACGCTCTCCCATAACATGCTTCATTCCTCCAAAATGTCCTCATGTTCTAATGCATAGAGGCATAAATCACAAGAAAGTGCATCTTCTCCATCAATTCTCATTATTCCTGTAAGCATTTTATTACATTAAAGGTCACCGTCAGCAGAACAAGGCTAGACAAGGGCGTCATCACAGAGCCACAGCAAGATGATGATACAAAAAGACAGAAGCCTTCTATCCCCTCCATGAGATTTATGGCTGAGGGGTGAGGCAGGAATTAATGACATGAAAACACAAGATGCCTCAAGGGAGGGAGTTCCTACAATTCACAAGAACTGCTAGGAGATCCCTCCTGAGACAAGTGCTTTGGTAAACAACACCAAGTACTGTTAATTGCCTTTAACTGAGTTTTGAACAAGCCCAAAGTCAATAATGCCTCCTTGGTTACCTTCCTTCCTGCTTGGAAACCAATCGAATTGAACAATCACATAATTCTTCGCAGCACTTCCAAATTCAGCTACATAAAGCCCACTTCTGTGATCCACAAACGAAGAAGCTAAAATGTGGCTCTCCCACAGGACACTATTGCCCCACAGCACTCTCTTCCACATCCCAGGTACTCAGGGCCTGGGTGCACATCTCCTCCAGCCCTATAGTCACCTCTATCTATTTCCACTCCTTCAAAACCCCATCACCTTGGAAGCACAGTCTTCCAACTTGACTTCCTGTCACTCCTCCTTGTTACTCTCCTCTACTGCCCAGCCACTCCTCTCATTCTCCGAGGACTCCAGCTCCTGGCTAACCATCTTCCCCTCCACCACTCTCCTTACTCATTCCTGCCGACGTTGACATCTACATGGTGATCCACCCGACACCCACCATCACATCTTCGTGGCCTCCAATGCCACTTATCTCTCCTTCCACCCCAGCCTCAGTCACCCTCTCCCGTGGTCATACCCTAGATCTTGCTGCTACCAAGATCACCACTTTCAATGTGTGGATGTCAACATCCTACTCTGACCATCCCCTTCCAGCCCAGCTCTGGCACCCCACCTCCTAGCAATTCTCCAACATCTCTGATACCTGCTAATCACCTTTTAATTATCTATCTCCAACTCTACTTTTCCCATCTCTTCTCATGTAGCTTAAATTATCCAACTGGATAACCATTCCCTTGCAAAACACCTCTAACTCCTCTGCCCTCTCACCCACCACTGTTTCTACCTCACAGAGTCCCACCCTTAGTTAAACCCTATGTGACCTTGCCCCTGCCTGCATCTGGGCCATTGACCCTTGCACAAAACTCTGTGGACTGGACTCACTTCAAATTACCCTCTACACCTTTCAGATGATTTCTTAACATTGCCAAGCAACCTGCCCTTCTCTCGAAGTACAGACTCTTCAACAGGATCATTTCCCACCTTCTCATCTCAAATCTCCCTGACTCCCTCTTCGCTCCACTCTCGGCCAATGATGTGGCCTCAAATAGCATAATGAAAATGCCTGCAATCAGCCAGCACTAGCTTATCCTCTGATCCGTCTCACGAACCCACCTGCAACAGCTCACTGCTGCCTCCCAAAAGAGCCTTCCCTGACCACTCTGGCTAAAGCAGCCTCCTCCCTCAGGTTAAAATGAGTTTATCTTCTGCATAATGGGTATCAATGCTTGAACCTGTTTGTTTTTATGCTTAGTGTCTGTCTCTCCTCACTAGAGTGTAAACTCTTGGCTCGTGGCATCCCCAGCACTGCACAGTAACCACACATAGAAGGTGTTCAGTAAACACTTGTTGACTGACTGATGAGCTGGGTTGAACGATACACTTACCTACCATTGTGACCAATTACTCATCATCTAGTACACCTCCAGCAAATGTAAATGCACATTTTCTTAAATATTTTTTATTTAGCCCTCCCTCCCTCTCCTCATAAAAATGAACAGTGGGGCTGCTATCCAGGTCAAATTTATCTATTTTAAAAAATGTTTACGGCCGGGCACGGTGGCTCACGCCTGTAATCCCAGCACTTTGGGAGGCCGAGGTGGGCAGATCATGAGGTCAGGAGTTCGAGACCAGCCTGGCCAACATGGTGAAACCCTGTCTCTACTAAAAATACAAAAATCAGCTAGGCATGGTGGCACATGCCTGTAACCCCAGGTACTTGGGAGGCTGAGGCAGGAGAATCGCTTGAACCCGGGAGGCAGAGGTTGCAGTGAGCCGAGATCACGCCATTGCACTCCAGCCTGGGCAACAAAAGTGAAACTTCATCTCAGCAAAAAAAAGAAAAAAAAAAAAAAAAGAGAAAGAAAGAAAAATAAAAGAGGCTGAACACAAGCACAAATTGCAGGTCTCTATACAGAGCAGCAGATCCTGCCTACCCCCTTTCCTCCCCCAACATACAGCGGTCCCCAGTCAGGCACTCAGTTGAGTTAACTCTTTATCTCAAAATAGCATGCAGACACAGTTCTTTTTGGATTTATTAGCTTCAATCACTAGATGGGTGTTCTTAGAGAAACTGCACACACTGCAGGAGAGAACTAGAGCCCTACTATGGTGGTGTTGGTGCCCGCAGATTAAAGCCTATCTCTGTGGGTCACTTACGGAGCCCCAGATAACAATTCATGTGAATTTCACCCTGGATTGAGACATTGGAGTCCTAAGAAAGATGAAATCCTAGCATGCTACTTATTGTGCAGTAAGCAATATCAACTCAGTCAGATACTGAACACTGTTAGGAGTTTTCATTTGTTTTAATTACCTTATAGACAAATCATAGAAACCAACGATGGCTAGGAAATAGAGTATTTTATCAACTTTGATAGTACAAAAGTAAATGTACAGCTAGAGAAGGAGGGAGCAGGCAAGGAGACGTGGTGGTAATAGCCTTATCTATGGCATAGAGTCAGGTGACACGATCAACAGTGGATGGAATGGGAAATCTGGTTGTAGTGAATCTATTGTCTGGAGTTGTGGGGATGGCCAGAAGAGAGGTGAAGAGATGGAGTTGTAGTGCAAGTAAGCTTCAACCTTGAGGGTTTTTTGTTTGTTTTTCCTTTTGAAACAGAGTTTAGCTCTTGTTGCCCAGGCTGGAGTGCAATGGTGTGATCTCGGCTCACTGCAAACTCTGCCTCCCAGGTTCACGCGATTCTCCTGCCTCAGCCTCCCAAGCAGCTGGGATTACAGGCATGCCCCACCACACCTGGCTAATTTTGTACTTTCAGTAGAGACAGGGTTTCACCAAGTTGGTCAGGCTGATCTTGAACTCCTGACCTCAAGTGATCCATCTGCCTCGGCCTCCCAAAGTGCTGGGATTACAGGGATAAGCCACCGTGCCCGGCTGGTTCAACCTTAATTTTTATGGCAGAAAGTCACTAGACAATGATCACAGTTGATACATTCAGAAACAGCAGTACATGCATATTATTTTGGGATACAGAGGTATCTACAGCAGAACAAAAAAACACAGCTAAAATTGGTTTGCCTGTGGATAAGGGATTTGTGGGGGGGGGGGATTTGTACAGGGATTGTTGCCTTTTATTAGAAGCCCTTCAGTCCTATTTGATTCATTAAGTATGAACAAGTGTTGCCTTAAAAACTAAAAGTTTGGGGACAGGAGACGAATAAAGAAAAATAATGATATATTTTATGAAATAAGAGAGAGGAAGTCTCACACACAGTATGGTGGGAATGAGTGTGGAATGGTTAAGCTGGATACTGCATAACTATGGTAACAGACGTAGCTAATTTAAGACACAAATGAGGGTGTTGGAAAGATTTAAGAGAAATATGGTGTTAAGAGGGAAGGAGAATAAATTCTAAAAAAAGGGATGCTGAGATAATCAGTATGGATGCTCTGCCATCTGACATGAGGAAAGCAGGAAAGAATCAAACCCGCCCTCACTTTTCCTGTCCTGTCTTTTCACGGTAGATTTTTGAAAGTAAACCCCTAGATATTCTTATGGAGACTCCATGCCGAGTAAAGAAAGCAAACATGATAAAATTCATACTCAATAAAATAACACAAGCAGAAAATCACATCCATTGTTAAATGAAATTGTTTCATAAAGCCTCCATGCATTTCAAAGTTTAATAACTTCATTTGTTCTTTGAGAAAAACAATTTAAAAATAACATTCAAATGCCCTTGTATTGATTTTCCCTTCAATAAAATGATTCACAATCAAGCACAAACATTTAACGACCCTTTCAAAATTCCACAGAAAATTACCGAAGGAACGTAAAAATAGGAACAAATCTCCATCACTTCTGGTTACCAGGGAGGCTGCCATTCACGCGGCAGGAACTGTGAGGGATCGACATCTTTATAACATCGGTTCTTCCCATCTGGGAACATGACATTCTGTTTCTTGAGTAAATATTGGTAATGCATATTTTCAGTGGAAATAGTCCATTTCATCAAGATTTTCACAGATGATGGGATACAATAATGCACAATGTTCTTGAGATTTTACATCTTTTCTCCATGCTGCTCCATATGTCATTTCTAGCTTTGTGAATTTTTTTGCCTTTGTATCTTAATTAGGCTTTCTGGAAGTTTGCCTATTTTATTGGCTTTCTAAAAGAACTAACTGGCTGGATAAAAGGTGGGGAGAGGGCATATAAGGAGGTGGAAAGAGTTGTTTTGGAAGGGTTGGGAGGGTGGGAAAGCATGTTCAGAAAAATGGAGTAGTTCAGCCTACCTAGAGGGTAGAGCGTAAAGGAAAAAGAGGAAAAGCAGTTGAGGCAGGTAAGGAGCTTGGGCTTTATCCGGAGGGTAGAGAAATGATGAGATTAGATTTTTGTTTTAAAAAGATCAACTATGCAACATAGTGAGACCTCGTCTCTACCAGAATTTTAAAAAAAATAAGCCAGGCATGTTGGCATACACTGTACTCCCAGCTACTTGGGAGGTTGAGATGGGAGGATTGCTTGAGCCCAGGAGGTTAAGGCTGCAGTGAGCCATGATTGCACTGCTGCACTCCAGCCTGGGCAACAGAGCGAGACCTTGTCTCAGAAAAACAATAATAATAAACTATGGATGGAGGAAGACTGGGCTGGAAGCAGGGAAGAAGGTGGGGGGACTCTAAAGTAATCCAGAGTTTCAGCCAGGGGCAGTGTGGCCATATGAAACAGGAACCCAAGCAAAGTAGCCCAGGCAGAATGGAAGGCAACATCGACATGGAAACCAAAGTCTAGCCTGGACTCATGGAAACTACTAGAATTGTCATCAATTCAGGGAGCCATGGGGATGGGGTGAAGGATGTCAAATGGTCCTTAGAGCTGCTACTGATAGAAGCCACAGGGATTTACTACTTGGCTTAGAAAGTTTTTTTCAGCCACTTCACAGCTGGAAAAAAGGCACAGAGAAAACCATTCCAGGCATTAAATGGAGCACTGAAATTTGTATTCAGGTACCTAGATCCTAAGCTCCCTGGCCTCCAGATCCTGCCCTGGAAGCTTGCAGGATGAGGCCCTATGTTAGATCAAATACATTACAGGTATTTACTGCTGGGTGGAATAGCGTTTATTTACATACTTTTGTATCTTTATTTTTAGCTGCATCTGGTGAAGTGATCAGAATCAACCTTGTTTGAAGCTGGATATATTAAATCCCCACTTTACTGGGAGCTCCCTCAGCACATGTCTGAGGAACTGAGGGTGCTGTGGTTTGGATATTTGATCCCTCCAAAGCCCATGTTGAAGGAGGGGGTACCTGGTGGGAGGTGTTTGGGTCATGGTGGTGGATCCCTCATGAATGGCTTGGAGCCATTCTTGCAGTAGTGAGTGAGTTCTCACTCTTTTCATTCCCATGACAGCTGGTTGTTAAGAAGAGCCTGGCATCTCCTCCCCTCTCTCTTGCTTCCTCTCTTGCCATGTGATCTCTGCACACGCCAGCTCCCCTTTGCTTTCTGTCAGGAGTGGAAGTGGCCTGAGGCTTCCACAAGCTGCCCAGTCTTCCAGCCAGTAGAATCATGAGAAAAGTAAACCTTTTCTCTATAAATTACCCAGCCTTGGATATTCCTTCATAGCAACACAGGCAGACTAAGATGGGGATCTGCCACTCAAGGTGGCAGTGCTGATAGATTTCCCACGGCCCTTAGATTTATATCCCTCATCCCCACCCCACTGACCATACCACAGCCCATCTAGCCCTGTTTCATTGAGCCTGGGGATACTAGCACTCAGCTGAGAGGACACCACTGCTTCTTCCCAGGAAAGCCCCTTGTTGATACTCATGGGCTGGGTGATATTGGCTGGCACCATCTGTACTCTAACTTTTACAGAGTCCTTAAAGAATCTAGGCCCAGTGTTTGTTCTCTTCTCTAAAACTCAAATCGATGTTTTCCTTACTATATTTGTCTTTGGACACTTTGAAGAAAAGAAAGGCAAATATTTAGGTCCATGGTGCCATCTTGAAACCTACACGTGCGTGTTTATAACCCTGAACCTGCAACTCAGATCTCGGGTCCCAGCCATGACACATGCATACGTCTGCCTCTCTGCTGGCCATCCCCACCTCAAACTCGTCTTGTCTAAAACTGACCACTGTCTTACACAAACCACTTCCTTCTTGGCTGTGCTGGATTCCCCAATTTAGAGCACCAAGCAAAGTAGGGCTCCAAATATTCTTGGAATAAATTTGATATATATTTTTTGAAGCATCAAAGTAGTCACCATGGAGATGTTATAACAATGAATAAGATACAAATGGTACAGTTCTAATTTTTTAAAGTTTCAGAGAAACAAGTCTGATGTACTTTGTTTGAGGATGCAAATTTAGATTATAAAATTATAAAAGCAAGCAAGAAAATGGTTACCATAAAAGGAAGGTGAGTTGTTACCTCCAGGGGGAAGCAGGGTGTGGTTCAAGGGTGCACTGGGCTCTGGGAGCTGGCTGTGTCCTGCTTCTTGACCTGCATGGTGGTCACACGGGCATTCACTTTATAATATTTCACTAAACTGCACATTTGTTTCATGTCCTTTCCTATATCTGTGTTATGTTTTATATATTTTAAGGTTTTTTTAAATAAAGTAGTCATTACAAGGGAAAGAAACAAAACTTTTGTGGACTTTCATAGTTATTTTGATAAAGTTGGCCACAACTTATCTTCCATCATACAAAATGCCAGAAGACAAAAGAATAATATTTGGAGTTTTTAGGTAAAAAGATTAAGATGAAGAAGTGTATGCCCCAAAAGGATGATGTTACTGTGAAACAGCAACATAAAGAAGTTCTTAGGCAAGCAAGAACTACCGGAATATACTATCTTTCCTGAAAAAGATTCCAACTAATCAAGGAATAAGTAAAAATGAAGATTGAGCATAGGAAATGGACTGAGTATTGTAACCTATGTAACTCTCAGTCTAGATAGCAGCTGTTAGTATGGTTAGGAAACATAAATGTCAAAAATAATTCTGGAAAGCAAAAGCATGCATTACTTTTTTTTTTTTTTAAAGACAATAATCTGGATCTAAAAGCCAAAATGTTTTTAAGGCAAAAAGTTAGTGGGGGTAGATGGGCAACAAAAAAGAAATTAAAGCTGGGCACAGTGGCTTACACCTGTAATCCCAGCACTTTGGGAGGCCGAGGTGGGTGGATCACCTGAGATCAGGAGTTTGAGACCTGCCTGGCCAACATGGTGAAACCTGGTCTCTACTAAAAATACAAAATTAGCCGGGCGTGGTGGCAGGTGCCTGTAATCCCAGCTACTCAGGAGGCTGAGGCACAAGAATCACTTGAACCCAGGAGACAGAGGTTGCAGTGAGATGAGATTGTACCACTGCACTCCAGCCTGGGTGACAGAAAAAAAAAAAAAAAAAAGGAAGGAAGGAAGGAATTAAAGTATACTAAATCTCTCATTATTTATGAAAGAACAAATAGACACAACTTTTTTTTTTTTTGAGACAGAGTATCGTTCTGTTGCTCAGGCTGGAGTGCAGTGGTGCAATCTCGGCTCACTGCAAGCTCTGCCTCCCGGGTTCATGCCATTCTCCTGCCTCAGCCTCCCGAGTAGCTGGGACTACAGGTGCCCGCCACCACGCCTGGCTAATTTTTTGTATTTTTAGTACAGACGGGGTTTCACCATATTAGCCAGGATGGCCGATCTCCTGACCTCACGATCTACCCGCCCTGGCCTCCTGAAGTGCTGGGATTACAGGCGTGAGCCACCGCGCCTGGCCAACACAACTATATTTTTTAATGTTAATGAAGACTAGTAGAAAAAAATGGGCAGAAAATTTCCCTTTTATCTAAAGAACAAGGGACTCTTACACTACATTTAAGTTAAGAAAGGGGGTGGAAAAATAGCTTGGAATTTTTTTAATGTAAAATAAAATTTTAGAAGATCTGTGACTGTATCACATATAATAAATGTAAATTGAGTCACAATTGGATTAAAAATCCAATTATGATGCTTAAAATAGACAAAAATCAAAATGACGTAAAAGAAGAAAGCTTAAGAAGAAAGAGAATGAGCATCACACCAGGGAAATGGAAACAGAAAGAAGGCAGGACCAGATTTCTTATCACACAGTAAAATTTAAGACAAAAATAAAAATACAATGAGACAAAGCAGGTCTGGAAATATGGAAGATTCACCCCACAATGGAGAGTCAAGGGTCACAACATTTGTGTCACAGAGGATAACCAGTCATCCCCATTTGCCTGGCACTGTCCCAGCTTTAGCACTGAAAATCCCTCATCCCAGAAAACCCATCAGTCCTGGGCAATCAGGGCCCTGAGTAATACAGCATCAAATATAACTATGTAAAAACATATAAAATATACACAAATACATGTTTATATATATAATTACATAATTATATATCAAATAAATATATAAATATAACTATATTATATGGATTTAAAGGGCATGCTAAAGGACATAGCAAAAGGAAAGCGGTCAAAAATTTCATTTTCTTTTTTTTTTTTTTGGAGATGGAGTTTCATTCTTGTTGCCCAGGCTGGAGTGCAATGGTGTGATCTCGGCTCACTGCAACCTCCGCCTCCCGGGTTCAAGCAATTCTCCTGCCACAGCCTCTGGAATAGCTGGGATTAGAGGCGCCCACCACCACACCCAGCTAATTTTTGTATTTTTAGTAGAGACGAGGTTTCACCATGTTGGCCAGGCTGGTCTGGAACTCCTGACCTCAGGTGATCCACCTGCCTCGGCCTCCCAAAGTGCTGGGATTACAGGCGTGAGCCACCACACCCAGCCAAAAATATCATTTGAGACTAACATCTTTTGTATTCTTTGACAGATCACTTAGGTACAAAGAAAAGTTTAAAATAAATTTGAATAACATAATCAATAAACTCATTTAAATCTATACAACTGAAGTTTAGACTCCACAGAGGATACACTTTCTCTTCATCTCTTTCAGTAACATTGGCAAAGCTTTCCTATGTAGTTTATCTTGGAAGACAGACCGGGATGAAATCTTTACTAAAAGCCTGCCATTCCATGAGTGCTCTTCGAGTTTGGAAGATTTGGTGGTGGTTGTCATTGAAGACAGGCAGTTTTTCATATTATTGCTTTAAAATTCTTTCAGGCTAAAATTGTAGCAGCCAATGTATGTGGAGTCAAATATTGTGGCTGCAATCTCTTCTAAAGATTCAAATTTCTATTCCAAGAATCTGTGTGTGTCCCTGTACATAGTTCAAAATGCTTAAACTATATAAACATCCCTTTTGGCAGAAAAAATTTCTCATGACCTCATGGTTGACCTAAGTCACTTTTATTAAAATGTAACTTAAATATGTATACTCATAAATACCAGTTCTAAACACCTATGCTTTACAGCTTTTATATTATTAAAATGCCAAAACAATGTACAAATACAACTATCCACTTTAAAATATCAAAGTAATAAAATTAATTTATTGCAATAGGTAAGTCTTTCACATGTAACAACTCATTCTTATAATATCACCATGCAATCAATGCCATATATTTATTCCTATATTATTATAGGAAATTGAGCAGGAGAGAGGTTGAATAACTTGCCTAAACTCTCACAGCTAGTAAGTAGAAAAATAATTTTTGAAGTCAGACAGTCTGGTGTCACTTAACCATCAGAACAAATTACCCATCTCATTTTCTTTTCTTTTTTTTTTTGAGTTGGAGTCTCGCTCTGTTGCCCAGGCTGGAGTGCAGTGGTGTGATCTCGGCTCACTGCAACCTCTGCCTCCAGGATTCAAGTGATTCTCCTGCCTCAGCCTCCCGAGTAGCTGAGATTACAGTTGCCCACCACCATGCTCAGCTAATTTTTGTATTTTTAGTAGAGATGGGGTTTCACTATGTTGGTCATGCTGGTCTCGAACTCCTGACCTCAGGTGATCCACCTGCCTCGGCCTCCCAAAGTGCTGGAATTACAGGCGTGAGCCACCGCGCCCGGCCCCATCTCATTTTCTTAGATGTAAGGTACCTATTGGAGAGTTACTAAATATGCATTAAATGAAGATCTAATTCAAATATTGTTAAAATCCACAACAGCAACTTTTCTGTTGTGTTTTTACTACATCTGCTGCTAATAAATTGCTGCAAACTTGATCCATACAAAGATGAACTGGCGTGAGATCTTCAATCCCTGCCAATAGAGCAGTGGTCGCCAGGAGCTGTTCTTTTGGAGTTGGCAAGTTGTGTGTGTCCTGTGTAGACTCACTCTCTCCACTATTCCAACTCCCCTTCCCTTCACCCAGGCTGTGGCTGGAGCCACCAGGCCTGCCCATGGCTCAAATGGAAAGATACAAAGGCAAACGCAGACTCCAGCATCAGTTTCAGCCTTGCCATCAAGATGATCCAGAACACATTTTTACTGCTAATTATTTATGATTATCACTGGAATAGGCCAGGCATAGTGGCTCATGCCTGTAGTCACAGCTACTCAGGAGGGAGAGGTGGGAGGATCGCTTGAGCCCAGGAGGTCCCGGCTACAGGGAACTATGATCATGCCACTGCATTCCAGCCTGGGTAACAGAGCAAGATCCCTACTCAAACAGTCTGGGTGACAGAGCAAGATTCCGCAAAAAAGATTATCACTGGAATAAAACCACTAATGTCAGAGAATACACAGATCTTTCAAAATACGTATATCTTCAGAACCCCAGGGGGCTGAGAGACCTGTGGCATGATATCATTAGCTCATGCTGAGGGCCATTGTGAAAAACAACCCTATGAAACTTGTCCTTGTGTCTGATGAGGAGGTGATCGAAGGCATCATTTCAAACACTATGTCACATTAGGAAAAAGTTCCTTTCTGGTCTCGGAATCAAGAACTGTTGGTTGGGCAAAGTGGCTCACACTTGTAATCCCAGCACTCTGGTAGGCAGAGGCAGGTGGATCGCTTGAGGCCAAGGATTTGAGACCAGCCTGGCCAACATGGCGAAACCCCGTCTCTACTAAAAATGCAAAAATTAGCCGGGCGTGGTGACACGCACCTGTAGTCCCAGCTATTCGGGAGGCTGAGGCGTGAGAATCACTTGAAGCCAGGAGGTGGAGGTTGCAGTGAGCCGAGATCATGCCACTGCGCTCCAGCCTGGGCAACAGAATGAGATTGTGTCTCAAAAAAATATAAAACATAAAAAATAAAAAAGAATTGTTGTGTTTTTATGTTCTGGCCATATAATGTTTTGTGTTTTGTGTTTTTCCCACATAGCTGTTATCACAATTTGTAATTATATATTCATTTGAGAGATTTCTTGATGAGTGTCCATTTCTTGCATTTGTCTTTAAGCGCCCATTAGACACAGACCACGTCTATCTGCTTTATCCCTTTGTTCCCAGTACGTCTTACAGAACCTGGCACGTAGTAAGTCCTCACTGAATGTTTGTTGAGTGAAGAAGTGTGTGAATGAGTTTAACAAATAAATAAAACATATAAGCCATGGGTTCGTCAATTTCTTTTTTGCTTATGCTGCAAGAAAGTTTAGAGCTGTTTTTGTTTCCTGCCCGTAGCCATTGTAGAAGGTCTCATGCTCATGTTTTTGTATCAGCCTCACGCTTAAGACCATTTTATGACTCCACCCTTAGTGTCCTTTTTTCTTTCCCAACTACTTCCAAGTTAGGCTGCCTTGCCATATTTATGAATCCCTGTAAACTATCTTAAATCCCTTGTGGAAGAGGTGGTAATAAATAAATATATCTACTAGTCTTTTTTATATATATTTAAAATCTTAACACTAAACCCACTGCCAGCAAACACATTTGCTCAACTGTTAACCTTAAGAATAGCTGAGATTTGCTAATTCCAACACTATACTAATATTTAAAACAAATTCAATCCAAGCCTAGAAACCACAGCATATCATGTCAGGCATTGTTGTACATTGTGTATATGACAAGCATATTTCTAATAAGGCTAGGCAATTTGGTGGACAAGAAAGAACATAGGGCTTACTACAAAATTCTTATGGATTTTGGATCAAAGAATAATTTATCTTTAGTGGTTTTTCAAAATGTGTTGACATCATACCAATAATGAAAACTTTGCTTTTACTTGTGCCCTATGCAGGGAGGAGTAGGGAAGAAAGGCTGGGCAAGATCCTGATCTATAGGAGAAAAGTCTCTACAGAGAAAAGTTTGATCACATTACACAATTAAAGTAGAACCTTATAAAGTAAAAATATTAAATGGTCTAAACCCCCCTTTTAAGTCTCTAACATATATTATTCATATGCTAATGGAGATATTATTTGCAAGTCTGAAACGTCATAGTTCTCTTCTTTGGTCAGATTCATTTAAAACACTTTTACTTCAAATGCTGACTTGCTATTTTTCTCTTAAAACGGAACATAATTTTCTAATGCCATTAATGAGAACACCCCTCACTGCACAAGTTAAACATCTCAGGAATCCCAGCTAGATCCACAAACTAGACATGAAAGCAGTTGCTTGCACCCTCTCCAATCCCTTTGCTTCTGCCAGGATGCCAGACCAACCACTCCTTTTGGGTTACTCGGGAAGCACGAAATGTGCATTTAGGAAACTGAGATTTGATTTCTATTATCGATAAAGCTCATCTGAGTCAGTTGAATCTTAGACGACAAACAGCAAGAGGGAAGAGTGGGTGTAAGGAAACAGATGGGTATTAATCATGTGTCAGAGATAAATGACAGTTTTTTAAAGAATTTGATAGGGTGTGGGCTGGAGCTTGCTTTTTTATTTTCTATTTCTATTTCCTATTTTCTATTTTTAGTTTTGGGCAAGAGATGGAGATTAGGGGTGAGAAAAGGAAGGAAGAGAAAAGGCAAGACAATAGGCCAGACCCGAGAGCCTGATCTGCATCCTAAAGCAGTCTGCCCCTCCCTCCCTTCCCCCCAACACCAGGTAGGCTGTGGTGTGATTTAAAAATAAGCAGACACCGACTCCCGCCTCCGGGACCGGGGATGGCCTCCGCCCCGGCTGCAGAAAGGGAGGGGAGGCAGGGAGAGGAGAGGGAAGATGGAAGAAACAGACTGGCAAGACCCCCTCGGGTACAGTGGGATTTTTCCCTCCAAAGTGGTGGAGCCGCATAAAATCAAAACCCACGAGGCCCGCTCACGTGCCGGTTGCCCCGATCTCAATGTAGGCGGCTGCCGACGCCGCACCTGCTCGGCCGGCCACTGCGGCTGAGCGCCGCGCAGCCAGCGATCGCGAGGCCCCGGGGGACGCGCCCAGCCCCGCCAAGCCCGCCTCGCACCGCTACCCCGGAGGGCGGCGGCCGAGCGGGAAGGAAAGAGAGGGGAGGGGAGGGAGGGGAGGGGAGGAGCGGCCCCGCCCGGCTAGGCGAGGCGAGGCTTGCCGCCCCTCCATTCGGACCCAAAAGAAAGCCCCACCTGTCAGGCGTTACGCTCCGGGCGAGGGTCCCACCATCCCCAAGCAGGGGCCAGTGCTTGCAGCCCCGATTTCCTAAGAGCCTCGGATGCTACATCATCACCAGAAACCTTTAGGCGCAAAACACACCGCTGCCGGCCAGGGCTGCAGCACCGACGCGCTCGGCAACAGACGCGCCCCACCTGGGCCAAGCGGCTCCCGCCCGGCCGAGGGATGCCAGGGTCTCCGCGCCAGGAGACCAGCGACCCCAGGCAGCCCACCAGGCCCGCTCCCCAGACCCTTACCTCCTGCGCGGCATCTTAGCTATCTCCGGTCGGCCACTGCGGGTTGGTTTTGTTATTTTATGGGTTTGGGGGGTGGGGTGCGCTTAAAAAATCCACCCAGCTAATCTGCAGGGCAGCGTTTTCTGCCCATGCTGCAGCCCGCGCTCGTCAGAGCTGCTGGGAGATCCCCCAGCAGTGCAGCGGCTCCGCGGCGGCGGGGATGACTGGCCACCGACGCCGCAGTTCCTTGACAAAAGGCTCGGGTTCCCGCTAGTCCCTCACAGCCCTGCCGTCAGAATTAAAGCCATTTCCCGCACGAGGCTGGGAGGAAATGAGAGCTCTCCTGGCCCTGCGCGCTGACAAAAGGCCGCTGCGCGGTGCCCACAGCGCCCCCTCCAGCAGGCCGCGCCGGCCGCCCGAGGGCCGCGGTGCTGCAGTGCCCCCGCCCGCAGCGCCCCCCACCGCCCCGCAGCGGCCTCGCCCCGCAGCACCCCCACTACCGCCCCGCAGCGCCCCCCTCCTCCCCGCAGCGCCCCCGCCCGCGCCGCCGCAGACCCCCCTAGCCAGGCTTCCAGCCCCCTTCCACCCCCGCCCCGCACCACTCACTACCCGGGATGGCCAGAGCTAAGCAGGGGAGTCTGTTACTAGGGAGAAAATCTGAAACAGAGCTCCCTTGGGGGAATGTATTCTCCCTGGAAGGAAGAAAGCAAAAGTCTTAGACTTGGAATATTTCTTTTCGTCTGGAAAGGACAGCTAGCCTTCGGAAGATAATTCTATTAGTGATTTTAATAGCAATTGTTTGACTGAATTCCAAACCAAAATTCTCCCTGTCCTGATTCTCACTCCTTTTCAACCAGGACAACATTTTTGTTGTGGCCCTGCCCTTGGGGGCTGTGGACCCAACGCTCTCCAACTCTCACTACATTCTCCTCTCACTCCTTTCCTTCCTCAGGTCTCCCGCCCCAGAAGGAACAGGTGTGTAGTGAGTGGGGAACTGGATAGGGAACCAGAATACTTCGGTTGCCGTCTCAGAGCTGCTCTTAACTAGCTGTGAGACCTTAATCAACCCACTTAACCTCTCTGGGCCTCGTTGTCTTCCTCTGTAAAATGACAGTGTACCTAAGGCACCTCCCATTTCCAATACTTTCAAGGCCTGGCCCTCAGAGAGTAGGGGTGTTAAGAGATAGCTCTGGACTTTTCACCCCCATAATCTCCACCAGTCCCCAAAACTCCCCTCAATCAACATCCTCTCCAAGGGCTTTTGAAAATGTGCTTGTGAAAATGTACAGCTTCCAGAAAAGCCTCTGGCCACTGATCTGAAACCTGATCATGGCCCCTCTGCCCTTCCAGGTTCTGGGGCACCACAGCCCTCAGACACCCCCACAAAAGTCACTGGCCCCCACCACAGTGCTGCTGTGGAACCAGAATCTCTGGAGGTAGGCTCAGGATTGGTAATTTTAACAAGCAGCCCTAGTGATTCCTTTGCACACTAACACTTTAGAAACACCACTCTGAGAGCTACTACTGATTTAGAAAAGAAAATGCTAACGACAACCCTAGATGCCAGGATAAACTTGTCTTTCTGCTTCAGCCCCCCTTCCAAGAAACATACATGCATACCTGGTCCCTGCACCCTCCTTCCACACTCAGAGCTTCTCACTCATTCTCATTCAGAATCACCGAGTCCACAAGACTTCTCCCCATTCTCCTGTCAAAACCTGCTAGAAGAATTACAACAGGCTCAGCCACACAAGATGAAACCCCTTCCCCTCCCCACCCCAGGACCTAGGTCTGTCTGGTCAAAGAAGCCAGGACGTGTTATGTTTATTGAGTCATTCCTGGCAGCCATAGCTCTTTTGGTGCTAATGGGTGATGAGATCTGAGAAACAGGGAACCCCTTCTCCAGAGCTCAGAAGTCACAGGTAAGGTGGGCTCTATATCTTAATAGAACCCCCAAAAAGAATGGAGAATTTTTGTTAGAAATAGCAGGTTTCATAAGTCACCCCAGTCATTTCCATCCCCCAAAATTTCTCTTCCTAGTGTGTTATTTTGTTTTCTCACATGAATCCTAGCAAACCCTTGTTGGTTCCTGGCACTGTTCTGAGAGCTTTACATGCATTTTCACATAATCCTTGCAAAAACTCTGTGAGGGTGGTACTATTATCATCCCCATTTTATAGATGAAGAGACTGAGGCACAGGGATGTTAAGTCGCTTGCCCTAGGTCACACAGCTAGTGGGTGGCTGAGCAATGAATCAAACTCAAGTGCTGTGGCTCCAGAGTTTGTGGGCCCTAACCACTACACTGCATGGCCTCCCAGAGGGGACAATAAACTTTTTTTTTTTCTTTTGAGACAGAGTCTCATGCTGCCCCCCAGGCTGGAGTGCAGTGGCATGATCTCAGCTCACTGCAACTTCCTCTCCCCAGGTTTAAGCGATTCTCCTGCCTCAGCCTCCCGAGTAGCCGGGATTACAGGCACGCACCACCACACCCAGCTAATTTTTGTATTTTTAGTAGATATGGGTTTTCACCATGTTGGCCAGGCTGGTCTGGAACTCCTGACCTCAGGTGATCTGCCCGTCTCAGCCTCCCAAAGTGCTGGGATTACAGGCGTGAGCCACCACGCCTGGCCAAAAATAAACTTTTTAAAGCAGAGCTGGTACAAGACACTGAAAGGCTGATAAGACTAATACATTCTCCTTCCCCCCGGCAAAAAAAAAAATGATTCTGCTCCCCTAGTCATCACAGGAGATACATATATATATTTATGTTTATATATGTATATATTATATATATTACATATACACAATATATATTATATATATTACATATATTTTTATATATATATGTCCGGCCTCTCCCAGGGTCTATCTGATACTGCATACTGAGAAGGTGGTGCCATCCTGGGACTTTAGGAATTGTCCAAATGTCAGAGAGGAAATAAGACTTCATTAATTCCCATATTCATAGCCTATATGAAATTTTAATTGAAGTTCCAGAAATTCTCAATTTCAAATTCACTTCAAAATCCAGGAAAAGGAACCACAACTGTAGTTGGCTCCAACTGTCAATGGGAGACCAGGAGACTTCAGAGCTCCCACTGCAACAAGCCCAAGATGCCTGGCCCTTAACTGGGGCCAGAAAAACACAAGAGACCCCCATGTCAGACCGGGGAAAAATCACAGCTGGCTAACCCTCCATGGCCAGATAGTTTAAAATTAGACTCTCTGACTGATTTGCAGTAAAATTTCTCATCTTCCAAGTCTTCTGACAAAAATGTTTCTGGCCAAGAATAACTAGTAGAGAGAGAAGCTGGCAGTGCAACAGTGAGCCCCATCTCCTGGTATCCATTGCCCTGTGTATTACCCTCTCCTTAGGTGCTGGCACGACTGTGGCTCACTTCTAACCGACAGGATAAGGCAAAGATAATGGGATGTTCACTTCCGTGATTACATTACATAAGATTCTTTGTCTTGCTAGCAGACTGTCTCAGTTGGCGTCTTGACCTGCATGCTTTCATTAGTAGCCATGTTTGGAAGATCTACATGGCAAGGAACTGAGGGTGACATCCAGCTAATAGCCAGCTGGAAACTGAGAACTTCAGTCCAAAAAAGTCCTAGAGGAAATGAATCCCACTAACCATCACATAAGTTTAGAGGCTGATCCTCCCCCAGTTAAGCCTTCCACTGAGAACCCAGCCCTGGCTGACACCTTGATTTCTGCCTTGTGAGAGACACTGAAGCAGAGGACTCAGTTAAGTCATACCGAGACTCAACTCCTGGCCACAGAAACCATGAGATAATAAATGTGTTGTTTTAAGTTGCTTAGTTTGCATTAATTTGTTACACAGCAATAGATAACTAATACGGGGGCTTAGCACTCTATAGGCCCAGGCATGCTTATCAATGGCCTTTTCTAGGGCATGCTGGAAATGCTGGAGAAATCAACACCCCTGGGATCAGCCCTCAACCAATGACCATTAGGAGTTTGTGGATAAACAGCCTGGCTCCCTCATCCCTGAGAGTTGGGAGAATACCTCAGTGTTCTCCATTGTCTCCCAGAGAGCCTCAGCAGGATTGAGCCCCAGCTGCCCACAGCAGTAACCTACCTGCTCACTCACGCATCTTTTATGGGCTTTTCTTCCCTATATCACTTTCCCACTCCCTTACAGGTGCCTCCCGGGCTTGCTTCCCAACTTACACTCAAATCGTAATCTACATTTAGGGGAACCCACTTTAAGATGGGGCAAGGGAAGGAAGACAGTGCTTTCAAAGGAAGACCACTGATAAGTTGTAAGTCTAGATGTTCTGAAGATACCCAATAAATGAAAGTTCACCTCTATGGCTGATGCTGCTCTGGAAACAGAAGTGAATTGGGAGTCCAGGGCCTAGGGCTCCAATCTCAGTCCCAGGGAATGTGTGGACTTAGGAAAGACCCTGACCCCTTATTCTCCCTTACCCAGCTATAAAGTGAGGGTGACAGCACTTGCTCTCTGTTATGGGCTGAATCTCATCCCCCTCAAATTTATGTGTTGAAGTCCTAGCCCCCAGTGCTCCACAATGTGACTGTATTTGGAGCTAAATCCTTTAAAAAAGTAATTAAGGTAAAATGATGTCATATATGTGGGCCTTAATCCAGTATGACTGAGGTCCTTATAAGAAATTTGGACACAAACTGGCATAAAGGGATGACCATATGAGGACACAGCAAGAAGGTGGCCATCTACATACACTCCAAGAAGAAATCATACCTGCCCACACTTTGATCTCAGACTTTGAGCCTCTAGAATGGTAAGACCACACATTTCTGTGGTTTACCATTACCATCTGGGATGCTTTGTTATGGGAGCCCCAGAAAACTACTACATCCTCCACCTGGCCAAGGTTGTCATGTAGACAAAATGGGACGCCAAGTGAAAGCACTTATGGTCTTATTACCTATTGAGACAGCCAGACAGTGTAACCCCAGCCACACCAGGAAATAACCAGAGTGGTTCCAGAGACAAGAGAGCCCCAGACTCCAGTTCCCACCCTCATGTTAGGTCCAGACCTGGAGAGCTGTGGATAGAGCTCTTCATGTTGAGCCCTGATAACATGTAAGTCCCTCTGGGGGAGGCCTTCCTGTACCCGATGTTAAGTGCACTAGTTCCTCCTACCAGCCCACAAGAATTTTCTTTTATGATCACTGCTTGCCCAGCAGGATTTATTATTCTGCAGTTCTTATTCCTAGAAGGTGCTAAAGCTTTCAGAGTCTGTCTTGAAACTTGGAGCTGATGCCTCAGATAGACCCAGGGATTTGTTCCTGGTACCATGACTCTCTTACTACCCAATGCCCCTCAGGCAGCTAGACCCAGCAGATGGCTCTCATTCTGATTCTGAGGAATTCCGCTTAGGGTGTGTACAACTCACATCAGTAAGGGCTTCCTCATCCTTACCCCGAGACCCAGTTCCATTACAATGCCACATTCAAAAGAAATAATCCCACTGCCAATGCCTTGAAAAGTTCTGCAAGTCATTGAATAGACGGAAAGGAGAGGGAGCAGGGGAAATTCTCTCTCGTCCTCTTTGTTCAATGTAGTCCCACACCAGTGGAAGTTATCCCAGGAATTCCTAACCCTTCTCCTACCTTCCAGAGCTTTTCTTCTGTAGGTAGCTCTCTTTCCTCTCTAATAAAGATGGTGATATGGTTTGGCTGTGTCCCCACCCAAATCTCATCCTGAATTGTAGCTCCCATAATTCCCACTTGTGGGAGAGACCCAGTGGGAGATAACTGAATCATGGGAGTGGTTTCTCCAATACTGTTCTCATGGTAGTGAATAAGTCCCATGAGATCTGATGGTTTTGTAAGGGGTTTCCCCTTTTGCTCGGTTCTCATTCTTTCTTTCCTGCCACCATGTAAAACGTCCCTTTGCTCTTCCTCCATCTTCCACCAGGACTGTGAGGCCTCCCAGGCCATGTGGAACTGTGAGTCCATTAAACCTCTTTTCCTTTATAAATTACCCAGTCTTGGGTATGTCTTTATTAGCAGCATGAGAACAAACTAATACAGCTAGTCTCAACTTCTGTTCTCCTTCCTTCTCTTCATTTACACCATTCCCCCTGATGAAGACAAGGGACCCAAAGCCCAGTAGACAAGCAAACAAAGCTACTCTTTAAGGTGGGGGAAGGAAAAAGGCTATGATCAAACATCCCAGTTATCTATGAGGGTATTTCTGGATGAGATTAACATTTGACTCAGCAGACCAAGTAAGGCAGATTGTCCTCCTAGTGTGGGTGGCTTCTGGACTCCAACTTAAACCATTGGCTCTCCTGGTTTTCAGACCTATGAACTCAAGCTGCAACCATCCTATTGGCTCTCCTGAATCTCCAACTTGCTCACTGCAGATCTTGGTACTTCTCAGCTTCCATAAAGGCATTAGCCAATTTCTTGCAATAAATACATAATCTTCTGTTGGTTCTTTTTCTCTTGAGACCACCAATACAGATTTTGGTACCAAGAGTGGGATGTTGCTGTAAGAAATACCTAACAATCTAGAAGTGGCTTTGGAACTGGGTAATTGATAGAAAATGGAAGAGTTTTAAGATTTATGCTAGAAAAAGCCTAGATTGCCATAAAGGGACTGTTGGTAGAAATATGGATGTTAAAGATATTTCTGGTAAGCATTCAGAAAGAAAAGAGGAGAGCTGGAGAGAAGCATTCATCTTCTCAGAGAATAATCAGAAACAGAATGTTGGTAGAAATAAGGCTGAAGCATGAGAATTGCCTGAACCTGGGAGGCGGAGGTTACAGTGCACTGAGATTGTGCCATTGCACTCCAGCCTGGGTGACAGAGTGAAGCTCCATCTCCAAAAAAAAAAAAAAAAAAAAGTGATCCTGCTATAAAGTGGCAAACAATCTGGCTGAATAGCATTCTAGTGCTTTTGGGAAGGTAGAACTTGCAAGTGATAAAATTAAATATTTAGCAGAAGCGATTTCTAAACAAAGTATTAAAGGTGCAGTTTGGGTCCTCCTTACTGCTTATAGTAAAATTCGGGAAACATGAGATAAACTGAAGAAATCAAAAGCAAAAAGGAATCAGAGGCTGGGTGTGGTGGATCACGTCTGCAATCCTAGCACTTTGAGAGGTTGAGGTGGGTGGATCACTTGAGGCCAGAAGTTCAAGACCAGCCTGGCGGACATGATGAGACCCTATCTGTACTAAAAACACAAAAATTAGCTGGGCATGGTGGTGCATACCTGTAATTCCAGCTACTCAAGAGGCCGAGGCATTAGAATCGCTTGAACCCAGGAGGTGGAGGTTGCAGAGAGCCAAGACTGTGCCACTGCACTCCAACCTGGGTGATAGAGACTCTGTCTTAAAAAGAAAAAAAAAAAAAAAGGAACCAGAACTTGGGGACTTGGAAAATTTCTTAACCTATCCATATTGCAAAAATTAAGAAAGCTTACTCTGAAGAGATCACTAAGGGTGTGGCTGAGCAACCATTTGATAACAGATCATGAGTGTGACTCATATACTTAATTAGCCATCTCAGCTGAAGCCAGGAATACCGACGGGATTATACCAGAAAGACCCTGATAGCTGGAAAGAAAGGGGACAGAGAAAATGGGAAAGAATGAAGGTAAGCTGTCAGCCTTCTCAGATTCTATAGGACTAGACCATATCACTATTTGGCTACAAACATGCACTATTTAAGCAAAGGAAAGAAATGACCCCAAAGGCAACTCAGAGATCAGGGTGGCCACTCAGTGTGTGTGTGTATGTTTTGGAGGAGGGGGCACAGGCAGGAGAAGAGCTGAGTTCCTCCTCAGTTTCCGAGGGAAGGTCACCCTGCCAAGCCACAAGGATGACACTGCATCAAAGCAAAGAGGATTTATTCTTGAGGCTTAAGATATAATGGAATTTGCCTCAATAGGTTTTGGACTTGCTTGGGACCCATTAACACTTTGTTTCCTATTTTTCCTTTTTGGAATAGGAATGTCAATCCTACACCTGTCTCACCATTGTGCTTGGGACGCACATAACTTGTCTGGTTTCAGAGGTTCACAGCTGGAGAAAGATAGGAATCATAGCTCAAGTCTCACCCATACCTGATTTAGAAGATATTTAAATGAGACTTTGTACTTTAAAGTGAGAATGAGTTTAGATTCTGGGGGCTGCTGGGGTGGAATGCATATATTTTGCATGTGATAAAATGAATTTGGGGGAAGGGCTAGGGACAGAATGCTATGAACAGCATATGTTCACCCAAAATTCATATATTGAGAGCCTAACCCCCAATAAGGCTGTATTTGGAGACAGGGTCTCTAGGAGATATTAAGATTACATGAAGTCATCAGGATGGAGCCCTAATCCAATAGGATTGGTGCCCTTATAAGAAGAAGGGAAACCAAAGCTAGCTATCTCTCTGCCATATGAGGACACAGTGACAAGGCAGTCATCTGCAAGCCAGGAAGAAAGCCCTCATCAGAAACTGAACAATGCCAGACCATAATCTTGGACTTTCCAGCCTCTAGAACTATAAGAAATAAATCTCCGTTGTTAAGCCACCCAGTCTATGGTATTTGTTAAGGCAGGCTAAGCTAATTATACTTTCTGTACCTTGGTTTTCCCATCTGTGAAATGGGGATACTTATGCCATTATCTTACGCTTGTTGTAAGAACAAGTTAACACATGGAAAGCATAGAGAACAGAATCCAGCATATAATAAGTACTATGTCTTTGTGAGCAATGGTTATAAAGACGAAGTCTTTGTGCTCAAGGTGTTTGGCTGTCTACCTTGCACAAAAGGTGCCATTTGGCCTTAGCTGGGTATCTAGAAACCCTTGAAAACTCTCACTCCC
Organism: Homo sapiens; assembly: GCF_000001405.40. Taxonomy (NCBI): domain Eukaryota; kingdom Metazoa; phylum Chordata; class Mammalia; order Primates; family Hominidae; genus Homo; species Homo sapiens. The sequence goes on from NC_000002.12 coordinate 70,776,707, forward strand.
CTTGGCCAATGTTTACAACTCTTTTAGCTTAAGTCTTCATTTCTATTAAGGTTAATTTCTATTGGAAGGGTAACAGTCACTTATTTCTCAAAGCAATGAAAAAAAGATGTAGGTCCCCAGAGGATGACAGTGAGTTGGAAGCAAAGGATGAAGCCCCTGAAGCCTATTTCTTCAAAGCATGAAGTTAAGGAGAAGGCAGAGTGGAGTAAACTTGAGAGAGGCAAGGCTATTTAAAAGGGTAATTGTTAAACTCGGAATTACTACAAAACTTCTTTTTTAAAAAAGAGACTCCCACGGGGCACAGTGGCTCATTCCTGTAATCCCAGCACTTTGGGAGGCTGAGGTGGTTGAATCACCTGAGGTCGGGAGTTCGAGACCAGCCTGACCAACGTGGAGAAGCCCTGTCTCTACTAAAAATACAAAAATTAGCTGGGCGTGGTGGCGCATGCCTGTAATCCCAGCTACTCAGGAGGCTGAGGCAGGAGAATCACTTGAACCCAGGAGGCGGAGGTTGCAGTGAGCCGAGATCACACCGTGCCACTCCAGCCTGGGTGATAAGAGTGAAACTCTATCTCAAAAAAAAAAAAAAAAGAGAGACTCCAAAACTTTCAAGACTGCATTTATTTGTCTCTAGAAGGTAACCCTGGGCCTTTTCATTTTTCATACTTGTGGAAGTCTGAAACAGAGAAAACATTCCATTATAAATAGTTAAAAATAAGAACCGTTTACAAAAGAAATAAAGAAATATGCAAAAAATTAATTTTATTAGTAATCAAAGATGTTTAAATTTAAAGATACTACTTTTTTACCCATTAAGATTCCTTCTTTTAATAGAGCTCATTGCTAAGAATGTGATGGAATTAGCACTCTTATTATACAGCCAGTGGTGTTATAAATTGGCACTATGCATCAGGTTATAGAATGACCTACCTGTGACTCAGCAGTTCTACTTCTGGGAATCTATCCTGCAAAAACAATACAAAATACAGAAAGGGCTAAACACATCGGTTATTTGTCACGTTTAAGAGAACAAAAAACTGAGAACATAGTGGCCAACAGTAAAAAAATTGTCCCACCTAATGGGTCACATAAACATGCCAGTGATAGAAAAATCAAGAACAGGCACACAATGTTATGTACCTGATGATAATTTTTTATTTTAGTTGCAAAGGAAAAGAAATGGGAAGGATTTTAGTGTATTTCCATCAGTGGTTTTACTAACGTGGCAAGATCATTTTGTCTCTGCTCAATTTTCTGAAACTCTCAACTTGAAGAAAAAATAAACCCATGACTGAAAAATAAAGCCGCTCAAGTCATGGTCAGGCATTTTGGATACTGAAACCTATTATGTACATCACTGTGGATGGTAAAGCACCGCAATCAAATGCTTTAACTTAGCCTTAAACATTTATCTATTTTCTAGTCCACCCTCCTTTACATTTCAAAGTTGAGTTTTGTTAGAACGAAAGTGGTTAAAAAGGACTTAACACTATCACCCACATCCCCCCCAACCCCAACACTTCACTGACTTGCAGGTATTGGGCAAGTTACTTCTGTTCCTTAGTTTCCTCACATGTAAAATGGATATAATTGTTTGTATAGCACAGGGTGGTTGTGAAAATTAAATAGGTTAATATGTATACACTGCCAGGAGCAGTCTCTGACACAAAATATGTATGAGTAGCTTTTTTTTTCTAATCTTGATCGAGTCTTTCCACTATACAAGTGATCAACATTTCTTTCTTTTTATAGTTCAGACCTAGCTTTGGAAGCTTTATTTTTAAAATAAATTTTAATTTTTTTCATATTTAGAATTTTTTATACTTGAGACAAATTCATATAAATTTACCTGAAGGATTAAAGGATGACAATATTCTGCCTATAGTCTACTGCATTTTAGAACATTTATTTTAGTTTGTTTTTAAGAATTAGCTGGAAAATTTCAGAAACGTAATATTTAAGTATGAGAATAGAAAAACTTGCCAAAGTTTATAAATGTTGTCTTTATTGTCACAGCTCATTAAAAATTGGCTGTTGGTCTCATCTAAGCCAAAGAGTTTAAGGTCCAAGAAGAGGGTAGTCTGGAGAATAGAAACCCAGTTTGCTGCTTAATATCTTTAAGAAGGCAGGCACACTCCAATTGTTGGCAGTGTGGCTGCAGAATTTGACGTATTATCCAATGTACATTCCTCCACCCACTGAGCCAGGCTTGGTGAGGGAGATGGGGTAAACAGAAATCCTTGCTCACTCAGCTTTAGAGTTCAGTCCCTGTTCCTATGATAATCTGAAAAGCAAGGCTCTTTCCAAAATCCCAGAGAACCACAAGCATAGGCACCATCACAGCACCAGCCCCTAAATCCCCAAAGTATAGAGAGCACAGTAAAATCCCAGGGCTATAAATGCAGTCGCCGGAGCAGCTTTTCCTCTGAGCCACTGTGCCTTTAGACCAGGGCAGAAAATCCCAACACCTTACCAGGTGAAATATGCTACTCTGGTGCAGGAAGGAGTGGGGAGGACTGGGACAAACCAGAAGGCACCCACCCCATTAAATGGGAAACAACTTTGGAAAATGCTGGGCTGACTAATCTCATCAGAATATGCCCCATGGGCTATTGGTGAACCCCAGGGCAGATGACTGTGCTTCTCAAGCAAAGCGAGACCCATCACTTACTGTGGTAGAAGTTTTACCATCGTATAGAGCCACTACCTGGGGGAATGTGAGGTGGAAGACAGAAGAAAGAGGCTTCAGGTCTTTCCCAAGGTGCTAATGAATTCATCCCAACTAGCCAAACCGTCTCATTTCAGAGCTTAAAATGCTATAGGAAGAAATGTCCCCAGTGAGTAATTTCACAGATTACCGCAACTTGGAACAGGGGTGGTAGGAGTCTACCATCCACACAGGATTCTTTCTCTCAGAAACTCTTTCAAGGAACATTCCCATGACATGCCAGAGTTTGGAAATATATACTGGCAGCATACCAAGGCCCCTGTAACAGATACTATGTCTCTCCATATGTCCCTTTCCAAAGGCCCTCAAGCCCCAGCACTCTTGGCATCTCACTCCAAAATTGAGGGTGGTCTTTGTCTAGAGACATGGTCTCTACAGTGTCACTGGCAACTCTGAACAAAATTTAGAGCCATGCATAATATGAAATGCCAGAACCATAACCACGAGTGGCAAATAGAAGGAATATACAATGGCAAGACAGCGAACAGCCTGCCATCTAGCAATGCCAACCCCAATATGGCAAAAACCTACACTTTGAAGCTCTAATTTTAAACAGGCCTCTCCTGGACCTTGAAATTAATTTTTCTCCCTACCAACACCACATGCTGTGGCTTCTCATGGCTCACGGCCCTCTCTGTCTGCACGAATACTTGCCAATTCATTCCCCGAGTGAACTTCTGGGGCTCTGGCCCCAGACGTTAATCTCCATCCCTGTCATCAGCAGATTCTCATGCACTTCATTTGGGACTTTGCCTCCCAGGAATGTTGTTGATCTTGCACAGCCTGCTCTGACCCCATCTCCAAATCCCCCAAAACGCCCATCCCTGCCACTACCAGGATTTCATTCCCTGGGTCCTCATCAAGGGTAGGGAAAAGGGTGCCACTCCTGCAAACTGAAGCTGGAGAGGGCCTGCCTCCCAAATCTTAAGCTCCTCTGGATATGAGCATTTCTGTCCAATGAGTCACATTATCTGTCACTAGGTCTCTAGTCTGGACAGGATCCTGAAACCTTATGGAGTCACCGCTTCAGGAAAGCTGGGCTGAATCTTTACGAGGATCCTTTTGTCAAATAAAGGTCAGCCTGAGCATCACTTCCTTGGACCCTTTTTATCTTGAGCCCACCCTGGTTCCTGATTGTAAAATGCAAGCTTTTTATACAGTTAATAAAGGTGATATTGAATAATCGCTCAACTCACATATAATTAAAGATCTCAGAGATAAATGTTAACAAAGAGAAAACTAGCCAGAAAGACGGCTGCACAGTAGGTACTTCAAAGAAAATGCGAGTTCTTCTCCCTCCTAAACAATTCAGTACTAATGTCATCAGTTGGGTCACAGTTAGGTAGTGAGAAGCCACAGTGACCCAAGTGAAGTGGTATCAGAGCCCAAGCAGGGTGAGATGGCACCCACATACAGAGGCAGCCCAGCGCAGGATATCAGAGATCCAGCAGATGAGGGGCATATTCACATGGGGGGTGTGGTCCAGTGCAAACATGGTACAGCCCAATCAGGATGAGAACGGCAGCCCCATGAAAGGAGTGGAGGCCTGGCCTGGGGACTCAGAGCCCAAGCTGGGTAAGAAGTCCATGGAAAGGGGCAGTTCAGCATGGAGTAGAGAAACCTGAGCTGAGTAGGCCAGGCACTTGTGTGTGCAGGTGATTTAGCGAGAGCAGGGAGAGGAGGAATCCACATATGAGGGGACCGGCGTGGAACGTCAGAGCCAAGAAGGAGGTTTTTGCGGAGGTACAGCTTGCCATGAGTGTTAAAGTTCAAGTGGGTGAGGAGAACAGCCATGTGGTGAGGGGATGGCAACAGAGATGGGAGATGGGTTATACACAGGGGCATCCTCAGATAAGTGGCTGATTCCAGGGCTGGGATAGAAAAGTACAAGATGAGCTTGGAACACCTTCTGCCAAAAAGGAAATGATCAAATAATCGTGATGACATATCAAACAGAAAGGCTGCCAGCTTAAGGAGCTTTCGCTGGCCACAGTGGGGACAATTGGAGCAATAAAATAATAAAAAATGATAGTATATAATAATCCACTGAATTAAACAGAAAACCATGAGCTCATACTAATATAAAAATGTCTGTATAAAAACAACCAAAATGTTCTAAAATATTTACGTGAACAGTTAAACTGTGGTACATCCACACCACAGATGACTACTCAGCAAAAAGCAGAGGAACAGACCATTTATACAATGTGGATGATCTCAAGGGCATCATCTGAGTGGAAAAAGACCATCTGTAAAAGTCACATAATGTATGGTCCCATTTTTATAGCATTCTCAAGATAAATTATAGAGGTGGAGAACAGATTAGTGATGTCCAGGAGTTTGGAAGAATGGAGGGTTGGGAGCAGAGTGTAGGTGTGACCATAAAGGGGCAGCGTGAAGATCTTTGTGGTGATGGAACAGTTCTGCATCTGGATTGCAATGGTGATTCCATGAATCTACACGTGTGATAAAACAACATACAACTATGCATACGTGGTACCAATGTCAGTTTCCCAGTTTTGATATTATACTATAGTTATGGAAGATGCAACCATTGCGGAAAACTGGGCTACGGATGCACAGCACTTTTCTGTACTATTTTTGCAACTTCCTGTGAATCTATAATTACTTCCAAATTACAGATTTGATAAATAAATATAGAATGTTTGATGAGTAATGAGATCTTTACATAGTTTCAAAGCACCTCCTCACAAAATACATATTAATTACAAAAGAAAAAGATTAAAGTGAAAGGCTTGGCAGTCACCACCTTAAGCAAGTGATCAAAGTGAATATCCTTAGAAATAGAATAAATCAAAATCTGCCCCATGTAATAGGATGCAATGAGTAGAAAACAGCATCACTTTTGTTATTCCTGCCGACGATGCATATCTGAATCTAATCGAAAGGAAACAGACAAATGCTGATCAAGACACGCTCTATAAAACAACTGGCCTGTAATCTCCAAACGTGTCATGGTTATAAGTCACAGAAGCACCAAGAAACTCTCCTTCCAGACTGAAGGAGCCATGGCAACTAAATGTAATTCATGATTCTCAGCTGGGTCTTTTTGCTAGAAGAGACATTATTGAGACTACTGGTGAAACTTGAATGGGACCTGAGGATTGTATGGCGGTAACGCCGCAACATTAATCCCCAGACTTAGTGGTTGCATTGTGGCTATGCAGGGGAATGTCCTGTTTGTAAGAAATGTACACTGAAGCCTTAGGGGTGATGGGACATCAGGTTGACCCTCAAATGTGCCAGGAAAAAAGTTCTTTGTACTGCACCTGCAACCTTTCTATAAGTTGACTATTGTTTCAGACTAATTTTTTTAATTTTAAAAATTAATGGCTGGGCATGGTGGCTCATGCCTGTAATCCCAGCATTCTGGGAGGCTGAGGTGGGCAGATCACGAAGTCAGGAATTTGAGTCCAGCCTGGCCAACATGGTGAAACCCCATCTCTACTAAAAATACAAAAATTAGCTGGGTGTGGTGGTGTGAGCCAGCTACTCGGGAGGCTGAGGCAGGAGAGTTACTTGAACCCGGGAGGCGGAGGTTGCAGTGAGTCGAGATGGTGCCACTGCACTCCAGCCTGGCAACAGAGCGAGACTCTGTCTCAAAAAAAAAAAAAAAAAAATGATTTGAATGTGAAAGGATGAAAAATCCTTGACAAAACTGATGAAATACTAGAATGCTTCTGCAAAAAAATGGCACTCTTTACAATCAGGCCTCAGAAGTCATACTTGACAGAAGTGACATGCACTGTCTATAAAAATCTCAAACGTCGAGTCTTCCTTGGTTCATTCTACAAATTAGCACTCTTCCAATTAACAACAAACTTGGTTGGCTAAAAAGACTAAATATTAAGTGTTTTACTCCCTTTTTTGAAGGAAATTCCAGTCAGAACATCTCTGGCTTTTACTAGGAAACGTTAGTCCCCACTCTAAATTAGTGTACTATACGTGGCCTATGCCCAGGTTCAATTATCCTTGGAAAACAAGGACCTCCCATCAAATGTACTTGCTACTAGTACTGCCAAGCACAGGCCTGCTCTGCTACTGCAGAGGCTCCTGTCCCAGCCCAGGTCCAACAGGACTGGCAGGAAGGTGTAGCCAGGTGGCTCACCATGACAGTGACATGATGACACCTACCTGACAAGGATCAATGAGGATTAAGTGCAAGTAAGATTTTCACCTTGATACTAGCATTTGCAGAAGCATTACTCTTCTTAGATAGTCAGGCTCAAGGTCTAGCTCAGGTCATTTTTTTTTTTTTTTTGAGATGGTGTCTCACTCTGTCACCCAGGCTGGAATGCAGTGGCATAATCTCAGCTCACTGCAACCTCCCCTCCCAGGTTCAAGCGATTCTCCTGCCTCAGCCTCTTGAGTGAGTAACTGGGACTACAGGTGCCCGCCACCACGCCTGATTTTTAGTAGCAATGGCGTTTCACCATGTTGGCCAGGCTGGTCTCGAACTCCTGACCTCAGGTGATCCGCCCACCTCGGCCTCCCAAAGTGCTGGGATGACAATTGTGAGCCACTGCGCCTGGCCCCACTCTTTTGTTGTTGTTGCTTTTAGTCATTCCATGTCAGCTCATGTAGTAGCAACAGGAATTCTGTCTCCTATGGGTTGACTGGCCAGCGAAATCTTATATCTCAAGTGGTCAGAATATGAAAATCTACACTGAGCATATGCACAAATGAATCCTAGAACACAATTAATCTAATCAGAAATGGAAGCCAAGGCCGCCCACCACCTCTCTCCCCACCCCTGCCCTGCCCCCACCAGCCAGCAGGAAGCCTGTAGGACCTCAAATCAGAGCACAACATTGGTGAGAGCCAAGTGAGAAAACTCAAAACACTGGCTACAGAGCTAGAATACCTGTGGCTCATTATTGCTCACTAATCAATGTTGATTGCTCATGAGTCAAGAGAAGTTGGTATCTATCCAAGTGACGTGACAGGTATTATGCCAGATACTTTGCTGACATGATATCATTTGGAGTTAGTTATCTTATATACAAGGTAGGTACAATTATTATACCCATTGCTCAGATGGAGAAACTGAGGATTAGAGGCATTTAGTAGCTCATGCAAGATTATACAGCTAGCAAGTGGTAAAACCAGGGTTTAAACCTCAGTAGTCTGTTCCCAGAGCCTACTCTCAACTGCTCGCCTCAACTGCCTCCCTCCAACCACCATCTGTGACTCCACAGCCCCCACTGTCCCTTATATCATACCATGCAACATGTTTGTTACAGCATGCTTACTTCACATTCCTATACACCTTTCTTATTTCAATAGTAATTGTGTTGCAGAGTAGGATAGAGCAGGGGCCTCATTTATGAATACCAGTTCACAGCAAGGGCAAAAAGTCCACTTCTGGACTTGGAGAAGCATGCTGCCACTTCCAGCTGTCTCTTTAGTTGACAAAGTAATAACAGACAATAAACTCCTTTGTTATTTCATTTAAAATGTTGTCTTACAACCAGCACCACCCCCCACCACAAAAAAAAAAAAAAAGTATCACCAAACATGCATCTTTATGTATGGCAAGCTACTTACTTCTTTTTCTGGAGACCATAGAGTCCAGAAAACCTTTTGATGGGTTAAATAGGATCATTTAAAAGATAAACTTAGGTCTGTATTGGGTGGTTCTGGGGTTAAATAGGATCATTTAAAAGATAAACTTAGGTCTGTATTGGGTGGTTCTGGGGTTAAATAGTTTCATTTAAAAGATAAGCTTAGGTCTGTATTGGGTGGTTCTGGAGGAGTTTCCCCTTCCCTGGAGCCGCTTACCAGTTAATTTAGAAACAAAATAATCTCCCAAACTAGTAAACCCCACTGCCCCACCCAAAGGCTTTCATTAAATTATCTTGTTTTAATCATGTTTTAGCATGGAAAAATGACTCATATCTCAAAGTATACATTTTAAGGTTCTGATATCTGTATGGGTATTTAAGAAGGAATATTTTACCAGACTTCTGGTTGGGGAGATAATTTCAGTCGTAGACATCACACTGTGGCGACAAGCGTGTGCTGGCTCACCACTGCCACCATCTGCCCAAGGCCCTTCCTCTTCATTCTTCAAGCCGAAAGCACAGCTGATATGTTGGGTGATGTTTCTTGACAGCTGTCTTGCCGAGGATGTATGTGATTCAGAACTGTTGTTACTATAGCTCTGCTCATCTGGGTCTTGTTTCTGGAAACCATATTTAGTTGTCAAACAGTATAATATGACAGAAAGATTTTGATGACTTAAACTAATATATTTCAAAGTTTTAACTGATGAGGTTTCATTTAAATGATAAGGGCAATGCTTAAGTCATTATGGAGAGAAAAGCATTGTTCAATTGACCGTATTTTGTTCTCCTATCATCTTAAAATGTTATGCAATAGGTAACTGCATTAAAAATATTATGGCATGGAACAGATGGTATGTTTTACAATGAACAAAGCACTTCTGTTACACAATTGACATGCAAGAGAAAACTAAGGTAGCCACCTACACATGTCCAAACACTGTGACCATACCAAAACCCAACCATCCAGTTTGACCAACAGGACAATTCACTCCTGCCATCGCAGAATGTAGCTTCCTAGCAGTCACCTGGCTAGGACTAATGGAGAAGAAAAAAATATTCAAAGGTACTATCATACACCTGGAGATTTCTGCCCCAAATTTCTAGGATAATTGTTTCTTTTCTCTCTAGTATCTCTCCTTCTGTTCCTAAACATGATCAAATTTCTACATAGGAAAGACCTTCACTTGATCTAACAACTTTTCTGCCTTTTTTTTTTTTTTTGGCAGGGGGTGCAGGGAGTGGGGTGGGGGGTGGTTCTTCTTTCCACTCTCGGACTTCTAGGTTTTCTTTTTTTTGGGGGGGGACAGAGTCTCGCTCTGTTGCCAGGCTGGAGTGCAGTGGCGCCATCTCAGCTCACTGCAAGCTCCGCCTCCCAGGTTCACGCCATCCTCCTGCCTCAGCCTCCTGAGTAGCTGGGACTACCGGCGCCTGCCACCACGCCCGGCTAATTTTTTTGTATTTTTAGTAGAGATGGGGTTTCACCATGTTAGCCAGGATGGTCTCGATCTCCTGACCTCATGATCTGCCTGCCTCAGCCTCCCAAAGTGCTGGGATTATAGGCGTGAGCCACCGCGCCTGGCAGACTTCTAGGTTAAATGGACTTGAAGTTTGCCACTTTCCTCTGAATCTGCTTGGATTCCAGATATTTACCAATCATGCACCCTCAATCTCCTCCAAGTTGATGCCCAGCCCAATTCTCTTTCACCTTTCAAGTGCTAGACATGGTGCTTCCCCCAGTCCTGGCCTTCTTCAGCCTCTCTGTAACCTCTCACACTCCTCACCTTTAGTTTCCTAAGGTTCTCTCCTCCTCAACTTTATGACCCCATCTTGTTCCTCTACCTTCTTGCCACATTCTAATGATGATTCCTTCCTCCTACCAACAGAGTTGCTTAGGGCTCATTTCTAAGGCCTTTTCTCTCTTCCTATTTTGTTTCCCCAGATGACTGATTCATTTTCAGCCCATCAATGTTTGCCTTTCCCTGGAACAAGTCCATAAAACCAGTCCACACTTTACTTTGCCTAATGGACACTTCTGAGCTATCTCACTCTCATAATGGTGGTGACATTATGATACTTCACAGTTTACAGGGCCATTTGTGTCATTCCTGCTGAATGGTTGCAAAACCCCATGAGACTGGTATCACCAGACCATTGCTGAGCTCTTCAGTTGGCCTTAGGGAGGGTCTCTCCTAAGAGAGGTTCCTTGGGGAAAAGAAATGCCTCTTCCTTCCTGTGTCCTGTCTGATGTGCATTCTACTGTAGGGAAACAACCAAAGTGCTTTTAGGAAAGCCCCCTCCTATGTCCAGCTGTAGAAATCCTATCAAAGATTCAACAGTCAGGAGCTAGGTGCCCTGGATAGTGACCATAGGCAAGTATAGATGGTCAGGGACTCAACTCTAAAGCTCATGTAGCTCTGGGTTCAAATCCCAGTCCTGACTTTTTCAGAGCTGTATGGCCTTAACTATATTTTGGTTTCCTTCTCTGTCAAATAAGGGTCATAAAAATAGCTTAGAGGTTATAAACCTTAAGTGGAAAGTATACATATATCACTTGGCACAGTGTCTCGTACATAGAAAAGGCCTAATAAATGGTGGCTATCATTATTCTAAAATCTTACACCTTTACCTTTGAGTCTTTGGCTCCTTCCAAAAGATCACTGAGAACCTGTATATATTCAGTCGCACCTTTAAGGATATCAACTTTGCTGGGCTTCCTGCTTTGGGGAAGAAATGGCACAAGTGCCTTCAATCTGGCAAAACCACGGTTGAGATTTTTTATCTAGAAAACAAAAAGGCACAGTAACACACAGAGAAGCCAATTTGTATAGACATCTCCCCAAGCTACAGAAGGGGGTTGTTTCCACTGCCTCCTTGTCTGAGTGGCAAATCTAAACAGGCATATGCCCCAAAGAGTCAGTGCTCCACCAGCAGTGCAGTTCATAGTAAAGGAAGAGGGAATGGCATAAACTTGGTACTATGGGCAGATGGGCTGCAAGGTGTGTTCATGTTCATGCTGAGCTCACTCCTCTTCTTTTGAGAGCATACCCGCTGTATCATAATGCGGAGGCAGTAGAGGAGTGGCTAAAATATGAATTAACTACACCCAGGTTTAAAATCCAGGTCTATCATTTACAAGAGTGTGTGGAATACTTCACATCACTAAGCCTGTTTGTTCATCTGCAAAATGGAAAATATCTTAAAGCTTTTTGGGGGGTGTGATTAAGTGATATAATGTACAAATAAGATACCTCACCCAAACCTGGCACATAGAAAGTCCTCAAGAAGTGGTATTGCTGGTGATGAATCAAATGTACAAATACTTGTCAACTCAAGCACTGAGCCATCAGCTCTTCAAACTCTTTCCCCACTGAGTTAATGATATAGAGGCAAGGGTGAGAATCCAGAGAGTTGGTGAGACTTCAAAGGCTCCTCATATTTTATTTTTCTCTCTTCTCCAGAGTCTAATCCCTGTCTCTGAAGGCCTATAATTCTGATGTTCATCCCCCTGGGAGATACAGGCCTTGGGAGAACTGGCTCCCACTATGCCACAAAGCCAATATATATTGAGTATATCCTACCCTGGAGCAAACCAGACAAGGGACATAGTTGGCCAATTCACAGGAGAATACAACAACCACTCAGTGTATAAAAAGAATTTAATAATCAAAGAACTACAAACTAAAACAGAAATTAGATACCATTTTTTATGTATCAAGGTGGTAACATTTTTGTTTTATCATACCCAGGATAAGGGATAGCTTGAAAAAGAGAACAGTCCTAGACCTGTAAGAAGGGATAAAAATTAGTAAACCTATCTAGAAAGCAATTGGGTAACTTGTATCAAAAGCCATTCCATTGTATATGCCTTAAGTCTCAGTAATTTCACTTGTAGCATTTTATTCTAAGGAAATTATCAGACACGCACATAGAGTTACACCGATAGGTACCGGTAAAAAGCTACAAACAGCAAACATGCCTAACAATAAGAGACTGAATACATTATGGTCCATTTTTGGACAGACTATGCAGTCAAAAACTATTCTTTGAAAGAATACTTAAGAATATAAGAAAATGCTTTTGATAATGTTAAGTGGAAAAAATTACACAAATATGTACTGAATATTTTGTAAAAATTATATATATATATATATGAATACACAAAACTAGAAAAAGACTGGGTGGATATACACAAAAATGTTCACAGTAGTTATATCTGTGTTGTGTCTCTTAACTTCTTCACTCATTTCTGTCTTTTCCAAGTGTGTTAACCTTATCATTATAAAGAATAATAAAGCTTATTCGTGTTTTAGTGGATAAAACCAGGACTGATTCTCTGGAGAAGACAATTCCTTCCTGGTGGGAAGGACCACTTAAACTATTAGATCATAATCTCTTTGTAGGGCCACCGAATCAGATCACAGGGTTCTGTCCATCAAGAGTCTAGTACTGGTAAAAGAGGAGACTTAAAGAAGTCTCCTACTCTCCTGTCGTCCTTTCTGCGCTTGCCCTCTCCCTGCAAAGCTCCTACTTGATTCACTGGGACATTTCTGAAAGGCCTAGGAACAGCCCCGGGCGGTACTTCTCTCCCCAGTCCCAGTCCTGAACGTGCGCTCTGCTCCCTCTTCTACCCCTCACCCTTCTCTCTCCTGGATTCGCCTCTGCTGCAACCAAACCCGTAGACTGCAAACGCTAGGAAGGAGACCATGTCTCCCAAGTTTGGGGCTGAGTTTCGTTAGATAGTAAAATCTACCAGCAGGTGCCGCTCCAACCACGGCCCACAGGACCCTTCCCGTTTGCGAGTTGCTGCGGCTCGACTGGGAAACACTCACTTTATCTTGACAGAGTTGAGTGGGAGTCTTGGGTGCACACTGGGACGTCGTGTTTCGTTACTTTAAAAAAGAAAAGTCACTTCCGTCAGGCCCCCCTTTCTCCTCACCCTCGTGTGTGCTTCGAGGCCGAGATGCAGAGAGCAAGAAAAAGGAGCGAAGGGGATCCCTGCGCGTCCCAAGCACCCACCAGCGCCTACGGTGTGAGATGAAGGCGCACCCCCTGGGCGCGAAGCTTTTAAAGCACCTGCCCAGGGAGACATTTTTGAAGTTGTCAGGGCCCCTCCTCTGTCCCCTCCCAGACCCGGGTCCTGCACAAATCCTGGAGGGTTAGCGGGCGAGGCGGCCACCGCAGCGGCCGCCAACGAGCAGCTGCACGGAGGTGCAGAAGAAGGAGGCCACTGCCATTCTCCTGACAAGCTGGGGGCGTGGGAGGCCTCGGGAGCTCGAAGTCGCCTCGAGCGGGGGTGGGCGGTGAGCGGACCCCCGGGTGTTGACCAGGTGTTTGGTGGTAGAGCAGGGAAGGGGGGAACGGACGTCGACCCTAGGGATCCCTCACCCGCTCACGCTCCTTGGCGTTGGCCACACGCCGCCGCTCCAGCACCAACTGGAGGTTTTCAGTGGACGAGTAGCCGCCCGAGGGCAGCCGCTTGAGCCGGCAGACAGCGGCCAGCTGGGGCAGCGGCCCGAACTGCTCCCGCAACACGTCCTCCAGCACCTCGGCTTGCGGGGTGCCCAGGAGCGCGGGCGGCGCGGCGCGGGGATCTAGGACGCCGGGCGCGGGGTCCATGGCAGGGCCGAGGCCGCTGAGGCCGGGCTTTCACCTGCGCACCCGGGGCCGCACGAGGCCCGGGCGGGGGCGGGGCGGGGGCGGGAGCTGGACCACCTGCAACCATTCCCCGGCTGCGTATTCCAATCCCGGCCTCCTCTCTGGAGGCTGCGTCCAGGCATCGCGTTGAATAAGCCGCACAGGTGTGACTCGGGAGCGCTGGAGCGCAGCCCCGGCTGCACACCTGGAACCGCCGGGAGCGTGGTAGTGGTGTTTTTCTCAATCCACATGCCACGGTTCCAGTCCCCCAAATTCCCATTTAATCAATCTGTCTTGGGGCCTGAGCTTCTGGCTATGTGTATACAGAAAAATGTGATGGATATCCACAAAACTTTTTTAAGAATTCGTTTTGAAATAAAAGTTGCGGGGAAAATGGCAAGAAGAGTTTCTAAGAGCTCCTGTACCCCCTTCGCCACGCTCTCTACTTGCTAAGTTTTCACGTTTGCTCCGTTGCCCTCTTTCTCGCTGTGAATATTCTCATTTTCATTATTCTTTTTCCATTCTATTTGAACTATTTTCTTTTTTCGCGAGTGGGGGGATACATCGCTTTATTCATTTTCCCCCTTTTCCACACAGACCTTTATTGTCAACACAGCCAAACACAGTTGTTACTTCAGAAAATGTGCTGGAAAATAGCGATCCCAAACTTGTTTAATAGTAGAGTACAATTTAGTACTCTAGAAATAATTAACTACATCTTCTGTTTTGAGTAGATTACTCATGAGAGTTTGTTTCTCTGGAGGTTATCAATATAACTGGAACATTCTGATCTTGCACCTGAAAATCAGACATGTTTCTGGAAGCCCTCTGTAAAATCATTCCTTCCAAGCATAGAAATACATTTTTTTTTCTTTGGTCTGAGAAAATATTTTTTCTACGCTTTTGTTTCAGGTTCAGGGGTATATGTGCAGGTTTGTTAAGTGGGTAAATTGTGTGTTGCTGAGGTTTGGTGTACGAATGATCCCGTGGCGTAAGTAGTGAGCCTAGTACCCAATAGGTATCCTTCCAACCCACGCCCCCCTCTTACTTCCCCCTCAAGCAGACCCCAGTGTCTATTGTTTCCATCTTTGTGTCCCTGTGTATTCAATGTTTAGCTCACACTTATAAAGTGAGAACAGGCAATGTTTGGTTTTCTGTTTCTGTGTTAGTTCCCTTACAATAATGACGTCTAGCTGCATCCATTGATCTATTCTTTTTTTAAAGTTTTTAAGTTGCAGACATGCTGTCATATCACCTCTAAATACTCCAGTGGGTATTCCCCCTAAACAAGGCCTCTCTTCCACATAACCGCAACACAACCACTCAAACTAGGAAGTAAGCATTGGTACTGTGCTACCATACAATCCATGGACCCCATCAAAGTACCACCAGCTGTCTCAACAATGTCTTTTTCTCTTCTGGTTGGAATCCAATCCAGGAGTACAAGTTTTATTCTGTTGTCATATTTCTACTCTCCTTCATTCTGGACCATTTCCTCCATCTTGTCCTGTCTTCATGCCCTTGACAGTTTAAAAGAGTAGGGGCCTTTCATTCTGTAGTATGTCCCTCGACCTGGGGTTGTCCACTATTTGCTCATGTCCAGACCCCAGCCATGCCTTCATGGAGGGGCTCCATATAAATGATGCTGGGCTCTTCTCAGTGCATCACATCAGGAAGTACATGAGGTTGATCTGCCCCACCACTGGTGATGTTAACCTTAATCGCCTGGTCAAGGTGGTGGTGTCAGGTTTTTTCACCATAAATTGATAAATATTTTGTGGGCCAGGCACGGTGGCTCATGCCTGTAATCCCAGCACTTTGGGAGGCTGAGGCGGGCGGATCACGAGGTCAGGAGATTGAGACCATCCTGGCTAACATGGTGAAACCCTGTCTCTATTAAAAAATATTAAAAAATTAGACGGGCGCGGTGGCGGGTGCCTGTAGTCCCAGCTACTCAGGAGGCTGAGGCAGGAGAATGGTGTGAACCCGGAAGGCGGAGCTTGCAGTGAGCCTAGATCTGTGCCACTGCACTCCAGCCTGGGCAACAGAGCAAGACTCCGTCTCAAAAAATAAAAATAAAAAAAAATTTTGTGAGGAGATACTCCTTCTCATCCATTGTTGACTCCTACCTGAATCAACCAGCACTACAATTAGAGGCAAATGATTGGCATTCTACTGTGAAAAAGAGCTTTCCCTTCTTCCCATTTATTTATTCATTTTGTATTTATGTCAGCATGGGCTCATGAATTTCTATTTTAGTCACAGGATATAATTTATTTACATCATTATGTTAATGCTCAAATTGTCTCAGATTTGGCTTATGGGAGGCCCTCTAAGCTGGCTCCTCTGTCCTTTTCATATGACTCCCTCATTCTTTGTGCACTTTCTCACTTGTCCCAGGAAGGCTCTTCTTGAATTTTCCCAGCCCCAGCCCAGGGATCAGTCTATTCTTCTTTTAGTGGAAGGTAGGATTTAGAAACCAAGATCTGTGTGCTTGCTTGCTCATTCCTTTTGGGATGTCATTGCTTCTAAGCCCTTTTTGCAGATATGACACATATGTAGGTAAGTACACATGCATGTATTATATTATAATAATGCATATAATATCCTCTAATATAATATAATGCATATAATAACTATATCTGTGTATCTAAGTACATATATATTTAAAACCATGAGTTCACACTAATACCTCCAACTCCAACCCAACACCTCAGGTTCCCTCTAGTTTCTCTGCTTTCCTTTTTTGTAACTCCTCACCCCATATCTGCTTTTGTAACTCCCTTCTCCAACAATGAGAAGCTTGACTCACATTATCCTCAGTGTAATTACTTATTTGCTCAATCCCTGTACCTAACCAATTTTCTAACCACATCAGCCACCTCTTAGGCCCCACCCTTCTTCAGCTCCCACTCTGACATTGCCTCCCAGGAAAGGTCAAAGGAAAGAAGGGGACACACCAAATGTTTGACTGAGGTTCCTTGAGCATGGCCTGGGAATGGGGAAGTGTGACTGCACATCACATCCTCTATATAGCTTATTTCACAATAAACACGGGCCACTTCTGTAATTTAAAATATATTTTTAAGTAGGAAAATACTTTGTTTGCGCTAAGTTCATTTGGTGTTGTCTGCTGGCAGGCAGATGGAAAGCAACAAGGGCCAAAAGTGTGGGAAAAAGCTTAAAATGGAGATAGCTTACCCATTTACTTAACTTTCCTTGAAAGCATCATAAAGGACATCATTGATATTATTCTATTTTATTGCCAAACCTTGCAGTGAACAAGGTGGTGTACATTAGGAACCCATTGTGAGCACACCAGATTTGATTCCTTCATACCTGTGTTCTTCCATAAACTCCAACTCTTAACTTTCTGGCCTCTGGTCTGTTAGATTCATACGTTATGTCATTGTTCTCAGGGAAAGCAATCATGTGAACTGATTTAAGCTAAAGTGTTACACCTGATGGTGACTTAGGGCTGATACCTTGCCATACACCCAATAATACAATGGCCTAATGAACAAAAAGTTTCACTATCCTCTAACAGTGTGAAAGGTTTAGGTCAGCTCTGCTCCTCAAGGTCACTTGGGGACTTAGGTTCCTTCCAAATTATTGTTCTTCCATCCCTTAGGGTCAACTCCCCTACAGCATTGTCATCATTGGCATGGCTGAGGCTCGGTAGCCACCGTATCTGGGTTCCAGGAGAAGGGCACGGAAGAGATCTTAAGGCCTGACCAGAGGTGGCACATAGGATTCAACTCACATGCCATTGGCAGGAATTCACACATGGCTACACACGGATGCAAGAAAGGGTGGGGGAATGTAGTCTGACTGGGGAGCCATGTGCCTGGCTACAATTCTGTTCAATGGGGAGAACGCATTTGGTTGACAACAGGAGTCTCTGTCCTAGTGCCCCTCTTCTGTGCTCCAGTAGTGCCCATAAGCCTCTGCGAGATCATTTATTTCTCTTATTTTGGCTCCTTGAAGGAGGATCACTGGCCACAGCATCTCCAGCACCTACGGAGTGCTGGCTTGGCACACAGTAGACATGCAATAAACATTTGTTGAATGAGTGAGAAGGCAAATGAATGAATGATGCTTGCAATGAAGTAAAAAAGCTACTTTGACATGGGTAAAATAAGAACCTGCTTATTCAGGTAAAATCTTTCACGTTTTGCCATAGCTGCTTGACCCTATAATATATATTTGTGAATAAATAAATAGATGAATGAAAAAGCTTACCTAAGTTTACATAGAAAGTAGGAAGATCTCTCTGCCATGGAAAATTGAAGGATAAGTGTCCTCTTAGATGCTGGTGATATACTATGGTTGATATACACAGTACTGGCTCAGTTGCATTCATCCTATACTGCTCTATGGGTCTAGTAGGGAGTTTCCTGTTCCAGGCTGCCTGAAGTATGTGAACATCTTTAGGTCCCAGAATGCATTGCTCTCCTTGTGTTTGCTATTCCTGCTTATTGCTCTTCCTTTGTGGGACCAGACCTCTTGGGATGCAACTGATAACATCCTCTCTTTACTGCTTTTTTGTTTCCTGAGTCCTAAATACCTTGTAGTCCAGTACAATGCCAGCCGAATGGAGTCCACCCTTGGAGTAAGGATGGGGACACACAGCTATCTCAAAACACAATGCCTTGAAGAAAGGGGATCCCTGTCTAGTTTGCTGATTGATACAGACACTAGGTCTCTGAGTCAATGGTGCAAAAAGCAGGATAAGGCTAAAGGACCTTTTACCAATTTCTTATTGTTGCTCTGTTTCAAAAAGCAAGACATGTGCTTGCTTCAAATCATGTTTCTGACCTCAGCTCCATGACTATTACAGGTAGTCGGTAAAATTTCTCTGGCAATTGAGTTACTACCTGTCTTGGTTTCTGCTGCTGCTGTCAGTTTTGCCTTTTTCTGTGTGTTATTATGTATTTTAGAGGGAAATGAGAAGACTCTTGGTCAAATGCCATTTTAAAGAGAAAATTCCCCTAATACTGGCTTTAAATAACACTTTTTTTTCATTTAAAATTAAGAAAGCTATTTTTTCACTTAGGGAGAGTTAGAAGGCATGCAGTAAGAAGGAACTCTTCACCTTTGCCTGATGACATAAGGCTGGGTGAGATGATGACTTAAGGCTGGCACATATTGAATGCTAACAAATGTCACCATTATTGTCACTTCTCTTGCTAGAAAAGCTGTTTCCCTCCATGCCTGTGGGCGGCTAAGGAAAGGTCAAGACTGCTCTGTCTACCTGGGGACAATTAAACAACACTCCTCCCGAATCCTGCCTTGGAAGGGGAGGGCAGGGACAGGAAGGAAAGAGGGGGAACCTTAGCAGTGATCAGGACACACTCCAGGCAGAGGCTTCCAGCAGGCCAGGGAAGCAGAATCTCAGTTTGGACCCCTGGATTTGGAGCATTTGAATTTTTCTGACTTTGGGTAGGGGGACATTTTTGTTTGTTTTTCCCTTAGGCTTTCAATACTCTAGCCTGTTTTACTTGTGCAAAGGGGCCTATGAATGATATTCCTAAAGCCAGGAAGAGGTAATCATGTTAAGCAGAGTGAAAAAAAACCCCCAGGGTTTCAGGGTTGTTGTTTTTTTTTTTTTAAGCAGTACCTCTTTAACAAGCCATCCCTTCCTTTCAGGAACTCCCACCCCAGGTGCCTCATCACCCCACCCCACCCCTTCCAGAAGGGATTGAGAGAGATAAGGTAGGTGGGGTGTCATTCCTGAGCTGTCCCCTTAGAGGCCTCTGCAGGGAGCCTGCCTTGCAGCAGCAAAGACCTCAGGCCATTCCCCCCAGCAAGGCTCAGTGTAGGCTCAGAAGCTCTTCTAGCTATTCTAAGCAGATGCCAAAGGATTTCATTCAGGATCCTGCTGCTTACACAACCATCAGAGGGCTGGAGAGGCAGGAGGAGCTCTGAGTTTGAGAACACACCACTGCCACTGCCATCAACCCCACAAATGTGGGGAAGGGGCCTAGGACACGGTGGTGGAGAAACGCCTGGCCCCATCTCCTTGCTTTCCACAGAAAATATACAAAAGGACAGGAAGGTGAGCTCTGCCTCACTTTCACCCTCTCAATGTCCTACAACAGTTTCTAATTAAATCATCTTAATTGGCATTCAGAACACTGGGTCCTAATTCTGAAAAATGAAGCTTCTGCAGTGCCAAAAGGCATGAGGTGGAGGCAGCCAATCCACATTATCTTCTCCTACGAGACACAGAGAAATTGCCCTCGCTCCATCTCCAGCCGGTCCACCTTGTCAGTCTTTGCCCGTTAGTTACCCTAGGCCTAGCTGAGAAGAACTCTCCCCTGCTGGGTCTGCCCTCCTGGGCACTCAGCATCCCTTATCACGGTGACCACATTGTGGCTCACACATGCCACCTTTCTCCCATTAGCTCAGGCAAGACAAGAAAGAGCTGCTAAAAAAGCAGCTTTAGTAAAGGAAGACCAAGAATGCATTTTAAACAGGGACCAAAGACTATAGTCAAGCCTATATTGCCCAGAATTCCCATCCAAATCGATTTGGCAATTTCATGTTGTTCATATTCACATAAATTCACATTGTTATGATGATATATTATTTTTGACACAGCATTATAATTTTATCCCACTGTATCCTGGGCATTAGACTTTCCTCCCATTGTGCACATGAGAAAATTGATAGAGTTAAATGACCGGGCAAGGTCACGCTGCCGGTCAGTAGCAGAGCCAAGTCTAGAACTCAGCTTTGTCACATTCACTGCACGTTTGTCACATTCACGTTCACTGCAGCTCTCTTTCCTCCAAGTCTGAGTGGCCTCCAACCCAAGAACACTCAGCACAGCCTCACATTTCCAGCTGCTTGGGTCCCGGCACACAGGTCCTGCCTGCTTGCTATGTGGATTATTTCACTTCCCTTGGGGGCCTTCTCTTCCTCCACCCCCACCAAACATGAGCTGGGATTAGTGTATTGTCTACACCACCAGCAGGGTTAAAAGAAGTTCAAAAGTGCCTCTCAGAGAGAGAACAGAGAACAGAGAAAAGGAACAGGCACAGAGACTCTGCCCTTGGGCTTTGTCTCCAGGAAACTGGCCAAAGACCTTCCCTTCCCAGAGCCCCTTAGCTCAAGAGCTTCTCATTGGTGCTGCTGTGCTTCAGAGCCCTGACAAGACATAAAGAGAGACCTACAGCCTCGTGAAGAGGCCCTGGGAAGCTTACAGCCATGTGAGCTGCAGTGGCCTTGCAGAAGAGCTGAGAAAATGAAGCAGAGAGTGGGGGCTACAGGCAGAGGGCCATGGCTGTCAAGGGGGACCTTCTGCAGCAGGGCGTTTGTATGACCTTCAGGCAAGTCATCTGTATTCATCCATTTTCACACTGCTGATAAAGACATAACTGAGACTGGGAAGAAAAAGAGGTTTAATTGTATTTACAGTTCCACATGGCTGGGGAGGCCTCAGAATCATGGTGGGAGACCAAAGGCACTTCTTACATGGCAGTGGCAAGAGAAATGAGGAAATGCAAAAGCAGAAACCCCTGATAAAACCATCAGGTCTCGTGAGACTTATTCACTACTACATGAACAGTATGGGGAAACCACCCCAAAATTCAAATGATCTCTCACTGGGTCCCCCCCGCAACACGTGGGAATTATGGGAGTACAATTCAAGATGAGATTTGGGTGGGGACACAGAGCCAAACCATATCATTCCATCCCTGGCCCCTCCAAATCTCATGTTCTCACATTTCAAAACCAATCATGCCTTCCCAACAGTCCCCCAAAGTCTTAACTCATTTCAGCATTAACCCAAAAGTCCACAGTCCAAAGTCTCATTTGAGACAAGGCAAGTCCCTTCTGCCTATGAGCCTGCAAAATCAAAAGCAAGCTAGTTACTTCCTAGATACAATGGGGGTACAGATATTGGGTAAACACAGCCATTCCAAATGGGAGAAATTGGCCAAAACAAAGGGGTTACAGGGCCCATGCAAGTCCAAAATCCAGCAGGGCAGTCAAATTTTAAAGCTCCAAAATTATCTCCTTTGACTCCAGGTCTCACATCTAGGTCATGCTGATGCAAGAGGTGGGTTCCCATAATCTTGGGCAGCTCCACCCCTGTGGCTTTGCAGGGTACAGCCTCCTTCCTGGCTGCTTTCACAGTCTGGCATTGAATGTCTGCAGCTTTTCCAGGCACACAGTGCAAGGTGTAGGTGGATCTACCATTCTGGGGTCTGGAGGACGGTGGCCCTCTTCTCACAGCTCCACTAGGTGGTACTCCAGTAGGGACTGCGTGGGAGCTCCAACCCCACATTTCCCTTCTGCACTGCCCTAGCGGTGGTTCTCCATGAGTTCCCTGCCTCTGCAGCAAACTTCTGCCTGGGCATCCAGGCGTCCATACATCTTCTGAAATCTAGGCAGAGGTTCCCAAACCTCAATTCTTGACTTCTGTGCACCTGCAGGCTCAACACCACGTGGAAACTGCCAAGGCTTGGGGCTTGCACCCTCTGAAGCCACTGCAAAGCTCTATGTTGGCCTCTTTCAGCCATGGCTGGAGCAGCTGAGACGCAGGGCACCAAGTCCCTAGGCTGCATACAGTACAGGTACTCAGGGCCCTGCCCAAAAAACCATTTTTTCCTGCTAGATCTCTGGGTCTGTAATGGGAGAGGCTGCCACAAAGGTCTCTGACATGCCCTGGTGACACTTTCCCCATTGTCTTGGGGATTAACATTTGGCTCCTCATTACTCATGAAAATATCTGCAGCTAGCTCAAATTTCTCCTCAGGAAATGGGATTTTCTCTTCTATTGCATTGTCAGGCTGCAAATTTTCCAAACTTTTATGCTCTGCTTCCCTTTCAAAACTGAATGCCTTTAGCAGCATCCAAGTCACCTCTTGAATGCCTTGCTGCTTAGAAATGTCTTCCACCAGATACCCTAAATCATCTCTCTCAAGTTCCAAGTTCCACAAATTTCTAGGGCAGGGGCAAAATACCAGTAGTCTCTTTGCTAAAACATAAAAAGAGTCACCTTTGCTCCAGTTCCCAAGAAGTTCCTCATCTCCATCTGAGACCATCTCAGCCTGGATTTCATTGTCTATATCATTATCAGTATTTTTGTCAAAGCCATTCAACAAGTCTCTAGGAAGTTGGAAACTTTCCCACATTTTCCTGTCTTCTTCTGAGCCCTCAAAGCTGTTCCAATCTCTGCCTGTTAGCTAGTTACAAAGTCGCTTCCACATTTTCAGGTATCTTTTCAGCAACACCTCACTCCTGGTACCAATTTACTATGTTAGTCCCTTTTCATGCTGCTGATAAAGACGCACCCAGGACTGGGAAGTAAAAGAGGTTTCATTGAACTTACAGTTCCACATGGCTGGGGAGGCCTCAGAATCATGGTGGGAGATGAAAGGCATTTCTTACATGGCAGCAGCAAGAGAAAATGAAGAGATGCAAAAGTGGAAACCTCTGATAAAACCATCAGATCTCATGAGACTTATTCACCACCAAGAGAACAGTATGATGCAAATTATCTCCCACCGGGTCCCTCCCACAACAGGTGGGAATTATGGGAATACAATTCAAGATGAGATTTGGGTGGAGACACAGAGACAAACCACATCATCATCCAAACTCTCTGGGCTTTATCTCCCCATTTGTAAAGTGAGGGTTCTAATAGAGCCTTCCTCAGAAGTGAAGTGAGGAGTGAAGTAGGCCATCAGCAAAACAATCACGACTAATGCTTGCACAGTGGGATCCGTGTCCCATGCACTATCCTAAATTCGTCCTATGCATTGACTTTCCTAATTGTCACAGCACCCCCACGAAGGAGGTACTGTAGTTACTTCCATTTCACAGAAGAGGAAACTGAAACATGAAAGTCAATGAACCAGCTTTCCCAGCTAGAAAGGAATGAAAATGGGATCGGACCCAGAGTGTTTGGCCTCAGGGCCTGGGTCTATAACCTCCAAGCTCTCCTGCCTCCCATAACCCCCACCATGTTGTTAGTTAATGGTAGCATGATTTATGAACCAAATAGAAAGTCCAGAAATGTGGTTATCATACAGACAAATCCTAAGTGACCCAGGCTAAGGGGTGGTCAGAGCACCAATGCAGAAGCTACAATCAGAGCTGGTTGAGGAGACACTAAGGGGCTTGGCTCAGTTCCAGTGACCCCATGGCAGAAGTGTGATGAAAAGCTCATTGGGGTCATCTTGAAGAGGGCCTGGGATCCCAGTCCTGGCACCTGTATGGTGGAGAGTGGAAAATGCTTGTCAGGTCTAAGAAGTCAAAGATTGCAACAAAAGCAGGGCTTTGGGGAGATTCAAGAGGCAGTGAGATGCAGCTGCTTTGGGGAGTGAGGCAGGGTTGCACTATGGACAGCCTGCTGCTTGGGGCCCTGTCCTGCAGGAAGAAGCCAGATGGCATGGACCCTCTGGCTATCCTAAAGCACATGGACCCTCGTGCCTCCCAAGAGAAGCCAAGGCATCCTTACTCTTCCGTGACTCTCATTGGGGCCTGGGACTCTCACTGGGGATGGGGAGGTCCTTGGAGTTGGTTGCCTAAGCTGCAGCAGGAATTGCTGGCTGGCAAGGTGGAAAAATTTATAACTGGCTCTTATAAGTGAGAACAATACACAAAAGAGAGGGTCCTTCTGAGAGGCATGGTGGAGGCACACAGGAAGGGTTGGTCCCAGGCCCAAATTCATGTGTCAGAGCAGTGAATGCTGTGTGTATCTAGTGCATGAAAAGGGCTGGGCATTTGTTGGTAGACATCAAAATTACTGACTAAGCAAGTGTAGATTTTCCTCTAAACCAGTGACATCCCTCATCCTCAAAATGCTGTTACATCTTCCTCCAGAATGTGAGAAACTTCTCCCTGCCCCTGGAAAACCAGGTCTGAGAGTCATTTCGTAACAACTGTAATGTCTATAGCTTCTCCTACTTATGCTAGAGTCAGGCTGTCCCCTAAAGCACAATGAGTGGGACCCCAGACTCCACGGTGAGCCTCATGCCCGGAAAGACTAAAAATCTCTGGGAGAGAAGGCTGTGGGCACCTGAGTGTCAACATCATACCCTGTGTGGTGGCAGTTGTCTGTCACAGCCTGCTAGTGCCACCAAAACAACCCAAGGTCACAGAGAGTGGCAGCTGTACAGAGTTCCCACAGTGGAGGCAGGGCGGGCAGGCCCTCCAGTGAGACAAGCCGGCCACGTCCCCCAGGTCACCCGACAACTGCACTCTGTCTCCCCAGATGGTTCCAGTCAGTCTATGGA
This sequence comes from Homo sapiens, assembly GCF_000001405.40. Classification (NCBI taxonomy): domain Eukaryota; kingdom Metazoa; phylum Chordata; class Mammalia; order Primates; family Hominidae; genus Homo; species Homo sapiens. Next base: position 70,801,909 of record NC_000002.12, read on the forward strand.
GAACTTCATTCCTCTGCCTCTCTCTTGAGGAAACTGCAGCTTTCGGAACCTCCCCTGAAGGAGAGAAGGGGGCAGCGGGGACATGAGAATTGACCCTGAGGAGTTGGCAGGAGGGAGTCCTTCCTGTTTACCCGCCCCAGTCCAGCCACTTCTTTGTTACCTTTAGACGGCAGGGCAAGGTTGGCTGGATTGATTATGACAGCTCCTTGCTGCTCCACACCATCACCTCTCCACAGGACTCCTTCCTGGGGTTGTGAGAAGGGGCTGAATGTACTAACTACCTCTGCTCCCTGCTAGAATGCTAGCCTCATGAGGGCTGGGATTTTTGTCTGTTTGGTTCACTGTTGAACCCCTAAAATCTAGAAGAGTGCTTGGTACATAGTAGAGGTGCAATGAACATTCCTTGAAGGAATAATTATTGATATAAAGTAAAATTCCCGAAGTAGATTTCATAGTTAATTGATCTTGGTGGCTGGGCTTGTAATCCCTGCACTTTGGGAGGCTGAGGTGTGCAGCTCACTTGAGGTCAGGAGTTCGAGACCAGCCTGGCCAACATGGAGAAACCTTGTCTCTACTAAAAATGCAAAAATTAGCCAGGCATAGTACATGCCTGTAATCCCAGCTATTCAGGAGGCTGAGGCAGGAGAATCGCTTGAACCCAGGAGGCAGAGATTGCAGTGAGCCGAGATCATACCACTGCACTCCAGCCTGGGTGACAGAGAAAGACTCCATCTCAAAAACAAACAAACAAACAAACAAAACAACAACAACAAAACAATAGTTATTGGATCTTGGGCCAGGCACAGGGACTCATGCCTGTAATCCCAGCATTTTGGGAGGCCAAGGCAAGAGGATTGCTTGAGCCCAGGAGTTTGAGACCAGCCTAGGCAACATGGTGAGACCTCATCTCTACAAAAAATAAATAAAATTAGCCAGGTGTGGTGGCATGCGCCTGTGGTCCTAGCAACTTGGGAGGCTGAGGTGGGAGGATCACCTAGACTGAGAGGTCAAGGCTGCAGTGAGTCAAGATCTCACCACTGCACTCCAACCTGGTTGACAGAGCAAGACCCAGTCTCAAAAAACAGTGGGGGTTGGTTGGGTGGAGTTAGTTATGAATCTTTAGACATTAAACAAAGTAACTGAAATGGAAGAAGAAGAGGCGAGAATGACCCCCCGACCGATCAAAGCCTGTGCGCCGCTGCATCCCGGGCCCAGCATCTAAGTCCCACTGCTGTCACCGCCGCCACCTTGCCCAAGAGGAAGACCGAAGGGGATGTTAAAGGAGATAAAGCCAAGGTGGACACACCTCAGAGAAGATCCACAAGGTTGTCTGCTAAACCTGCTCCTCCAAAGCCAGAGCCCAAGCCTAAAAAGGCCCCTGCAAAGAAGGGAGAGAAGGTACCTAAAGGGAAAAAGGGAAAAGCTGATGCTGGCAAGGAGGGGAATTACCCTGCAGAAAAAGGAGATGCCATAACAGACCAGGCCAGGGAAGCTGAAGGTGATGGAGAGGCCAAGTGAAGTGTGTGCATTTTTGATAACTGTGTACTTCTGGTGACTGTACAGTTTGAAATACTATTTTTTATCAAGTTTTATAAAAATGCAGAATTTTGTTTTACTTTGTTTTTTAAAGCTATTATGTTGTTAGCACACAGAACACTTCGTTGTTTTTTCTGGGGGAAGGGCTATATGTCACTAATAGAATGTCTCCAAAGCTGGAGTGATGTGAGGAAAACACCTTTCCCTTCTAGTTTTGGGAGACTTCCTCTTGGCTCCCGGGAGGAGGGATTCCCTGACTTTGATACACATGAGTACCTTGGCACTAAAGCTTTGTGTTTGGAAAAAGCAATTCATTTTTATGTCCTCTTCTCCCTTTCTATCTTTCAGCATAGACTTAACTCTCTTAAGCCCAGACATCTGTTGGGACCTCATCCCCAGTCATTGGTTACCAGTGTGTCAGGCAATCTGGACTTTCCAGTGGTGCCACTGAGATGGCACCTGTCTAAAGAGCAGTGGTTCCGTTCCTAGACTGTGGATCTTCAGATACATTCTGCCATTTTCATTTCACTTCCTGAAAGTCAGGGTCACCTCGTGAAAAGTTGTTAAACAACATGCTAAATGTGAAATGTCAACCCTCACTCTAAACTTCCCCTGTTCAGAGCATCAGATGAAGACTTCATTGGGTTTTATAGTGGCTTTCTGATTTTTGGCAGTCCACTGAAGAAGGGAGTTTGAAAGTTGTTGCATACTGTTAACAATTGTCTTCCATGTCCTGCCTGAAATACCATGATTGTTTATGGAAAGTATCTTTAATAAAGCTGGATACAGTTCGGCTTGGAAAAAAATGTAACTGAAATATATATATAATATATATATAATATATAGGTATATAAATAAAGGCTCTTAAAAATAAGAGGAAAATGTGACAAAATGATAAACATCATGAGAGAGTTTTAAAAAATCCTCTCAGAGAAACTGATTGATTGAGTAGACAAAACATAAATGAGAATGTAAAATGTTTGCATAATGAAAATTATAAGCTTAATCTAATAAATACACCTATAGAACATTTATAAAGAGTGAGCATATACTAGGCCACAAAGAGAATCTCAGGAAATTCCAAAAAAGTAGGCCATGTTATTTTTATTATTATTATTATATTTTATTATACTTTAAGTTCTAGGGTACATGTGCACAACATGCAGTTTTGTTACATAGCTATACATGTGCCATGTTGGTTTGCTGCACCCATCAACTTGTCATTTACATTAGGTATTTCTCCTAATGCTATCCGTCCCCCAGCTCCCCACCCCCCAACAGGCCCTGGTGTGTGATGTTCCCGCCCTGTGTCCATGTGTTCTCATTGTTCAACTCCCATCTATGAGTGAGAACATGCGGTGTTTGGTATTCTGTCTTTGGGTTAGTTTGCTTAGAATGAAGAATTCCAGCTTCATCCATGTCCCTGCAAAGGACATAAACTTATCCTTTTTTATGGCTGTATAGTATTCCATGGTATATATGTGCCACATTTTCTTTTTTTTTTTCAAAAGCGTTCTCACTCTGTCGCCCAGGCTGGAGTGCAGTGGCGCGATCTCGGCTCATTGCAAGCTCCGCCTCCCGGGTTCACGCCATTCTCCTGCCTCAGCCTCCTGAGTAGCTGGGACTACAGGCGCCCGCCACCACGCCCGGCTAAATTTTTTGTATTTTTTTTAGTAGAGACGGAGTTTAACCGTGTTAGCCAGGATGATCTCGATCTCCTGACCTCGTGATCCACCCGCGTCAGCCTCCCAAACTGCTGGGATTGAGGCGTGAGCCACTGCGCCTGGCCATGCCACATTTTCTTAATAAAGTCTATCATTGATGGACATTTGGGTTGGTTCCAAGTCTTTGCTATTGTGAGTAGTGAAAGTAGGCCATGTTACTTAATACTGCTTCCTGATGACACAAAGCTAGGAAAACCCTAAAATGAAGAATAGAAAAACATACAAAGAAAAATATATATACATACAAACATTTGTATGTATAATTGACCCATGAGCAACCTAAGTGTGAATAGCATGGTCCACTTATATGTGGATTTTTTTCAATAAATATTTTGAAAAAATTTTTGGAGATTGCCACAATATAAAAAAAATTGCAGATGAACCAGGTAGCCTAGAATTTTTTTTTCTGAGATGGAATCTTGCTCTGTTGCCCGGGCTGGAGTGCAGTGGCATGATCTTGGCTCACTGCAGCCTCTGCCACTCCAGGTTCAAGCAATTCTCATGCCTCAGCTTCCCAAGTAGCTGGGATTACGGGCATGAACCACCACCCCTGGCTAATTTTTTTATTTTTATTTTTAGTAGAGATGAAGTTTTGCCATGTTGGTCAGGCTGGTTTCAAACTCCTGACCTCAGATGGCCCGACCGCCTTGGCATCCCAAAGTGCTGGGATTACAGGCATGAGCCACCACACCCGGCCGAAATAATTTTTAAAAAATAAGACAAAGTTAGGTCTGTCATAAATGCATAAAATATATGTAGATGCTAAATCAATTTTATCATTCACTAACATAAAATATATACAAATCTATTATAAAAAATTAACATTTATCAAAACATATGCACACAAACACAGACCGTACACGGTGCCATTTGCAGTTAAGAGAAATGTAAACAAACTTAAAGATGCAATATTAAAAGAAAACTGCATAAATTAGCTGTGGTACATACTGTACTATTGTAATAATTTTGCAGTCACCTCCTGTTGCTACCACGGTGAGCTCAAGTGTTTAAGTATCCACTTAAGACACTACGTGATGCTAATCGTCTCCCATAAGCAGTTCCTCACTCCAGTAAATTGCATATGGCAGTAAAAACTGATTTAGTTCTCATGTATTTTTCATTTTCAGTGCAATATCATAAACCTTGAATAACATCATGGGTTCCATATGAGATGGCACTAGTGAGTCTGGAAGCACTCCCAAAAAGCAGAGAAAAGTCCTGACATTACCAAAAAAAGTTGAATTGCTTGATATGTGCCATTTATAAAGGTCTGCAGCTGTGGTTGTCTGCCATCCCAAGACAATTGAGTCTTGCAAAGGACAATTGTAAAATAAAGAAAAGGATATTTGTGAAACCATCACTGTAGCTACACCAGCAGGCACAAAAACCTTGCACTTTTTGCAAAATATCTTTTTAATCTCTTATTGAAAAATGCAGTTTTTATGTGGGTGCAGGATTGCTATAAGAAAGGCATACCTGCAGACTTGAACACCATTTGAGAAAAAGCAAAATCCGTTAATGACAACTCAAAGCAAAAGGAAGGTAAAGAATCTAAAGCAGGAGAATGTATTGCCAGCAAACGATGGTTTGATAGTTTCAGAAAGAGGTGTGGCTTTTAAAATGTCCACATGACAGGAGAAGCAGCTTCTGTCAATCAAGAGGCGGTAGACAAGTTTCTGGAAAATCATTCAAGAGAAACGGTATCTTCTTAAACAGGTTTTTTTTTGTTGTTTTTGTTTTGTTTCGTTTTCTGGGTTTTTAAATTTTTTTTTTTTTTTGAGACAGGGTGTCACTCTGTCACCCAGGCTGGAGTGCAGTGGCGTAATCTTGGCTCACTGCATTCTCCACCTCCCAGATTCAAGTGATTCTCATGCCTCAGCCTCCCAAGTAGCTGGGATTACAGGCACAGCCACCACACCCTGCTAATTTTTGTATTTTTTGTAGAGATGAGATTTCGCCATTTTGCCCAGGCTAGTCTCGAACCCTTGAGCTCAAGCAGTCCACCTGCCTCGGCCTCCTAAAGTACTGGGATTACAGGCATCAGCCACTGTGCCCAGCCTGAACAGGCTTTTAATGTAAATGAAAGTGCCCTATTCTGAGGGGGAAAAATGCCACAAAGGACATTTGTTAGTAAAGAAGAAAAGCAAACACCGGAATTTAAAGCAAAAAGGGATAGACTAACTCTACTGTTTTGTCCAAATACAGTTGGGTTTATATGATCAGGACTGCCCTTATCTGTAAAGCTGGTAACCCCTGATCCTTGAAGGGGAAAGGTAAACACCAGCTGCCAGTCTTTTGGTTGTACAACAAGATACGCATCCATTGATGCTTTATCCCAAAGTCAGGAAGTACCTTGCCAATAAGGACTGCCTTTTAAAGTTCTTTTGAGGCCAGGCATGGTGGCTCTTGCCTATCATCCCACACTTTGGGATGCTGAGTAGGAGGAGGGCTTGAAGCCAGAGGTTTGAGACCATCCTGGGAAACAAAGGATGAAACCCCCATCTCTACAAAATTTTAAAAATTAGCTGGGTGCAGTGGCATGAACCTGTAGTCCCAGTTATTCGGGAGGCTGAGGTGGGAGGATCACTTGAGCCCAGGAGTTCAAGGCTGCAGTGAGCTATAATCATGCCACTGCACTGCAGCCTGGGCAACAGAGTGAGACCTTGCCTCTAAAAAATAATTAATTAAAAAATATTTTTTAAAGTCGCTTATGATTTTCTGCTCTACAACGTGTGTAAAACAGCCTTGTTAACTGCGGAATAAGCGACCTTATCACATCTCCTGAATAGAAACTAGGAGCACATCTGATCTGATGCATTTTAATATTGCCTTCATTTTTTGAAAAGATTAATTCAACACTTCTGTGCTGGGACTAAGCAAAGTCAGTCAAAATGTGCCCTTCACTCTTCTTTCCACTGTACTCCAGCCTGGAAGACAGAGCAAGACCCTGTCTCTAAAAAAAATTTTTTTGTATTTTGTTAAAAAGAAAAAAATAGGCTGGGCGTGGTGGCTCGTGCCTGTAATCCCAGCACTTCGGCAGGCTGAGGCAGGCAGATCACCTGAGGTCAGGAGTTTGAGAACAGCCTGGCCAACATGGTGAAACCTCATCTCTACTAAAAACACAACAATTAGCCAGGCATAGTGGCACGTCCCTGTAGTCCCAGCTACTCAGGAGGCTGAGGCAGGAAAATTGTTTGAACCCGGGAGACAGAGGTTGCAATGAGCCGAGATGGCACCACTGCACTCCAGCCTGGGCGACAGAGCTAGGACTGCTAGGACTTTGTACCCCTATGAAGTCCCTGTAGTTTGTGTTCAACCTCTGCTGTTTTCAACAAACTAGCAAAAAGTTACTAGCTATAAAGCCCTTAATAAAAGTGTGCTTGTTTTGAGACAGAAGGAACGCTGAGGGAAGGAGAACCAATCCAGGGAGGAGAGAGGGTAGTGGCCGCCACAAGGAAAAAGCCAGCACGAAGCTTTTGTTGATCCAGCGAGTATTTATTGAGGACCTGCTGTCTGACAGGCCTGTGCTGGGTGCTGAGGCTACAGGGGCACAGCAAGGCTCTTCCCTTGAGAAGCCACTGATGTCACTGGGTCACTCGAGGTAAGCATGTTTGAAAGGGCTGAATCAAAGAACAAGGCAGGAAGTCCACAAGGCCAACGGAAGGTCCCAGAGAACAAGCAGAGCTCAGAGGCTCCGAAGGCATCGAGGAGGAGGGTCAGTATTGGCAAGCAGGAGCAGCCCCTCAGCTCTGGCCTGCCCTCAGGCCACACCCTGGCCCATGGGCTTCTTGCACACCCACTGATAGGGGGTGTCACAGGTCATGTCATTCCACTTCTGCTGAATTTGGACACAGTCTTCAGTCTGCCCATTCTTGTGCCGCCAGTTGTCAGACTGATTCTTTTCCCAAAACCCGAAGACAACAGGGCTTTATACTGTTAGATGAAGGCAGCATCCCTTCCTGGTGCTGTGGCTCCTAGGGAGCTGACATGGGATGAGTCTAGGGAGCTGACTTGAGATGGGTCCTTCATCCCCTAGTGGCCCTAGGATGAGGACAGGGCTGGGAGAAGGAGTACCCTGAGGGTGTCTGTGCTCAGGTTGCTCTTAGTTACTGAGGATCCAGGGACAGGGAGGGGTGTCTATGAAGCTGCAAGCTCCCATCCCAGAATTCACAATAATATACTTTCTGAGTGGGCAGGATCCCTTGGAACCAGGCCTGAGTAGGGCAGGGGGAAAAAAACAGAAAGACCCACTCACTGGCTGCATGCCAGCCTCAGGACCTGTCCTTTCCTAATGACCCTCTGTGGAGGAGTCCAGGTGAGAGCGATGACCACACCTGTGTGTCCAAACGCACACACATCACACACATACCACACATACACCTCGCACACCACATGCATTACACATGCCACATACATGGCACACACACCACACATACACCACATACACACCACACACGTCACACACACATATACACACAACACTACCACTTACTGGGAAGGGACACACAGTGTGTAGCTAGGTCCACCAAAGACAGTGCCTGGGACAGCGCCAGATGGTGGCTAGACTCACGCTTTGTTCTGGGCGGCGTTGAATGGTGTCCCATCTGTCCAGCGCCAGGAGCCCTCTGTGCCCCTGTCAGTGAGACCGATCCAGTAGTACACTTTACTTGTGAACTCTACCAGAAATGCCTGCAGAGAAAAGGCAGTGTCAGTTTGCCCCTGTGTGTGGGGAGCCAGTTTTCCAGGCCACCTGGAGAACCTGCTTATAGATATACACATAATTATATATGCATATCAAAAACTGTAAACAGAATTTTAAAACACTTTTATCTCATTTGGGGAAAGTTAAGAGGTAAGACAAAACTGTGTACTATAGAATTTTTTAGGATATCTAAACTCAGGGTAAAACCAAAGGAAAACATTTCTACTTCTTTAGTAAATGGCTTGTGTGAAACCTCAAGCTCTCACTCTTTTTTTTTTTTTTAATAGATGGGTTTGCTTGATGAGGATTGTGATCTAATGATTGTTTAGCAGCAATTTTACCAAACTGTAAATTCTTTCATTAACAGGCATTATAAACAGATAATACTAATCTTATTTAAAAATCATGAGTGCCACACTGATGAATATACAGCTTATGAATAACTTAAAAAGTATTTCCCATTTTAGGCCAGGCACAGTGGCTCATGCCTGTAATCCCAGCACTTTGGGAGGCCAAGGCAGGCGGATCACCTGAGGTCGGGAGTTCGAGACCAGCTTGGCCAGCATGGTGAAACCCCGTCTCTACTAAAAATACAAAAATTAGCTGGGCATGGTGGCAGGTGCCTGTAATCCCAGCTACTTGGGAAGCTGAGGCAGGAGAATCCCTTGAACCCGGGAGGCGGAGGTTGCAGTGAGCCAAGATCGCACCATTGCACTCCAGCCTGGGCAATAGAGCGAAACTCTGTCGCAAAAAAAAAAAAAAAAAAAAAAAGTATTTCCCATTTTAAAAGGCAAACACAGGATACAAAAACCTATACTAAACAAAGAAGCTATAATATGGATACACGATTGATGTGTCTAAAATGATATATACAGTACGTAATTAATGTTAATTATGTGATCAGTACATTTTCCCATTTGATTCCCTTCATGCTTCACTTTCCCCAGAAATTGAATTCTGTACTCCCTCTTCTAAAATTGGTACAATCAGGTTATCCTTGGACATCAAATTATATTTCATCACAAATTTAATAAACCAATGGCACAAAAATGTTTCATTTTCATATTCATCAAATATCTGCCAATGATGAAAATAAACATGTGAAAATATTCTGTAAATTCTACGGCATACTGATTTTGGTGTCACTACAGATGATTCCTTTATGCTAACCCTGCTGGGAAAATATTTATTGCCATTCAGAAGACATGCAGCACCAACAAGTGTGTGTCTAGTATAGTCTATAGCACGACACTCTTTTGGAGTTTTATGAGCTATGCAAAGAAAAATCCATTGTTCAGCTGCTGTCATTTGAGTACAAGTATCTGGATGGCATTCACGCTGAAGTTTGACAGCAAGTCCAATTAGCTCAAGGCACAATTGTCTTAAATGTCATACTTCCATACACCTTCATCTTGGCCTTTAGGTGCTTCAAGAATTTTGTCAATATTGGAGCAATCTGCTCTTATGTTCTGTTGAATAGACTGTTGAGCAGCTAGTGTACTGTCCATTTTATCAAAGGATTCATCAGGCCAATTATAGATATCCTGTGCCTTGGTGCCCTGCCTGTTCTGCCTCAGCACTGCCATCCCCTCTGCCATGACCATAGTGCCAGCACCTCCCATAGCTTATTAAGAAGATGTGTTTTACGAAGTTGCATGTTCTTTCTCAGGCCAGTAACAGTGGTCTCAGGCGAGCCAACAGGGGGGTAGGCAGTTCTGCAAGTCAAATTGGACCACAAACATTGTGGTTCTTTGTTAGTAATCCTGGCAAGTTCTGATAAGGACCACGACAGTGAGCCACCTGGGACGGTATTGCGTTTGGTGGTCCTCGGACCCATAGTTGTGTGCCTGGTCTTCCCAAGAAGCCTGGGTCTCCTATTCATGGGCCCTCTACAGCAGCTGGATTAACTGACATTAAAATCAAGACAGGCTGGATGCAGTGGCTCACTCCCAGCACTTTGGGAGGCCCACTTCGGTGAATAACTTGAGCCCATAAGTTTGAGACCAGCCTTGGCAACATGGCGAAACCCCATTTCTACAAAAAAAATACTCCCCAAAATTAGCCAGACATGGTGTCGTGCATCTGTAGTCACAGCTACTTGGGGAGCTGACCTACTCAGTGGGCTGAGGTGGGAGGATCGCTTGAGCAAGGAGGTCAAGGTTGCAGTCAGCCATGATCAGGCTACTGCACTCCAGCCTGGATGACAGAACGAGACACTGTCTCCAAAAAAAAGATGACTGGAAACAAGCCTGAGAGAAAAACAAATGCAAGAGAAGGGAAGTGTGCTCCTAGCACTTAAGGGCATCACCTGATGCCACCTCCCCTTGGCCTTCCTCCCTGCTGATGTCTCTTGACCTCTGGTGTCTCCCTCATTCATGGAAGACATGGAGGTTTGCTGTCAGGGATTCTACCTCCAGTGCATATGCTCATCAGAACTCACTCAATATTTGCTCCCTGCCTGGCAGAGGAGACATGGAGGTCTCCGTCATACCCACTGAGAGCAGGAAGGCCAAAACACCAAAGTCCCTTATTCCACACCAATTCCACCAACAACACCCCATGCTCGCAGCTCTGACCTGCTCCTCCTTGGAGGCCACAGATGCCAGATGGGCTCCCTGGGACACGCAGAACTGCTCAGCCTCATGCCAAGACTTCTTGACACTAGAAAAATAATATAAGCTTCCACCATTGAACTTCCAGCCTTGCAGGACCATCTGGAGAAGCTGACCTGGAGCAAAGATTGGGGAGAAAAGAGAACCAGGAGCTGCTGGTAGGAGTCCCAGAAGGAACTTTTCTGACCTCTCTAGGGCCTGCCCACTGAGGTTCACAAGCCCATGAAATTCTTGATGTGCAGTGCTCCAGGAGAAAGGCCTGGGGGGCTGCACTGCCATCTCACTACCCAGCACTCCAGGAAGCAGCCCTCAAGACGCCTGGCTTGGGCACTCCTGGGAGGCTCAGGCAGCTCTCTCTTTCCAGATACCTGCTTCCTGGCTATCCTGCCCTCTCTCCCAACTCATTGCTATCACCTGACAGTCCTCTCCACCCCAACTCCTGCCATCTTCCCTGGGGATTTTACAGGTATCCCATAGCCTTACTCATTACCTTGTCTTCATCTCCATCCACTTGCACTGCCACACCCATGGCCATCCTGGGACCTGGTCATCACCTGGTCTGCCTGGCCTTCCATTTTTCAAACTCTTATAGCTCATCCTGTGAGCACAAGCCCCAATTCTGTCAGCTCTTTCTTCCCTCCCTGCCACAACAGCCTGCTCTTTGGCGTCATCTATGCCACAGCTGTTTGAAATGGTGCCGCACAAGCTCAATTAATCACCAAATTGTTCTTTTGTTCAACGTGCATTGTGCAACGTTCCTTAACTTCTTCCAGCTAGCCACTGCCATACTGTACAAAGATCAATCAGACATGATTGATGCCCTTAAGGAACTTAGAGCCTAATAAATGAGACAGATGGAAAAAAGGTGTTGAAGATGCATTGACTAAAAAACACATGCACAGTAGAATAGTCACGGAAGAAGGTATGGTCTGTTTCATCTGAGCAGGAGGTGGGGCTCAGGAAGGACACCCTGGATGAGATGTTACTGGAGCTGAGTCTCTCTTTCTTTCTTTTTCTTTCTTTCTTTCTTTTCTTTCTTTCTTTCTTTCTTTCTTTTTTTCTTTCTTTCTTTTTTTCTTTCTTTCTCTTTCTTTTTCTTTCTCTCTCTTTCTTTCTCTTTCTTTCTTTCTTTCTTTCTTTCTTTCTTTCTTTCTTTCTTTCGCTCTCTCTCTTTTTCTTCCTTCCTTTCTTTCTTCCTTTCTTTCTTTTTTTGAGACAGAGTTTTGCTATGGATGCCCAGGCTGGAGTGCAATGGTGCGATCTTGGCTCACTGCAACCTCTACCTCCCGGGTTCAAGCGATTCTCCTGCCTACCCTCCTGAGTAGCTGGGATTACAGGTGCCCGCCACCATGCCCGGATATTTTTTTTGTATTTTTAGTAGAGATGGGGTTTTGCCATGTTGGCCAAGCTGCTCTCAAACTCCTGATCTCAGGTGATCTGCCTGCCTTGGCCTCCCAAAGTGCTGGGATTACAGGCGTAAGCCACTGTGCCCCGTCTGGAGCTGAGTCTTAAGGGACTGAGGAAGAGTTTGCCAGGTGTTCAATGTTAAGGAGAGCACCCCAGGCAGGGAAAAGGATCAGCACAAAGGCATAAAGGTCAGGAACAGCCGGGCACAGCCTGATCTATTCAAGCTACTTGGTATTCTTGGGACATAAAGGATGGGTGAGTGATGAATTTGGACAGGTTCACCAGCACTAAATGGTACATCCCATGTGAAACAGTTTGGATTTTTTTTTCCCTATGAGCAATGGGAAGCACTGCAAGGTTTTGAGAAGGATGGTAATATGTCCAGATTTGCACTGGAAAAACGTCAACCTGGTGGAAGCTGAACCAGAAGAAGGTACTCCTAATGAGGACAGAAACACCAATGATAACACAATGGCGAAAGTCCCAGTAAGAGATGGGTATAAATCAGGGGTTCGAAAAGTGTGGTCCCAGACCATCAGCATCACCTGACAACGTGGTAGAAATGCAAATTTTCAGGACCACCATAGCCCTACTGAATCCAAAATTATGTTTTAACAATCTGCTTCAGCAAGCCCTCTGGGGGTTCTGATGCCCAGAACTAGTCATCTAAACCAACCATTGGCAAACTCTAGCCTGTCAGCAGTGTCTTTTTAATAAAATTTATTTTATTATGAGCGTAGCCATGCTCATTAGTTTACTGTCTTTTTCTTTTGCTTTATAATTACGAACAGAGTTGAGTAGTTGTAACAGAGATCGTACAGCCCCAAAGCCTAAGATATCTAGTTCTTTGTCCTTTAAGAAAAAAAATTAAGCTAATAGTTCTCAGCCCAGATGCCAGTAGATCCACCTAGGCATTTAAAAAAGAATACTGATGCCAGACACCCTCACCAAAAAAAAAAAAAAATCACAGTTCTGGAGGTGGGTCCCCAGGCATCAGTATTTTCAAAGCTCCTTGGGCGATTCCAGTGTGCCCCCAAAGTGGAGAAACACTGGGCCCAGCTAAAGCAGCAGTGAGAGCTGGGAGGAATAAGGACATTGGGGCACTAGGAGATGTGTGAAGAAGTGGGGCCTCTGACCCCAGACCAGGAACCGGGCAAAGCAGTAAAGTGGAACGTCACTGCTGCCCACCAAGCCCTCATTTGTTAGCCCCCATTTCTTCAGTGGCTGCCCCAAACACTCCCTTCTGTCTCTCAGCTGCCCTCTTGTCCACAGGCCAGTCAAAGAGAACTGCCTGAAGTTTCCAGAATCTCATGATTTTGTGTCTCCATGCCTGCAAACCCTATTTGCTTGGCAAACACCTACTCATCCTTCAGGATGAAGTTCAAGAGCCATCTTCTCACAAAGCATCTTTTGATCTTTTCCCCACAGATCTCTTCCCTCCCCCTAGAAGATTCCTTTTCCCTTCTTTTTGTTCTGCCCCCAACCCCAGTTCTCAGTACCTGCTTCTAACCTATCAGCCTTATACCTGTCTGTATGTCTTTCATGCAAGTCTGTACTACTAGCCTGTAAGCTTCTCAAGGGTACCTATCACACCTTATTCACCTTTTTACCCAGCACACCACTGGGCCTCAATAAAGCATCGGGTGAGGGCATGAATGCTAGGTACTTTGTTAAAGGCCTTACATGTGTGAACTCATTGGATCCTCACTGTGATGCAAATATTATTGTCTCCCCCTTGCAGATGAGAAAAGTGTAGCTCAGAGAAGGTAAGTAACAGGCTCAAGGTCATACCATTTGGGGTATCAGGAAGTCAGAAATAAGGCTGTGTGGCCCACTAGCCCATGCCGTCCTTATCACACACGTGCACCATTTACAGTTGGTTTCCCGTGTTCATTTGGTCACCGTGACCAGGTTATAAGCAACTTGAGAGCAGGAACTTCCCACCTCACACCATCTCTACAACTGCCCAGTTTCCTTGGGCCCATTTCCCTGGATTTGGTCAAGGAGATGCATGTTGCAGTAAAAAAGAGGCTGATGAGATGGAAGACTCTACCCTCTCAAGAGACTGTGCCCTCCCCAAACGCGACTCCCCTCTCCCACTTACTTTGGGTTCTTTGTAGCTGTTCCTGTGAAGTAATGACCACATGGAGGGTCTTCAGGCGACTCTGCTCCTGCTGGATTTCCATGGTTAGAGCTTTGGTGTTCTCTAGATCCCCTCTTAACCTCTGGATCTCGGCACTGGCCTTCTGCAGATTGCTGTCTAACATCTGGGTCTGGGAAGTTAAGGCTGAAGCATTCTTCATTCCTTGTTTTAGGGTCTGTATCTCTCTGCTGGCATTTTTCATATGACCATTTAAGACCTGAATCTGGGCATTTAAGGTATTCACATTTTCCATCTCTGACTTGAATACCTGAATCTGAGTATCTGTCTGGTCCAGACGGCCATTTGCTTTTTGGGTCTGGGCTGTGACCATTTTCAAATCCCTTTTTAACACGTGAATTTCATCACCAGCTCTTTCCAAATGACCTCTTAAGAACTGGATCTCAGCACTAGTGTTGTCAAAACTGCTTTTTATAAAGGCCTGGGTCTGGGAGTTTAAAGCATTTGTGTTCTGCAAATTTTCCTTTAGTCCCTGGATCTCAGCATTGGCTCCTTCCAAACTATTTCTTAAAACCTGGTTCTGGGTCCTCAAGTCATTGACACTATCTAGATGGCCTCTCAAAACATAGATCTCAGCATTAGCGTTCTTTAAACTGCTATTGGCTAACTGAGCCTGGGTATTTGCCGTTTCCAAACTGGCATTCAACATCTGAATTTCAGAGTTTGCATTTTCTAAGCCTCTGCTTAGCACGTGGAGCTCAATGCTGGTGTTTTCTAAACTGCTTTTTAAGAAATTCAGCGTCTGGAAAGTTAAAGCATCTGCCTTTTCAAGGTCTTCCTTGAGCCTCTGGATCTCAGCATTGGTTCCCTCCAGGGAACTCCTTAACATCTGTGTCTGCAAACTCAATGTAGTGGCATCCTTTAGAACTCCTTTTACCATCTGGATGTCAGCATTGGTGTTTCCCAGATGATCACCGAGCACCTGGAGCTGCGAATTGACATTGTCCACTCTGCACTTCAACATCTGGATTTCTACTACCCAGGCACTGGAATTCTCCATGTGGCCTTTAAATGTCTGGATAAGCTCTCGCATTTCTGCCTCCCTGCCAAAGTGGTGATGATCTGGAGGGAGGAAGTGAAGAAGGCAGCCAAAGAGGCCCATTATGTAGGGTAGCATTTTATGGGCCACCCAGAGTGTTTCTAACATTTCCAAGGGAAATGGGTACTGCACAGCCCTCAGTGCTCCCCCAAGCACCCTCCTGGTCACACAGCCACCCAGACCCTGGGGACGGTCCACCTGAGAATGTGGGCCAAGAAACAAAGATCTAATTCACTGTTACACACAAATGAAGGGGTCAGAAGGATTGAAATGCTTGCCTGCTGTAAGCCAGCTGCCACCAGGAGTCATGCTGGTAAGGCTTGGATTATTTTGTCGTTATAATTGCTCAACTTGAAAGTAACTGATTTTATCATTTAGAGCTGTTGAAGTTTAATTTTACTGGAATTTCACCACAGATGGGTCATTATGGGAAAGAAAATAGGTATGAATAAAGCCTGTGGTTAGTCCTACATTATATTTGTACACCAAGCATAGAGCCTCTTGATTCACCATTGTTACTTGATAAAAACCACCACAAACATAAGTTTTATGATGGCAAATTCCATGGAGAAGAAAACACAAAGGAAAGAAACAGAAACAAAACAAAATAGGTGTGCTGGGAGGAAGTACCCTGTTCAATCAACAGGGCTATGATAGAGGCATGCCATGCCCTCCAGGTAACTAACACTGGACCTCAGCTGAGATGGCCTTTTAAAGAGCCAGCACCCCCAGTGTTACATAGGGCAAGGGTCCCTACAGAACAGTTTGAGGATACAGGAAACCTGAGTAAAAGGCCTTGCGCTGGGGTCGTTGAAGGAGACCCCACAGCCCCTTTAATCTGCAAGGTCTTTCCCACCAACCTCACATGCATCTACCTCTGGTCCTGCTAGCATCCTTTGTTCACCTCATGAACTAGGACCTAATCTCACACATCCATGATCCCCTTCTGATTCCAGTCTCCCCTCAGGAATAGGGAGAAAAACCCAAGATGGCAGGGACCCTTTCTGGAGCATCCATGTACTATTTCTCATGCACTGCCTATGTAGATGTGTGAGACCTCAGTTACTGTGCTAAGGTAAGAGAGGGGACCTTTCAAGGTACTGGGAGTTCAGTCAAAGATTCTGCTTTGTAAAGATAGACAAACAAATCAATGCGACAGAATGGAGAATACGGAAGTAGACCCCCACACATATGGACAATCGAATTTCAACAAAGGTGCAAAGGCAATTCACGGAGAAAGATAACTTTTTCAACAAATGGTGCTGGAACAATCAATTTCACACCATTATACAATAATTAACTCAAATGAGGCAGAGACCTAAATGTAAAACTAAAAACCGGGCTGGGCATGGTGGCTCACGCCTGTAATCCCAGCACTTTGGGAGGCTGAGGTGGGCAGATCACGAGGTCAGGGGATCGAGACCATCCTGGCTAACACGGTGAAACTCCGTCTCTACTAAAAATACAAAAAATTAGCCAGGCGTGGTGGCGGGCGCCTGTAGTCCTAGCTACTCCAGAGGCTGAGGCAGGAGAATGGCATGAACCTGGGAGGCAGAGCTTGCAGTGAGCCGAGATCACGCCACTGCACTCCAGCCTGGGTGACAGAGCGAGACTCCGTCAAAAAACAAAAACAAAAACTAAAACTAAAAACTGTACAATTTCCAGAAACAAAGGAGAACATCTTTGTAGCCTTGGATTAGGCAGATTTCTCACATACGAGATCATGAGAATAATCCATAACAGAAATAAAATGATAAATTAGACTATCAAAATTAAAATCTTGTTAGGAGAATGACAAGACAAGTCACAGACTGAGAGAAAAATATTTGCAAATCACATGACTAGCAAAGAACAAAGAGTACATACTCTATGATCTCTTATCTATAAAACTCTAGAAAAAGCAAACTAATCTATAGTTACAGCAAGTAGATCTGTGGCTGCCCAGGGATGAGGAGAGGAAGGGAGAGGAAGGAATTACAAAGAGCCACAAGGAAACTTTGGGGTGAGGAGGATGACTATGTGATGATGATTGTGGTGATGGTTTCAGGGGCACACACATATGTCAAAACTTAACAGATTGTATGCTTTAAATATATACACCATTAGACCTCAATAAAACTGTGTTTTTAAAAAATTATCTCTTTCTGTGAGGATGGTGGAGCCCATTCAGTGGTCAGAGGGTACCAGGAGAGAAGCTCATCCTAGGGTCTGAGCATCTGAAGGCCCCAGTTCCCTCTGCACCCCACCCCCACTGTGGCTACTCACTGTTGGGTTCAAAAGGTAAATGCCCAGTAATGTTGTCTCCCAGAATTACGGCTTGCACAGGCTTCGGAACAGGTCTTGTCTGCTGTTGAACTGAGACATTCCATTTTTCCAGGTCAGCAAATCCCCAGCCCTGAGCCTGGGAGGATACGCTGTCCCACACAGAGGTAGAGTTCCAGAACCGGGGAGATAGCAGCAAAGACCCTCCCAGGGTTTCCCTCATGAACCTCAGTTCTTGGGAGGCTCCCCCTTGGACAGTGGCCTTTATCTGTTCCCAGGGAAGCTGTGGCTTGGGCCTGGAGCTGGAGGTGGAATGATCTTTCTGGGAGCAGAGAGGCCCAGAGAGTGTGCATCTGGGGCCCCTGGGGACTTTGTGCTGAAAGGAGAGAAAGTTAGTGAGATTTGGGTCACCTGGGGGCTTACCCACTACAAAGAGAGTCACAAGAGAGAAGACCAAGGTCACAGCCATAAATGCCGGGGTAGCCTGAACGAGCCTCGGTATCTTGGGGGCTGCAGGAGCCATTGCCACAGAGTCCACCTCTGCAGGGGAGAAGGCAGTGTCCAAGGTGAGAGGGTGCTGTGCAAGGTAAGAGGGTGCTGTGCAGGCTGAGACACAGCCTCTCTGATTCTGTTTCCTGGGTTGTCTAATGGGGATGATAACTCCTGCCATGCTTATCATGCAGGTGGTTATGGAGAAGGAAGACAAAACACTTTGGGCTGTTCACCAGAGCTAGATGTGGATATGGTAGCAACACAGAGCTGAGGAGCTCTGAGACCGAGACCACCGATCTCCAAATCTCAAGGAGGCTTTGGTGGTGCACAGGGCACAGAACCTGGCACAGAGCACAGAGCAACAAAAGTGTAGTTTGAATGAAAGAAGAAAGGAAGGGAGGGAGGCCTCACAGGACCAGCTCAGTGTGCAGAGCCGGGATTCCAAGCCAGGACCATCTGAATTCAAAGTTCATCCCCTTTCTCTTGCCAGGTCTGCATCCCCAAGGACAAGGGTCTGGGGAGAGCAATAAGACAGCAATAAGCTGCCTTATGGCAGAGGGCCAAAGGACAGGCAGGCTACTCCCTCACTGGGCAAGAGCTGGGGCCCCAGTTTTCTCACCTTGGGGGTGCAGGGAGACACACTGGTTATCTGTGCAGAAGCGGACTGCCTCACCGTCCATCTCTGCTTCCTTGATCCTCCAGCACTGCTCCCAGCCACTGGCTCCTGGAAGGGCCGTCCCGTGGACCAATGGCAGTGGAAGCAAAGCTGAGACACCCACACTTATATGCTCCTGACCACCCTCCCAGCTCTTCCTCCCTCCCTGCCTGACTCTGCAGAAACCCGCCCCAGTGGGCCCCTCCCCTAGAGGCTCCCAGATACCCATCTGCCCTATTTTCTTCCTCTTCCCATTAGCACCTTCCCGTCAGTTCTCAGCCCCATCATCCCAGCCTCTGCCGCATCCAGCATAACCCCAAACACACCTCTTCTTCTCTGGGGGCTGGGACTGGCACCTAGGAAGGGGGTCTCAGCTTTGCACAGAAAACATCCTTATGACTATGGCTGACCTTTAATTCTAGCCTCAGAACCTCTTAAGTAAAAGGAGTCAGGTAAAAGAGGGGCCAGGTCAGTGCGGCCGATATTTGCAGGTCAAAGGAGGAAGCGGGGTGACCAGCCACTTGGGGACTCACAACTGAATTATAGTATACAGGAGGATGTGCGGAGGTTATATAAAAATACTACATGATTTTGTACAAGGGACTTGAGCATCTGTGGACTTTGGTACCCATGGGAGTCCTGAAACAAATCCCCTGCAGATACCAAGGGACAACTCTGTAAAAAATATATCTGGTCTTCATCTCAGTTCCTGACACAGAACTCCTAAAACGCTTAGAGTTTCCTGGGTGACAGGAGTGTTTTTTGTTATTCATAATAAGCCCCTTAGGACTACACTTGGGTTTATGCTAATGAGGTGACACAGGGTGGACCCTTAGATAATTTCAGGCTGGAGGCTGGTCCCAGAAAGACCAAACATGGGATTAGACTTTGGAAGACTGGGACTTTCAGCCACCCACTCCCATTCCCTACTCCCAGACCTCCAGGTATGGGAGATGGCCTGGGGTCTGGGCTATAACGACTCTTAAAAAATGAGATTCAAGGAGCTTAGGGATTGGTGATCCACATGCCAGGAGGGTGTCATGCCCTGACTCCACAGAGACAGAGTCTCCTGCACTTGGGACCCCACTGGGCCTTGCCCTGTGTACCTCTTCATCAGGCTGTTTTTGTCCTTTACAATAAAAGAATAGGAAGTACAGTGTTTTTCTGAGTTCTGTGAATTGTTCTAGTGAATTATGAAAACTGAGAGGTTGTTGCAGAAACCCCCTAATTTTTTGTTTGAGACAGGGTCTCCCTCTGTCACTCAGGCTGGAGTGCAGTGGTACGATCATAAGTCAATGCAGCCTTGAACTCCTGGACACAAGTGATCCTCAGTTCTCAGCCCCAACATCCCAGCCTCTGTCACATCCAGCATAACCCCAGCATAACTGGGACTACAGGTGTGTGCCAACATACCTGGCTAATTTTTTATTTTTATTTTTTTGTAGAGATGGGATCTCTTTTTATACCCCAGGCTGGTCTGGAACTCCTGGCTTCAAGTGATCCTCCCACCTCAGCCTCCCAAAGTGCTGGGACTACAGGCATGAGCCACCTTGCCTAGCCAGAACCCCCAAATTTGTAGTTGACCAGGCAGAAGTGGGGTCACTACCTCACTTGTAGCTAGCATCTGAAGGGGGGCAGTCTTGTGGGACTGAGGCCTTACCCTGTGAGATCTGTGCTAACTCTGGAAGTTAGTGTTAGAATCTGTTTGAATTGTTGGATGCCCAGCGGGTGTCAGAGAATCGGCTGGTGTCAGGAAAAAGCACACATTTGGTGTCAGAAGTGGTGTCAGAAAATACCAAGCAGGCCCCAACTTTAGCTGATTGGATCCATGCCTCCTGAGGTGACCAGGTTCTCAAGACTAACTCCAAAGAATCTGATGGAGCAGGCTGGGGCCAATGTGTGGCTTTCAATGAGCCCTATCCCTTCCAGGAGGAACAGATACTGCTTCAGGGGTTCCTGCTGCTGGGTGGGCCTAGCATTAGAAGAGAAGGCATGAGGCATCCCAGTGGACAGTGCCATGGAGCTGTGCAAACGTGATGTCCCTGTCCCTGCCACAGGGGTTACCAGCTGAACAGAACCAATATTCCCATGGCTGGTCAAGGAACCCCTCTAAAAGCCAGTGCTGGGGTTACCAGCAGATTCCTGTTCTTTGGTTCCTTCTTGTCTCCATTACTTCAAACGGTCACAATCTTTTTGAAATAAATCACATTTTCTTTCACTTTGGAAAGTCTAATTACATATTACACCATCATAGCAACTCTTAAACAAACTCACAACCTTGCAAATGGCTTGTTCCATCCATGTTGTGTTGTTTCTTTGCTACTTTCACCCTCTGTTCCTATGTCCCATTCTCATGTCTTTTGCACAGATCCTGGGGTCAGCCTCTTATAGGTCCCCAGCTGCCAACTAACAACACTGCAGACCAACCACAAAGGTGGAGAAGCCACACGGAACGTGCCTCCTCTGAGGCCGGGCCAGGAGAACAGCTTTGGCCCAGGAGGAGCCTGTGCCATGCGTGGCTGATGTCAACCCGGCAAGCAAGTCGCCCCGTGGGTAGGGGATCTGCAGACAGGAAGGGAGCGGTTGCCCACACCCAGTTCATGATGGTGGGGGTGTGTGTGTTTGTGTGTGTGTGTGTGTGTGTTGAACTGTGCAGTGTTAGGGGCCCAATGTGTAGAGTGCAGAGCCACCATTTGCTGCCTTTTACCTCCTGTTTGTTGAAAACTGACCTTAGAGAGGAGGGCACAGCAGGAATGAAGGGTGAAGGCACCTATTTCTGGACTATCAACAGCGCTGCCTGAGATCCCAGTGGTGTCTGCCAGACTCCTTCACCGCCACATAGAATGGGATGGAAGCTGCTGGAGGTGCCTCCCTAGAGGCCCATCAGACACCCAGGGCTGGTGGCTGAAAAGAAAGGGCTTGTCTTGGTTTCTGTTTCCCCATACACAGGAAGGGCCCAGGCTGGACCTACTCAGGACCTATTTCCTCCTGAGGCCTGAGAGCTGAGGGAACCTCGAAGGCAGAACTCTACGGATCCCTTGCCCAACTGGAAGGTCAGAGTCTGGGCCAGGAGAGGGGCATAGTTCTTCCCTGGCCTCCCCACCCACCCTCCGGGCCCTAGCTCTTCTATTTCCCACAGGAACACCATCTACCAGCAGGGCAGAAAAACCAGGGGGTTGCTATGTCTTCACTGAGAGGCTTTCTGTTCTCTGGCCAGACAAAAACAAATGGGCATTAATACAAGAACTGGCCAGGCACGGTGGCTCATGCCTGCAATACCAGCACTTTGTGAGGCCGAGGCAGGTGGATCACTTGAGGCCAAGAGTTCAAGACCAGTCTGGCCAACATGATGAAACCCTTGTCTCTATTAAAAATACAAAAACTAACTGGGCATGGTGGCAGGTGACTGTAATCCCAGCTACTCGGGAGGCTGAGACAGGAGAATCATTTGAACCTGGGAGGCGGAGGTGGCAGTGAGCCGAGATTGTGCCACTGCACTCCAGCCTGGGTGACAGAGCAAGACTCCAAAAAAAAAAAAAGAAAGAAAGAAAGAAAGAAAGAGTCTACTTGGTGGGACTAAAGCCAAACCAGAGGGAGCCAGAGCCAGGAGAGGGAGAGAGGCGGATTCTTCTTTATGTTTTTTAATCCAGGACATTTTATTTAATAGTAGGGACAGCTTCTTGACATGATGTGAGCACTTGTATTCAGCAGTACAAAGTGTCCTGATTTTACACCCTACAAAATACAGCAACAACAATTCAACACATTTACAGGCCTGAATGCAAACCACCTGGCTTTTATTCCGTTCGTCTCCTAACTGTTCTCCCTGCCTCTCCTCTTACCCCCTCTCAAGTCCTGTCACCATGGTGCAAGCATAATGATCTTTTCAAAAAAAATTAGATGTACACACAAATATTACTTAGCTCTCTCAGCTGGGAGAGGCAATGATGTTCAAATAGCAACAGCCACACAGCCCCCAGGTTTTGATTTCTAACACCATTCTCCAAAAAAAGGAAACCAGGGCTCATTAGAGAAATGGCTGACTCTAGAACTGGGGCAGGAAATACTCAAGATGAGCCTGGAGCATCTTGTAGTACCAGAAAGTAAGGAGATGCTTAGTTACCAAAAAAAAAAAAAAAAAAAAAAAACTGAGGGAAGTATGTCAAAATGACACAGGAACCAATGAAGGAGCTCCCAATGGCCAAAGCCAGAGCAATTTGAGCAAAAACAAAACAAAAAAACAAATAAAATAGTATTGGATTATAACCCAAAGTGTAAGAGAAATATCTGTGAGTCCATACTGACATAAATGAATGTCTGAGTAAGTAAACAAATAGATAAGTCTCTAGGGCAGAAAATGTCCAAATATTTTATGTAAATATCCCATTCTGAGAAAAGTAGAGTGTAACTTCCTACTCTTTCAGTGTGAACTGCATATAGTGACTTCCTTCCAAAAAGTTCAGTACAGGAAAAGGGAGAAAAGAGTAATTCTGGAGTCAATAAACTTGGCAAACACTACCCCAGCCTGGAGATCAAGGTCAACGCCAACAGTAATGAATTCTATTGATGGTATGTACCCTTCATAGGATGTGATGAGAATGGCCCTTTATCTCCATGGTCTTCCTCCTGAAACTCAGTACCCCAATGTAATCATGAGAAAAACACCAGACAAATTCCATTTAAGGGACAATCTACAAAGTACCTGACCAGTGGGCTCCTCAAAACTGTCAAAGTCTTCAAAAACAAGGAAAGACTGAGAAAATGTCACAGCCAAGAGGATCCCAAGGAGACATGATGGCTAAATGTAACGTGGTATTCTGGATGGGATCCTAGGAGAGAAAAAGGATGTTAGGGGAAAACCAACGAAATCTGAATAAAGTATGGACTTCAGTTAAATATTGGCTCATTAATTGTGACAAATGTACCATACTAATATAAGATGTTAACAATCGGGGAAATGGGAAAGGGTGGGTATATAGAAACTCTCTGTATTATCTTCACAATTTTTCTGTAAAGCTGAAACTATTCTATAATATAAAGTTTTTAAAAAAAATTTTTGAGACAGGGTCTCACTCTATCACCCAGGCTGGAGTACAGTGGCGTGATTACAGCTCACTGCAGCCTTGACCTCCCAGGTTCAAGCAATTCTCCCACCTCAGACTCTTGATTTGCTGGGACTACAGGCACACGCCACCACACACGGCTAAGTTTTGTATTTTTTTTTTAGAGACAGGGTCTCCCTATGTTGCCCAGGCTGGCCTCAAACTCTTGTGATCAAGTGATTCTCCTTGAGTTCTGTGCTCTGTGAACACAGGCATGAGCCACTGAGCCCAGCCTAAAAAGGTATTTAAAAGATATTAGGGATGGCTGGGTATGGCAACTCACACCTGTAATCTAAGCACTTTGGGAAGCTGAGGCAGGAGGATCACCTGAGCTCAGGAGTTTGAAGCCAGCCTGGGCAACATAGCAAGACCTCATCTCTACTAAAATTAAAAAAAAATTAGCTGGGCATGGTGGTGCACACCTGAGGTTCCAGGTACTCAGGAGGCTAAGGCAGGAGGATTGGTTAAACCCAGGAGTTCAAGGTTGCAGTGAGCTGTGATTGTGCCACTGTACTCCAACCTGAGTGGCAAAGGGAGGCCCTGTCTCAAAAAAATCAAAATTAAAAAAAGACATAAGTAGTAATTATGGAATCTCAGAAGACCAGAGTCAAGCTTTAGAGTCTATGCTGGCAGGAGGAATGCTCCAATAACGGCAGCACTAAATCTAGTCTGAGCTCTGAAAAAACACCAGGACAAATCAAAGGTCTCACATGGTTGAATCTGACCGGTGGTCCCTGGGTCACATGACTGCACTTTAAAAATAAATAAATAATTAAATTAAATTAAATTAAATTAAAACAGGGTCTTGCTCTGTAGCCCAGGCTAGAATGCAGTGGTGTGATCACAGCTCACTGCAGCCTCAATCTCTTGAGCCCAAGCAATCCTCCCACCTCAGCCTCCCAAGAGCTAGGATTACAAGTCCGCACTACCACACCCAGCTAATTTTTTTTGTATTTTTTGTGGAGACGGGGTCCCACTGGGTTGACCAAGCAGATCTTCAACTCCTGGCCTCAAGTGATCCTCCTGCCTTGGCTCCCAAAGGGCCTCCCAAAGCATCTAGCCTCATGCCTGCACTTTTCTGCAAGGAAGGCTGTAAGTGCTAGTTCTGCTTCTAACTTTAAAAGGTGAACTCAAAATACAGGAAGATACCTAAACCAAGAAGCTGTTCAGGATAAAGGAAGAACCACAAGAGTGTGACAAATGTTTTCCAGTGACATAATTCTATTGCATGTCTGTAGATCTTGTTATTCCTGGAAGCATTTAAGCTTTCAAATGTAACAAATCATTTGTCACGCTTCTTCAACACTAAGTAAAAAACAGATGTCACTCATCTGCCTAAAACACTTCAATGTTTCCTCCTTGTCCTTCACATAAAATCCAAAACCCCTCCTCTGGCTTTGAAGGCCCTCCAACAGCTGCCTGTCCCCTGCTTCACCTCACACCACACTCCAGCTAGACTGGAGTTCTCTTGGTGCCTCAGGCCTGTCACACTCCTTCTCTGCATTTTCTGTTTTCTCTCTCTTTCCTCGTCTGTGTCCCCATCCCACTCTGCCTAAATTCTGCTCATCTCTCAAGGCTCAGCTTATGTGCCTCTTCCTCAGGAAGCCTTACGAAATCCTTTCGCTTTAGGCTCCCACAGAACAATAAAAGTTTCCTTTTTGAAAACACACTGAGTTTATCATAAATTGGGTAGCCTGTGTTTTCTCCCCCAAAAACAGAGATTCATTCTGAGACCTGAAAAAAAAAAGAAAGTTGCCTTGGGACAGATAGGAGGGGAGGTTCTTGGAGGTCTGGGATGGGAACAGAGAGGCAGAGAGAAAGGAGGGCCTGAAATCTGTGAGGGAGGCAACGCATTGCCCTGCTGGGGGCTACCTGGAGCCCTGGCCAGGTGGGGTCACCAAGGGAGCCAATGGCAGCCCCCATGCCCAGGGCCCAGCCCCAACCAGGGCAACAATGCCAGGAATAATGCCAATAATCCCAGAAGCCAGGGTGCTTTGTAAGAAAAAGGGGAAGTGCTAGGCAACTACACACGTGTGTGCGCGCACACACACACACACCCCACCCAAATAATGGCTTATCTTCCAAAGCACTGGGAAAATTAAAGCAAAGAAAGCATAGCTCATACAATATGAGAAAAAGAGGAGAGAGAGAAAGAGAAAGCGAGAGAGAATGACAAAGAGAAAATGAAGTGATTCAATAGATAGATAGATCAATAAAGCATAAAAACAGAAAAATAAAATATAGTACATGTTCACGAGCATTAGGACTAGTTGGTCAGTGGGGGTGATTCAAGTATTTTTTTCTCTTCTTTTATATTCAAACACAAAAGGATAAATTTTTCAAGAGTATTTTATTGCAACATTGAAAGAGGGCATGTCAAGCATTGTTAGCCTGCCAAATCAGAAAAAAAAAGAAAGAAAACAACTAATGTAATACAATAAATACCCAAGTTGACTGAGAAAAAGTTCTCACCTGTCCCTGGCTCCCAACTTTTCACCTGACAATGGAAAAATCCCCAGAATTTCACAAGAAATACTGTGGGGTCCATGATACGAGGAGCTGCCCAGGTATTGATAACACCCCAAGACCTGCTAGAGACAGGACTAGAGCACTATCAATGGTGGGACTTCCTGGGCGAGGCCACACTGCCAGCAGAAGGGCAGGTGCCCATGTAGCGACCTCCCTGGAGAAGCAAGGCATGCATACAGTGGGGGAGGGAGCCAAAGTCACAAGACAAAGCAAAGCGACAGGTGTCCCAGCTTCCTCAAGGGAGGAAGCCAAGGCAATGCTGCACTTGTTGGGTTCAGGCTGGGGCACAGACTCCAGATAAAAACACATCCTCACTGACTCAGGCTCTTTCAGTTTCAAGAAAAAGCAATGGTTGGGGTCAGGAGCACAGCCTCGTAAGGTCCCCATGCACAGAAACCAGGAGGATCAGAAGGGCTGGGAGGATCTGAGGCAGCCCTGGGAACGGGAGCAGCCGGAGCCCTTCAGGCTGCCCTCCGGGACCTCCATTGCGACTCCTCTGAGCCGTTCTCTTTTCTCTGCCAACTATAATCCTCTGCAGTCACTTCTTTTTTTTTGAAACAAAGTCTTGCCCTGTTGCCCAGGCTGGAGTGCAGTGGTGGGATCTCAGCTCACTGCAACCTCTGCCTCCCAGATTCAAGCAATTCTCCTGCCTCAGTCTCCCAAGTAGTTGGAATTACAGGTGCCCACCACCATGCCCGGCTAATTTTTGTATTTTTAGTAGAGATGGGGTTTCACCATGTTGGCCAGGCTGTCTCGAACTCCTGACCTCAGGTGACCCACCCACTTCAGCCTCCCAAAGTGCTGGGATTATAGGCATGAGCCACCATGCCAGGCCTGTATTCATGTCTTTCCCCTGCCTCATAGCTTCTGCTCATTGCTAGTTTCTTCCAATGCCACGTGACGGCCCCTCCAGCCTTTCTCTTAACTCAGTGCCTTCCAGCTCAACTTCCTTTTGTTAACAGCCTCATCCTCTTGCTATTTCCTGGTTCAAATTCTTTCCCAGAGAAATGGTCTGATTTTCCCAGCTCATCTCTTTGCCAAAACCAACCAGAGATCCCCGACCAGCCTTGTTCTTGTCACCTCCCATTTCCTCCATTGGTGAGGGAGGGATCCCCTGCTCTAAATAGGACAAGATGGCCAAAACAAGACATTTGACACTGTGCAGGTGAGACTGGCAGCAGTTTACTAGTCACAAATACAGTCTACTGGGGAAAGATATCATAAGCCACACAGGGCCACATGGGGTCACCCTCAGGAGCAGAGTGAACCAGCCAGGGCTGTGGGAGGCAGGCCTTGTAGTAATAAAAGGATGAGATGCCCCGGATTCCTGTAGGAGGATGTGATTGGCTTGTTTGAATAGTTTCTCAGGCTGGCAGAGAAGTGAAACCCATTAAGTAGAAAACTGGGTGGCATGCAGCTGGTCCAGATGATAGGAAATTAGCCAGGTGGGGACCGAGGGCAAGGATATATCTGGTGAGAGGCAGGGAACTCAGGGTTAGGTCTTTGGGGCCCTGTGAGGCATAAAATGTCACAGCAGCACGTGGTATTTCAGGTCTTACAATACAAGCCTGTGCCCTCAGCTGTGACCCATTTGCACCCAGAACAACACACTGCTGGTTACAGTTATTTAAGGAAGCATCTTTTCCTGAGGACCTTAATGAAGACCTGTGCTCACTCCACCCTCCTCTCCTCTCTGTGGTGGCTGCTGCCTGGATTCCAGCTTCAGCCACTGGACTTGGGATTTGGAACTGATGCCTGTGGAACTGGGTCTCTGTGAAGAGTGGGGAACCTGCTGAGACTTGTTCTTGGGAATTGAGCTATAGACTAGAAGATTGTGCAGTAAACAAGAAGAAAGATCACCAAGATCGTGACATTGGAGACCTTGCTCTACTTTAATAAAAACTAGAGATAAGTACTGGTCACATTTTGTGGCATTTCCAGGACTGGAACTTCCCCAGTCCTTGTTATTTTTGACTCCCCAGATGTTTCCTGAGGATACCCTAGAACTTCATGTCCACCAGAGGAGACTGCCTTTCCCACATATTCACCTGGACAACCAGAAATGAAAAAGTGCACTTGGAGTGAGTCCTTGACCCAGGCAGCATTTTATTCTGAGGAAGCTGGAAGGTGAATTCATGAAGGCACTGAAGGCTGCTTCCCATGCACAAGACACAGGAAGATAGGAAATGCAGAAGGAGGAGGAGGTGCCGGAGAGGTGAGGACAGGGGCTGGATGGACGCTGGGTGGAAGGCAGGGCTCGGCACTCCAGTGTACTAAGGGAGTGGAAGGAGAAGGGAGGCTGGGTGCCAGCCGAGCTCTGAAGGAGATACAAGTCCGTGTCAGCCACTGACTTGAACCAGAGAAGAACGGGTTCAGGCTTTAGATGATGTGGATGAAGAAACCACTGGGGACATACCATGAGCAGGATTTCCAAGAACAGAGCTATTTGCACTGCAAACACAGCCAGCTGCTAGCTGCCAGCACAGCTAAGCAGAGACATGGAAATTCTAGGGGGTTTGGCCAAGAAAAGCCCTGGATGACAATATCAGGAGAATTGCTTGGTTGCTCTGGAGTAACTTTGATGTGATGAAGCTGAGGTTTCTCTGAAAGAGTGGAAAACCCCAGGGTGTTATGCCGGATTACGGGTCTTGATCCTCCTTAGCAGGGCAATTGGAACTTCTAAATCCTCTCTACCCACCCCTCCCACTTTAACCTGAATTCTCCTTTCCATTCCAGCTGCCTCCAAGACGTCAGAGAATTTCCAGCCAAGACAGACGGACTCCAGAATGCCACTGTGGGACAATTTTGAAGCAAGAAAAATTAACGTGCAAAGTCATCCTGGAGTCTGGGGAAGAAAGAGGCATTTCCTCATGTTTAACAAGCGTTGGAGCTCAAAGAGTGAGCTTGGGAGCCTGTCCTGTCACGGTTCTGATGGGACATAGGGTCGCTTACAAATGAAAAGAAACGTTTTGTCACATGGGGCATCATTCCAGGCCTGAAGTGAGGGAGCCTTTATATTGCCACAGTGTTCATTGTTCCCAGCATTGTTGGGCTCACCTGGAATCCAGAACCTACCAAGAGCGGGGAAAAAGATGGATTTACAAAGTGGAAAATCAAAAAGAACTTATTTCCAGTGAAGAAATGAGTTAACTCAACCCAAGCTTTTGTCCTAGGGAATGGCATAGCAAATGTCTGCACCCAAGCCTCAGAGGAAGGGGACTGGTGAGACTTCGACCTCTAAGCTTTCACATGCCCCAAGTCCAGGCCAAACCAACCCACCACTTTCAAGTCCCTACACAAACCCACACTGTGAAGACCTAGACTCATGACAAGATCCCTGAAGCTGGCCAGGTAGAAGGCCTTGTTGCCAAACCCCAGAGGGCGTGGAGGGCTCAGGTCCACAGCCAGTTGGTGACAGGGTTGTGCTCGATCTTGGTTGCAATGTTCCTGTCACTCTAAGACAGGGAAGAATCAGAAACCCTGTCTCATGGGGAACATCGCCCCCACTCCCTTCATGCCCTGGCCATGGCCGGGGAAAGTCAGGCTGGCACGGAGGGCTCCAGGGGCTTACCTCACACTTTGGACCTTGTTGAATGGCGTGTCATCCACCCAGGACCAGTCCCCTTCCATCCCTGCTTTAGTCAGGCCAATCCAGTAGATGAGTCCCCCCGCTGTTTTATACAGAAACTCCTGTAGGAAAGACAGGATAAGCAGAGGTGCGGCCACACTTGGAGCTTGATCATCTGTCTCTGGGTGTTCTTCACCTGCGCTCAGTGACAGCCCTGACCCACAGATGCGCTGCACAAACTGGCCTCTCAAGCTTCTTCCTGCCCTTGCCCAGAGCCCAGATTTCATCTTCCAGATTATGATGTGTCCCTGCTCTGCAGCTAACAAGCTCAGGACTCAAGCCTTTCTGCCACTCAGGAAGCAGGTGCTGAAGCACAGGAAGGCCTCAGCTGAACTCCAGAGCACGGACCGCAAGAGAATGGTTCATATGATAATACCTGAATTAAATGAGCCCTGAATCCACATACGGCACTGTGCTGAGTCGTCCATATGCATTCTCTCCTTTCCTCTGAGGCAGGTGCCATCACCATGCATGTTTCATCAAGTGAGGGCCAGTGAAGTTTGCCCAGTGAAGTTGGGTATTCCACCCAAGCTGCTAGGACTAGTTAGATGGCAAGGTTCAGGCTCTAGAACTACGCCAGAGCCCAGGCTCTGACCTGCTCTGCTATCCCACCTCCCAGATGAAAAGGGCCTGCCCAATTTCTGCCTCACCAGGCAGGAGACTTCTTGAGTCATGTGGAATCATTAAGGCTGTTCACAAATATTTCTTTTTTTCTGGGCACATGGAAAGTAGATCCTCTCTGCCCTGTTCCAGGAGTACTGGAATCCAGGATCCTCCCAATCCAGGAGTACTGCATAACTTACTTAACTTAATTAACATAACTTAAGCTAGTGAAATGTAAGCAAAAATGAGGTATGTTAAATCTGGGCAGAAGCTTTGCACAATATGTCAAGTTCCCCTTTCCTGCCCCAGCAATTGTGGAGACATATTAAGATGAAGACTCCTTGGGCCTGGGTCCTTGAGTAGCCACAGTGAGCACAGCCCCCTTGCCGGCCCTTATTCGACATGCTACTGAGAACCAATCCTTCTTCATTAGGTCATCAATATTTGGGGATTTTTGTTCACGCAGTATAATCTTGCCCATCCTCCCTGGCCCAGTGCTCATACGCCCCCTTCACAGAGCCCATAGGCACAGCACTCACCTGCTCACTCTCTGAGGTCACCGAGGTCAGGTGTGAATTCCTGGACACACAGAACTGCTCGGCACTATACCAGGTCTTTGGAATGAGAGAAAAGTAATAGAAGTTCCCCTTGAAGTACTTCCAGCCTTGAGAAACCACCTGTAGAATATCATCTAGAGAACAAGAGGTAAAAGTGAACGCTGGTATTCTTGATTTCTTGGGATGCTGGCTTGGTGGGGGCACTTGAATGAGGTCTCAGAGACAGCAGCAAATGGAGCTGTGCGCTGGTGTCCTTGGGTCCTTGTATAGGAGATTAGGGACACTCTTTCAAATCCTGAAAGTCAGACAGAGACTAATAGAGTCTCTGGGACTGGAGAGGTTATAATGCAAGAGGTTGGACAAAGAGTGTCTTCCCCATGATGAGGAAGCAACCCTCCATCGGCCATGACAAGTGGCTGAGCCCCTGGACTCTAGAAAGGAACTTGATGGGAAATGACTAGGTGTGGGCCAGGGTGGACATCCCCTAATGCTTTTACATTCTGCACTTTTGTGTGGGAGCTCTAGCTGGACCCTGGTCTCTTTTCTCCTAACAGCCCCTAAGTCCTCCCCAACCTCAAGCCCTCTCTCCTTAACTTCCTAGCCCATGGCTGCCCCTCTTTTGCCCCCACTCTCCTCCCCAACCCACCAGCCCAATGGCCTCAGGTCTGGGACAGGTAAGATCCCATGGGCCACTGGTCAGCTTCAATGTAATTTTCTGAGTCACTTACTTTGTCGTTTGAGCAACTTGCTCATATTCTCCAAGCTGCCCTGGAGTGCCCGGATCTTTGTATTTAAAGCACTGGCTTTCTCCAAATCACTTTTTAACTCTGGGATTTGGGCATTTAAGGTACTGACTTCTTCCCAACTTCTTGTTAAGATCTGGATCTGTGCGTTGGCCTTCTCCACACTGGTTTTTAACTTCAGGAACTGAGAACGCACATAACCCAGGCTCTCATTCACCATCTGGATCTGAACGCCAGCTGCCTCCATGCCGTCACTATTCTTTTTAATTTCAGAATCCAGGGTGCTGATGTTGTCCACACGACCTTTCAGCAACTGGACATTGGTCTTTACATCTGATATGGTGCCCATAAACCGGGGATCTGGGATTGAGAAAGTCAGGAGGTCAGCTGAGGGGAGTCCCAGGGACAGGAGTGGGGGTGTTGTCAGGTTGATCAAAGGAAGGGAAGGAATAGGCTGAAGCTTCCCAAAGAACCAAGACAGTCCAATGGGCCACCCCAACCCTCCAATCATTCATTAACGTACAACAAACGTGCAATGGGCACCTACCATGTGCCAGGAACACAGGTGGATACAGATAATGGGGAGATTGATAAAACACAGGCTCTCTGTGAAAAGATTTCACAGGCAAGCAGAAGCAGGAGTTAGAAACCATTCCTGAATTTTCTGAGTGTTCAGGGAACATTTGATAAAGGGTGCCCTCCATGAGCCCCACCACTGTCCCCAGAACTTGATTCCCCCTAGACCCCACCCCTTGGTTGCCATCCCTCTGTTTTCAGAAACCCCTGCAGTGGCCATCTGCTAGGACAGCACCACTCCCCCACATCTGTCCATGGGCCCCTCTGTGACCATGGGAAGAACCAGCCACTAATCTGGAAGTGGCTTCTCCAGAGAACATGGAAGAGGAGATTACAAAACTGTTTCTCCCCTTCCCTTGCCCCACCCACTTTCACATTCTGCTCAGGTCCCAGGCCTGGGTACCAGAGAGAGGATCAAAGATAAACCAAGAGGCTCAAAGGCGAGCCCTGAGGAAAATGCGATGTTAGAGGCCAGGGGTCTAGGATGGGGCAAGGGGGACTCTGCTCAGAGCCTACAAGTCTAAGCCCAAATATGTCCCGAGGCCACAGAGGGAGAAAAAAAAACCCAACAGCTTCTTGGGTCCCTTTGCTCTGCTTCCTGGAGCCCTGGCAGGAGGAAGAAGGCTCTGCCAGCAGCAAAGGCCATGAAGCCTGACAGAGCCAGAAAAGGAAGAAAGATAAACCATGCAACATCAAATGAGCAGGAAGCCTCCCTAGATGTGATCTTCACAGGGACAGGAGAATGAAGACAGCACCAACGAGTCCTGGGGAGAGGGGACTGAGTCATGGAGATCTGTTGGCTCGTTGGCCAGGCTCTCCATCTGGTGAGCTGGGGCCAATGATACATGAGGCTCGGTCCTTCACAGGGTCAGGAGACATTGCACTGTCAAGGACTGTCCACAAGGCTCTAGATCCAAGGAGCAGAGCTCAGATTGGTGGGGGGTGGACGGGGAGAAAATAGCACAGGATGTAAAACTAGATCAATGTTTCCTGAGGACAAAAGAATGTATCCTTGAGCACCAATGTGCAAATGCTAATCCCAATAATCTCCCAGAAATTGGGAGGGAAAGAGCATCAGCTCACCGTACTGGGGGCAGCACAGCCTGTTACTGCACATGGAAAGAGGAGGAAGGAGACAAATGAAAAAGCCACAGGCAGGAGAAACCCGGAGAGCAGGGAAGTGGTCTCGATCTGAAGGGAGCCGGCTGGCCACAGAGAGGGGCTAAGCCCAGACGATGAAACATGAGGACTTACAAAGGACGGCCTGCAGCAGGACGGAGGCGACCAGGACCAGCGTCAGGCAGATTAATGCAGCACGGACTGTGGGTGTTTTCCCCGGGACCAGAGATGGACCGGACTTGGGAGGAGGCTCTGTTGGAAGAAGAAGAAAATGTGTGTTGAAGGAGCAGCAAAGGGCAGGTTTGCACACAGAACACGGAGCAGGTTCTCAGCAGCGATGTGGCTTGCCTCGGGGCCAGAGGGAGATGTTCTGTTTGTCCACAGTGAAGTGCGCATCAGGGGCCTCCTTCTCCACAGTCATCCTGAGTGCTCACCCTTATCCTGGGAGCACAGGTGCTTCTGGCTGCCTGTCTCTCCAAGGGCTCTTATCTAGAGGAAACAGGAAGTCAGTCCCACAGCAGGTCACCATATCATCCCAACTTCCCTATTCCTGACTAGATACCTTGTCTGGCTTACTCCCATCCTCAGAAGTCTGAGCTTTCAGGAAGAGGCCATTTGTTGTCTTCTCTGGGGGTCTGTTACATGGATACATTAACCATCTTGTCCCAAACCTATCCCATTTCTCTTGTAAGACTCTCGTCATCCATCCACCCATCCATTCACCCCACAAATACAGGCTGAGTGCCTTCTAGGTACTGATGCTCTACCAGGCATAGGGCCACAGTGATGAATAACTCGCAGTCCTTGCACCAAGCAGCTCATAGTCTGGTAGGAAAGACAGACATGAGCAAATAAATTGCAAGGTGATGAGCACAAGAGACAAATATGCCCAGTTCAAAGAAGCATATGAAATGGAGTAATGGGAAAAAAAAAAATCCAGTAGAAAGATAAGCATATGCCAAAGGATGGAGCATAAGATAGCATGGAGTGCTTGGCAAATTGTAAATAGTTGCAATATTGCTGGAATGTAAAATATACATTCCAACAGGAAGGGGATGCACACGGGGTTGAAGAGGCACCTGGGGTCTGATGATGAAGATCCTTCTGATCATGTCAAGGAGCTGGACCTCTGGCTTGTGGGTGACATGGGGCCAATTAAGGACTTCAGGCAGGAGAGAGACAAGGACAGGGACACTGTAGAAACATCACTCTGATCCTGGTGAGGAGCAGACTGGTGGGGAGAAGCCTGGAAGCAGAGATACCAAATAGGCAACCATTGCAATAGAATATCCTGCTTCCTGTTATTAATGCATCTTGGCTGATACAATATCCCTTTATAATATGCAACTTGGAGATTCAAAGTGTAAACCTAAGACTTGGGTTCTCCTCCCTGCTTCCTGCACCATGTGAGATTTTCAAAAAAAGTAGGGGCGCTCAGCAACCTCAGACTAGGAATCGTTCTGTTTCTCTCTCCTCTCTCTCTGTCCGCACCTCCTCTCTCCTTCTTTGTAGTCCTAAATAGAGAGTTCCATATGTGCAAGAAGCTCAGGGCACAGAAGAGCTGATTTGGGCTCAATGAAGGACTAAATTTTCTCCTGGGCGGCTTCTCATGCTTTGAAGAAGTCTGCCAAATCTGAGAAATTTGGCACATGGCAGACTCTAGACAAATATTTCTTGGAATATAGGAAAGAGGAGAGGAAAGAGGGAGGGAAGGAAAGAAAAAAGAAGGAAATTGGTCCAGATAATTGGAGGATGGGTGAATGGATGAATGGATGGATAGAGGATGCATGGATGGATGTGTGAATGGTAAGTGACTTGGAGACTTGATAGCTGATCATGCCACTCAGACATTTACACAGTCTGGGGCCTGGGATCTGCCTTCTAGAAGCTGCTGCTTTTTTCCACTGTCTCCAGAAGTTCTCATTCATCTTCAATGCAAAAGCATAAGGGGAAGTGTGATTTACTCCTTACCCAGGAATGAACAAAAGCTCTGGCCGCAGGAAAAGAAAGCTGTCCTGGGCCTGCTGAGGCTGAGCCAGTGGAGCTGGATGACAGCCTGTATCAGGGACCAGGATTAGAGGTTAAGTTAACAGGGCCAAGGAAATATCTACCTATGCTTTCAGGGGCTACTGCCACCTTTGGTACTTGGGAGGATAGTGGCTGCACGCTCAGCCCATGCCTATGTGCAGCTCATTGTAGTTACAGGCCCTTGATGCTCTCTCTCCAGCTAACCGGGCCTCAGGCTGGAGTGGCTTCTCGGACTGGATGAGGGAACCCAGAGAGGACCCCACACTGGGAAGCTCTGGGAAGGAAACTGGGTAGCAAAGATGGTGTCTCATTTGTTCTGTCCCATCGCTTCCCTACCCAGCCTGTCTGTAACTTCCAGGCCTGCTGTCTGCTCTAAATTTTAACATTTGATAGTCCCGAATATGAGGGCCTGGCTCCACATCACTGCCTGCCTCTGGGTGTCCATGAAGATTCCTACTCTCTTCAGGTGGCTCGTGTGGTTGCAGAGCCTTGGTTCCATCAGGGCTTAGACAGGATTAGAATGTTCCACTTCTGGACTCTCATGCTTGGGACCCAGCCTAACTCCAGAATCATCTCTGCCCTTCTGCTCCTGGCTCCTGGCCCTTCATCCATAGCCTGTCCTATTTCTGGGCCTGGGGATAGAGAAGAATCCAAATTACTCAAGACCCTGGTAGAAGGGGCCTTGCAGGGGTCCATGTCTCCTCCTGAGGCATTTGCGGGAAAGAAGCCGCCACACAGTGTGCCTGGGAAGTGTCTTGTCCATTTCCGCTCGGTCAGGAAGTTGGGTTTTCTCTGCTGGTTTGTGGTATGAGTTATACTTTATAGAGCCCCCCAGATGCCCTCTCATTGGTCCCAGGAAAGGATGAGGAAGCCTTAGCGGCTGGGCCCATGGCATAGGAAGGGGCTGGAGCAGGGAGCATTTACTCCAAGTGATGGAAATGCAGGCTGAGGTAGGTAGAATAGCTACCGCTAGGCGAAAGGCTGTTCCAGCATGAGGAAGCTGAGCAAAGGCATGGAATCCTGGGCTGTGGGCCTTCTGGGGTTTCAGAGGAGGTGGATGTAAAAGTCCCAAACCATAGGAAGTTTCATTTCCCACTTTGTGGAGAGGGAGGGAGTCAGAAGCCATCTTCCTATTATCATGCTCATCTACAGGTCTTTCCTGAGCACCTCTCCTGTGCAAACCTCTGGATGCTCTATCTGGCACCTGGCCTGGCAGGAGAAAAGACAGAGAAGCAGGCAGGTGCCTTGGCCACACTTTCCAGTCAGGAAGGTGGGCAGTTCTCCCGGGCACTCAGACAATGCCCTGCTCTTCCAAACAGAAGAGGAACTCTGGCCAGACCTAGTGACCAAAAAAATCACCGCTGTGATGAGAACGGGAAGTCTGTGCTCATTTTTTTAGTTTCTCCTCTTCCTGTGTTCCTGGGGTTCTAATATTTTCTCTGGATAAGGATGGAGGAAGAAAACAGCTTGGTCACTTTTTCCCTTTCTCTGGTTGAGACTATGGTTGGGCCCAGCCTTATGCTTGGAGGAGAACCATGGGTTTAATCAACAAGACTGGAACAGAGACCTGGGTTGTATGAAATGCTCCAGCAGTGCCAAGAGTCATCTCCAGGGAGGAGTCACCCAAGTCCCTCAGTCAAGTCATGGAGGAAAGTAGAGTGAACACCAAATTGCGGAGTGGGGACAGGGAAGGAGAAGAGAGGGAGGAGGGGAGAATGACTCTGAAATGAGAGGAGATTACAGCTGGTCACACCTGGCTTACATAGGGACTCCTGTGATGTGATGCGGGATTTGGCCCACAGCCTCCAAAAAATCAAGGGATTCCATGCCACCCTCCGGACATGCGCCCTGGGCACAGGGGATAGGGCAGAGAAACCAAGGAGCATAGGTGGCACCATTCACTCCTCTAGTCCTGCTGTGCACTAGGTACCAGGACACAGCAAGGAAAAAGACAACCACAGACCCTGCCCTCAGGAATGGTTTTCCTATTGTTGAAAAAATATGACATCCTTAATGCTGGGGAGAAGGGAAGGCTCTCCCGAGACTAAAAATGACTGACGACACTATAGGGGCCTTCCCAGGTCTCCTTGGACCCTGATAACGGGTTCCTCTTTTATGACATTATATGAGGACAGGTCTCTTTGGAACAGTGACAATAAGCCAGACCCTACTGATCAGGGTATTTCACCCAGTGCCATCATAAATAGTGTGATATGTAAATAGGCTGGCAACCTAGCCACATGGAAGAGCTGCTGTGTACCCGGCAGAGGAGGCTGCCCCAGACTACGTCATAAGTCAAAGAACTCATGCCTATAGCCTCAGTGGGAAGGGCAAATCTATGTCAGGAAAGTAATGAAAGGCTTTTGGGAAAAAAAATGTGCATAGTTTCTTTTTAAATCTTTTATTTATTATATAATTAATGATAATTAATTATAGAAAAAAATCCAAGTAAGAAAAAAACCCACCATAGGCTGGGTGCAGTGGCTCATGTCTGTAATCCCAGCACTTTGGGAGGCCAAGGTGGGTGGATCACCTGGGGTCAGGAGGTTGAGACCAGCCTGCCCAACATAAGTGAAACTCGTCTCTACTAAAAATACAAAAATCAGCCAGGCATGGTGGTGGGTGCCTGTAGTCCCAGCTACTCGGGCGGCTGAGGCGGGAGAATCACTTGAACCTGGAAGGTGGAGATTGCAGTGAGCTGAGATTGTGCCACCGCACTCCAGCCTGGGTGATAGAGTGAGACTCTGTTTCAAAACAAAACAAAACACAACAAAACCATCGTAGAGAAAACAAATGTTGTACCCATAGTTCAGTCTTCCTAACCACCCACGTGTATATGTATACACATCTATATCTATAGCCATAGCTGTGTCTAATCATAACTATGCATATATTATATACATATTCACAACACAATTCCTGCTTATTTTCCCTAGCATCCTTCCCCACCTCTCCTGCCTTTCTTTTTTGTTTTTTTGTTTTGTTTTCTTTTGTTTGAGATAGAGTCTCACTCTGTTGCCCAGGCCGGAGTGCAGTGGCGTGATCTCGGCTCACTACAACCTCCGCCTCCAGGGTTCAAGCAATTCTCCTGCCTCACCCTCCTGAGTAGCTGGGACTACAGGCGTCTGCCACCACATCCGGCTAATTTTTTGTATTTTTAGTAGAGACGGGGTTTCACCGTGTTAACCAGGATGGTCTCAATCTCCTGACCTTGTGATCCACCTGCCTTGGCCTCCCAAAGTGCTGGGATTACAGGCGTGAGCCACTGCGCCCAACCTCTCCTGCATTTCTGATACCAAAAATCCCCCTCCATTGGGAAATTTTTTCAGTTTGTGATTCAAATGGGGCTGCTGATCCTAGATACCCGCAGGTGTAGGAGTGACAACTTGCAATGATGGGTGCCCAGGGTTTGGGTAGGAAGGTAGCTCTCCTCTCTCCCTAAACTGAGGGACCTAAAGATATGACTATAGGGCAGCTAGTAACCAGTTCCTCTGTCATGTGGAAGACCCCAGTAGAATAAGACCAGCACAGAGACAGAAGCTGTAACAAAAAATGAAGAGACAGAAAGTGAGTCCTGGTGCCTTTGAGTGCTGGATCCTGTTGAACTTGAGTTCCATTCCCCACAGACACTGTGTTTCTTGGTTTGGTTATGTGAACACAAAAATGAAAATCTCTTATTTTCATTTGAATTTAATTGGATGAGTTTCTGTTTCTTGCAACCAAAGAGTCCTGTCCAATGCGTTATGTAAGCATATACATTTTTTTTTACAAAACTAGACTTATACCCTATAGTGTGTAAGTTTTTTTTGTGTAATAATATATTATGGATAACCTTAAAATCAAACTTACATCTGCATAATAACTTTTATTTTTATTTCATGCTCTATTGTAACTTCATTTTCACTTTTTATATTTGATACATTTGGATTTCATGATTTTCCATTTTTTTCTTATCTCTTATGGTTTTGTTCAAGTATTCCATGATTTTAGAAAGGAATCTAACTTATCCATTTCTAAATGGGTAGCCTGCTGTCCAGATACCATTTTTTAAAACCATGCATAATTTTATCTCTGATTATGAAGTACCATCTTCATCATGTGTTTCATAATATGTTTGAGTTTGTTTCATATCTTTAAAGGTCTGTTTCTGGACTTTCTGTTGTGTTCCATTTGTCTTTCTATTGATATAACAAAACTCTACAATATTAATTAGTATAGCTTTATAATAAAGGCCCTATCTCCAGACACAGTCATATTGAGGATTAGGGATTCAACATGTAAATGAACAGAAAACACAATTCAATCCATAACAGAGCTCATAGAACAGACTAGCAGAAAAATATAACCCGTAATAAGGATAAAAACCAATCTACTGAAACGAACCCAGAAATGATACAGATGTTAGAATTTCCAGACAAGGACATTACAATAGACATTATAACTGTGTTTCTTGTGTTCAAACAGTTAAATAGAGACATGAAACATTTAATAGATACAAATTGAACTTATAATGACTGAAAAAACTACAATGCCTGGTATGAAAAATACACTGAAAGGGATTAATGGCAGGTTATAAATTGTAGAAGAAAAGATCAATGAAGTTGAAGATATGCCAATAGAAACTATGCAAAATGAAGCTCAGAGAGAAAAAATAACAGAACATCAGGAAGTCTGAGACAACTTCATGCAATTTAATATACGTGGATTTGAAGTCCTCAAAGCGGGTGGAGAGGGACAGAAAACATATTCAAAGAAACAATGGTCAAAATGTTTCCAAGTTTAAGAGCTATTTATTTATATAATAACATGGATGGGTCCATTCCAAGATGGCCAAATAGGAACAGCTCCGGTCTGCAGCTCCCAGCGTGATCGACATAGAAGAAGGGTGATTTCCGCATTTTCAACTGAGGTACCTGGTTCATCTCATTGGGACTGGTTGGACAGTGGGTGCAGCCCACAGAGGGCGAGCCAAAGCAGGGTGGAGTGTCACTTCACCCAGGAAGCACAGGGGTTGGGGGATTTCCCTTTCCTAGCCAAGGGAAGCCATGACAGACGGTACCTGGAAAATCGGTACACTCCTGCCCAAATACTGCTTTTCCTACGGTCTTAGCAACCAGCAGACCAGGAGGTTCTCTCCTGTGCCTGGCTCAGAGGGCCCCACACCCACGGAGCCTTGCTCACTGCTAGCACAGCAGTCTGAGATCGACCTGCGAGGCTGCAGCCTGGCTGGGGGAGGGGCATACACCATTGCTGAGGCTTGAGTAGGTAAACAAAATGGTCAGGAAGCTCAAACTGGGCACAGCCCACCACAGCTCAGCAAGACCTACTGCCTCTACAGGCTCCACCTCTGTGGGCAGGGCATAGCTAAACAAAAG
Organism: Homo sapiens; assembly: GCF_000001405.40. Classification (NCBI taxonomy): domain Eukaryota; kingdom Metazoa; phylum Chordata; class Mammalia; order Primates; family Hominidae; genus Homo; species Homo sapiens. The sequence goes on from NC_000002.12 coordinate 70,842,759, forward strand.
GCAGCAGACAACTTCCGCAGACTTAAACATCCCTATCTAACAGCTCTGAAGAGAGCAGTGGTTCTCCCAGCACAGCGCTTGAGCTCTGAGAACAGACAGACTGCCTCCTCAAGTGAGTCCCTGACCCCCGTGTAGCCTAACTGGGAGACACCTCCCAGTAGGGGCAGACAGACACCTCATATAGACGGGTGACCCTCTGGGATGAAGCTTTCAGAGGAAGGATTAGGCAGCAATATTTGCTGTTCTGCAGCCTCTGCTGGTGATACCCAGACAAACAGGGTCTGGAGTGGACCTCCAGCAAACTCCAGCAGACCTGCACTGACTGTTAGGAGGAAAACTAACAAACAGAAAGGAATAGCATCAACATCAACATCAACAAAAAGGACATCCACACCAAAACCAAGCCAACATCAAAGACCAAAGGTAGATAAAACCACGAAGATGGGGAGAAACCAGAGCAGAAAAGCTGAAAATTCTAAAGAACAGAGCACCTCTTCTCCTCCAAAGGATCGCAGCTCCTCGCCAGCAACAGAACAAAACTGGGTGGAAAATGACTTTGACGAGTTGACAGAAGTAGGCTTCAGAAGGTCGATAATAACAAACTTCTCTGAGTTAAAGGAGCATGAGCTAACCCATTGCAAGGAAGCTAGAAACCTTGAAAAAAGGTTAGACGAATGGCTAACTAGAATAAACAGTGTAGAGAAGACCTTAAATGACCTGATGGAGCTGAAAACCATGGCACGAGAACTTCGTAACACATGCACAAACTTCAATAGCTGATTCGATCAAGTGGAAGAAAGGATATCCGTGATTGAAGATCAAATTAATGAAATAAAGCGAGAAGACAAGATTAGAGAAAAAAAGAGTAAAAAGAAACAAACAAAGCCTACAAGAAATATGGGACTATGTGAAAAGACCAAATCTACGTTTGATTGGTGTACCTGAAAGTGATGGGGAGAATGGAACCAAGTTGGAAAACACTCTTCAGGATATTATCCAGGAGAACTTCCCCAACCTAGCAAGGCAGACCAACATTCAAATTCAGGAAATACAGAGAACACCACAAAGATACTCCTCAAGAAGAGCAACGCCAAGACACATAATTGTCAGATTCACCAAAGTTTAAATGAAGGAAAAAATGTTAAGGCCAGCCAGAGAGAAAAGTCGAGTTACCGAGAAAGGGAAGCCCATCAGACTAACAGCGGATCTCTCAGCAGAAACCCTACAAGCCAGAAGAGAGTGGGGGCCAATATTCAACATTCTTAAAGAAAAGAATTTTTAACCCAGAATTTCATATCCAGCCAAACTAAGCTTCATAAGTGAAGGAGAAATAAAATCCTTTACAGACAAGCAAATGCTGAGAGATTTTGTCACCACCAGGCCTGCCTTACAAGAGCTCCTGAAGGAAGCACTAAACATGGAGAGGAACAACTGGTACCAGCCACTGCAAAAACATGCCAAATTGTAAAGACCATTGATGCTATGAAGAAACTGCATCAATTAATGGGCAAAATAACCAGCTAACATCATAATGACAGGATCAAATTCACACATAACAATTATTAACCTTAAATGTAAATGGGCTAAATGTCCCAATTAAAAGACAAAGACTGGCAAATTGGATAAAGAGTCAAGACCCATCAGTGTGCTGTATTCAGGATACCCATCTCACGTGCAGAGACACACATAGGCTCAAAGTAAAGGGATGGAGGAAGATCTACCAAGCAAATGGAAAGCAAAAAAAAGCAAGAGTTGCAATCCTGATAAATAAATCTCTGATAAAACAGACTCTAAACCAACAAAGATCAAAAGAGACAAAGAAGGCCATTACATAATGGTAAAGGAATCAATTCAACAAGAAGAGCTAACTATCCTAAATATATATGCAGCCAATACAGCAGCACCCAGATTCATAAAGCAAGTCCTTAGAGACCTACAAAGAAACTTAGACTCCCACACAGTAATAATAGGAGACTTTAACACCTCACTGTCAATATTAGACAGATCAACAAGACAGAAGGTTAACAAGGATATCCAGGACTTGAACTTGGCTTTGCACCAAGCAGACCTAATAGATAGCTACAGAACTCTCCACCCCAAATCGACAGAATATACATTCTTCTCAGCACCACATCGCACTTATTCTAAAATTGACCACATAATTGGAAGTAAAGCACTCCTCAGCAAATGTAAAAGAACAGAAATCACAACAAACTGGCTCTCAGACTACAGTGCAATCAAATTAGAAATCAGGATTAAGAAACTCACTCAAAACCACACGACTACATGGAAACTGAACAACTTGCTCCTGAATGACTACTGGGCAAATAACAAAATGAAGGCAAAAATAAAGATGTTCTTTGAAACTAATGAGAACAAAGACACAACATACCAGAATCTCTGGAACACATTTAAAGCAGTATGTAGGGGGAAATTTATAGCACTAAATGCCCACAAGAGAAAGCAGAAAAGATCAAAAATCGACACCCTAACATCACAATTAAAAGAACTAGAAAAGCAAGAGCAAACATATTCAAAAGCTAGCAGAAGGCAAGAAATAACTAAGATCAGAGCAGAACTAAAAGAGATAGAGACACAAGAAACCCTTCAAAAAATGAATGAATCCAGAAGCTGGTTTTTTGAAAAGATCAACAAAATTGATAGACCACTAGCAAGACTAATAAAGAAGAAAAGAGAGATGAATCAAATAGATGCAATAAAAAATGATAAAGGGGATATCACCACCGATCCCACAGGAATACAAACTACCATCAGAGAATACTATAAACACCTCTATGCAAATAAACTAGAAAATCTAGAAGAAATGGATAAATTTCTGGACACATACACCCTCCCAAGACTAAACCAGGAAGAAGTGAATCCCTGAATAGACAGGCTCTGAAATTGAGGCAATAATTAATGGCCTACCAAACAAAAAAAGTCCAGGACCAGATGGATTCACAGCCGAATTCTACCAGAGGTGCAAAGAGGAGCTGGTACCATTCCTTCTGAAACTATTCCAATCAACAGAAAAAGAGGGAATCCTCCCTAACTCATTTTATGAGGCCAACATCATCCTGATACCAAAGCCTGGCAGAGACACAACAAAAAAAGAGAATTTTAGACCAATATCCCTTATGAACATCGATGCGAAAATCCTCAATAAAATACTGGCAAACCGAATCCAGCAGCACATCAAAAAGCTTATCCACCATGATCAAGTCGGCTTCATCCCTAGGATGCAAGGCTGGTTCAACATACTCAAATCAATAAACGTAATCCATCACATAAACAGAACCAATGACAAAAACCACGTTATTATCTCAATAGATGCAGAAAAGGCCTTTGACAAAATTCAACAGCGCTTCATGCTAAAAACTGTCAATAAACTAGGTGTTGATGGAATGTATCTCAAAATAATAAGCGCTATTTATGACAAACCCACAGCCAATATCATACTGAATGGGCAAAAACTGGAAGCATTCCCTTTGAAAGCAGGCACAAGACAAGGATGCCCTCTCTCACCACTCCTATTCAACATAGTGTTGGAAGTTCTGGCCAGGGCAATCAGGCAAGAGAAAGAAATAAAGGGTATTCAATTAGGAAAAGAGGAAGTCAAATTGTCCCTGTTTGCAGATGACATGATTGTATATTTAGAAAACCCCATTGTCTCAGCACAAAATCTTCTTAAGCTGATAAGCAACTTCAGAAAAGTCTCAGGATACAAAATCAATGTGCAAAAATCACAAGCATTCCTATACACTAATAACAGACAGAGAGCCAAATCATGAGTGAATTCCCATTCACAATTGCTACAAAGAGAATAAAATACCAAGGAGTCCAACTTACAAGGGATGTGAAGGACCTCTTCAAGGAGAACTACAAACCACTGCTCAATGAAATAAAAGAGGACACAAACAAATCGAAGAACATTCCATGCTCATGAATAGGAAGAATCAATATTGTGAAAATGGCCATACTGCCCAAAGTAATTTATAGATTCAATGCCATCACCATCAAGCTACCAATGACTTTCTTCGCAGAAGTGGAAAAAACTACTTTAAAGTTCATGTGGAACCAAAAAAAGAGCCCGCATAGCCAAGACAATCCTAAGCCAAAGGAACAAAGCTGGAGGCATCACGCTACCTAACTTCAAACTATACTACAAGGCTACAGTAACCAAAACAGCATGGTACTGGTACCAAAACAGATATATAGACCAATGGAACAGAGCAGAGGCCTCAGAAATAACACCACACATCTACAACCATCTGATCTTTGACAAACCTAACAAAAACAAGCAATGGGGAAAGGATTCCCTATTTAATAAGTGGTGCTGGGAAAACTGGCTAGCCATATGTAGAAAGCTGAAACTGGATCCCTTCCTTACACCTTATACAAAAATTAATTCAAGATGGAGTAAAGACTTAAATGTAAGACCTAAAACCATAAAAACCCTAGAAGAAAACCTAGGCAATCCGTTTCAGGACATAGGCATGGGCAAAGACTTCATGACTAAAACACCAAAAGCAATGGCAACAAAAGCCAAAATAGACAAATGGGATCTAATTAAACTAAAGAGCTTCTGCACAGCAAAAGAAACTACCATCAGAGTGAACAGGCAAATTACAGCATGGGAGAAAACTTTTGCAATCTACCCATCTAACAAAGGGCTAATATCCAGAATCTACAAAGAACTTAAACAAATTTACAAGAAAAAAAACCCCATAAAAAGTGGGCAAAGGATACGAACAGACACTTCTCAAAAGAAGACATTTATGCAGCCAACAGACATATGAAAAAATGCTCATCATCATTGGCCATCAGAGAAATGCAAATCAAAACCACAACAAGATACCATCTCCCGCCAGTTAGAATGGCAATCATTAAAAAGTCAGGAAACAACAGATGCTGGAGAGGATGTGGAGGAATAGGAACCCTTCTACACTGTTAGTGGGAGTGTAAATTAGTTCAACCATTGTGGAAGACAGTGTGGTGATTCCTCAAGGATCTAGAACTAGAAATACCATTTGATCCAGCGATCCCATTACTGCGTATATACCCAAAGGACTATAAATCGTGCTACTATAAAGACACATGCAAACGTATGTTTATTGCAGCACTATTCACAATAGGAAAGACTTGGAACCAACCCAAATGCCCATCAATGATAGACTGGATTAAGAAAATGTGGCACATATACAACATGGAACACTATGCAGCCATTAAAAAGGATGAGTTTATATCCTTTGCAGGGACATGGATGAAGCTGGAAACCATCATTCTCAGCAAACTATCGCAAGGACAGAAAACCAAACACCACATGCTCTCACTTATAGGTGGGAATTGAACACGAGAACACTTGGACACAGGGTGGGCAACATCACATGCCGGGGCCTCTCAGGGAGTGGGGAGCTGGGGGAGGGATAGCATTAGGAGAAATACCTAATGTAAATGACCAGTTGATGGGTGCAGCAAACCAACATGGCACATGTATACCTATGTAACAAACCTGCACGTTGTGCACATGTACCCTAGAACTTAAAGAATAATTTAAAAAAACATAGATGAATGCATTTTACTATGTGAAATAAGCCAGACCCAACAGACAACACATTATGTGATTCCATTCATATGACACCCGAAAAAGGAAAAACTGGAAGGATGGAAACTGATTAGTGGTTGACAAGAGCTGACAGAAAGAGAAGTGGTTGCTAAAAAGTAGATGCACAAGGGAACCTTAAGGGTGATGGAATGCCTTGCATGGTACTGTGTTGGTGTACATCACTCTATGCATTTGTCAAAACCCACAGAACTCTACATAACAAAGAGTGAAATTTCAAAAGTAAGAAAAGGACATGAACAGACACTTCTCAAAAGGAGATGTACAAATGGCCAATAAACATAAAAATGCTCAACATCATTAATCATCATAGAAGTGCAAATTAAAACCACATCTCACAGCAGTCAGAATGGTTATTACTAAAAAGTCAAAAAATAATAGATATTGGTGAGGGTGCAGAGAAAAGGGAACACTTATACACTGTTGGTAAGAATGTAAATTAGTTTAGCCCCTGTGGAAAGCAGTATGGAGATTTCTCAAATAACTAAAAGTAGAACTACCATTTGGTCCAGCAATCCCACTGCTGGGATTCTACCCAAAGGAAAGGAAATCACTCTACCAAAAAGACACCTACACTTGTATGTTTATTGCAGCACTATTCACAATAGCAAAGTCATGGAATCAACCTAGGCGCCCATCAATGGTGGACTGAATAAAGAAAAAATGATATATATACACCACGGAATACTGTGCAGCCATTAAAAAGAATGAAATCGTGTCCTTTGCAGCAACATGAAAGCAGCTGGAGGCCATTAACCTAACTAAGTGAATTAATACAGAAAGAAGAAACCAAATGTTCTCACTTATAAGTGGGAGCTAAACAATGCGTACTCACAGACATAAGATGAAAACTAAGTGGGAGCTAAACAATGCGTACTCACAGACATAAGATGAAAACAATAGATACTGAGGACTCCAAAAGTGGGGAGGGAGGGGGACAAAGGTTGGAAAACTACCTATCGAATACTATGTTCACTATTTGGGTAATAGGCTCAATAGTAGCCCAGGCTCTTCTCTCTCTCTGTCTCTCTCTTTTGTTGTTGTTGTTGTTGTTAATAGAGAAACAGGGTCTCACCATGTTGCCCAGGCTGGAGTGCAGTGGGTATTCACAGGTGCAATCAGTGCACTACACAGGCCAGAACTCCTAGGCTCAAGTGATCCTCCTGCCTCAGCCTCTGAGCAGCTGAGACTACACATGCATGACACTGCACCTGGTGTAGGCTCTTCTTTGAAGGAGAATCTGGAAATTACATCTCCATGTCCACTACATAGGATAGTTGATCCTGACATTTGAAGGAAGAAAGTTCACTGACACAGAAATAGGGTATAGTAGGTAGTCTCAATGATCCCTGCCTTCATTTCCTGTGAGCTTGGAATCATGACCTTCCTCCACAAATCAAGTCTTCAGATGGGACCACAGCCCCAGCCAATAGTTTGACTGTAATCTCATAAGAGACCTTGAGCTTGATGCACCCAGCTAAGCTGCACCTGGATACCTGCCCACAAAAACTGAGATGATAAATATCTGTTGTTTAAAACCACTAAGTTTTAGGGTAATTTGTTATGCAGCAATAAATTACTAACACAGGGGGCAGGGAGGGTTATGAATAGGACCCAAGCAATGTATATCTCATATCTACCTATTTCAGCCTGCAAAGCTTGGAATTCTGGAGCTCTTAACAAACAGGATGATCAATAGGCTAAGCTCCCTCAGATGTGAAGGTTTGGTTCACCCTATCAAGTAAAGGACCCAGATAGCTGATGTGCTAACTAAAGGGAAAAGGAAAAAAGAATAAATGAATAATCACGGAGGGAAGTCATATGGCTTCATGAACATAGCAGAAACAAGAACTAAAAGGACTACCTGCATTTCTTCCTTTCTGTATTATATATATTTTTATATTTTTAATTTCATTTTGCTTTTCTTTCTTCTCTCTCTCATTTACCATTGGATATAACTGTTCAAATATCCAAATGGAATAATAACAGAACTAGAGGAGGGGCTGGGCACAGTGGCTCGTGCCTGTAATCCCAGCACTTTGGGAGGCCGAGGCGGGTGATCACCTGAGGTCAGGAGTTCGAGACCAGCCTGGCCAACATGGTGAAACTCCGTCTCTACTAAAAATACAAAAATTAGCTGGGTGTGGTGGTGGGTGCCTGTAATCCCAGCTACTCGGAGGTTGAGGCAGGAGAATCTCTTGAACCTGGGAGGCGGAGGTTGCCGTGAGCCAAGATTGCACCACTGCACTCCAGCCTGGGTGACAGAGGGAGACTCCATCTCAAAGAAAAAGAGGAGGAAAATCAGTCGTTCAGTAATCCTAGACTTAAAGCTGGATGCAATAACTTAAAAGACAGTGTGGCGGCGGGGGGTGCCTGCTCTTAGAAAGAGCGTATGTTTTCTGTTGGGTAAGATACAACTGCTCCAGATCAGGTGACAACAGCTTGAGGAAATGTCAGCACAAGGAAAAGTATGTGTATGGGTATTGGGCTGTAAAGATAGTTGTCTTTTTGGCCTGTCCAGAATACCCTTACTGATAAAGATGAATCTCAAAAATCTATGGTAGGCAGGACCCCCAACTCCCAGTGAGAAGACAAAAAGAGTTGTTTCTTCTTTCTAACTGCCTGGCAGCTGGATCTCAGGCATATTGTCCAGGCTCAGGCAGTCAGACGCCACCATCTGTGTGATTGAGACAATAATGCACTCTTTCTTTGGTTCTGCCTCGTTTTCAAGTCTTCCCATTGAATCTGAGAGCAAATGGCCACCCTCTGAATAAATTCCCTTTATGCTTAAGTTATGCAGACATAGGCTTGTTGTTTCCAATAGAGAACACTGTGACTGGGTGCAGTGACTCATGCCTGTAATCCCAGAACTTTGGGAGGTGGAGGCAGGCAGATCACTTGAGGTCAGGAGTTCAGGACTACCCTGGCCAACATTGAGAAACCCCGTCTCTACTAAAAATACAAAAATTAGCCAGGTGTGGTGGCGGGCATCTGTGATCCCAGCTACTCAGGAGGCTGAGGCAGGAGAATCGCTTGAACCTGGGAGACGGAGGCTGCAGTGAGCTGAGACCACACCACTGCACTCCAGCCTGGGTGACAGAGTGAGACTCTGTCTCAAATAATAATAATAATAATAATAAATTTTTAAAATAAACCCTGTGTAATATACCCACCAAGTTATCCCCTCTCCTTCTAAGAGTGACCCAGCCTTCCCAACATGTGTTGCCTCAAACACTAGTCCAGGATGTTCTTCCCAGAAAAGGGTCCAAGACTAAATAAGTTGGTGAAATATTTCATACTGTCTACTTTTTTTTTGAGAATCATATTAAAGTTCCTGAGAAGTCCTGTGTTAAATATGTTTAACATTTTTATACCGGGGTTTCGGTATCATTTTGCTTTCACACTCTCTTCACAGATGACACTTCTCACTCTGAGAAACACTGGCCTGAATTCAAGAAAGGACGATTCAGAGAGACTGAAGTTCTCTCTGATTTCCCAGTTCTAGTTTGCTCTGTGAGATCTTGCCACTTCCCCAGATGAATCACACAAAGAATCACCACCCCCTTCACAGGAAGCCATGCTCCCCACAGAATATCATCACCCTTCTATTGAGTACTCTCTACCTTCCCCATTACGTTCAGATGCTTCCTCAGACATTTATAAAGTGTTCTATTCTGGGGTCTGTTTAGGGCTCTCTATTCTGTTTCACTGGTCTTCAAATTATCTTGATATCCCTAAACTAATAGCTGCTTTATAAAACATCTTAAAATATGGCAGGCCTCCTTCTTAACCTTTTCTTAATTAAAATTTTCTTTGCCATTTTTAACTTGCTCTTTCAAATTACCCTTTGGCAAGTCCTATTGGGATTTTAAGTGGAGTTTTAGTAAAGCTGTAAAATAACTTAGGGAGAGTTGATGTCTTTAGGATAGTTTTTATATCCACCTGCATGTGGTGTTTCTCTATTTCATTTATACCTGTCGGTCAAACTTGTTTTGGTTTTCTTCTTGTGAGCACCAACCTTTTGTTTGAAGGGAAGAAGACAACATTATTATTTGTAGATGATATGATTTTTTTACCTAAACCTGGAAGAGTTATTTAAATTGATGAGGGTTAATCTTCATATAGACAAAAATAATCCACATTAATAACTTTCCTATATACCAAAACCAGCTCATTAGAAATGGTGGATATGCAGAGAAATTGGGGGGCTTCATATATATTTAGGAACAGAATTAACAAGACTTGGTAATGGGCTTGGTGTAGAGGATGTTGGGGTGGAAGCGTCAGTGAAATATTTCAGAATTTGCCCCACTGTCACCCTGCGAGGGAAGACCATGTTGGATTATACATTCACCTTTCCATCCTAAAACCCAAATTTCTGCTTCTTGATGACACTTCTCAAGGTTTTTGACATTCCTGGTTTCAGGACTGCTGGTATGGTCTTAGCTACTTCATTCTTTTCATTTTGGTTAGCTAGTCAGCTCCTACCCCACCATTGTTCCCAGAAATCTGCCTGTAGGATTCTCTGCAGCTATTTTGCATCACTCTTCTCTGGTTGTTTTGATAAAGTGGGAAGAAAGATCCTCTGTGGGAGTTACAAAGAGGAACTGAAAAGAGGAGTGAAGATTTAGAACAATAGTAAAGGATAACAGAAGAGGAAACTCACTAAAGGCAAAGAAATGGGTGGGCAGCTCAGAGACTGCTTATTCATGGTGGTCTGTAAATGTCAAAGGCTCTCAGACACACATGGAGGTAGGCAAGGGAAATGCCAAAGCTCCCTTTCTGGGCTCACTTAAAACCTTGCAAGTTATAACCGCAGAAAAGAATATATATATATATATATATATATATATATTTATATATTTATATATTTATATTTATATAAAAATATATATAAAAGAAAATATATATGTGTATATATATAAATGTAAATATTGCTATAAAGGAATCAAATTATTGAGAAACACACCAATCAGAATTACAGACTTTTAGGGTTAAAGGTTACCGTTTACAGTACATAACAACAATCTCTGAAGTCCAGACATCTTAAAAGACTCCTTTGTAACTGGCCAGGTGCAGTGGCTCTCACTTTGGGAGGCCGAGGCGGGCAGATCACCTGGTCAGGAGTTCAAGACCAGCCTGACCAATGTTGTGAAACCCCATTTCTACTAAAAATACAAAAATTAGCCGGGCATGGTGGTAGGCACCTATAATCTCAGCTAATCGGGAGGCTGAGGCAGGAGAACCACTTGAACCTGGGAGGCAGAGGTTGCAGTGAGCTGAGATCATGCCACTGTATTCCAGCCTGGGAGGCAGAGTTAGACTCTGTCTCAAAAAAAAAAAAAAAAAAAAAAAAAAAAAGACTCCTTTGTTATGAAACAGAACAGGATTATACACCTTCAACAAGTCCCCCCACTGGGCAAAAGAGTAAAACTGATGCTCTTTGTGATTATTCTCAATATACCTCCTTCTCAGAACTTGCTTTAAATAGATCTGCTTTCCTGTAGTTTTGTGGGAAGGACTATTTCTCCTCATGTCTCTAAGATCTGTTTTATGAGCACCATTCTTAACATTAAGCCTGTTCTCAAGGTTAAGACCATTAGTCCAGAAGAAAACTCCTGAGAAACTTCAATATGAAAAGTAAAAGAGTAGAAAATAATTTTAAACAAATGGAATACGCAATTGTTCATTGGTGTTTAAAATTGGCCTCTTAGGTTTAGACACAAAACTCTGATTTGAATTTTTGCCAGTTATCATTGTGTAAATATCCCCACAATAGCTGATTTCAACTTGGCACGATGTCACCAAACACGGTTGTGAAGAGAGGCCCACAATAGGCTCCCGTAAGCCTGTAAAGGACAATGCCAGGGCACCACTGTTTTCCTCCCATGGCCAAGATCTATCCAAGTGTGTGGTTTTCCCCCAGCCTTGCTCTCCAGAAAGGAGAAGAGAGGGGTTTGCCTATAGGTTTGGGATGGAAGGACAGAGATACTAGGAGTATGACACTGTTAAATGCTACCCAGGAGACCCAGAGTAGGGAAAAGATGCAAAGGCCCCAGTATAAAATGGAAGGAATGAGCCCCAGCCCCTTAGAGGAGTCTCCGTTCTGAGAACTTATCTGTCGATTTCCACCAACTTCCGCCAACAACCTGCTGTGGCTTTTAAGTTCTGTCTGTAGACTCCAAAATGAACTGTTCCTCTTCCCTGGCCACGAGAGGCCTGGCTGCCCTCATGCCACAACTCCCTGATGTGGGCATGGCTCCTTTATGTGATTGTGGCCTATGGTCAGTTTCTCAGGAGTGGGTGATTGATAGGGAAAGCTCTGGTGCTTTCCCTGGAGCAAGAACCACCAGGACCACAAAGGCCTCATGTTTGGCCACCAGCTACCTCCCTACAAGGAACAAAAACCCTTTCCATGAGTGTAACAACTCCAGGGACCCGAGGACATTTCCTGGGTATGTGGGGAGAAATTAGATGAATAACAGCAGAGTAAAACATAAACCTGATCCCACTAGTCCTTTGCTTCAAAAGAGTCTCATTACCCTTAAAAGAAAAGAAAAATATCCTGATCATCTAACAAAACCCTTTGGGATCTGGAGCCTATCTTCACATTCCCATCTCTCACCACTCTCCTCACTGGCTTTCTTTATGTTTGGAAATATGCCAAGCCCATTTCTTCACAGGCCCTTTGCACTTGTGAATGTATATATGTAGGTATGTATGTATTTACATACATGTACATATATCTTTTCTTAGTGAACCACTTGAAAGTAAATTGCAGCATTTCAGCGTTATTTGATATTTCAGCCCTTACCTAAAAACAAACAAGGACATTCTCCCCCCATAATCCTAATACAATTACCACACCCAAGGAATTTAATGTGGATAAAATATCAAAGCCGTTATAAAAATTTACAGACCAGGCACAGTGGCTCATGCCTGTAATCCCAGCACTTTGGGAGTCCAAGGCAGGAGCATCACCTGAGTCCAGGAGTTTAAGACCAGCCTGGGCAACATAGTGAAACCTCAGCTCTACAAAAAACTAAAAAAATTTGTGGTGGTGCATGCCTATAGTCCCAGACACTGTGGAGGCTGAGGTGGGAGGATCACTTGAGCTTAGGAGGTCGAGGTTGCAGTAAGCCATGATCACACCATTGCACTTCAACCTGGGCAACAGAGAGGGGCCCTGTATCAGAAAAAAAAAATTTACAAAAACCCTTAAATTAAAATATTTACCCAAAGAAGTTAGGTTTATTTCCTGATCCCAGGATCCAATTAAAGTTCACACATGGTATTTGGTTGTCACGGCTCCTTAGTTTCCACTAATCTAGGCCAGCCTCATAACCACAACCATCACTTACACACACTCCCCTCTTTTTATCTTTCATCATATTAACATATTAAAGAGTTCATGTCCATTGCTTGTAGAATGCCCAATTCTGGACTTGTCTGATTGCTTCCTTATGATTAGACTCAGGTTGTGGTTTTCTTTTAAAATAAACTGTTAGTGCAACTTGACACCCCTCATGTGAGGGTGGTGCTGAGTAGTGGCTTAGCTGGGAACCCAGCAAGTGTGTTCCAACTGTTGCCCAACCTGGCCTCCTGGTGTCCCCTGGACTCCACAGCCCTGATGCTGCTCAGGTTTTGAACCCTCCCCCACTAGAAAAATACTGAAGAATTTTCTGTGCTCCAGAGCAAGTGCTCCAGAGCTCCTAGGACCAACTGTTTATTGCCTTTGGATAACAATGCCTGAAACACTGGAACAAACATGTTTTGACGAAGGACATGGAAACTAGGATGTACCTCTATCCAGAAGCCTCTGTGCCAGAGACCTTAATCAAGACCAAGAAGATGCCCCACTAGGCAGAGAGACTATTTACTGACAGTGTTACACCCAAGGGGTGTATATCCTTGAGGATTCCATTGTGGGACCACAGAACCAGACATGTCACCCTCACCTATAATACCAACCGCACCCAGCTGGTGTGGAGAGGATCAATGCATTTATTGAGTGAATCCTGAAAACAGAAGCTGGATGCAAATCTACTGAGATGCCCTAGGACTCCTCTAGCGGCATCTTTAAATCATCTGGGAATTTGGCTTGGCCTGGTTCAAAACTAACATGGTCAAATGAAGATTTGTGTTTCTGGCCAAGATGGAGTAACAGAGATTATGTTTACTCTCACACCTAAGATAAAACAGACAATATACAGAAAACAGTGGTTTTTAGGACACTGGACATCAGGCAATGAAGAATAGTGATCCCTGAAACAAAGGAAACAAATGAGGTAAGCTCTATGACTGCCCTAGCTTACTACCTGCAGAGTTTCCAGGCCACAGCACCAAGAGGAAGAACAGAAGGCACCAGGCAGACTCCCTGAGTTGAGAAGACAGAGCTGAGAGTCCAGGGATACCACAGTAGCTAGAGTACACAGGACAGAGCATGTAATCCAGATCTCTGGAGTTCTATATCTGAGCAGACAGGAGAGAGCTGCTCAGATACAGAATTCCAGAGATCTGGAGCATTCAGCATCAGTCAGCACATGTGTGTGAGGAAAGCACCTGAAGCTGGAGAAAGAACCATTCAAAGGGATTAGAAGTAAAAATGTTGCCCATGCAAAGCCTAGAATGGTGCCTGTTTCCATCAGCCAGACTAGAAAATTTATAATTCACAGGGCATTGGGTAGAGTACGCAGGACTCAGGGCAGGAAGAGCATCAGGAAAAATAGCTAATGCATGCTGGGCTTAATGCATAGGTGATGGGTTCATAGGTGCAGCAAATCACCATGGCACACGTTTACCTATGTAACAAACCTGCACATCCTGTACATGTATCCTGGAGCTTCATAAAATAAAATAAACTGTGTATTTAAAATAATAATAAATATAAGGTCGTGTTTGTCTACAAACAAGGATAATTAGACTTTTTCCTGTCCAATTTGGTTGCCCTTTTTCTTGACTAATTGCTCTGACTAGGACTTCCAGTACTATGTTGAATAAAAGTGGTGAAAGTGGGCATCTTCGTCTTGTGCCAGATGTTAGAGAAAAGGCTTTTGGTGTTTCCCTATTCAGTGTGATATTAGCTGTACATTTGTCATATATGGCCTTTATTGTTTTGAAGTTTATTCCTTTTGTACCCAGTTTGTTGAGAATTTTTTAATCATGAAAGGATATTGAATTTTATAGAATGCTTCTTCAGCATCTATTGAAATGATCATATGCTTTTTGTCCTTAACTCTGTTAATGTGATGTATCATGTTTATTGATTTGCTTATGTTAAACCAGGCTTTATCCCTGAAATAAATTTCCCTTGATTATGGTAGATGATCTCTCTAATGTGTTGTTGGGTTTGTTAGAATTTTGTTGAGAATTTTTGCTCCTATGTTCATCAGGATATTGACTGGTAGTTTTCTTTTTTATTGTGTCTGGTTTTGATATTGACTAATGCTGGCCTCATAGGATGAGTTTGGACGTTTCCCCTCTTTAATCTTTTGGAATAGTTTGAGTAGAATTAATATAGCTCTTCTTTAAATGTTTGGTAGAATTCAGCAATGAAGCAATCAGGTCCTAGGATTTTTATCGATGGGAGACTTTTTAATTAGTGCTTTGATCTCATTACTTGTTACTGGTCTGTTAAGATTTACTATTTCTTCAAGTTCAATTTTAGTAGGACGTACATGTCCAGGCATTTATTCATTTCTTCTTGGTTTTCCAATAGGTGGGTGTATAAATATTTATAATAGCCTCTAATGATCCTTTATACATCAAAGGTATTAGTTGTAATGTCTCATTTTTTATTTCTCATTTTATTTATTTGGGTTTTCTCTTTGTTAGTCTAGCTAAAGTTTTGTTGATTTTGTTCATATTTTCCAAAAACCAACTTTTTGTTTCCTTGATGTATTACATTGGGTATTGTGTTTTTAGTCTTAATTTCACTTATTTCTGCTCTGATCTTTATTATTTGTTTTCCTCTACAAATTTTGACTTTGGTTTGTTCTGGCTTTTCTAGTTAAGGTGCACTGTTAGGTGTTTATTTGCAGTCTTTCTACTTTTCTTTAAAAAAGTGGCTCCAATTTATGGCTCTAGTTGATGCCTCACTTTCTACTTTTTTGATGTAGGCATTTATTGCTATAAATTTCCCACTTAGTGCTGCTTTTATTTCATAGGTTTTGGTGTGTTGTGTTACCATTTTAATTTGTTTCAAGAAATTTTTAAAATTCCTTCTTGATTTCTTCATTGACTCACTGGTCATTCAGGAGCATATTGTTTAATTTCCATGATTAGTACAGTTTCCAAAATTCCTCTTGTTATTGATTTCTAGTTTTATTCATTGTGATCAGAAAATATATTTGATATGATTTTGAATTTTCTGAATTTCTTGTGATTTATTTTGTGGCATAACATGTGGCCTATCCTGAAGAATGTTCCGTGTGTGGAGGAATAGAATGTGTATTCTGCAGCTGGTAGGTTGTTGTATAAATGTCAGTGCCATGTTTGGATATGGTTTGTCACCACCAAAACTCATGTTGAAATTTGATCCCCAACATGGCAAAGTTGGGAGGTGAGCTTAGTGGGTCATAGGGTGGATCCCTCATAAATGTCTTGATAAGTGAGACTAGATTAGTTCTTGGGGAAATGAATTAGTTTCCTTGAGAGTGGGCTATTATAACACCAGGATGCCCCTCAGACTTTATCTCTTCACATGTGTCCATTTCTCCTTTGACCTTCTCTACCATCTTTTGACCTAGCACATGGCCCTCACCAGAAGCTAGGCAGATGCTGATGCCATACTCCTCATACTTCCCAGCCTACACAACTGTGAGCTAAGTAAGCTTCTTTTCTGTGTAAATTACTCAGTCTCAGGTCCTCTGTTATAGTAACACAAAATGGATTAAGTCAGATAGGTCCATTTGGTATAGAGTGCAGTTTAACTCTGATGTTTGTTTGTTATTTTCTGTCTGGATAATCTGTCTATTACTGAAAGTGGGTGTTGAAGTTGCCTAATATTATATTGCAGTCTATATTTCCCTTTAAATCAATTAATATTTTCTTTATACATTTGGGTGCTCTGATATTGGAATGCATAGTTACAATTATTATACCCTCTTGCTAAATTGACTCCTTTATAACCTCTTGCTGAATTGACTCCTTTATCATTATATAATGACCTTCTTTGTTTTTCTTTACACTTTTTGACTTAAAGCCTATTTTATCTGATATGAGTATAGTTACTCTTGCCCCTTTTTTTGCTTCCATTTGTATAAAATATCTTTTTCTAACTCTTCATTTCCAGTCTGTATGTTCCCTTATAGGTGAAGTGAGTTTCTTGTAGGCAGCACATAGTTGGGTCTTATTTTTTTAAAGCATGCAGCCATTTATGTCTTTTAATTGGGGATTTAGTCCATTTATATTCAATGTTATTTTGATAGGTAAGGACTTACTACTGGCATTTTTGTTACTTGCTTTCTGGTTATTTTGTAAGTCTTCTTTTTCTTTCTTCCTTTCTTGCTCTCTTCCTTCGTGGTTAAGTGATATGTCTGGTAGTATGTTTTTAATTCCTTGCTTTTTATTTTTAGTGTATCTATTACAGGTTTTTGCTTTGTGGTTACTGGGTAATTTATAAAGGAAAGAGGTTTAATTGACTTACAGTTCTACATGGCTGGGGAAGCCTCAGGAAACTTACAATCTTGGTGGAAGGCAAAGGAGAAGCAAGTGCCTTCTTCACAAGGTGGCAGGAAAGAGAGAGAGTGAAGAGTGACAGGTGCACTAAAATCTCAGCCTTCACCACTATACAATTCATCCTTGTAACCAAAAACCAGTTGTACTCCCAAAGCTATTGAAATTTAAAAATACTTTTTAAGAAAAGAGACTGGCATTTCTCCTGCTCCCTCTCTTGCCACATGACATGCCTGCTCCCCCTCCACCTTCCACCATGAGTAAAAGCTTCCTGAGGCTTCATCAGAAGCTGAGCAGATGCTCGTATAACCTGCAGAACTATATGCCTCTTTTCTTTATAAATTACCCAGTCTCAGGTATTCCTTTATAGCAATGAAAAATGGACCACTACAAGAAGGAAGCTGTCCACTCTAGAAAAGACCCATGGCTCATCTCAGCCAGCCCTGCCTATGAGCAAGGCACAGCACATCCTCCCAGGAGCAGAAAAGGCAGATGCCACAGGGGGAGTGTGGCATCTCCACTGGGCGGGATGTTACTGGGGTCTTCCAGCCCCACTGACTTCTCGCCCAGTGCTTCTTCCAGTGGAGCAGCATGGAGCAGGGATAAAGCTCACTGTCCAGGTGGCACCGCTTTGTGGAGCACTATGGCAGGACACAGTCACCTCTGGAGACTGGGACAGAGACAAGGAGAGAAGATACCTGATCTCAGCTCACCTTGATCCTCCATGCCGCTCTCCTCCTTACTTGCAAATCCTCCTCCTAAACCAGTCCCAGAGGCCAAGCCAGGAGATCACACCTATAAGGGTTCTGGCTTTGTGGTCATTGCCAGGTCTTTATGTCCATTACCTTTGAAGAAAATCTAAATCAGTTTCTAAAATTGAAATCAAACCACGTCTCTTCCCTGCTTAAGAGGTTTCCATAGCTTTCCTTCCTCCATGGGGAAAAGTAGACTGAAGAACCCCAAGAAAGCCTGGTAGCTGAGGCCATCAGTGGCTCCTGAACTCAGTCCGGTATTAGTGCAGTCACAGGCGATCAGCATGTTAATCAAACCCATCTATAAATGTTTATGTTCCTGACGCTCCATTTTAAAAGGCAGATAACATAGAATATATTTTAGAAGATGTGGAGCAGATGTTAGTAGCAGATGCTAGAGAAGCAGGAAAGTGCAGGGGTGAAGACCTGGGCTCTGAAACCAGACTGACTGAGTTGGAGTCTTCGTTTCCCAGTACTGCGTGGCGTTGGGCAAGTGTCCAGACCCTTTGCCTCGTTCCCTTATATATAAAATAGGGGATGAGATATCATCTAACTTATGGGATTGTTTTGAGGGTCAACAAGTTAATACCTGTTTTAGAATGCTTGTGAGAATGCCCGGCACTGGATAAGCGAATGTTGGGTATTATTAAATAACATAGCCGGGCATGGTGGCGCATGCCTGTAGTCCCAGCTACTCAGGAGGCTGAAGAGAGAGGATCGCTTGAACCCAGGAGTTCGAGTCCAGTCTGGGCAACCTAGTGAGACCCTACCTCAAACATATTTTTAAATAAATAATAATAAAAAAAATGTTTTCAACAACGGAGGCACACAGACTTGACTTCCCACACTGCATTTTGCTTGCCCCCGGCCCTAAACATACCCCTAAGCTGCGATCCACTGCCTCTTCCCTCACGAGCATAGACCCCTCCCCACCACTCCTTTGGTCATATTTTGGGAAAGAGTCCTTAAATTAAGTTCCCTTTAGCGCTGCTCTTATAGGACATGGACATCCACAAGCTTGATCTTTCTCCCTGCCTAATTCACACCCAGGCTCAGATATGGATCTGTCCTTCCCTTTAAACATCTGGTCATTAAGAAAAGTTCATGTCGAGAACGCCAGAGTCCACAAGAGTGCGGGATTCCTGAGATCCCTGCCGAAGCGGCTCCCTGGCATTACAATTCCGCCGGCGCTCTCTCCCTCAGTGACCTGTAGATGGCGCCATTGCCTCTGCCTGGGCACAGAAGGGCTCCTGCCGCTTGGAGTTCTGTTTTCACTATGCGTGTGAATCTGGTCCTCCTTAGGTATTTGTTGGACTGAATGATAGTTATAATGGAATCCTGGCCTTCCAGGAATCCCCGACCCCCTCAATGAATGTAGTAGTAATATTAGTCATCTCATTCCTACATTTCACTCCCTAGGCCAGGACCCCTGAGATTTCAGTAAAGGTATAAATTTGCTGAATTCTTTGAACCAAGCGCCAGGTGCTGGCTTCATGGAAGGCAGAAAATTGCTTGCCTTGTCCCCAATGAGCACACATGAGTAATCAGTCTTCGTCTTCCGGATGTAGCCAGGGTAGCAATGGCCTCGATCCCACCAGCTGGTGACTATTAAATATGCCAAGCCCTGACAGGTTCAGTCCTGAGAGTCCGGAACCTCTAGGAATGCCGGGGGTTCTTGTTACAAAGAGAGCCGAGAAACAGGAGTCAGGTGGCAGTGACACTCCATGCTTCCCCTACTCCACCAAAGCTGTTCTTGCCACAGTCACGGTGAACTGACCCTCCTGTTTACAAATTCAACTGGCATTTTCCTATCTGTTGATTTTTTTTTACCTCTTGGTGACATTCTTTCCCACTCACACTCCCTCACAAGGCCCCATTTCTTGGATACTTGTGGCCTCACGCACTCCTGGTCTTCTCCTGTTTGGAACCTCCAGGAGTTCCTTCTCTCTCACCTCTCCCCTAGATGCTGGACTTGCTGATAGGTCCGTTCTTATTCCTCTTCCCTGCTCTCCACACAGATTCTCCCTGGACAATCTCCTTCCTCCCCACCTCACTCCCCAATTCTCTTTCAGTCTAAACCAGTCCCCCAGACTTATGAATCCAGCTACCACTGGCCCTCTTTGCTTGCTTGCCACATGAACTCTTCAAAAACAATAAATCCATACCTGAACCCGGCCCCAGCACCTGACCACCACATCCCTATCCCCACCCCAGCCAACAAGTCTGACCCTGGTTCTGTGCTCCAGTCTCCCGAGCCAGACAGTCAAGTATCACCCTTGACTCCTGTGTTAGTTTTCTACGGTTGCTGTAACAAATTATCACAAACCAGGCGGCTTAAAACAACAGAGAGTGACCCTCTCATCGTTCGGAAGGCCAGAAGTCTGAAAAACTGTCAGCTGCATTGTGCTCCCTCCAAAATCTCCAGGGGAGAATCCTTCCTCACCTCTTCCAGCTTCAGGCATTCCCTGGCTCCTCCGTGTCTGATTCCAGCCTCTGCCCCCATCTTCACATGGCCATCTCTTCTGTCTCTATGCATCCTCTTCTAAGAAAGCTCTCCTTGGATTTAGAGCCCATCCTAAGCCAGTATGATCTCATCTTTATCTTTACCTCAATCATATCAGCTAAGATCCTATTTCCAAATAAGGTCTCATTCTGAGGTTCTGGGTGGACATGAATTTGGAGGGGATGCCATTCAACCCACTGTAATTCCTCCACTTCCCCGCCACAATCTAATTTAATGCATGCTACCTGGGTTTTTTGTTTGTTTGTTTGTTTGGGTTTTTTGTCTGTTTGTTTGCTTTTTGTTTTTTCAAGACAGAGTTTTTGCTCTTGTCGCCCAAGCTGAAGTGCAATGGCACGATCTCGGCTCACTGCAACCTCCACCTCCTTGGTTCAAGCAATTCTCTTGCCTCAGCTTCCTGAGTAACTGGGATTACAGGCACCTGCCACCACTCCTGGCTAATTTTTTGTATTTTTAGTAGAAACGGGGTTTCACCATATTGGTCACGCTGGTCTTGAATTCCTGACCTCAGGTGATCCACCCACCTTGGCCTCCCAAAGTGCTGGGATTATAGCCATGAGCCACCGCACCCAGCTGCTACCTGCGTTTTTGTTTTTCTATTCTTTCTTTCTTTTTTTTTTTTTGAGACAGAGTCTCCCTCTGTTGCCCAGGCTGGAGTGCAATGGCGGCATCTCAGCTCACTGCAACCTCCGCCTGCTGGGTCCAAGCGATTCTTGTGCATCAGCCTCCTGCGTAACTGGGATTACAGGCACCCACCACCACACCTGGCTAGTTTTTGTATTTTTAGTAGAGATGCAGTTTCACCATGTTGACCAGGCTGGTCTCAAACTCCTGACCTCAGGTGATCTGCCCATCTTGGCCTCCCAAAGTGCTGGGATTACAGGCATGAGCCACTGCGCCCAGCCACATGCTACCTGTTTAACATCTTTCCATCCACCTACTTCTCTCCATCCACATGGTCAAGCCACCAATTCCTGCTCCCTGGCACCTGGTCAGGTGTCCAGGCCCCAGCCTTGCCTTCCATCCACTCCTCACACAGCAGCCAGAGGAATTGTTTCAAAACAGATCTAACCCTGCTGCTCACCTCACAACCTGCAACACACACACACACACACACACACACACACACACACACACACACTCCCAGCGTCACTGGGAGAAAGCTCCAGCTCCCCAGCCAGCGCTCTGCAACACACCAGTCCCTCTGTAAGTGGTCCCTGCCCTCCTTTCTGGCTTAACGTCTAACAACTGCCCACCCACTTTCCAGCCGCCTTCCTCATGTCCCAAGCCTGCCTGGGCCAAAAGCGCTCCTGTGGGCTGCAGGTGCCACAGCGCCCAGGTCTCTGCAGATGCTGCTCCCTCTGCTGGAAATGCCCTCTCCCTGCCCGGCCCACCTCACTGACTCCTTCAAATCTCAGGTTAGACGCCGATTCCTCTGGTCAGATAGCCCTGGCCCCCAAATCAAGTGAGATTCCCATTCGGGCTCTCCCAGCTCTCCAGGCCACCCCCAGCACAGCCCTGTCACACTGTACTATGTGTGTGTTCCTTGAGAGCAGGCACCGGGCATGCTCACCACATAGTCTCTGCACCTAGCTCAGTACCTGTCACTTCACAGCAACAAACACATTGTGAGCACCCAGCATGAGTTAGGGACAGTCCTCAGCATCTTCCCTGCACTAACTCATTTCATTTTCACAACAGCCCTGTAAGGTGGTGACTTCACAGGAGGCCCATTTTTTTTAGATGTGGAAACTGGGGTACAGATACATTAGGTAACTTATTCAGAGTCACAAAGCTATTAAGCAGCAAGTCTGGTGTTCCAACACAGGCAGCCCAGGTGCAGAGTCCAGTCCTAGCTATAATGCTATACTCAACCATGTATTGAAATAACTCTTTATTGGTTCAGTTAGCTAATGTAAAATGGAGCCAGCCTGACCCCAAGAAGTTAGCTGACTTTTCCTGAGGTTGTCTAGTGAGGTCAGAACTTTGACTCAAGCCCTCAGACTTCTAGACCAGTGTTGCTTATGAACCCACCAAAAAGAGACCAGGGGGTCAGGAGTCACTGGGCTGCTGCAGGTGCAGGATTCTCAGAAAGGCTCCTGAGAAAAAGGGGCCCTCTTCCTTTGCTGCCTTGTCCAGAAGTGCTCATTATAGTCAGGACAGAAGCCCTCCAGCACAAAAGGACACCCCGGCAGCAAGTCTCCTGGTACCCAGCACTATTCATGAGGTTCTATTAAAACAAACAAACAAACCCTTTGTATTTTTGTAGAGACAGGGTTTCACCATGCTGGCCAGGCTGGTCTTGAACTCCTAACCTCAGGTGATCTGCCCAGGGCGTGATGGCGGTGCCTGTAATCCCAGCTACTCAGGAGGCTGAGGCAGGAGGATCGCTTGAAACCTGGGAGGCGGAGGTTGCAGTGAGCCGAGATCGCGCCATTGCACTCCAGCCTGGGCGTCTGTCTCAAAAAAAAAAAAAAAAAACCACCTGAGTTCAGATCCAAACCTCAATTTGATCAGGCCTCTAAATCTAATTGCCAGATTAAAGGAAGTACAGAGGATACTGCAACATGGTGAGTAAGTCCAAAGAATGAGAAATGCTAAGGACAACGGCTCTAGTTACACACACACACACACACACACACACACACACACTCATACATAAAGAGTAAGATGAATGGTCACAGATTTTAAAAGCCTTAAAGATGTATCAAACAAACACAATGTATGGCATTTGTTTGGATGCTGATTGAAACAAGGTACCTGTTAAAGAAAACACATGTGAGACAAAAGAGCAAATGTGAACAATGACTGGCTATTAGTACTAATCTGTAGGTATAATTACTGTGTTTTTTGTTTGCTTGTTTGTTTGTTTTTGAGACAGGGTCTCACTCTGTCACCCAGGCTGGAGTGCAGTGGCTCGATCATGGCTCACTCACTGCAGCCTTGACCTCCCAGGCTAAGTGATCCTCCCACCTCAGCTTCCCAAGTAGCTGGGACTACAGGTGTGCACTATCACACCCAGTTAATTTCTTTATTTTTTTTGTCGAAATGGGGTTTCGCTGTGTTGCCCAGGCTGGTCTTGAACTCCTGGGCTCAAGTAATCCTCCCACATCTGCCTCTCAAAGTGCTGGGATTATAGGCATGAGCCACCATGCCCGACTAATTATTACACTTTTTAAAAAAGAGTTCTTACTTCTTAGAAATACATACGGAAGTATTTACAGATAATAAAATAACTTCAGGGAGAAGAATAGGGATATAGATAAAATAAGGTCAATTGTGGAATCTGGGTAATAGGTATATGGTGGGGGAGTTATATTATTCCCTCTACTTTTGTACTTGCTTCTAAAATGCATAATAAAAGACTAAAATAAAAGAGTCACCCTCACACAGTGAACCAGGCAGCTGCAGCCAACCAGTCAGAAATTATGGATTATGAATCCACTTTATCCAGTCAATTCTGTTCTGGAGTATGGTGATCCCAGAAGGAGGTTTTGAAACAGTAAAGAGCCCCTGGATCTTAAAGAGGAGTCAGCTCTGGTAGGCTCAGAAGCCTGACCCTGGCTAGGTGAAGTGGCTCACACCTGTCATACTAACACTTTGGGAGGCAGAGGCAGGAGGATCGCTTGAGGCCTAGAGTTCAAAACCAGTCTGGGCAACATTACAAGACCCTGTCTCTACAACAACAACAACAAAATTTTAATTTGCCAGGCATGATAGCATGATCCAATAGTCCAAGCTACTCAGAAGGCTGAGGCAGGAGGATTGTTTTAGCCCAGGAGTTCAAGACTGCAGTGAGCTATGATAGTGCCACTACATTCTAGCCTGGCAATAGAGTGAGACCCTGTCTCAGAATAAAAATTTAAAAAGAAAGCCTGACCCTTATAGCTTGGCTACATTTATAGAATATAGAATATTTATTCTTCTTCGCTCTTTTTTTTTTTTGTCTTTTATTGCTATTAAATATTGTTCTCCTTCAGTCTTTGGTAAAAATCTTTTATGAAAATTCCAACTTTTTTCACATGTGGCTAAGGGAAGCAAGGAAAGTTGAGTTTGTTTACCAAATGTTGAGACCCTCAATCCCATCCCCAGCCCCTAAGACACCTGGTCTTCCTCTGCAAGCAGGAGACTGGAAGAGCCTTCTCTGGGAAATCTAACCGGCCCAGGAGAAAGATATTCAAGGCAATGAAAATTGATAGATTTTTCTGAAGAAATTGAGAGGAGTTGTAGAGAGTTGGCAGAGTCTGAGGTTGAATTATTTCAAAGCATATAGAAAACTAACCAAATGAAAAGAAAAAATAATTATTAATTTTTTAAAGTAGTATAGGAAAGGAAAATATAATTGTGATTCAGCTGTGAATAATGTTTACATATTCATAGCAATATGATTACTGAATACTGATATACCAACTGTTATTTATTGGTTTGCCGCATCCATTTCCATTACTGTTATGTTCTTCCCTAAATCACAGCAGATGGAAGGCTAGAAACTATTCTTCCAGACTTACAAAAAGTTTGGGATCTGATTGTGATTTTAGATCTGCCACAGGGATTTTTTTTTTATCTGTTTGGCCTATCAATAATCTAGAAGTGTTTTGAAATCCCTCACTAGGATAGTAAATGTGTACATTTCTCCCTATAATTCGTTCGTTTTTATGTTATCATTAGAAACCATGTTAATTGCTCCCAGCACTTTGGGAGGCCGAGGCAGGCGGATCACGAGGTCAGGAGATTGAGACCATCCTGGCTAACATGGTGAAACCCTGTCTCTACTAAAAATACAAAAAATTAGCCGGGCGTGGTGGCGGGTGCCTGTAGTCCCAGCTACTCAGGAGGCTGAGGCAGGAGAATGGCTTGAACCCAGGAGGCGGAGCTTGCAGTAAGCCGAGATTGCGCCACTGCACCACTGCACTCCAGCCTGGGCGACAGAGTGAGACTCTGTCTCAAAAGAAAAAAAAAAACCATGTTAATTGCATACATGTTTAGAACTGTTGCCGGGTGTGGTGGCTCATGCCTGCAATCCTAGCACTTTGGGAGGCTGAGGTGGGAGAATCACTTCAGCCCAGGAGTTTGACACCAGCCTGGGCAACAGAGGAGAACCCATCTCTACAAAAAATAATAAAAAAAACATTGGTGGGTGTGGTGGTGCACACAGTCCCAGCTACTCAGGAGGCTGTGGTGGGAGGATCACTTGAGCCCAAGAGTTCAAGGCTGCAGTGAGCCATCTTTGTGCCATTGCACTCCAGCCTGAGGGACAGAGAGAGACCCTATCTCAAGAAAAACAAAAACAAAAAAAACCTGTTTTATCTGCTTAGTGAATATTTTGTCATGAGAATGATATTAATATGGCCATGCTTGCTTTTTTGTTTGTTTGTCCAATGTATCTTTTTCCCTTTCTTCACATTCAGTTTGTCCGTATCTTTACATCTTAAATGTGTCTGTTTAAAAAGACATATAGCTAGGTTTTCTGTCTCATCTTTTTTTAGTTCTTTCTCCAAAAGCGTTTTCAGCGTAGGTCATCCTACAGTATATATTGAGAAAAATGTTTAGTATGCCCTCATATCTGAGTGACAATCTGCCTGGATATAAAATTATAATTTTCAAAAGAGTCACCCTCACATACCCCAGCAGGGTCTATGTTCTGCCCTGATCATACCTTCTATAATCTGAATGTGTCCCTCCAGAATTCATTTGTGTTAACCTACGTGGACACTGGGGTGGTATGAAGAGGCAGGGCCTTTGGGGACATGGTTGAGTCATAAGTGCTGCACCCTCATGGATGGGACTAGAGCCCTTAGAAAAGAAGTTGAAGGGAGCTCCCTGGCCCCTCCACCATGTGATGACTCAGCAAAAGGGGCCATATTTGAAGCAGAGCAAACCCTCACCAGACAGAATCTGCCAGCACCTTGATCTCAGACTTCCCAACCTCCAAAACTGTGAGCAATGAATTTCTACTGTTTATAAATTACCCAGTTCATGGGTTTGTGTTTTTGTTTGTTTTGTTTTGTTTTTTGAAATGGAGTCTCTGTCTGTCTCCCAGGCTGGAGTGCAATGACATGATCTCGGCTCACTACAACCTCTGCCTCCCAGGTTCAAACAATCCCCCTGCCTCAGCCTCCCTAGTAGCTGGGATTACAGACACGTGCCACCACGCCCAGCTAATTTTTTTTTTTTTTTTTTTGTATTTTTAGTAGAGATGGGGTTTGCCATCTCTGTTGGCCAGGCTGGTCTCAAACTCCTGACCTCAAGTGATCTGCCCACCTCGGCCTCCCAAAGTGCTGGGATTACAGGCGTGAGCCACCACGCTTGGCCCCATAGTTCATGGTATTTTTGTTACAACAGTCTGAATGGACTTAAGGCAGTACCCCATGGGTACCTGCCCAAACCTTCTGGGCCATTTTCACAGGCTGAGGGAGCACCCAATGGGTATCCTAAAGCAAAAAGGTTAGGGCAGGGCAAGCCACAATTAAAATAATAGCCTGCCCAAAGTTAAACTGCCACCTCCACTTCTTTGCAGCTTTTAAATGACAGGGTTGCTCCAGGGAGTAGTTCCAGCTACATTTCAGAAATCACAGGATTTTGCTCTTGGCTTCAGCGGGAATGATGCTGGTATTTCTCCAGTAAGCTCCAGGAAGATCTCCACGTACATGGAACCCTCTCTTAAGCAATTTAAGTGAACTGCTGTGTGCGTAAAGAGGGTGGCCTATGTGGCTGTGTGTGCATTTGTTTGTGCATACACAGGACGCCCCTGGAAGGTTACACAAGAAACTAACACTATTGAGTGCCTTTGAGGAGGGTACCTGGGTGACTGGGGACTGGAGTAGGGAATGAAGCTGTTCCATTGTTTTATAGCTCTTGATTTTTTAAAATTTAATTAATTAATTAATTAATTTATTTTTGAGACAGGGTTTCACTTTGGCATACAGGTTGGAGTGCAGTGGTATGAACATGGCTCACTGCAGCCACCTCAACCTCCCAGGCTCAAGCGATCCTCCCACTTCAACCTCCCAAGCAGCTGGGACTACAGGCATGCACCACCATACCCAGATATCTTTGTATTTTTTGTAGAGACAAGGTTTTGCCATGTTGCCCAGGCTGGTCTCTAACTCCAGAGCTCCGCCAATGCACCAGCCTCGGCCTCCCAAAGTGCTGGGATTACAGGTGTGAGCCACCATTCCTGGCCCTTGGAGTCCTTTTGATAAGAACACTAATCCCATTCATGACAGCTGTATGCTTATGACCTAATCACCTCCCAAAGTTCCCAACTCCTAATACCATCACATTGGTGATTAGGATTCAACACATTACTGTGGGGGGACATAAACATTCAGATCATAGCAGGATGAGAGCAGCTCCCTCTCACCTCCCACTCTGGGACTGTGCTTCTGGAGAAGAGTTGGCTGGGGATGCCCTTCACATGGGACAGAGAGTGGATTGGGAAGGAACTGTCATCCTCCTGAGCATTAGGGACCTCCTTCCCCAACATATTTGATATTCCTGTTGTCATGTTTTATCTGTTCAGGTAAAGCTAATGATTGTCCTCTTACAATGGCAAACAACAAAGAAGAAATATCACCCCATATCTCCAAGGGCCTAATCTCTGGCAGCCTGCCAAGATGTAGGATTGGAAGCTGAGGAAAAGGGGGCGTGCATCCTGGAACAGAGCAGATGCAGATACACAGAGTTGAGCTGTTCTCCGACTCTTCTGTTCCCAGGGCCTCCTCCTAGAGAAAGCCCAACTCCTGTGGATTATACCAAGCCTTGCTCAAGTGCAAGCTCTCCCTGGCTCCTGATCCTCCTGGTGCCAGGCTCGCCCTTTACAGCCACAGTTATTTTCGAATGCATCACCCGTATAATCTTCCTATGTCTATCTCCCCTACAGACACTCAAAATGGCCTCTAGTCACTAAGAGGAAGAGGACAGTGACTGACGTCTGGCCACAGGGGTACCCTGGGGTGGGAGCTGCCGTTGTTCACTACAGCAAGGTGGATGTTTTCATTATCATTGTACCCCCAGTACTCAGGGAGTATTCCGGGAGCATAAAGGACTCCTCTTGGGTTTCCCATCCTAATGGGGCTGTCCGTCCTGCCCCTTCCCTTATGGACCAGGATTAGGGAGCGTGGACTGCTGCACTGGGCACGAACAGGTGTAACCAGAGAAATTAGACACGCGGCCAGCTTCCCGGGCCTGGCCTCGTTGGAGACATCCCCCACTCTCCCTCCTTTTCCCACCCCCATCCACCCATTTCTGGACCCTAGGGAGCCATAGCCCACCACCCGGGGTGCCTGCGCAAGGAAGTCGGCGAAGAGCGAAACCCCTCGGTGCTGTAAGTTTGCGACCAGCAGAGGGCAGCACAAGGCCGCTTCCCTGGAGGTGGCCGGCAGGACAGCTGCAGCACTACTGGAGGCGGGCGGGCACCGACTGGCGGCGGCCAGGGTAGGAGAGCCCTGTCAGTGTGAAATTAGCCTGAAGACTGGGGCGTGGTATTAGTGCGTACGCCAGGGGCACGTCCCGGTCCCTGACACCCAGGACACTGTCGTTACCGCCGCCTTCCTCCATCAGTGTGGTACCAAGGGCCGTGTGGTGCAGTGATGGGGGCACAGGCTCTGCCATGAGGCTGAAAGGATGTTTCCACTCCACCGTTTACTGTGTGGCGTTGGGAAAGTTACCTGACCTGTCTGAGCCTCAGCTTCCCCATCTATTACATGGGGTAATACGGCCCACCTCACTGGGTCGTTAGGGAGCTCATAGGCACACCGGTAAGTGCTTAATATTCACCTTCATCAGCACTTTTCTTATTGCGTCATAATTGCCCAACTGTGTATCTCTCCTTGTACAGGTTTCCTTAGCACTTGTGGGAGATTATGTTTGGGATCTATATCCAGGAGTGGAATTTCTGGGTCACATGGCATGAAAAAGTTCCCAGATGCCTGAGCTGCCTGGTCCTCAGGAAAAGGAGGGTGGGGCAGGGGGGTGTCTCCAATCTCAAAATACCTGTCAGGCATTTTGGGATTACAGTGCCCAGCCCCGTCCCTCATCAAAGTAACTGCTCCGTGAGCTGTTGTGAAGCCAAGCTGAGTGGGAATGAGGTTGCCACAGCTCTACACTGGGCGCTACACAGCCCCTGGCTGACCTCAGACCCTGTCCAGATCTCCTCAAACTCCAGCCCCTTGGAGCCCCCTGGTGTTGGGAACAAGACCCCCCAAATCTGGCCATAAACTGGCCCCAAAACTGGCCATAAACAAAATCTCTGCAGCACTGTGACATGTTCATCATGGCCATAATGCCCACACTGGAAGGTTGTGGGTTTACTGGAATGAGGGCAAGGAACACCTGACCCACCCAAGGCAGAAAACCGCTTAAAGGCATTCTTAAGCCACAAACAATAGCATGAGCAATAACTGCTGCAGTTAACTAGCCCAACCTATCCTTTAATTCGGCCCATCCCTTTGTTTCCCATAAGGGATACTTTTAGTTAATTTAATATCCTATAGAAACAATGCTAATGACTGGCTTGCTGTTAATAAATATGTGGGTAAATCTCTGTTTGGGGCTCTCAGCTCTGAAGGCTGTGAGACCCCTGATTTCCCACTTCACACCTCTATATTTCTGTGTGTGTGTGTGTCTTTAATTCCTCTAGAGCCACTGGGTTAGGGTCTCCCCAGACGAGCTGGTCTCGGCACCTGGGTAGCCCAAACTTCTCTTGCTGTGTGAAAGGAAGGGCTGTTCCCTCCCCAAGCCCACAGTGGTCCTCACCCACCTTGGGGGTTTGGGCCACCTGAGAGTGCCTGCCCAGGGCCTGGGTCTCCATGAACTTCTGTGTCTCTGTCTCTGTAGGTGCTTGTTTCTGTGACTGAGGTTGGGGATTCCTAAAAAAGAAATAAGACCCCCCCATCTCTTTCTGGCTTCTTTTTTATTTCTTAGAGACAAGGTCTCTCTCTCTGCCACCTAGGGTGGAGTGCAGTGGCACAATCATAGCTCACTGGAGCCTCAAACTCCTAGGCTCAAGTGATCCTCCCACCTAAGCCTCTCAAGTAGCTGGGACTACAGATGCACATCACCACACCTGCTAATTTTTTTAAGTTTTTTGTGCAGATGGGGTTTCACTGTGTTGCCCAGGCTGTTCTCAAACTCCTGGCCTCAAGCCATCCTCCTGCCTTGGTCGGTCAAAGCACTGGGATTATAGGCATGAGCCACCTCATATGGCCTTCTGTCTCCTTCTTTAACAGCCAGCAGTTGGTGCATATAATTAGTCCTCAATTCTTCCTCAAAGAAAACAAGTTTGAAGCTCAGCCCAGTTGCCCCAGCCTGCACCCAAAGAAAATGTTACTTTTCTTCTCACTGCACAGCCCCACATAGGCTCGGCCAAAGGGGAACAGGATGGAGTCTCCCCAGGGAGTGTGGGCTGCCTCCCTGAGGGAGTGCTGGAAAGAGAGACATGTCCTCTTCGGTAGGAGATAGCTGGTGAGAGAGCGATCCTGGGAACCGTCCCCTGGATAGTTCTGTGCAGCTGACCTGAGGCCAGGGAGCCCTAGCACTGTCTTCTCCCTCATGGCCCAGAGACAGGGAAAAAAATCTGTAAGAATTAGCTCAGGGTAATTTTTTCAGTCCCCATTTACCTTCTGAGCCAGGTAACCTTATGCAATGCACAACGTGCCCAACTGTATATGGCAGAAACTTACATCCTCGCGCTTCCATAGGAAGTAAGATCTCAGACTGTAAAGAAGACTGCGACCAGGCAGGTGTCCACTTGTCCACCCTTGCTCTCTGGGGCCATCAGGGGAAGGTGGTGGTCAATGTTCCTGTGAAAAAATACTGCTTACTCCTGTCAGTGGACCCACAATTCCCTTGTTGCTCCTTCCAGAGCAGCTGCTTCTGGGCCTGATGGTGTCTACAGAGCAGTTTCAGGAAACCTGTGTCCTCCCTTTCCACTGCCTGGCACGTCCCAGCCAACATGGCTGACTACCCACCTGTGCTCAGCATTGTCTCCTGGCAACTGTCCTTATTACCTAACTCCAGCTTCAATGTCTCTTCCTATTTCTCAAATCAGGAACACTTCTCAGTGATACCTATTTTCCTCCCAAACTGTGGTCTCTGACTGAGTCCCTGGTCTCCACCACAGACTTGATGACACTCTTACATATGGCTAAATATGGCGTCCTCAAACACGCATGCTAAACTAAAAACACCACTTCTAAAAATTTATCTGAAGAAATTCTGGCACAAGTGCAAAGATGTATGTTTAAGGAGGGTTATGGGAGAATTCGTTTGTGGTAGTGAAAAACCTCTGAAGACTCCAGATGCCTATTAATAGGGAAATGGCTTAATACTTTATGGGTCACTCAAGCTATGCACTTCCATGCAGCTGATAAAAAGCTTTCCAAGACGTTTAAAGGGCTGGAGGTTGGGAGGGTTGGAAAACAATACGAACAGTCAGAGCCCTTATAGGTTTTAAGAAAATAGAGGACTACATGCAGCTAAATGCATAGACCTGGAAAAGCCAAGGGCCAATAAGCATTTGGGTGGATGCTCAAGATCATTGGTAATTTCCAGAGATGTGGAAATTAGAGCAACAAAATATCCCTTGATGCCTAGCTGACTGGCAAAAACTCAAGAGTGGGAAAATACCAAGTTGACAGTGGAGGGGATGTGTGGATACACAAAACTACGTGCACATTGGTGAGTGTAGACTGGAGCAGCCATTCTGGACAGCAAGCTGACAATATTTAGGCAAGTTAGATGTTTCTAGTGACCCAGAAACTCTACTCCTGGTATAGATCCCAAAGATATTTTCCCACAGATGCTTAGGGAAACCTGTACAAGGAAGTTTGTTGTGGCTTTTTTTTTTTGAACAGGGTTTTGCTCTGTCGCCCAGGCTGGAGTGCAATGGCACCATCTTGGCTCACTGCAAGCTCCACCTCCTGGGCTCAAGTGATTCTCCTGCCTCTGCCTCCTGAGTAGCCAGGACTACAGGCACATACCACCACACCTGGCTAATTTTTGTATTTTTTGTAGAGATGGGGTTTCACCATGTTGCCCAGGCTGGTCTCAAACTCCTGAACTCAGGTGATTCACCTGCTTCGGCCTCCCAAAGTACTGGGATTACAGGCATGGGCCACCATGCCCAGCCTGTTATGGCATTATTTGAGGAGGCAGGGGAGTTATTGGAACCACCTAGATATCTAATCTTGGGAGAGCAGAGAAGTAAAATGAAGTGGTTGCACACCATGGAGAGTTATACAGCCATCTGAAGCAACAGAGATGGATCTTTAAAAATATAACATGGGGCCAGGCGTGGTGGCTCGTGCCTGTAATCCCAGCACTTTGGGAGGTCAAGGCAGGCAGATCACTTGAGGTCAGGAGTTCAAGATCAGCCTGGCCAACATGGTGAAACCCCGTCGCTACTGAAATACATAAATTAGCTGGGTGTAGTGTTGCACACCTGTAGTCCCAGCTACTTGGGAGGCTGAGGTGAGAGAATTGCTTGAACCCAAGTGGCAGAGGTTGCAGTGAGCTGAGATTGCACCACTGCACTCCAGTCTGGGTGACAGAGCAAGACTCCATCAAAAAAAAAAAAAAAAAATGGCCGAATAGGAAGAGCTACAGTCTGTAGCTCCCAGCATGATCGACACAGAAGATGGGTGATTTCTGCATTTCCAAGTGAGGTACCTGGTACATCTCATTGGGACTGGTTGGACAGTGGGTATAGCACTCGGAGGGCGAGCTGAAGCAGGGCGGCTCACCCAGGAAGCGCGAGGGGTCGGGGGATTTCCCTTTCCTAGCCAAGGGAAGCCATGACAAACTACCTGGAAAAACGGGACACTCTCACCCAAATACTGTGCTTTTCCCAAGGTCTTAGCAACTGGCAGATGAGGTGATTCTCTCCCGTGCCTGGCTTGGCAGATCCCATGCCCACGGAGTCTTGCTCACTGCTAGCGTGCAGTCTGAGATCCATCTGCGAGGTGGCAGCCTGGCTGGGGGAGGTGCATGCACCATTGCTGAGGCTTGAGTAGGTGAACAAAGCGGTCAGGAAGCTCAAACTTGGTGGAGACCACTGCAGCTCGACAAGGCCTACTGCTTCTAGACCCCACCTGCATGGACAGGGCATAGCTGAACAAAAGGCAGCAGACAACTTCTGCAGACTTAAATGTCCCTGTCTGACAGCTCTGAAGAGAGCAGTAGTTCTCCCAGCACGGCGCTTGAACTCTGAGAATGGACAGACTGCCTCCTCAAGTGGGTCCCTGACCCCCGTGTAGCCTAACTGGGAGACACCTCGCAGTAGGGACCAACACGCACCTCATATAGGCAGCTGCCTCTCTAGGACAAAGCTTCCAGAGGAAGGATCAGGCAGCAATATTTGCTGTTCTGCAATATTCACTGTTCTGGAGCCTCCGCTGGTGATACCCAGGCAAACAGGGTCTGCAGTGGAACTCCAGCAAACTCCAACAGACCTGCAGCTGAGGGACCTGACTGCTAGAAGGAAAACTAACAAACAGAAAGGAATAGCATCAACATCAACAAAAAGGTCATCTACACCAAAACCCCATCTCTAGGTCACCAACATCAAAGACCAAAGGTAGATAAAACAACAAAGATGGGGAGAAACCAGAGCAGAAAAGCTGAAAATTCTAAAAATCAGAGTGCCTCTTCTCCTCTAAAGAATTGCAGTTCCTTGCCAGCAACAGAGGCAAAGCTGGATGGAGAATGACTTTGACAAGTTGACAGAAGTAGGCTTCAGAAGGTCTGTAATAACAAACTTCTCCGAGATAAAGGAGGATGTTCGAACCCATTGCAAGGAAGCTAAAAACCTTGAAAAAAGATTAGACGAATGGCTAACTAGAATAAACAGTGTAGAGAAGACCATAATAGCCTGATGGAGCTGAAAACCATGGCACAAGAACTTTGTGATGCATGCACAAGTTTCAATAGCTGATTCAATCAAGTGGAAGAAAGGATATCAGTGATTGAAGATCAAATTAATTAAATAAAGCAAGAAGAGAAGTTTAGAGTAAAAAGGTAAAAAGAAACAAACAAAGCCTCCAAGAAATATGGGTCTATGTGAAAAGACCAAATCTACATTTGATTGGTGTACCTGAAAGTGATGAGGAGAATGGAACCAAGTTGGAAAACACTCTTCAGGATATTATCCAGGAGAACATCCCCAACTTAGCAAGGCAGACCAACATTCAAATTCAGGAAATACACAGAACACCAAAAAGATACTCCTCAAGAAGAGCAACCCCAAGACACATAATTGTCAGATTCACCAAGGTTGAAATGAAGGAAAAAGTGTTAAGGGCAGCCAGAGAGGAAGGTCGAGTTACCCAGAAAGGGAAGCCCATCAGACTAACAGCAGATCTCTCAGCAAAAACCTTACAAGCCAGAAGAGAGTGGGGGCCAATATTCAACATTATTAAAGAAAAGAATTTTCAACCAGAATTTCATATCCAGCCAAACTAAGCTTCATAAGTGAAGGAGAAATAAAATCCTTTACAGACAAGCAAATGCTGAGAGATTTTGTCACCACCAGACCTGCCTTACGAGAGCTCCTGAAGGAAGCACTAAGCATGGAAAGGAACAACTGGTACCAGCCACTGCAACAACATGCCAAATTGTAAAGACCATCAATGCTAGGAAGAAACTGAATCAACTAACAGGCAAAATAACCAGCTAACATCATAAAGACAGGATCAAATTCACACATAACAATATTGACCTTAAAAGTAAATGGGCTAAATGCCCCAGTTAAAGGACACAGACTGGCAAATTGGACAAAGAGTCAAGACCCATCAGTGTGCTGTATTCAAGAGACCCAGCTCACATGCAGAGACATACATAGGCTCAAAATAAAGGGATGGGGGAAGATCCACCAAGCAAATGTAAAGCAAAAGAAAAAAAAAAAAAAGCAGGGGTTGCAATCCTAGTCTCTGATAAAACAGATTTTAAACCAACAGAGATCAAAAGAGACAAAGAAGGTCATTACATAATGGTAAAGGGATCAATTCAACTGGAAGAGTTAACTATCCTAAATATATATGCAGCCAATACAGGAGCACCCAGATTCATAAAGCAAGTCCTTAGAGACCTACAAAGAGACTTAGACTCCCACACAATAATAACAGGAGACTTTAACACCCAACTGTCAATATTAGACAGATCAGTGACACAGAAGGTTAACAAGGATATCCAGGACCTGAACTCAGCTCTGCACCAGGCAGACCTAATAGACATCTACAGAGCTCTCCACCCCAAATCAACAGAATATACATTTTTCTCAGCACCACATCACACTTATTCTAAAATTGACCACATAATTGGAAGTAAAACACTCATCAGCAAACGTAAAAGAACAGAAATCACAACAAACTGTTTCTCAGACCACAGTGCAATCAAATTAGAACTCAGGATTCAGAAACTCACTCAAAACTGCACAACTACTTGGAAACTGAACAACTTGTTGCAGAATGACTAATGCATAAATAACGAAATGAAAGCAGAAATAAAGATGTTCTTTGAAACCAATGAGAACAATGACACAACGTACCAGAATCTCTGGGACACATTTAAAGCAGTGTGTAGAGGGAAATTTATAGCACTAAATGCCCACAAGAGAAAGCAGGAAAGTTCAAAAATCAACACCCTAGCAACACAACTAAAAGAACTAGAGAAGCAAGAGCAAACAAATTCAAAAGCTAGCAGAAGGCAAGAAATAACTAAGATCAGAGCAGAACTGAAAGAGATAGAGAGACAAAAAACCCTTAAGAAAATCAATAAATCCAGGAGCTGGTTTCTTGAAAAGATCAACAAAATTGATAGACCACTAGCAAGACTAACAAGAAAAGAGAGAAGAATCAAATAGATGCAGTAAAAAATGATAAAGGGGATATCACCACCAATCCCACAGAAATACAAACTACCATCAGAGAATACTATAAACACCTCTGTGCAAATAAACTAGGAAATCTAGAAGAAATGGATAAATTCCTGCACACATACACCCTCCCAAGACTAAACCAGGAAGAAGTTGAATCTCTGAACAGACCAATAACAGGCTCTGAAACTGAGGCAATAATTAATAGCCCACCACCCCAAAATAGTCCAGGACCAGATGGATTCACAGCCGAATTCTAACAGTGGTACAAAGAGGAGCTGGTACCATTCCTTCTGAAATTATTCCAATCAATAGAGAAAGAGGGAATCCTCCCTAACTCATTTTATGAGGCCAACATCATCCTGATACCAAAGCCTGGCAGAGACACAACAAAAAAAGAGAATTTTAGACCAATATCCCTGATGAACATCAATGCGAAAATCCTCAAGAAAATACTGGCAAACCGAATCCAGCAGCACATCAAAAAGCTTATCCACCATGATCAAGTCAGCTTCGTCCCTGGGATGCAAGGCTGGTTCAACATATGCAAATCAATAAATGTAGCAAGGCTGGTTCAACGTATGCAAATTAATGAACATAATCCGTCACATAAACAGAACCAATGACAAAAACCACTTGATTATCTCAATAGATGCAGAAAGGCCTTTGACAAAATTCAACAGTGCTTCATGCTAAAAACTCTCAATAAACTAGATGTTGATGGAACATATCTCAAAATAATAAGAGCTATTTATGACAAACTCACAGCCAATATCATACTGAATGGGCAAAAACTGGAAGCATTCCCTTTGAAAACAGGCACAAGACAAGGATGCCCTCTCTCACCACCCCTATTCAACATAGTGTTGGAAGTTCTGGCCAGGGCAATTAGGCAAGAGAAAGAAATAAAGGGTATTCAATTAGGAGAAGAGGAAGTCAAATTGTCCCTGTTTGCAGATGACATGATTGTATATTTAGAAAACTCCATCATCTCAGCCCAAAATCTCCTTAAGCTGATAAACAACTTCACCAAAGTCTCAGGATACAAAATCAATGTGCAAAAACCACAGGCATTCCTCTACACCATTAACAGACAAACAGAGAGCCAAATCATGAGTGAACTCCCATTCACAATTGCTGCAAAGAGAATAAAATTCCTAGGAATCCAACTTACAAGGGATGTGAAGGACCTCTTCAAGGAGAACTACAAACCACAGCTCAATGAAATAAAAGAGGACACAAACAAATGAAAGAATATTCCATGCTAATGGATAGGAAGAATCAATATCATGAAAATGGCCATACTACCCAAAGTAATTCATAGATTCAATGCCATCCCCATGAAGCTACAAATGACTTTCTTCAGGGAATTGGAAAAAACTGCTTTAAAGTTCTTATGGAACCAAAAAAGAGCCTGCATTGACAAGACAATCCTAAGCAAAAAGAACAAAGCTGGAGGCATCATGCTACCTGACTTTAAACTGCACTACAAGCCTACAGTAACCAAAACAGCACGGTACTGGTACCAAAACAGACATATAGACCAATGGAACAGAACAGAGCCCTTAGAAATAACACCACACATCTACAACTATTTGATCTTTGACAAAAACAAGAAATGGGGAAAGGATTCCCTATTTAATAAATGGTGCTGGGAAAACAGGTTAGCCATATGTAGAAAGCTGAAACTGGATCCCTTCCTTACACCTTACACAAAAATTAACTCAAGATGGAGTAAAGACTTAAATGTTAGACTTAAAATCATAAACACCCTAGAAGAAAACCTAGGCAATACCATTCAGGACATAGGCATGGGCAAGGACTTCATGACTAAAACACCAAAAGCAATGGCAACAAAAGCCAAAATAGACAAATGGGATCTGATTAAACTAAAGAGCTTCTGCACAGCAAAAGAAACTACCATCAGAGTGAACAGCCAACCTACAGAATGGGAGAAAATTTTTGCAATCTACCCATCTGACAAAGGGCTAATATCCAGAATCTACAAAGAACTCAAACAAATTTACAAGAAAAAAACAAACAATCCCATCAAAAAGTGGGCAAAGGACATGAACAGACACTTCTCAAAAGAAGACATCTATGCAACCAACAGACACATGAAAAAATGCTCGTCATCACTGGTCATTAGAGAAATGCAAATCAAAACCACAATGAGATACCATCTCATGCCAGTTAGAATGGCAATCATTAAAAAGTCAGGAAACAACAGATGCTGGAGAGGATGTGGAGAAATAGGAATGCTTTTATACTGTTGGTGGGAGTGTAAATTAGTTCAACCATTGTGGAAGACAGTGTGGCAATTCCTCAAGGATCTAGAACTAGAGTTACCATTTGACCCAGCGATCCCATTACTGAGTATATACCCAAAGGATTATAAATCATGCTGCTATAAAGACACATGCACACGTATGT
Organism: Homo sapiens; assembly: GCF_000001405.40. Classification (NCBI taxonomy): domain Eukaryota; kingdom Metazoa; phylum Chordata; class Mammalia; order Primates; family Hominidae; genus Homo; species Homo sapiens. Next base: position 70,881,635 of record NC_000002.12, read on the forward strand.
TTATTGCAACACTATTCAACAGCAAAGACTTGGAACCAACCCAAATGTCCATCAATGATAGACTGGATTAAGAAAATGTGGCACATATACACCACAGAATACTATGCAGCCATAAAAAAAGGATGAGTTCATGTCCTTTGCAGGGACATGGATGAAGCTGGAAACCATCATTCTCAGCAAACTATCACAAGGACAGAAAACCAAACACTGCATTTTCTCACTCATAGGTGGGAATTGAACAACGAGATCACTTGGACACAGGGTGGGGAACATCACACACCGGGGCCTCTCAGGGGGTGGGGGGTTGGGGAAGGGATAGCATTAGAAGAAATACCTAATGTAAATGATGAGTTGATGGGTGCAGCAAACCAACATGGTACATGTATACCTATGTATCAAACCTGCATGTTATGCATATGTACCTAGAACTTAAAGTATAAAAAAGAAAAAAGAAGTGAAGCCTGAAGATGCGACTGAATTGCTGCAATCTCATGATAAAACTTGAATGAATGAGGAGTTGCTTCTTATGGTTGAGCAAAGAAAGTGGTTTCTTGAGATGGAATCTACTTCCAGTGAAGATGTTGTGAACATTATTTGCAATGGCAACAAAGGGTTTAGAATATTACATACACTTAGTTGATAAAGCAGCAGCAGAGTTTGAGAAAACTGATTCCAATTTTGAAAGAAGTTCTATCGTGGGTAAAATGCTGTCAAACAGCATCTCATGCTACAGAGAAATCTCTCATAAAAAAAAGAGTCAATTGATGTGGCAAAAAAAATACAATTTTTTATATATATATATAGTTGCTCTTCCCTTCCTGAAAATGTCATCCAAAAGCCATTAGGTAGGGCCAAGCAAGGTAAGCATCCCCATAAGGGAGAGTGTCTGCCATGGTGAATCCGCATGGGTGTGTTGGGATCCAAGCAGGGAGACATCCACACAGTGTCAGCATCAGATACCTCAGCCACAGTGGGGTGAGCAGAGTCTCCTCAGTGGGGGTGGGGCACAGAGAGGCAATGCAGCCACAGGAAACTCGTTACACACCAGGAAACTGATCAAATATACATACTGAGGAAAATAGGAGACAGATTTCTCACTGTTCGAGAAGGTAGCATAAATACAGAAAAGAAGAAAACTAGAAAAAGCTCTTCCAGCCTGGGCAATATAGGAGGACTCTGTCTCTACAAAAAATGGGAAATTAACTGGGCATGGTGGTGCACACCAGTAGTCCTGGCTCCTCAGGAGGCTGAGGTGAGAGGATCACTTGAGCCCAGGATTTCGAGGCTGCAGAGAGCTATGATTGCACCACTGCACTCCAACCTGTGCAACTAGAGGACTCTACCTTAAAAATATAAATAATAAATAATAAAACTCAATAATATAAAAACAAATAACCCAATGTGAAAAAGAGCAAAGGACATAAATAGATATTTCTTTACAGAAGATATACAAATGGCCAAGAAACACATGAAAAGATAGACAACATCATTAGTCATCAGGGAAATGCAAATAAGAACCACATTGAAATACAAAGTCACATCCACTAGGATGGCTATAATTGAAAAAACAGACAATAACAAGTGTTGCCAAGGATGTGGAACAATTGGAATTCTTATTCATTGCTAGGGGAAAATGTAAAATGGGACAGCCACTTTGGAAGACAGTGCGGTAGGTCCTCAAAAATTTAAAGATAGAATTAGTTGTTTGACCTAGCAATTCCACTCCTAGGTATGTACCCAAGAGATATGAAAATATATGGCCACCGAAAACTTCTCCAAGAACATTCACAGCAGGATGTATTCATAATAGCTAAACAGTGGAAACAACCCAAATGTCCATCAACTGACGAATAGATAAACTGTGGTATGTCCATACAATGGAATTATTCATCCATTAAAAATGAAGTACTGATTTATGCTACAATACGGATGAACCTTGAAAACATTATGGTAAGGGAAAGAAGTCAGTCACAAAAGACCATATATTGAACAATTCCATTTATATGATATGTTCAGAATAGGCAAATCTATAGAGACACAATGTAGATAGTTACCTAGGGCTGGCAGGGATGGGAGAATTGGGAGGTGAAAGCTAACAGGAATGGGATTTCTTTTGGGGATGATGAAAATGTTCTAAAATTGATTATAGGAGTGGTTGTACAACTCTGTGAATATACATATTAAAAAACATTACACAGTGTATTTTAAATAGGTGAAGTGTATGATACATGAATGATATCTCAATAAAGCTATTACCCCCAAAAAAGGACATTTGGGACAATTCACAAATTAAATAAATAATATAGTAACAAAATATAGCCTATTGAATACATTAGGAATCCATTTGTTGATATTGATCTAAACAATGCACAAAGAGCTTGATGAGGGGCAGGATATATAGATAGTCTAAAAGTTCCTCCCTGCAAAATACTTATTAAATGCAAAGGGAAAAATAACCTTACAGGGAGAAACTTAATTCTCACTCAAATGATCAAAGTTAACATCACCAGTACAGGATATATCAAAATCATGTACCATCTGATAGGACACAATGAGAAGAATTCAATATCACTTCTGTGATATTCCTGCCAAAGATGCATAGTCTGAATTGAATTGTGAGGAAACATGAGATAAATCCACACCGAGGGGCTTTCTACATAATAACTGGCCGTGAAAGTCAAAGACTGGAACTAACTGTCACAGATTGAAGGAGACTAAAGAGACGTGACAACTGACTGCAATACATCTTTACTGCATCCTTTTGATAATAAAGGACATTTGCAGAACCATTGACAAGGGGGTCTGAGGAGTCAATTGTGATAGCATTAATTTTCTAATTTTGATGATTGCATTGCGATTTCAAGGGAGAATGTCCTTGTTTGTTAGAAATACAAAATAAAGCATTATGTCAGCAACTTGAGTTCAAACAGGTAAGTGGAGGAGGGGGTTTCTTTGTAATGCTCTTGACAATTTCTCTGTAAGTTTCAGACTGTTCAAAATAAAACAAGGAACTCCAATATATACAATCTAACTAACTGGTCCATATTCTTCAAAAATATCTGTTACAAACATACACAAAAAAAGCTGATAAACTGTTTCCAGGTAAAGGAGGCTAACAAGAACTTAAAAACTAAATGCAATGGGTAATATTGAATTAAATCTGGGACCAGAAAAAAATAATAATATTATAAAGGATATTATTGGGACAATTGATGAAATTTGAATAAGATCTGAAGATTATATATCAATGTTAAGATTCCTAATTTTAATCACTGCAATGTGGCATGTAGGTGATGGCCCTCAGGAAATGCACGCGAAAGTATTTAATAGTAAAACGGCATGGTGTCTGCAACTTATCCTCAAATGCTTCCATAAAAATAATTTTAAAAGAGAATGATAATGCAATTGCAGCTTAAAGACAATACTAGAGTTTTGTAATATTCTTGCAACTTTCCCATAAATTTGAAATTGTTTTTAACAATTTTAAATAATATTTAAAATGAAATATAAAACTCAATACCATGTACATACAATAAAAACGCACACCAAAAAAAAGAGCTTATTTTGTGAGAATATATGACAACAAAGACTAACAGCAAATACAACCCAGTGGTTTGGAGGAGGGGGTTGTGAAATTCAGGGAGGAGAATGTGAGTGCGTGAGTGCTCAGTCTAAAAAGATTAAACACACAATTTTTTTTTTAAACGGAGCTTCACTCTTTTCGCCCAAGCTGGAGCGCAATGGTGCGATCTCGGCTCACTGCAACGTCCGCCTCCCGGGTTCAAGCGATTCTCCAGCCTCAGCCTCCGGAGTAGCTGGGATTACAGGCGCTAGCCACCACGCCCAGCTAATTTTTGTATTTTTAGTAGAAACGGGGTTTCACCATGTTGGCCAGGCTGGTGATCTCCTGACCTCAGGTGATCGGCCCACCTCGGCCCACCTCGGCCTCCCAAAGTGCTGGGATTACAGGCATGAGCCACCGTGCCCGGCCTAAATACACTATTTTTAAAACAGACTAGGGAGGGGAGCTGCCGAAACAATCCCCAAACTTCTCACTTCACACTTCTGAGGAATGAGATGGGGTAGAAGTAGGGACAAGCATGAAGGGAGGTGTCATGTTTTATCTTTATCTTTTGGCACTGTTTGAACTTTTATTATATAAAATACAACCACATAAACAAATATGTAATTTTTTAATACAGACAAAAAAATGATGGAACATCTATATAATGTTACCAAGACAGCTGCTAGGAATGAGATAGAGCTACTTCCATTAACATGTAAGAAAACTATGACCTATTTTTTTAAGGCAATTTGCAGAGTGGCAGGGAATATAAATCATTGTTGCAAAAAACATCTAAATAGTTCACATATGCAACGTAGTAACTATAAGCCATGCTACTTCTGCACAGAGGATTAAGGAAGGACTTGTAGACACTTGTCTGATTATTTTATGAGTTTGTGTTCACTTATAATCTTTAAATTAATCTTATGTGAATATATTCTTATTAAAAAATCAAATAATATATGTATTGCTTTTATGATTTAAAATACATATTACTGTGGTTTAGAGAAGAAATTGTTTCTTAAAGGACAATTCCTATTTCTTTCTTCAGCCTCAAGAGTCAGAAAGCAAGACAATTAGTATTTTTAAATAAGGAAATGTAAACTAGTTTTCAGTAAAACATAATTTACAACAATAATGATTATGTAATCATGCCTCTATTAATACAGCAACCGTTTAAAATAATGCAAATGCACAATAACCAGGCTGTCTGTTTCCAATTTCCTTGGACTGGATGGCGAGAATCCCACTTTCCTGGACTTTTCCACCCACATTTATGATCCCTCGCAGCGTATAACCACTACGTACCTCTCCAAACCCAACAAACTTTGCAGCCTGCGCAGACAAAGGTTTCTATGTTTCTCTCTCCATTTCTACTTGGCAAACCCCTGCCTGGGGCTGTACTCGGGAGTCACCTTCACTTCCTTGCTAAGTCAGGTGAAGCCTTACCTGACTTTCTCCAGGCTGGGGAAAGAACCCCCACACCCCTCACCCACTCCCCGGCTCCCATTGCCTCTTCTTTCCTCTCCCTACCGTGCTGCCCACTTTGCGCGGTAATTTTTGCTCCAAGGGCCTGCCTCCCAGAGGCTTGGGGTGCAGGGAAAGTGCTCTAAGGGTGGGACTGATTTAGTCTGGACATTCCTGACCGGTAGCACCACGCCCATAATGACCCGAAAATAAATGCCTGCGTAAATTGCTTTGGGAAGCGGTTGGGCAATTTATTAAGAGTAGTGAAAATGTCCCCTTCCTGCTGAAACAGTAAGAATCTTGAAGAAATAATCCTCCCCAAAGGAGAAAACTATATACACGAAGATTTTAGGTTGTGTATTATTTTCATACAGAAAAACTGGACACGGAAGAATATCAAGTAATTGAACGGTTAAGTAAATTACACAGTAACATAATAGAGCATTACTCGGCCATTGAAAAGTATACTTATGAGGATCATAGCACATAGCAAATACTGAAGTGTGGCCTCAAGTAGAAAAGACTGAATACAAAACTACATGTTCACCAGGACTAACATTATGCAAAATAAAGATGCACATTTAAAAAAAAAAAAAAAAAAGACTGAGTCTTTTAGGGGTAGCACGGGGATATTTTTCCTGCTTTCAATTCTATTATTGCTGTTCTAGCCATGCGAACAGTGCACAGAGGTTGGAAGTGGCGTCAAGAGGAGTCTTACCATTGTGTATATGACTGTAAAACTGAGAAAAAGAAGGTAATATCAGCCTGGGGAATGCATTTCTAATGGCGGGACTTCCTGCACCTTGACCTGCCAGTCGGGGTTGTGGCCCGGCAGTGGCATTCCCAGGGGGTCTCAGAACAAAACGACGGCCACAGAGTCCACCTGGACAAAAGGGCAGGGAAGGGGCCCCTCGCCCTTGACCCTTGGGCTCTGCTCCGGCCACCCTGAGCCGAAGGCTGTTTGGGTGAATGCGTGGGGTTTCTCCGGCGATCGATCCCTTTGGACTGGCTTCCCCACTAGCAACCTGCGCGTCCCCACCAGAACCAGCCGGCTGGCCGAGCGAAAGCCCGGTTTCGGGAGACCTTGCGGGGAGAGCAGCTGGCCCTCGCCCACCGGGCCGCGCTTTGTCTAGGGCGCGAGTCCGCCCGTTTCCGGCCCCGCCCCTCGCCCTGGTCCCAGTCCGCCCCTCCCCCTACCCGGCTTCCGCGTCTCCGCTCCCGCGCTGCCGGCTTCCGCGGCTTCCCCCACTTCTCAGCCTGCTTCTCTCTCCCCTCTCCTTCCTTTCCTGTCCTTTCACACTCGCGCCCCAGCCCCCGTCACCATCTACCCCAAGGACTTGCAAACTTCGCCCCTGAGGAGCGGACTCTTCGGTTCTCCGTGGAAAATCAACCAGACCCAAAACAGAGGTCCCGGGTTTGGGGATACCACGCCGCGCGCCTGAGCATCCGGGCTCCATTTCTCCAGGCGACATCTGCGGGAAGGGAGACCTAAAGGCCAAGGCTGGGGACGAGAGGCAGGTGCCTGGAGTAGTGGACGGTGGAAATGGCGACGGCGGCCTGCACCCAGCGATCCCGAAAGTGCCCATGTATCCGTCCATCTGGGTTTTTTTTTTTCTTAGATCATCCACCAAGGCCGGGGTTTCCGAGTGAGGCGCCCACTTCGCATCCCACAGTACCGCCAGGTGTGTTTCCCATGAGCTCTTTAAGAGAGAACCCAAGAGCTCTTTAAGAGAGAACCCAAATAATGTGTGAATACCTTCTCCAATAACTTCAAGTCAGAGGCTCAGACACACACACACACACACACACACACACCCCTAAAACATATTTATTTCGTGGAAGAGCGTGTATCCCTCGGCTGTCCTTCCAGCTCTCCCTTGGTGCGTGTGCAGGACGCACAGAAGGGTGGAGTGTGGGTTGCGATTATTTTTACACAGAAGGTGTCACACTCTGGGATCTGTTCCGCAGGGAGGCCACAGGTGCCAGGAGACGCGGGAGAGACTGGCTCCTGCCAAGAACATTTCTTTGCATTGTTCAGTGCGGTTTTTTATTTTTATTTTTGACTGTTTGTTTGCCTAAGAGATGACTTCCCTTGCCAGAAAAAAAAAAGTGTTGTAAAAATAAAAGGAAACGGGATTACGATGTAAAAGACGAATAGATAAACCCGGTTCCGCAGATCTGCGGCGCGCGCGCCTGGCGACCTCGGATACATTCATTGAAGTTGCCGCGCACTCGTACCCGGGTTCACCTCGCCCCTCGCTCATTCCTCCCGACCAAGGCCCATGGTCAGAGGTGTCCTCGCCCCGCGGCCGTCAGAGGGCGCGGCCTACACTCGAATGCCGGCCGAGCCCTCCACGCGCTCGGAACTTGGGCTTCCCGGTGCAGCCTCCCCGCGATCGCAATGCCCGCTGCCTTTCCCGAGCCCAGTCCGGAACCCGCCTCTCTCGGGGACCTTGACCTCGCGCGGACCTCGTCGCCTTGCTTAGCTCTCCCTGACCTGCTTTTGAACCCGCTAATCCCGTCCCGAACTCTCGCCCCGCGGCAATCCCTCGCCCCGGCCCTGGCGCGCTAATTCCCGCTGACCCCGCCGCCCCGCCGCCTCTCTCCGCTCGCGCGGCTGTGACCAGGATAAGGGCTTCCCGCCTCTGAGTGCAGGTGTGATCTGGAGCTCAGGCAACTACTGCCCCCGCATTGTCCCCAGCCCGCGCTCGCACCCCCAGGACCCAAGCAAAGCGTCTCTTGCCTCAAACATTCTGCCCTTCTCTTGCTTCCTCTTGTTTCCCTAGCATAATTCATGTCTTTCTTTAAGAAACCCATCGGACCCACAAAGATCAAAATCTTCGGTAACACACCAAACTGGCGACGCTGTGGGGAAGCAAGCACTCTCCCAAGTGGCTGGCGCGCAGTGAGGGCGCAGGAAAGGTAAGCAGGAGACCCGCCGCTAGGAGCCAGAGCCAGGCCGGCGAGGCGGGCAGGCAGGAAGAACCGCGGACAGGGCGACTTGATCTCATTTTTAAAACCGGAGAGTGAGATGGGACGAGAGCTTGAGCTTCTAGGGATGGGGCTGAGATTCTGGAGAGACACCTGGTAGTCATTTCTTAATCTTTTGTGCTGCTTAGAATTTTTTCTTAGATGCATGTTTTCCTTTTAAAAGAAAAAGAAAAAAAAGAAAAGGCAGAGCGGGGTGGCTCACACCTGTAATCCCAACAGTTTAGGAGACCAAGGAGGGAGAAGCCCTAGCGGCCAGGAGTTCCAGATCAGCCTGGGCAACATAACGAGACCCTCGTCTCTGCAAAAAAATAAAAAATAAAAAATTAGGCGAGTGTGGTGGTGCCTGCCTGTTGTCCTAGCTACTCAGGAGGTTGAGGCAGGAGGATAGCTTGTGCTTAGGAGTAGAAGGTTGTAGTGAGCCGTGATCGTGTCACTGCAACCAGCATGGGCGACAGAGTGAGACCTTGTCTCTTAAAAAAAAAATAGTAAAAGTCATTATTTTAAAAGTTGATGAAATTAGTTCACACTACACACATTTACAAACACAGGTCACACACACACACAAACACCTCCAAGGCAAGGGTCTGCACATTTGTTTGGGGTTGTTTTGTTTTGTTTTGTAAGCAAACTGAACCCAACACAAAGCACTGTACTCCCCTTCTTGGTGTTTATTACAGGACCATGGAGGCTTAGTAAAAAGCATTTATTTAAGGGGAGTTATTTTCAGAGGCTGTTTTCTAGCCAGGAAAAAAAAAAATCGGATACTTAGACTTATCCCCTGGTATGTGCAACATGTAAACAACCAGGTAGCATGCTTCTCCCACCCCCAAAGATCAAACTCCAGGGTTCCAGCCTTGGCCCTGTATCAGTCTGACTGCCCCTGGAAGGTTGGCCATCTCCAGTGATATAGGCTACATGACCGACTATTCGAGTCTGTTTGGCTCACAGCTGTCCCCTAGTGCCTGGCATATTTTAGGAACTCAATAAACATTTGTTAGATGACAAATATTTCAAAGAATGTGCAACAGCTCCTGGAGAACTGTTTCCAGTAGATATAAATTCCTAGCAGCATCTTGGGGTAAGAGGACGGGCCCCCGAGGCTGCCACCTCTAGAGGGCCTTGGATAGTGGCCAGTGCCTTCCCACACAGGCCCAACAGTCACCCAAAACAGGCTGTCATTCAGCTCCTCACCCTTGCATTTTGAAAGTCCTCTCCCAGGGTCAAGAGATAGAGAATTCCTCTAGCCTGGTCCCACCCAGGCCAGTGGCTCCTAGAGACTCAGTCCCTAGGTAACCCCTCCTATTCACCATGGACAATAGGCCACTCAGCAGACAGGCCTTGGATGCTTGTTGGGACCCACCTGAGCCCGAGAGCAGAGCTTCTGGCTCACATGGTGAAGGGGAAACCAGAGAGAGGGTGACCTAGGAAGAGGTGCCAGAGATGCCTGGCTCCTGATTGCCAAGGTCAGTCTGGAACCCGCTTGCAGGTGACACAGATCACTGATCGCAAATGATTATTGCTTGAGGCAACAGGGCCCTAAACCTGAGGGTTTCCTAGCACTGGGGACATGGGAGACAGGTGGTTAGTGACCTTGAATGTACAGTGTTCTGGCTTGCACAGAAGGCATGGCAAAGACAAAAAGGACAAAAAGATGAAAAGGAGACCTGCCTACTTTGTAGTGACTAGTGGCAAAGACGAAAAGAAGACCTGCCTAAGTGGTAAGTCACTGTAGGCAACCTCTCTGAGGCACAGTCAGGAAGGAAAGGTGAGCCACTGCCCTTGATGGAAACACAGAAACGAAATGCTTCAAATCCATTCTAACAATGACATTTAAATTTGTGTTTTACTGGATTTGTTTGACTTTTAACACACCACAAATTCAAAAGGTATCAAAGGATATAAAGGCCGCCCATGCTGACCTCCAGGCCCCTCCCCAAAGACAGTCCAGAGAGCAGTCCCAGTGATCCAAACTGCACCCTGAGCTTTCCAGGAGCATCACGTGGGAAATGCCTGGGAAATGATGCCTGCCCCCTCCCGTGTCTCCCCCGCGACACACAAACACACACACACACACACACTCACACACAGCCTTTGCAATCTCCGTTTGCCTCTTTGCCAGAGGACTCAGATCTTTCTTGGGCTCGAGTTGCTGTTCCTTCCCTGAATTGTTCTTCCCTGGGCCTCAGGAAAGGCTGATGAATAGGCTGGGGTTCTCAGGTTGGGAAAAATGCAGGATCTGGCTTTGGGTATGAGACTGGAATGATAAACTCAGAATGCTCCCCAGGGTCTGTGCCAGGGCCGAGTTGGATGAAGACAGGGCTCCAGCCTGGGCCTCACAGCACACTGTCCTCTGAGCCCAATGGCCACTTTTGGGAAAAAGAGGGTTGAGCCAACCTGGGAGGAGAATTGCTGTCCTCAGCCTTGGCAGCCAGTTGCATTTCTCCTGCACCCACCACCTGGGACAGGCACTAAGGTAGTCAGTGTGGAGGGCCCTGGAATCTGGGTTCACAACCCGCATGCTGGACAGTCTCCCGCTGCTCCCCTTGGGCATGGCTAACCTCCTCATTTCTTCATTCACCCTGGCAGGAGGAGGAGAGGGAGCAATTAGGGCTACAGTGTGTTCTTGGCTCTAAGCCTTAAATGATACAAGCTTAAATCTTTCCTTCAGCACCCACAGAGTGCCAGGTAAAGTGCACTGGGTTAAGTGCTCTGAATATATTAATTTACTCCTCTTAACATTTCCAGAGGTTGATACTAATATTACTCCCACTTAATGGATGAGAACACTGAAGCCTAGAGAGGTTCAGCAGCCTGTTAGCAACTAGTTAAGTGGTAGAACCAGGATCTGAACCCAACCTAGCCAAGAGCCACGACTCTGAATCATTGCTCCAGAGACTGTATTCCTATAAGGCTGCAGTCCAGGTGGCTCCTCCCCATTGGACAAAACCAGAAAGAATGCTTCCAGAAGGTGACTGATTAGCTGGGGACCCATAGCCATCCAGTGGCATTTCCCAAGCCTTGCCGGGCTCATCTAGCTGTTCCCAAGAAAACTCCCCCACTCTTCTGGTCAAGCGCTGACCTGAAGGCTGAAAACCAGTTTGGGAGTCACAGACGTGCTCACACAAAAGGTAGAAATAATCCAAATTTCCATCAATAATGAATGGATAGACAAAAAGTGAGCTAATCATACAATGAAATATTCTTCAGTCAGAAAAAGAAATGAAGTACTGATACACGCTACAACATGGATGAAATTTGAAACATTATGCTAATAAAAGAAGCTAGGCACGAAAACCACAGATGATATGATTCCATTTATATGAAGTATCCAGGATAGGGAAATCCATAGAGACAGAGAGTAGATTAGTGGTTGCTTAGGGCTGGGGGTTTGAGGAGATAGAAGGCTGGGGGATCGAGATTTCTTTTTGAGGTGATGAAAATGTTCTAAAATTGACAGTAGTGATGGTTGCACATATCTGTAAATACACGAAAAACCATTGAATTATACACTTTAAATGGGTGAATTTTATGATATGTGAATTACATCTCAATAAAGCTATTACCAAAACACAAAATCAACACAACATACACACATAGTTCTAGAACTTAAGGCCACCACCCAGTCAAGGTAGATCCAGGCTCTGCCCTGCAAGTGTCCATGTCCTTGCAGTCCAAGTTTCCTTCAGTCTCTGTAGAGGCCGCAGCTCCCCTGCAGTGAATGATACTGCCCCTCAATTCAAAAGGCCCCTCCTGGGCTGTGCCAGGAGCCTGAATCCAGCCTACCGAGAACCTCTTAGACTGGGAGAGAGCTCCCTTCACAGAGTGAAATTGGAGGGAGGGGAAGAGATTTTTGCCTTGGCAGGGCCCTTGGGGTCCCACACAAACCAGCTATATGACCTTGGTCTCAGTATCCTCTTCTGCAAATTGAAACAACTGAGCCCCCGTCCTAAATAGTCTTGTGAGTATTTCATTAAATTATGAGTCTAGCACAGCTTCCGGCACTAGCCAGTGTATTCCATGTTAGAAAACAGATGAAGGATTGAGTGAATTTAGGGGATGACATAGATAAAATCAGAGTGGTAGGAGTAAAGGGATTTAATTTGTTAAGAAAGAAGAAAAAGTTTTAGAAGATTGTCTCAAGTCTCTTGCATCTCTTTTGTTCATTCCAACTCTGCACCCAGTGGGATTGTAATTGTCCGAAATGGACAAGTGAAAGAGGGCACTCCTGGAGAAGGCAGAAAAGAAGAGGGGAAATTAAGAAGCAAGAAGAGGGAGATGGAGGAAGGAGAGAGTGTTGGTGGGGAGGTTACCAGGGAAACTGCCTCAAAGACTCAAGGGACAGGAAGGACAGAACTGCCCAGGGAAGGGGTGGCTGAGGGGAGGGAGAAAGGCTAAAGAAAAGAAGGAGAAGCGGAGGCAAAGGGAGGGGGAGGTGGCCAAATCATCAGGTGAGAGGGGAGGAGGAGGAAGAGTCACAGAGAACTACTGGGGAGAAGAAGGAAGAAGCCAGCTAGTCTGGGATCAATCTGGAGACGAGAAGATTACCAAGTCAGGAGTCCAAAAGCCCCCCTTCCAGAACCTGGGGACACTGGTCTCCACTGGCTGCCGACTGGGACCTCTCTCCCTATTCTGGCCCAGCCATCCTCTCCCTGCCCTTGGGCAGCCCTGGAGAATCCTGAGTCCTGTGGATGGAGAGGCTTTTCAGATTAAGCTGGACACCTGGAGGTTGGGTCCAGTCGTGTCCTGCCCGGGTCTGTTCAACCATCCCCGAATGAACCTCCTCCCCGCAAAACTTCTCCCATCTCCCAGACTCCACCACCCCTGGCTTGCCTCCTCCTCCCTGACCCCACCTAAAGTCCTGACCATTTCTCATTTCCTGAACCAGAGCATGCTGATCACCACTGGCCTTTGCTCCAGCAAAGTGCCAGCTTCCCCAGCCCTCAGGTGGTTCCTAACCAGGCTTCACCTGGAAGGCTTTTAAATATATGGATGGCCACTAGGAACCACTAAGGAGCCATTTGGTCTTCAGCTGAGCACCAGTCATTTTAAGTTGTCTGGGTGATTTAATATGTGGCAAGTGTTGAGAACTCCAGTTTGCCTCCTTCCTTAAGCTTCCTGACCCTGGACCAAGGCCACAGCCAAGGCAGTACTGCCTGATATATATTTGCCTGGTTAGGTACCTAAAGGATCTCCTCAGGTCTGGCATGTTAGCAGTGGTCACTCCGGTGTGGCCTTCTTTACAGCCCAGCCTAGACCCACAGCCTCCCTGGTGGAAGCCCTCCTGGGTAGGCCCTGGGGCTCAGCAGATCAGGAAAGTTGCCAGCACCTTGCATCGGGCCTGGCACACAGGCAGCAAATCTTGACGGGCTCTAGAGCTCCCACCACTTGGCTGGAATCCCTGCTGGGGCAGAGAAGATGGAGCAAAGGGGCGCAAACCAGGTAAGTGCTGCCTTAGGGGGCTCCCTGCTGTGCCCTAGAGGTGTCTTAGGGGAAACTAGGTCCAGAAACCCACACTGAGGTGGCAGAGGGAAGGATTCAGCAGCAGCTGAAGCTACTGTCCTGCAGCCCAGAGCACACAAGGCCAACTGAAGACCCTGTGGGCCTAGGCCAGAGAAGGTAAACGCCAGGTTGGATAGGTGGTAGGTCCAGAGGTGGTGCAGTGGCTGGAGTCTTTGGCTTCTCACCCTGAACCAGTCAGATTCAGCACAGCAAACTTGGGTTCCCTGTTCCCCACTAAGGGGTAACCTCTCACCCATGCTCATAGAGAGTGCCCCTACAGCCCACGGGTCCTTCTCCTGCATAAACCCCAGAGTGCAACACTGGCATCCAGCACAGACATGCCACGGGTCATTTTGTGTTGTCTGAAATAAGCAGTGACTGAGCCTGCAGGGGCCAGTGATCCAGGAGGGGCCTACACAGTGGAATTTGAGGAGCTCTCCCACCTCTCTGGACACCCCAAGGAACTGCCTGTGGTCTCACTGTTGGAGCTACCTCCTTCACTTTCAGTGCTGCTACTTTTCTCAGAAATAAATATATTTTTATTATTTTATGAAAATAACAATACTTACTGTAAAAATACCAAAATCCAATACCATCACATCTTAAAATGTCAATCCTTCCCTAGCAGCGGGTGGGATAGCGGGTCACTCCCAAACAGGCTGGTGCCGAGGTCAGGATCCCAGGCACTAGAGGTGGGGCACAGGCAGGGGGCTGGAGAAGGAAGCAGGGTGCAGAGGCTTTCTGCCAACTCACTTATGCTCCCTGAGTGGTTTCTTTGAGGATTGTTCCTCTCTGCTCATCCCAAGCTCCCAGCTCTCTTTAGCTGCAGAACTCCCATTCCTGCATGATGGCTGAGCAGAATGGCAGGCAAAGACTGGATTTTTGGGGAGGAGGGCAAGTGCCACTGAGGATTTCCCAAGGGCCTTAAGGTGGGCCCCAAAACCAGCGAGGAGAGAGGAGGGCAGGAGACCCAAAAAGAAAGTTAGTGGAGCAGAGCTGAGGAACCCAGGCTGCCTGAGCCTCTGGGGCTCTGGGTCTGAAATGGCTGGGGGGATGCGCTAGCTGAGAGAGGCAACAGGGTCGTAGAGGCAGAGGGGTCAAAGGGGAGGACAGGAAAGAAGCAGGAGGAACCCGGGAAGGCACCCGACGCCTGCGCACCGCCGGAGAGAGGCCAGGCCCCAGGCTCAGCTAGAGGCAAGCGCACCCGAAGGAGCCAAGCTGAGCAGGACAGAGTCCAGGCCTGGAAAGCCGGCCTGGAGAGCCGGCCTGGTGCACCGGCCAGAGCACCCCGAGGGATACGAAAGAAGAAAGAATGCTGGACACAGGTTCTGAGCACCTGAACCGGATACTGAAGGCTCTGCCAGCCCTCCAGAGCGCTGGCAGTGAAGGACAGAACGGCTCCGCAGAAAGGTACTGGGTAGTGTCTGGGGGAGCCTGGCCTACGAATTCCACCCACTCACATACATCCCTTAGCTCCCCTAGCACCCAGCACAGGCCTCACATTGCCGACCCTAGAGAGGGCTGCTGCGGGTCGTGGTGTTGGGGGTAGGGGGCAGGGGAGTGTATTTATCCACAGGCACCAGGGATCCAGTTCCTAGCACCACGAAGGCTCGGGAGGTCAGTCCCTCCCGCTGAGCGGCCAAAAGGCAAGAAGGCGGGTGGTGCGGGTCTGGAGGGTCCCGGGGGAATGACCAGAATGGGCCCACGCCCCGAAAAGGCGGCAGGAATTGGAGGGTGGCGGAGGATGCTGAGCAAGGTTGAATCCAGAGAGGATGGCCTCTTTACCCGACTTCAGCCGGGCTTTGGAGAAACCCCAGGGGATTCCAGTTCTAAGGGGAGCTGGGAGCAGGAGTGCCCCTCCCTGCCGAAGGTCTTGCCATTCCTCCCACTGAGAATGAAGGACCTGAACCACCATTGCCCTCCCCCCACCGTCTGGCATCTCCCTTCCAACTCCCCTAGGTTCAGTTTCTCAATCATCTTACCAAAAAAGAGAGGAAGTAAAGAGTCGAAAGAAATTATCTGGGCTCCTGGGGTATTGGCGGGTTGAGATCACAGTGAGGCCGCAGGTGGAGACTGAAGGTGAAGAGGAGAGCAGCAGGCCCGGGACAGGTCCCAGCTTCGAATGAGGAATCCCTGATCCCAGTGAATTCGTGCCAGGCGGACTCACCACTCCTCCAGCTCTGCGTCCGTCTTGCACTGGGCAGGAAGTTTCCTCTAGACCCAGGCAGGGACCCAACTTACGCACGCTTTGTTCTCCAACCCACGCACATACTCTGAAGGCGCGGTACCGCACCCCTACATCCCCCAGTACACCCTCACCATGTGTCTGTACCCGGGCACATGTGGCCCAGCCTTCCTCACCAAGGACCCGGGGGACTTAGCGAGGCAAGATGTCCTCTGTCTCTAGGAAGGGGAGGACGCCGGTGGGAGCCTAGTGGCTCCTGCACAAAGCGCCTTCTTGGTGGGGAACTAGACCGCCCAGGCAGCGAGCTCAGGGAGGCTCGGGGGCCGAAGCGGCCTGGGGTTCAAGAACCTGTGTTCCAGAGGCTGGCCAGGCTCCCAGCTCGGCCTGAAAGGGGTCTGACTAGTCAGGGAAGGGCTCGGTGAGGAGACCCAGTCCTCCTCTCCACTCCTCCTCCATACACACCCCGGCGCCTCCGTACACAGAAACCCTGGTTTCCTTACTCCATCCCCGCATGCACGTGCACCGGGGCTGGCGCCCCACTGCCCAGACCTGCCCAGAAGAGAAAGCCAGGATTCCTGAGGGAGGCCGAATCTTATACCTCCAAGAGAGAACGTGAGAAAGGAAGAATAAAGGGTGCAGGAGAAAGGAGAAGACTGGAACACCCAAGAGTCAACACCTAGCTGGCTTGGAGCTGGGCAGTGCTCCCTGCAAGGCTCCCCGGGGCAGACAGGGAAGAGAAAGCTGCCAGAACCTCCGGGGTCCTGGCTCCGAAGGACTCTATGGGAGGCTTCTGACTTTTCCCAGGAGTGTGCTGACACCTAGGACCTCATCCATGGGCCCTGGAAGAGGACTCCGGGACTAAGACCCGAGTTACTGGTGTGGAAAGATGCCATTTGTGAAATGAAAAATTAAAACGATGACAACAAACAAAGCCTGGCACGGTCCAGCAAGTGCTGTTTTTCTGTTTTTGTCTGCACAGAAACTGGGGTCTCATCTGCAGCAAGCAGAACCGCTAGAGCTGGGGGTAGGGGTGCAGTGTCCAGGCAAGCCGAGTGTTTGCTTATATTTCTGTTTATAATTTTTGTATACTAGATGCATCTTACTCAAGTAATAAAAATAAACTTGAGAGAGCCAGAGAGGCAAAAAACTGAAGTGCAGAGTAGAAGTGGTGGTTGGGTGAGAGACAAGACTTTTGGGGAGCTTGGCGGATGGAGAGGGAGAGGGTCTGACCTGCATGGCAGTCATTAAGGAGTTCACTGCCACTCCCAGGGCCTGGCCGGGAGGAACAGAGTGCAGAGCTCACCGCACATCATGCAACATGGATTCCTTCAGCCGAGCTCGAGCTCGGTTCCACTGGATCACACTTTCCCCAGGACCCTCCTGAAACCTCTTTCTCACTCCTCCCTCCTACATACATATACATTCCTACAGCCCCGTGCCCCAGGCCCACAAACTCTCAGCACCTACAGGTAGTCCACGCTGCTCTCCCTCTGAACCGTAACTTAAGCCTTGGGCTCAATCCCACCTTTCCTGCCCCCCCGCCCAAATCACTTTGTGGCTGCATTTCCCTTCCTTCCTTCCTTCCTTTTTTTCTTTCCTTCCTTCCTTCCTTCCCTCCTTCTTTCCTTCCTTTCTTCCCCTCTTCTTTCCTCCCTTCCCTTCTTTCCGTTAGTATTACCAGCAAGACCTCCCGACCTGCCCTTTTTACCCTCCCCTTTTCCTAGGTTCCATACCCTAAGTGGAGTAGTTGTTAATCACTCAATTAAATAATTGGTGTGTGTCCCCCCCAACCTCACCTTCTGCCGGGAACATCTGGCATCGGAAACACACAACCATTCACATGCACATTGGACACACACTATGCCACTGAAACACGCACACACTCATACACCTGCTTTCCCACTCACAGGGATAATGGAGGCTGCACCAGGGACACACTCAGCCATGCTACAGCCACTTTCACGGGCATATCCACGCCAGCTCTCACAGACACCCTTAACCAGATTATTGGACAGACCAAAGCACCCTGCTCACGCCAGCAGGTCAGAAAAACGAAGGAAAGTCTGAGATTGTAGTGCTTTAGGGGAAGGGTCACAGGCCTTGTTGCTCGTGCACACATTTGCACACACACCTTCGTTCTCAATCTTTCGTCCAGGCCCCCTTCTGAGTCAAAGAAGGCCCCTTCTGGTGCGTTGAGAGAGACACTAGGCTCGGGAGAGCGCTGGCCTCTCCAGTAAATGGTGGGGATCCGCACGCCTCAAAGGGCTGCGCCCCGGGACCCCAGCTGCTCCGCTCCTCACAGCCTGACCCTGCTTCACTTCCAGCCGTGCTCACCTCCGCCCTTTACCTCTCCTCAGCCTCGGAGAAGGCGGGACCCGGGACAGCGACAGAGCACGGAGAAAGCTCCGCGGGGGAAACAAGGAAATCCCCACCTTCTATCCCTGTCTCGTGGTGCGGTCCCCTGTGACGGCCTCAGACCTGCGGGGAACCCAGGACTTTGCCGCCTACCACGGTCTCAGCCTTATTCTCGAGCCTCTGGGCGCCTGCAACCGGCTGTCTGTCTGTGTGCCTGTTCACTCTCCCCCGGGGATGCGGGTGAGTCGGTCTTCTTGCCTCACTTTGCTAGCCTTATTCGCCCACTCTTGCCTTGCTCTTCCAGGAGGGCCGGGGGAGGGGGTCCTCCGGTCTGGGTTCATGAGTGTGGGTGTGGGTATAAATCTAGGGGTTGGCGCACTGAGCCTAGGCCTGCGCCCCCGCCTCCAGCACCCCCACCGACCCCACCCCGCCAAGCGCCCGAGCAAGGCCAACCTCCTGTTCTCTGCTAGGTCTCTCCGAGGTCGCCTTCTTTGCGCACTTTGGTTATTGATCCTGCTGAACCGGCCGGAGCGCAGCGGCTGCGCTTCTCTGGGAAAGAACGGAGTGGGGAGGTGAGTAGGCTAGGGGAACGGTGGAGGGGAGGAGAGGTTGATCAACTTTAGGAGGGGGTGTAGGGCGTTCCTCAGGGCCGCCCCAGTCTCCCTCTGCCGGGCTTGGAGCAGGGCTAGACTAGGGGTGGAGCGGGACCACCGCTCCCCTCCCCCTCTCCCCCTGGCGCGGAGCCCCGGCGCAGCTGGGAGTCTTGGAAACCTGACTCCCGCCCAATCAGCAGGGAGGGGAGGAGCAGCGGCCAGGAGCGGGGCCTGAGGAGGAGGAGTCGAGCGGGGGCGCGAGGGGCGGGGAGCGGCGCTCCCGGCCAGCGTAGGCTGGCTCCGCCGTAGAGGGGTTGGCAGTGGCGGTCAGCATGGGCGATGGGGGCGCCGAGCGCGACCGGGGCCCCGCGCGCCGGGCGGAGTCTGGTGGCGGCGGTGGGCGCTGCGGAGACCGCAGCGGAGCGGGGGACTTGCGAGCTGATGGCGGTGGCCACAGCCCAACGGAGGTGGCCGGGACCTCAGCCTCCAGTCCCGCAGGCTCCAGGGAGAGTGGAGCCGACAGCGACGGGCAGCCCGGGCCCGGCGAGGCAGACCACTGCCGCCGCATACTGGTGCGAGGTAAGGGGACAGCCCGCGGCCCTGCTCCACTGGACCCTCACCCTACCCATACTGGGGCCCCCGACCTAGCTGCAGCTGACACCTCTCAATTCATATATTCATTCATTCGTCATCCAGTCATTCATTCAGCAAATATTATTTTGAGCGTCTATTGTGTGCTGGACATTAAGCTGAGTGCAAGGGACAAAGCAGCGAATGGGACCGAAGCGGTCCCCGTTTCTCCGCCTCTCGGGCCAGTCCCCTAGTTCTAGGCCCATTCGGAACGGCTACTGTGGCGGGGGCAGAAATGGAGTGCGGGATGCTGAGAGCCTGGACTCCGTCCCGTGACCCTCAAGGCAAGTGCGGAGAAAAGCGTCTTGCGCGCTCCGCGGGGACAGGACGTGGAGGGAGCAGCGTCGGCAACCGCGGGAGGAAAAGGCCCCGGCTCTGCAGGGCGGCCGGGGTGCTTCCTCGCCTCCTGCCTAGCCGCGTTTCCCGTCCCCGGCAATCGGGACCCGCACGGATTGCCCAGGGGAGACGGCGCGGGACGCGGAGGGTGGCGTGCGCGGCGCTAGCCCGCTGTGCTTCACTCTCTCGGTTCCCACTTCCTCGCGGCGCCTGGGCCCAGCCGGCTCTCGGCGCCGCCTTCCCGCGGCCTGGCCTTTCACGTCCTTCTCTTTCTCCCTCGGCCCTCGTCCTCCTCTCGTCTTTCCCGGCCATTCCTCTCAGCCGAACGCGCCTTCCCAGCACCTTCTTCCTGCAAGCTCCTCCATCTGGACTGCGACCGATTACCCAGCTCTTCCCGGCCTCCTCTCCGCGAGGCCGAGGCTCCCCAGGTCCCCAGCGCCAGCCTTTCGCAATGCCAAGGGCTCCGCTTTCCCTCGATCTGGGCCTCGCCCGGCGAGATGAGAGGAGAAAGGGGACTCCGGGGTCTTGCCCTCAGCCCGACCCCAGGCCGCGGCCAGAGCCTGAAGTCCGCTGCCTCCTCCATCCCTAAGCCCTGGGACCGGGAGACCCAGCGCCAGAAGAGGCCACTGGCGGTAATGGCTCCCCCAGGCTCCTTCCTGGGCTCCCTCCTCCCGGCTTCCTCCTGCTGCCTCTTTCCAGCCTCTTCACACGCGCCGCTCGGGAGAGCCACTGGGCCTCTGGAGGCTACCGGCCCGAGCGGATTTCTTTGGCCTCCGCCTGGGGAAGGCGAACAGGCTGGAAGCTGGCCCTGGGTCGTTCCAGCGAGGGGATTATGTTTGATCTGAGCTCGGCTACCCTCAAGCTGACTGGGACACCCTGGGCCAGTTGGGCACTACCTCTCTGCGGCTGCTGGGTGTGGGTGGCACTGGGGACTGGAGGGTAGAGCATGCATGCAGCCCAGTGTGAGGGTGACTGATGACTGCCTTGAATACAGAGACAGGGGCCTTAGCTCTGGGAAACATTCCTGGTGCCAGATGTCACTGGGACAGTAGGTGCTCACTGCTACTCATAGTTGACTGCTTGAGTCAAGGCAGTTATACCATCAGGAATTCCAGCAGGTGTGTGGACCTGTTGGGCACCAGGGATTAAATCCGATTTTATTCTTTAGACTGTGGGATGTCTTGAGTGAAGGCATAAGCAGACCTTTTGGTTCCATTAAAAATATCTGTAGGACTGCCAGAGAAATCAGTCCTCCAATCCCACACATTCCCAGGGGAGGATCTAAAGTCACTGCCTGTGACACTCATCACCTTGAACCCCACCTATGGGTGGACATTTTCTTCCCCCCAGGACAATTGTGAGTTCTGTGCCCACCTAACATCCTCTCCACTCTACTAACCCTGTATGTAGAGCAAATAAGTTTTGTGTACAGATGTCAATTAAATAGCCTTCAGGGGTAAACTCATAGGAAGTGGAATTCAAAAGTGACCCTCCACCCTGTGAGGTGGGGCCACCCAAGCTGGGAGCAATCCACAGCCAGGCAGAGATGGGCTTGCACTGGATGTGAGACAGCCTGTGTGCGTCTTCAGGGGGTGTACTTTTATAAATGTATGTGCACACACAGAGGTGCCAATGCATTTGTAAAATATAATCGAAATATTAGACATAAAGCATAGAGGATATATTTACACACTTGACAGAAATGAAAGGCAAATGGGGCTTTTATAAATCCCTCTGCCCTTCCCCATTTAATGATAGGGAGGTTATTATGGGCCTGAAACGCTCAGGATGTGATTTGCCACTAATCTCTCCTAGCCAGGGTCACCTGTGTTACTGGCAGTCCCACCATGGCTCAGGGCTCTGATCAATGAAACAGGCCTGGCACTGGTGAAGGAAAGTCTGAACTAACTGCCTTGGCCCCTGAATGAACATTCCTTCCATAGGCCTTCAATACACTTTGCCCTTGACCTCAGAGAACACATCCTCCCAAAGAGCCTTTGGAAGGAAACCACTAAAAGGTAAAAGGGAGGCATTTGCCCTTGCTGTCCTATGTCAATGTTGGGTTGGGGCCTCCCCAGGACCTGTCCTTTCTTGGGGAGGCCTCACCCCTTCTGGGTCCTTTCTGCCTCCCTTTCATTCTGCACTCCTCCACCTAAGGGCATACCACAGGGGGGTGGGGGGCAGGTTTGTTGAGGGAGTCCTTTGGCACAGGGAGTAGGAGGAGAGCTTGGGCACCAGAGTTAAGCAAAATTGGTTTAGATTACTGACCTTATAGCCCTTTAAACCTGAACCAGTTTCTTTGTTTCTCTTTGCTTGTTTCCTTATCTTACAAAGGGACCCATAGCCCTTATCTTAAAGGACTTGCCAAGAATCAGAGGTGATGTCTATAAAATTGCAAACACCCAGTAGGATCTTCATAAATATTTGTTGACAGAAGGAAGGGTGTAGCTCTGAGGTGACCCACGAACCACTTTTGATGGGTGGGGCAGTGGACCTTCGTTGTCTGAGGCCTCTCCCAAGTCACCCCTTTCCCCCTCCTTCTGGCTCTGGGCCCGGGGCCTGGGCTGTACTGGAGGTGAGCACCTAGGGGTTAAGAAGCCACTAATGGTAAAGGAAAATTAGCACCATCTTGCAGACCACACAGTGCAGCCCTCCCCAATCTCCTTGGTGGGACCCTTTTTGGGCCAGTGACTCAAGCCTCTGCGAATACAGGGTGGAGAGCCAAAGAGGCCAAACGTGGTGCGTCTCCTGCCTCAAAATGAAGACTCCTACATGTCACACATGGGCACGGACCAGAGCTGCTGAGATGATAGGCCGGGCGCATAACAGGCACCCCGCACATCGCACCGCGGACGCAGCGATCCTCCCATTTGTACCCTAAGGCCTGAGAAGGCCGCTCCACACCTCCGCGTGCACAGTCCCTAGACCAGTGAGGGCGGGGACGGGGAAATCCTTTTGTTTTATATTGGAAACCTTACGCCAAAGGCAGGCAGGAAGCAACCAAAGGAACAACAGGCCGCCTGAGCCGTGGCTCAAACAGCACAGGGCAGTGGCCGAGCACCAGGCTTTTCGGTGGAGCTGGGATACCAGCAGGCAGAAGAGGTGGACAACTCTGACCGCAGACTCCCTACAACCCCGCGATCGATGCTCCACCTGCACGCTCAAACGCACCTGTTTCCCAAATTAATCCAGACGCGAATTTAACGACCGATTTTGATAGATCCGGGAAATTCTGTCCACCAGCGTCACCCAACACAGCAACTTTTACAGACAATGCGTGGCGTCCGTTCCTGCTCACCCAAAGCGGCCTCTCTGGGCTGACAGCCACCCCTGCGGGTCCTCAAACCCCACTCGAAACCCTCCGAACCCCTGTGTCTGGGAGCAGTAGGGTGGGATGACTGCAGGATCCCTTGAAGAAGTGACTCGCTGCAACCCCACCACCAGCAGCAAAAACGCTTTCACCCGGGAGCTGCATGGATGCGCGGATGGCTGGGGGCTGAGGGGACGCGTGAAGCCCAGGCCTCTTGCTTGGGCTGGGCGATTCCCGCCGTGGGACGGGTGGGATTGACCTTAGTGGAGTCCAGTCCTTCGGAGAATCCGCGGGCAGTCGGGACCCACGCTCCGGAAACACCCAAGTCCGAACTCGTACACACAGCACAATGGCGTGCAGCCGCCGGGGCCCTAACTCCCAGAGACGCGTCTGAAGAAGCCATACAAGGGGGCGCAGCTTCGGGGCTCTGGCTGGGAGGTTACTGCAGGGACAGACGCCTCGCCTCCAGCAGCCGGGTCCAGGCTCAGGGCCGGCCGGCCTCTGCTCGCTTTCTGCTTGGATTACCAACAGCCACTGGGCTTGGGGAGATCGGCCGGGCCGCAGGCCTAGCCCTGCTGAGCAGGCGTTTAGTAAGGACCACAGGACTTTAGTCTCAATATCTGAGTCTGTTAATAGACCTGACAACCGAGGACCAGCCCCCAAGGCAGACGTGGAAAGGTGTAAATGGTTCATGCAAGGAATTGCACTTTGAGATTTTTGTATTTGTTTTATTTTTTGGTTTTAGCATTTGTAGAGGGTTTCTTTTTTGTTTGTTTGTTTTCTTGGAGTTGCTTTACGTTATTTTTTCCTTTTACTTGTTTTCGGCAGGAGGCCCACATTCCCATAGCGTGCCTATTCCTATGCCGGGCCCTCTCATTTGGGTCTTCTTTTGTTTCCCCCCCTTCCATAACCCTTACCCCCACAAACACACACTGAAGCAGACCAGCAACCCGAAAAATCATCTTGTAGGTGTGTCTTGTGTGC
Organism: Homo sapiens; assembly: GCF_000001405.40. Lineage (NCBI taxonomy): Eukaryota > Metazoa > Chordata > Mammalia > Primates > Hominidae > Homo > Homo sapiens. Next base: position 70,905,550 of record NC_000002.12, read on the forward strand.
CCAGTTTTCATTTTCAGGGAACGGTTCAGGAAGATTAGACAGCTCCTTCCCTCCTCAGGCGATTTCTGTTCCCCGCCTGGTCTGGTAGACCCAGGAACCCATGGAACTGCCACCGCATCCCCTTGCCCCACACACCTGCATCTTCAGGGATGGTCCCCCAGGTAGCTTCTGGGGAGTCCGAGGGGCAAGGAGGCCAAATCCTTTGGAAGCCCGGACAAGGAGTGGGTACCTGGGGCTACAGGAAAGGGAGGAGATGGCAGTGGCATGCACCCGCAGTCAGTCAAAGCCACCGGGCTCAAGTCTTCCTCTTTTGCGCAGCACCGGTAAGGAGAGAGGGTGTCTATGCATCACGTTGGCCTGGGTGCCATTTCCCCAATTACCCCTTGGCTGCAGGCTCCCTTCTTGTTGGCTACATTTCTTTGATTTCTATTTTAATGGTGGGAGGTGGAGCATATGAATTTTGCCTATTTGCTCCTTGCTTAATATAAAATCACAAATAATGCTAGACCTGACTACCCTTGGAGAGCCAGTAGCCGGTTACCTGGCTGTGCATCTGCAGATTCTGTACCCCAGTTCAAGATACTCTGATAGAAGACACCAACGCTGCATGGGCCTGCCCACCAATCCCTGCGGCGAGACAGGTCTAGGAGGCTAGTTCATTCCTCATACCCCCAACCCAGCTCATCCGGGAAGGCAGTTGGGGGTTTCAGTGTCCTGGGTTCTCCCACTGTTGGTGGATGCTGACTGGGGACATTCAGCACTGCAGAAAGAGGTAGCAGCCCCAGGCTTGGATGTGGCCTACAGAGCCAGGGTGAATGCACCCGGAAAGTCAGGGTGAGTGCCAGACTGAAGGAGTGTGCTATAAGGCCCTGGCGGAGGCTTGGGCTTGTAAAGGCTCAGGGCCCTCCTTGAACCATCTCCCCCGTGGCCTTAACATCTTTTATTCTTTCTTTTTTTTTCTTTTCTTTTCCTTTTTTTTTTTTTTTTTTTTTTTTTTAGATAGAGTGGTTGCTCTGTTGCCCAGACTAGAGTGCAAGGGTGCAATCATAGTTCACTGTAACCTTGAACCTCTGGGCTCAAGCGATCCTCCCTCATCGACCTCCCAAAGTGCTGGATTACAGGACTGAGCTACCGCGCGTTTCTTGTTCTTTAACTTATTCTACAAACATTAATGCGTACTCACTGTGTGCCAGACTGATCCTGGCTCAAGCTGCTGGCACGCAGCTTCCCATAAATGTAAGCTGTTTCTGCCCAGCTCCCACAGTCAGGCCAGAAACAGCTGGGTAGAGACTTCCCCGCTGAAGTCGAGGGGGCGGGCTCCCCGAGCCTGCTTCCCTTGAAGCCAGGCAAAGACCACGTAGGAGGTGGTCACTGTGCCCACCAAATCCAGGCGATCTTCCCGGATGCTTTTAGTGCACTGTAGGCACTCAATAAATACTTCTCGAATAACTTAAATGGGACAAAATTCATCAACATGGCATAATTCTGTAGGTATTAATTAGGCGGCCAACGCCTTCTCCCGGAAGAACGTGTGTTCTAATATTATCTTATTTTTTGACGTTGCAATGTCCTTCTTATATGAAACAGTGATCATGGCAGAACATAGAATAATTGTTAAAGCATGAAGTTGACAACCCCATAGTTTCGAAATTTTGTTTCTGCAATCCGCAGCTTTGGGAAGCACTGAATTACAAAACCTGAAAACCCTCATATATGTGGCGGCTTAGAGGCCGGCCTAGGCTGGAGCGGAGGTCTTGGGAAGCGCTGGGCCGCTCGTAAAGTCAATGGTGAGTCTCCCGGCTTTCGGCTTTCGGCTTTCGGCGGCAGCCGGGTGTGAGGTTCCACGGGCAAAGCCAGCCAGAGGGTTGACAGAAATAACTGGATAAATCTGTGCCCCTGCCCCTGCCGGCTCACACGGCTGCAGCCCACGGCTGGAGCCAAAAATAACCGCGCAGTTGACGCCACGGTTTCTTTAGCGTCTTGCTGGAGACATTGACTTTCAGAGCCCCTGTCCCGCCTTCCATTCCCCACTACTTGGCAGCCCACCGCGTCCACCCGCGGAGCTGCGGAAGCCAGGGCCGGGCAAAGGACACTCTACGAGGCACAGCCTCCGGCAGGGCCACACTTACAATGTAGACAGGAAAATAGAGGATTTAAATTCAAAAAGTAATACGAGCTCGATTTTTTTAAAAACCGGAAGCAAAGAAGGATCCCAGGAACAGCCACTGTTTTCAATTCTGGGCGAGTCCTTCCAGGCGATTTTTCCACGCTCTTATAGACGAACAAATAAATAAAAGCAGAACTATATTTCATAGGCTGTTTTGCAATTTACCATTTCAAAAAAATTTAATCTGCAGTGATCATCTTCTCTGCTGAACCAGTTCTTGCTGTCCCTTGACTGTAGAATTAAGTATTCCTTTAGTTGGGGAAAGCCTAATTCCCCTAAAGACTGGAGGGACCTTGGGGTTGTTTTTCCTTAATATAAACACTGTGAAGTAAGCTCCGAAGGCAGGGTTCTTCTAGACCTTTGACTGTTTCTGTGGGATAAGTTTCTAGCAGTGTAATTACTGCTTCGAAAGATTTACACACACAATTTAAATATATTTCATTTACTGTAATAGGTAATTGTAAAATAGATAATTAATTCATCAAAACATCTTTTTTTCAGACATCAGGAGATGGGAGGTCTCACTATTTTGGGTTTAAGCTGGACTCAAGTGCTCACATAGCTGGGATTACAGGTGGGAGCCACTGCACTTTTTAAAAAGTATCCGGTGAAAAACCTCTCCCATCCCTGTCCCCATCACCCACTTCCCACCTGGTTCAAGGACTTTCTAATATGTCCTTCCAGATAATGTTTATGCCTATGGAAATCAGTGCAGTTATATAACTTTTTTCTTCCAATATATCTTGGGGTGTAAATAACTTTTTGTTTGTTTTTTTTATAGATGCATAATATTCCATTTAAGTGGACTAGGTGGATCATAATGTATATCATATAACCAGTACCCTATTTGTGGACATTTGGTTATTTTCTTATCTGTTGCTATTATATGTAATCCTGAAATAAATAAACTTGTTTCTTAGTCATTTCCACATGTGTGAGTATATCTGTCAGAGAAGTTCCTAAAAGTGAATTACTGGGTCAAATGGTATCTGTGTTTGAAATTTGCAAGATAATGCCCAATTGTTTGTCCTCCATAAGATGGAAGCAGTTTACACTGCCACCAGCGATGTCTGAAAGTGGTTGTTTCTCCAAAATTTGCCAGCACAGTTCACATTTTACATCCTGATGAACATAGTCAAGTTATTCTGCAGGAGAAGTTTAGTTACTTATGTCCACCCCTTTGCCCTGTCCCCACACTGGACATTTTGTATCATTTCATCTTTGTCGATCTTCATATTCATTAGCCAGTTGTATTTCTTCTATCTATTGATTCATTTCCTTTGACCAGTTTAATTTGCAAATATACCTTTTCCTTATTGATCTGTAGAAACTCTATGTATTGCTTTCAATATGTGTTGCAACATTTTAATTTACAATTTATCCTTTGATTTTGTTTAGGATGGTCTTTTGTTTTCAGAAGTATAAAATGTCTTTTTATTTTTATTATGTCATTATATTTATTTTTTAGAGACAAGGGCTCACTCTGTCACCCAGGCTGGAGTGCAGTGGCCCAACAATAGCACACTATAACCTTGAACTCCTGGCCTCAAGCAGTCCCCCCACCTCAGCCTCTGGAGTAACTGAGACTATAGGCACTCCCCACAATGCTGGCCTAGCTTTAATTTTTTATTTATTTTCTTTAATTTTTTATTTTTAATTTTTTTTAGTAGGGACAGGGTTTCACCATATTGAGGAGGCCAGTCTCAAACTCTTGGCCTCAAGCAATCCTCCCACCTGCGCCTCTCATAAAATATCTTTTTAATTACAAAAGCAATCCATACTATTTTGCTATGTCATGTAAAATTTAAAAGTTTCTAATTTCCCTTACATGATACACTTCCACTCCTAAGATTTACCTTCCAAACTTTACCTAGTAATTGAAAAATATAAATATGTAAGTTATATATTACAAAAATTGGATTTTTTTGCAATGACTTTTTTCTTAATTAAACAAATTGTCTTAGCTTGCAAGTAGAGTAAAAGAATATTTGTGGAAATCTTTCTTTCTAGAACTCCCTCATTCTTTTTAACCACTGTATAGGATTCCGTTATGTAGATATCATATAACTTATTTAACTAGTCCTCTATTAATGGATATTTAGGTTGGTTGTACTTTTTCATTATTACAAACAATGCTGTAGTGAACATCTTTGTATCCTAATTTGAACAAATGGTTTGTTTTATTTTTAATTATTCTTATCTTTTTATCCCAGGCAACACCTACCTCATTTATACCATAGAATGAGTGCTCCCTTGAACAAATGGTTTTTTTTAAATCTTATTTATGAGACAATTTGGAACATGTAAAACCAGGTGGGATATTTTATTATATTAAGGAATAATTGTCGATTTTTATTGTGATAATAGTATTATAGGTGACTTTTTTAAGAGTCCCCCCTTTTTAAGAGATACATGTTGAAATACTCATAAGTGAAATGTTATGACTTCTAGAATTTGCTAATAATTACAGCAGAATAGAAGAAAGAAGATTATTCCTGAGTTTCTAATAGTTGAAATTGGGGGATAGGTATATCGGAGCTCATTGTACTGCTCTCCCTAATTTTGTAAATATTTGAAATTTGTCATAATAAACTGTTTAAAGTAACAAGAATCATTTTACATATACATGGTATGAATATAATTACAGGATAAATTCCTAGAAGCAAACTTTTAAAATCCAAGGATATACATTTAAAGTTATGATAGTATTTCCAAATTTTATACCAAAACTCTTATATTGATTTATACTCTTAGCCATCTTGTATAAAAGTGTCATTTCTCTACGTCCTCCCAACTCAGAATATACTTAATTTTTTAGAGTGAAATCTTTTCAAGTGACAGAATAATCTCATTTTATTAGTAGTTTAAATTGCTAGTGAGGTTAAGCATGTTTTTATGTAGTTATTCTTCATTTTAATATTCTCTTCTGTGAATTTTTCATATATTTAGCCATTTCTCTATCGGATCACTAATTGTTTTCTCATCTTCGTAAGTGCCACTTATATAGTAAGGAAATGAGCCCTTTTTCTGTGACATGTATTGCAAACAACTCCCAGGTCACTTTCTTAAAAAAAAAAACAAAACAAAACAAAAAACCCACAAAAAAACAGCAACAAAAAACTTTCTTTGTGGGATTTTTTTTTTTTCTAAACTGAAATTTAAACTCTAACCACATTTAATGGTTGTTCCTTTTTGGGCTTCTAGATTCTAGCTCCTAGTTAGAAAAATCTTCATCCAGCATTTAAAACATTATATATGCATACACAAACATATTAAAATGTTTGCTACCAAAAAAATTTTATTCCCTAGTCTTTTCACCAAAAGAAATAATAAAGAAAGACAAAAAATGAGTTGAATCTTTCCTCCCTGATCGGTTTCCACTCCTCAGAGGCAAGAGAAGAGTGAGGTGCTTCTTTTGCCAGACTTGTTCCTATGTGGTTACAAAAACACAAACACACACACAGAAAGAGTTTACTTTTACTGTTTTTTTAATATAAAAATGGGTTTATGCACACTTGCCATTTCACTTAGTAGTATACAATAAACATCCATCCAGGTTATGTGTCTCATTCTTGTTAATGTTTACATATAGCCAAAGTTATTACTAGACTGTGATTTTATCGACAATTTTCCTATTGATAAACATTCAGCTTTTCCCCCTTTTCTCCCTCTTGCAAACTATGCTACAAACAGTGGGTCTGTATTTATCAACTACGCCAACGTTTCTGTGTGATAGAAAGCTCTATAAAAATGCTGGGACAAAGGAACAGTGCATTTTAAGTTTAGCTAGGCATTATTCCTCTTCAAAAACCATATATTATATCAATTTATGTTCTTATTGAGAGAGCTTGAGAGAACCTAATTCTACTCAGCCTTGCCAGTACAATTTTCCAAATCTGATAGATAAAATATGGCATCTCAAAAAACAAGGATATCTCATTGCTGTTATAACTTTCATTTTTCTGATTCCTCTAGCCCGAGTATTTTTTCATATTTATTAACCACATGCATTTCTTCTTCTCTGAATAATTTGTTCGGTTTCCCACTGGACTGCTTGACTTTACTCACTGGTTTACAGAGGCTGTGTGTATACCAGACATTAGGACTCTGTTAAGAATTCATTATGAATATTTTCTCCCCATCTGTCTCTTACCCTGCAGATGCGTTTATTTTTAGGTACTCAAATATGTCATTTATTTTCCTTTCTAGAAAGTTATTTTATATTTGTTCTTCAATTTTTAGAGCTTTTATTTACATTTAAATTTGTGTTTATTTTTGCACACAGTGTGAGATAAATAGCTTTATTCCAAATAATGAACTAATTGTTCAAAAGCTATGTCTCTAATAACCCTGTCTTTCCTCCAACTAATTCAAAATACTGTCTTCCCAACATACCAGATCCACATAGACACATGAATTTGCTTCATAACTCTTGTGCAGCATTATACCATTTTAGTTGCTGTAGATTTGTAACATATTTGCTGTGTGGTAATGCAAGTATTCACTACTATTGTTTAACTTTTTTTGTTGACTATCCTTGCATTTTCAATGTTCCCAATAAACTTGAGAATGAATTTTCCATAAGGAATTTTTATAGCAATCACATTATATTTGTAGGTGGGGGCAGGAAGGGCCTTGCACACTTAAAAGTCAGCATATTATCGGCCAGGCATGGTGGCTCATGCCTGTAATCCCAGCACTTTGGGAGGCCAGAGGGGGCAGATCACTTGAGGTCAGGAGCTTGAAACCAGCCTGGGCAACATGGCGAAACCCCGTCCCTACTAAAAATACAAAAATTAGCCAGGCGCGGTGGTGGGCGCCTGTAATCCCATCTACTCAGGAGGCTGAGGGAGGAGAATCGCTTGAACCCGGGAGGCGGAGGTTGCAGTGAGCTGAGATCACGCCGTTGCACTCCAGCCTGGGTGACAGAGTGAGACTCCGTTTCAAAAAAAAGTCAGCACATTATCAGCTTATCGTGCAAAGAGACTACCTAGTGCTAGGTAGGAAAAGAAGTGAGATAGGGCTTTGGAGGTGGGGGGGATGTCTATTGGGAGAGGTGCCAGAGGGGCACCAGAGGTCAGAAGCATAAGCTAACTACTATCAGGCCGGGGGTCACCACCTCTCCCAAGCAAAGGCTCTTGGGCAGAATTCACCCTCCCACATACCCTCAGAGCTCACTGCTCTTTGAGGAGACTTGAGGGGTAGCAAAATGCAGGACTCATTTCATTTCACCCTAATAAGTGCCTACCTGCAAGGAAGCCCTGGAATGAAAGCTGTTCCTCTTTCCAGATGCTCCTCCCAAACTCCTCCTAGAAAAGGAGCAACTCAAAAAAAGAGGACTATTTTAGTAAGATAGGCTATATTTTGCTGCAGAGACAACCGCAAATTTTAGAGGCTTAACAAAACACAAATGCATTTATCACTCACAGAAGTCCATCACAAGTGGACAGGGGCTCATCCTGATACTCAGAAACCCAGGCTGGTAAAGCTTCTTCACTCCTGCTTCCAAGACCATCACAGTAGAAAGGGTGTGGCAACACACACACACTCTCTGGTTATTGGGTTTTGTTATTTAGGGCAGGGATGGTAATATCCCCTTATCTTATTTTATTGCCTTCCCAACACTCGTCTTTGCCTTACATATTTTTAAAATTTATTTTTTATTAGAAATAAATTGCTTGAAGGCCGGGTGCAGTGGCTTACGCCTGTAATCCCAGCACTTTGGGAGGCTGAGGCGGGGGGATCACTTGAGCCTTTTGAGACCAGTCTGGCCAACATGGTGAAACCCTGCCTCTACTAAAAATACAAAAATTAGCGGGCATGGTGGTGGGTGCCTGTAATCTCAACTACTCAGGAGGCGGATGCAGGAGAATCGTTCGAACCCAGGAGGCAGAGGTTGCCGTGAGCCAAGATCACGCCACTGCACTCTAGCCTGGGTGACAGAGCGAGACTCCGACTCAAAATAAATAAATAAATAAATAAATAAATAAATAAATAAATAAATAACTTTACATTTATTATCTGTCTCCCTCCCCAGTACAAGGTTTACAGGAACAAATGCTTTTCTCTTTTGCTCATTTCTGTATCCCCAGGCCCTAGAATAATATTTGACAAATAAGGGCTTATTAAATACATGTTGAATGGTTGAATATATTCAGTTGTTTTAATCTACATAAATGAGATTAAACTACATGTTATTCTGTAACTTACTTTCATACACTAATGTCTGTTCACATAGCTTATTGCCTCATTCTTTTCAATTATTACATGGTATTTTATAATACAAATGTACCACTATTTGTTCAGCCATTTCTCTTGTGGAAAATACTGAGGATGCTTTCAAATTTTTGGTGTTTTGAGCAGTGCAGCAACACACACCATTGTTGTATATACTTTGGAGCACCTGAGCCTGTGTTTCTCTAGGACAAATACCAACGAAAATAAAATCAGGCCAGGTGCGGTGGCTCATATCTGTAATCCCAGCATTTTGGGAGGCCAAGGTGGGTGGATCACTTGAGGTCAAGAGTTTGAGACCAGCCTGGCCAACATGGTGAAACCCTGTCTCTACTAAAAAATTACAAAAATTAGGGGGCGTGGTGATGGGCACCTGTAATCCCAGCTACTTGGGAGGCTGAGGCAGGAGAATCACTTGAACCCGGGAGGCGGAGGCTGCAGTGAGCATTGATATTGCACCACTGCACTCCAGCCTGAGCAACAGAGTGAGACTCTATCTCAAAAAATAAAATAAAATAATTGGAGCAAAAGTTATGTGCATCTTTAATCTTGATAAATGCAGCCTTAAAAGATGGACTCAATTATGGTTCTATTAATAGCGTATAGGAGTGTAGATTTCCCTACAGTGCACCATTGTTATTAATTGTCATCATTGTTTTTAATCACTTGTTAATGTCCTTTCAACCTTATGGGATATAAAGGGCTTTCCATTGTTGCTGGAACTTGTATTATATTGATTACTATAAAGCTATGCTTATCCTTTCATATGTTTATTGGCCATTTAGCTGTCTTTTTTTGTGAATGACCCAGATAAATTACTTGACCATTTATTTTATCAGGCTATTTACTTAAATTTTTTTTTTTTTTTTTGAGACAGAGTCTCACGGTATTGCCAGGCTGGAGTGCAACGGTGCGATCTTGGCTCACTGCAACCTCTCCCTCCCAGGTTCAAGTGATTCTCATGCCTCGGCCCCTGAGTAGCTGGGATTAGAGGCGCACGCCACCACACCCAGCTAATTTTTTTATTTTTAGTAAAGAAGAGGTTTCACCATGTTGCCCAGGCTGGTCTCCAATGCCTGGCCTCAAGTGATCTGCCCACCTCGGCCTCCCAAAGTGCTGGGATTACAGGCATGAGTTACCACAACCAGCCTCTTTGACTCTTAAATGTATTTTTTTTTTCAAATCTGTTTCTTGTACTTTACCTTGATTTTGGTGCTTTTGTCATCCAAGTTTTTAGCTTTAATATAGTCAAATACATCCTTTGTGTTTCCTTTACAGCCTCCAGTTTTTTTGCTGTTTGTTTTTTGTTTTTTTTGAGACCGAGTCTTGCTCTGTCTCCCAGGCTGGAGAGCAATGGCACAATCTCAGCTCACTGCAACTTCCCCTTCCCTGCCTCAGCCTCCCAAGTAGCTGGATTACAGGTGCCTGCCACCGCATCCAGCTAATTTTTGTATTTTTTAGTAGAGACGGAGTTTCGCCACGTTGGCCAGGCTGGTCTCGAACTCCTGACCTCAGGTGATCCACCTGCCTCAGCCTCCCAAAGTGCTGGGATTACAGGCGTGAGCCACCACGCCTAGCCTACAGCCTCCAGTTTTGCAGCTTGCTTAGAAATTTCATCCCAAGCCTAGCATTCTAAAAACATCCTCCTATATTTTTTTGTAATGCCCTTATAATTTTATCATCTATGATTTGGTCTTTAATCCAGTTGAAATGTGTTGTTATTTATGGAGCGAGATAGGAATTTAACTTAATTTTATTCCAAACATACAATTTATGGTCACCAATCTGCTTAACGTGACTTATTGACTAAATCACTCTTTTCCCATCTTGAATGCCCTTTTATGATAAACTCTATGACTATGGATACATGTGTCTAATATCCCCTTATCTTGTACTTCCCATGCTATTGTTTCCCCACATGCAGTCATTTGAGTCCCATCTTCATTTGTTATATTAATATTCCATTTATTTTCTTAATATTTTAGCATAATGCATTTTAAGATTAAATTTCCACTTTAGCCTCACCCTAAGCCTATAAAATTATAGGTTTAAATTTTTTTCTAGTAAACATTAAAATAAATGCCTAACTTTTTAAATGACATGCTTATTTATGTACAATTTTAAATCATCTTACAAACCATAAGTGGAATACAGAGACACTATCGTGTTTTTTCTACTAATGGATTTGTCAATTTCTGTGACAACACATCACTCTAGCTTTGTGGCATGCTTTTGTTGTCAACTTTTTATTTTGAAATAATTATAGACTCGCAAGGAGTTATAAAAATAGTACAGAGAAGTCCCATGTATCCATCACCTAGCTTCTCTGTAGATGGCATTTTACAAACCTATAGTACCTTATCAAAACCAGAAAATTGACATTAATACAATATAATTAACTAGACTACAGACCTTCCTCAGATTTCACCTGTTTTTCCTTGCACTGTTTTTTTGTTTTTTGTATATAGTTCTATGACATTTTATTACATATATAGATCCATGTCACCACCACCACAGCCATGATACAGTACTGTGGTGTCACCACAAAGGAACTTCCTCTTACTACTCATTGATGGCCAGGTCCTTCCTCCATCCCCAAATCCTGGCAACCACTGATCTGGTCTCCACCTCTATAATTTTGTTACCTTTATATTAAATAAATGGAATCATATAGTGTATAACTTTTGGGAACTGTTTTTTCCCCTCAGTATAATTTCCTGTGTAAATTGTTGTGTGTTTCAATCGTTCTTCCTTTTTTTCCTGAGTAGTATCCCAGAGTACAGTTACACCACAGTTTGTTTAACCATTCACCCATTGAAGGACATCTGATTTATTTCCATTAGGGGGCTATTACAAATAAAGCTGCTATGATCATTTGTATACAGGTTTTTGTGTGAACATAGGATTTCAGCTGGGCTGAAATGGGATTACAGCTCACGCCTGTAATCCCAACACTTTGGGAGGCCCAGGCAGGTGGATCACCTGAGGTCAGGAGTTCGAGACCAGCCTGGCCAACATGGTAAAACCCCATCTCTACTAAAAATACAATAATTAGCTGGTTGTGGTGGCAGGCGCCTGTAATCCCAGCTACTTAGGAGGCTGAGGCAGGAAAATCGCTTGAAACCAGAAGACGGAGGTTGCAGTGAGCCGAGATCGCGCCACTGCACTCCAGCCTGGGCAACAAGAGTGAAACTCTGTCTCAAAAAAAAAAAAAAAAAAAAATCAGCCGCGCATGGTGGCAGGTGCCTGTAACCCCAGCTACTCAGGAGGCTGAGACATGAGAATCGTTTGAACCTGGGAGGTGGAGGTTGCAGTGAGCTAAGATTGCACCACTGCACTCCAGCCTGGGGGATAGAGCGAGACTCTATCTCCAAATAAATAAATAAATAAATAAAACAAAAACAAATATTTCATTTCCCTAGAATAAATGCCCATTTATTCTGGGCATTTATTCTGGGTTGTAGGGTAAGTATATTTTTAACTCTTTAAGAAACTGCCTGGCTAGTAGTACCATTTTCCATTCCTACCAGCAATGTAAGAGAGATCCAGCTTCCCTGCATCCTCACCAGCTTTTCCACTCTCAGTATTTTTTCTTTTTGCTGTTCTGATAGGTGTTTCTTATTGCAGCTTTAATTTGCCTTTCCCTGATGGCCAGCAATGTTGAACATTTTTCATGTGCTTATTTGTATGGCATGTTTTAATATTTGGTGGCAAGTCTGAGGTTGCCTTTCTCGTCTGGGTCATGCCTCCATGACCCTGAGGGAGACAGCTGCACTTGGCTGCTCCCTGAGGTGGCAATCCCCCTTTTAGGTCTTGTATAAAGAGGGAAGGATGGTTTGATCTCATGTTTAGGGACTCAGGCTCAGATGCTACAGGGTGGGCTTGAGGAGGCTTATTAAGGGGAGGGTAAGACACCAGCTGTAACAGCACCCTTCCTCCTATTCATACCCCACAAAACATGTTTGATAAAATCAGTGCCTTTGAGATGGATTCACTTGGGAGTTTTGCCACAAAGTTCTGAGTCTGCTCTCACAATTGGAAATTATGGAACCTGAGCAAAGGAGACTGATCCAGTCACAGTGGGGTCACACATATTATCCTATCTTTTTGAAATGTGAACAGAATTGGAGTTGGGGAGCTTGAGTTGTCCTAAGAGGCCTGTAGTCTCTAGAACACATCCTTTTGATAGGCTCTGCCCAGCAGCTTGGCAGGACCTGGCCTGGGATGGGGAGGGAGGCCACCTCTGAGCAGTGACACATCCTCCACCCTGGCTCACCTTTTCCCTGAGGCTGACTATGAACAGGACGGTGCTTGAGAACCTGTGAGATCTGAGCCAGGACTCTTGAGCCAGGAGCCAGAGCATACCCTGGAAGGGGAGTGTCAATTTGCACTGGCAGGACCCAGAAAGAGTCAGTCTCCTGGGGTGGGACGCTTGGAGGGAGGGGCTCAGGGTAACCCTCTAGAGCAGGGATTCTCAAGGTAGGTCCCACCGTCCCTGTGGATCACAAGGAGCCTCCTGCCAGACAGCACATCCCGAATACAGCTCTTTCCATTATGTTCTCTAGGGGAATGATGAACCCATCCAGAAGATTCCATCTTTTACTCATGACCAGGTCCTCTTCATTTCAACCTATTAATTGAATTATTAAGAATTATCAACCGAGGGCTGGGCACAGTGGCTCACGCCTGTAATCCCAGCACTTTGGGTGTCCGAGGTGGGCAGATCACGAGGTCAGGAGATTGAGACTATCCTGGCTAACATGGTGAAACCCCGTCTTTACTAAAAATACAAAAAATTAGCCAGGTGTGGTGGTGGGCGCCTGTAGTCCCAGCTTCTTGGGAGGCTGAGGCAGGAGAATGGTGTGAACCCTGGAGGCAGAGCTGAAATTGCGCCACAGCACTCCAGCCGTCTCAAAAAAAAAAAAAAAAAAAGAATTACCAACTGAGGGTAGACATAAAGTAAAATGATGGAGGCGGGCGCAGTGGTTCATGCCTGTAATCCCAGCACTTTGGGAGGTCGAGGTGAGCAGATCATGAAGTCAGGAGTTCAAGGTCAGCCTGGCCAACATAGTGAAACCCTGTCTCTACCAAAAATACAAAAATTAGCCAGGCATGGTGGCGCACGCCTGTAGTCCCAGTTACTCGGGAGGCTGAGGCAGGAGAATCACTTGAACCTGGGAGGCTGAGGCAGGAGAATCACTTGAACCTGGGAGGCGGAGGTTGTGGTGAGCCGAGATGGTGCCACTGCACTTCAGCCTAAGCAACAGAGTGTGTCTCCACAAAAAAAAAAAAAAAAGAATAAAAAAAAAAGACGGTGTTTCAAGAGTTTCTTGGACACTGCCAGTAGGACCTTGAATAAATTACTTAAATTTTGTTACTCCATTTCCTCATCTGTAAAATGGGGATCATATAGTTCCAAATTCATGGAGACATTGAGAAGGTTAAAGTGCTTAAAACAGCAGGGTGTGGTGGCTCACACCTATAATCCCAGCACTTTGGGAGGCTGAGACAAGAGGATCACTTGAGCCCAGGAGTTCAAAACCAGCCTAAGTGAGACCCCATCTCATTTTTTAAAAACAAAGAAAAAAATAATTAAAAAATAAAATAAGTCCAGGCACAATGGCTCACACCTGTAATCCCAGCACTTTGGGAGGCTGAGGCGGGCAGATCACTTGAACCCAGAAGTTACAGACTAGCCTGGGCAACACGGTGAAATCCCCTATGCCCCCCGTCTCTACAAAAAATACAAAAATTAGCAGGGCGTGGTGGTGTGCTCCTGTAGTCCCAGCAACTTGGGAGGCTGAAGTCGGAGGATTGATTGAACCCTAGAGGTCGAGACTGCAGTAAGCTGAGATGCGCCTCTGCATTACAGCCTGGGCGTGAGAGTGAGACCCTGTCTCAAAAAATAAATAAACAAAACAAAATTAAATTTAATTAAGTGCTTAGAACAGTGACTGGCCCAGAGCAAGTACTGCAGACGTTTGTCAGCCTTTGTTACGGCTGGAATGTCAACAGCCACTGCCCATTCTGGCCGCGTTGCAAACTCCGACTGCGTGCGCCCCCTGGAGGGTATTGGAATTCCTGCACCTGTGGAGGGTTGCTTGCTTTCTTGGGCTTCCTCAAGGCGGCCTTGTGTTGGTAAGCTTCCCATTGCCAATGCTAAGTAATGGAAATTCCTGTTAGTTTAGCTTCGTTATCATGGACATCATTTGTAGGGAGTGATTTTGTAAATCCTACAGGATGTGATGCTGCATATTTCCACAATCTAATTTGTAATATAAAATGTTCTAATAACTAGATTTCAAGCCATCAGTATATGTGGGTCACACATGGATCATCTCCACCCCTGTAGTTAAATGTTACTAAGTTCTTTATCAGGAATGTGTGGGGAACGTGGGCTCCAAATCACTCTTCAGTGGGCTCCAAAATATTGGAGGCCCTCTGTGCGGAGGGCATTGGTCAGAGCCCAGGAGTGGCCCTGCTGTTCAGGACTAGGCACATGGGGAGTGGCAGCAGCCCCCCTCTGGAAGGCATCCAGCAGCCTGATATGGTAGCAGTTGTCCTTGGGCTCCTCCTAGGGACCTCAGCTCCCCAGACTGTCCTCTACCGCTCATCAGCTAGCCTCCTCCTCATGGACCCCAGGTCCCAGGTCTGTGGATGCATGACACTCCTTCATGCATGCATGCATGCACAGACACACACACACACACACACACACGCACAGCTTAGGACCTGGCTCTGACCTCTCCAGTAAGCCTTACCTGATTGATCACATTCAATTCTAACCCATCATCCCCTATGTACTTGAGGACCCAGCATATTTTTCCCATCTGTTCCTTACTCTGCAAAGGCCCAGAATCCTGGCTGGGACAGAGTGAGTCCTTTCTTCCCAGACCACATTGGTAGACCTGGCAGTTGTACTGAGGCCTATTCACATACATTTAGCCACCCATTAGATATAATACCCTGCATTGGGTGGTTAAGGAATCTGGGCCCAGAGAGGGTGAGCAACTTGTCACAGGTCATGCAACCAGATCCAGGCCTGAGGAGCTCTGCGATAGATCACACCACCTTTTATTAAGATGCTTTCTGGTGATCTAACTCCCTAGCTAATGAACTAAGCTGGCTCCTTTCATGGCCTCTGCAGATGCCAAAGGGACAATTCGGGAAATTGTCCTGCCTAAGGGCCTGGACCTGGACCGGCCCAAGCGGACACGTACATCCTTCACTGCCGAGCAGCTGTACCGCCTGGAGATGGAGTTCCAGCGCTGCCAGTATGTGGTGGGCCGCGAGCGCACTGAGCTGGCCCGCCAGCTGAACCTCTCCGAGACCCAGGTAAGAGACCAGGGCCAGGCCACTCCACTCTTGTCCTGGCAGCCTGGGAACTCCTGGGGATATGAGGCCCTGTGAGCTGCTACAGGGAGACCCAACTTTGGAGGAGTTCAGACAAGCATGAGGGAAAGACTTTAAGCTACAGGTAAACCAGAGTGAAAGAGCAAATAAATATAGCGCCGACCACAGACAGTCAGGAAATGCCAATGGGGGCCTTCTGGATAGATCAGGCACTTTTGGATGGAATATGGAAAAGGTTCAGAGAAACTGGGGAAGAGCAGCCCTCAGGGCACAGGGAGTGGCTTGGGGGGGTGTTGGCATGTAAGAGGAGTGACAAGAAGGGATGGTGAGGGCTTGGCTGGTTGGAAATAACGATTCTGGGGAAGATGAAACATTATAAAATTGGGCTGGGGACCTCTCGCTTCTCCATTTCTGGCCCTTTCCCACCCTCCATCACCTTCCCTTCATCTCAGGGTGCCTCAGTCTCTTGTTGGAAAGGAGGGGTCTGCACACCCCCTTCACCTGGGTAGGACTGGCATTTTAACAGCAGTGTGCTTAACTCAAAAGAAAAAAACTTTTGTAAATTAAGCACCTACCCTGTATGAATGGAGACCCTTCAAGCTGGTACTAGAGCTATAAAATACTACCACTACTACTACTACTACTAATACTTAGTACTTACATGTGTCAGGCACTAAGTGCTTTGCCTATGTTAAGTAACTAATCCCTCCCAAGAAGCAGATGATGTCATTCCCATGTTACACGTGAAAGGAAGTTATGCCCAAGGTCAGACAACTAATTAGTTCCGGAGCTGGGCTTTGGACAAGCAGTCTCTCATCTTTATGCTGCCTATAAACTGGGCAACCTTCCTTGAGATTGTCAAAGAATAACTCAGAGACCCTTCTTTCAGCCAGAGCTCTAGTAGTTTGCTCTCATATATGAGGGAGATCAATCAATACATGCATTGTAAACGACGGCCAAAACAGGATTGATAAAGTGGAGAGGAAGGGAGGAGGGGAATGCGGAAGCACTGGTCTGGAGCAGTGTGCTGGTTTCCTTCCTTGGAGCGAGGCGGGAGGCTGTGCTGGAGTGAGGGCTTCCCGTCTGTGCTGTGTGGCTGCTGTCCTCCCCTGTGTCCCTGCCTCAGTGAGGTCAGCTCTCCCTGTTTCCCTCAGCATAATTCCTCCAGCCCCTCAAATCCCCCCAACAGAGTGCTGTGCAGCCCACCCCTGGGGAGGGGGTAGTCAGATGCGCCTGGAAGTCCTCCTGGTCCCCTTGAGAGGTTAGCAGGTTCCTCCTGGGGTACACTGAGAGTAGGGCAGAGGAAGAGGTGAGAAGGGGTGAGAGGCAGAGGAGGGGCAGGCCGGGAGGAGGGGCAGGCCGGGAGGAGGGGAAGGCCGGGGAAGGACAGCAGCTGCTGTCCTGCAGGGCCGGGTCATCTCCACCTGCACTTGTTTTTCCCCAGCTGCCACTGCAGAGCTCCCAAACAACCCTGCGGGGCCTCCCTCCAGCTGGGCTCAACAGGGGGCTGGGAAGCCAGGCTTGTGCTCAGAGAGGAGGCTGCAGTGGCAGGGCCAGGCCAGAACTCCTGGGGAAGTCACTGAGGCCCGTATTCCCTACACTGAGCTGCCCTTGGAGGTCAAGCCCAAGCCCCCCTCTTCCAGGAAGCCTTCTGCAGGCACCTTGCCCTCTTCCCAAGAGACCCTTCCACATGGCGTGACCTGGAGAGACAGATAGTGTGTGTGTGTGTGTGCACGTGTGTGCATGTGTACATGTGTGTGGTGTTGGATGTCCACCAGTATTTGCTTCCCTAGGACAAGAATGTATTTATAGGCCATGGCTCCTCGTCGTGCTTCACAAGGAGCCCAGAACACAGCTGGACACATAGTAGGCCCTCAGCAAGTCCTCCGCACTGTTCTCACTACAACCCTCCTTCCTCTGTCCCCAGTCCTAGGGTTGACAGATAGTAAAAGTAATGGACAGCTGATGCTTATTGAGCGCTTCCCATGCACCAGGTCCTGTTCCAAGGGTGTGACATAGTCTAACTAGTTTAGTCCTCACCACAACCTTATGGGATACGTGTGAGATTTTTCTTCCAACACCAGGTGTATGGTATGTTCCAACCACCAGCAGGCAGTGCTCCAATTCTCCAGCATCACTGAGTATATTCAACAGTTCAATACTGACACTAATTCCCAGAGCTAGCACAGACCCTACAAGTTAAGGGCTCTGTCCCACAAGACAGTGCCACAGCAGACTCAAGTTCCAGGAGCCACCTGTGCTTCTGAATGGACTGGCCTAAAACCGGGGGCTCCCACATCGCCCTCTGCAGGTTTGACAATTCACTAGAATGACGCACACAACTCAGGAAACACCTCCCCTACACTTGCTGGTTTATTATAAATGACACGAGTGAGGAAGAGCCAGATGGAAGAGACACAAAGGGCAAGGTAAGGGGGAGGTGCGTGGAGCTCCCATGCCGTTTCCAGTGCCCCCATTCCCAGCACTTCCACGTGTTCGCCAACCAGAAGTTCTCCTGGTCTCCTTGTTCAAGACTAAATCCAGGCCGGCCTGGCACAGTGGCTCACGCCTGCAATCCCAGCACTTTGGGAGGCCAAGGAGGGAGGATTGCTCAGGAGTCCAGGAGTTCAAGACCAGCCTTGGCAGCAGAGGGAGACCTTATCTCTAAAAAAAGTTTTTTAAAACATTTTTTACAGTTTACACTGTAAACTGCAGGGTGTGGTGGCACACACCTGTAGTCCCAGCTACTTGGGAGGCTGAGGTGGGAGGATTGTTTGAGCCCAGGAGGTCAAGGCTACAGTGAGCCATGTTAGCTTCACTGCACTCCAGCCTGGATGACAGAGCAAGACTCTATCTCAAAAACAAACAAAAAAAGACTATAATCCAATCTCCATTCCCCTCCCCTCCCTAGAAGGAAAGAATGGGGGCGGCTGAAAGTTTCTACCCTCTAATCACAAGTATGGTCTTTCTAGAACCAGCCCCAGTCCTGAAACTACCTAGAGATCCACCCTGAATCACCTCATTAGCATACAACAGTAAGTCTTATTTATTTATTTATTTATTTATGTTTACTGTAGAGACGGGGTCTCGCTTTGTTTCCTAGGCTGGCCTGGAACTCCTGGTCTCAAGTAATCCTCCCTCCTCGGCCTTCCAAAGTGCTGGGATTATAGGTGTGAGCCACCATGCCCAGCCAATAAGAGTATATTGTTTCCACTTTAAATAGAAGGAAACTGAGGCATAGAAAAGTTAAATAGATAACTTGCTCAAGACTTGCAGCGGGTGCATTCATGGGTAATAGTACCCATGAAGATGGCTTTATGGGTACTATTATCCCCATTTAAGCAAACTGAGCCTCAGAGAGGTTAACTAACTTGTAGCTAGAATTCTGTGGCATTCTCAGTATGTTCACCCATAATTTTGTTCAAAAATATTATTGAATACCTACTATATAGCAGGTACTCTTCTAGGCACTTGGGCTTTGGCTTAGAACAAAACAGACCAGGCATCTGCCCTCGTGCAGCTAAGATCCACAGAGACAAAGACAAACCGCATTTCCAGGAGTGATGAGTGTTGTGAGGGAGCTCAAATGGGGTCATAGGAGAGAGACTAAAAGGAAGTGTTTTACTGGGGTGTTCAGGGAAGGCCTCTTTGAGAAGATGACGTTGAGCTTAGGCCTGAGTGGCAAGGGAGAAACAGCCAGATGAGGAGCCAGAAGGAGACGTCAAGGCAGACGGTAACTATGAAGACGTGAGGGGCAGGAATTGGCATAGAATGTTCTAGAAGTATCAGAAGGCCAGAGTGGCTGGAGCTACAGGGTAATTGGGTAAGTAGGTAGGGGAGGATCATGCGATGCTTAGAGACTATGGTAATACATTGAAGAGAAAGTGACAGGAGATGATTGGCATTTTACAGAGGTTCTCTGGCTGCCACTTGGGGAAGGGACCCACAGGGGAAAGGAGTGGACAGGTGTGGACAGGTAGGAACTACTGACATGGGTCCTGAACAGAGCAGTGGTGGAGGAGAGAAGCGTACTAATGTGAGAGGCACTCTAATTTAGTGCTGGAACATATTAGGACTTGCTCATGGATTATACGCCCAGGGCAAGGGAAAGGAAGTGGTTTGGGTAGAACAACTGGGAGAATGGTGACACCATATAATGAGTTGAGAAACTGGGGGAGAAGCAAGATGGTGGGAGCATAATCAAGAATTTTGTTTTGGATCAGTTAAGTTTGAGATCCCAGCGGAGATGTCAAGAAAGCATGTCAGATTTTGGGGGGAGGGCTGGTTTTTCTCTGGTTTAAGTTATCTGAGAGTCTCTGTCAGAGCTCTTTTGGGGGAAAAGATAAGAAATTCCTTCAAGTGCCCTCAGATAATGGATGGACTCCCCAGGGATTAAAAACAGAAGCCATAGCCTTGTTGAAATTCAATAACAGGAACCATGGTGTAGCCAGGAATTGGAAGAGACTGGAAGCCAAAGGCTCTTTTGGGCCCGAGGGATTCAGCACCAGCTACTCACAGAACTTCCTCCCAGTGCTCTGCTGAGTATGTGCTCCAACTGCTCTCCAAAATATCTGCTTCTCTCTCTGTTTCTTCCTCTCCTCTCCTCTCTTTTTATCTCTTCTCCTCTCTTTTTTCTCTTCTCTTCCTTCTGCCAAATAGCATCTCTACCTTCTTCCCTGGATACTCAGAGGACCCAGGCATGGTCCCAATTCAGGCAGAGAAAACACAGAGCTTGCTCAGGGCCCATTTCCATGGCTAGTCTCTTCTTTAATCTAGCATGCCCAATTCAGCTCAGTTGTCTGCAGATTTAAATCTGAAACCCACTTACAGGATTGGGCAGGCAGAATGGCGAAGCCCTTTCCTTGGCTCTCCACCACTCACAGGGCTCTACAGGACAAAGGGTCCACCAGAGTAGGAACAGTGAACAAGACACAGTGCAGCTGACCTCTGTCCCGGCCTTGCCCAGACTCCATGGCTGTGCAACAGAGGCTAAGCATGGCTGCCCTGGAGAGCAGGGGCAGCCTCAGAGGAATCTCTCTCTCAAGACTATCAAAAGAACCCTCTGCCCACCTTTGTCAGCCCAAGGGTAGCATACACTGAAAGTTCTTCTCATGTCAGAGAACATGGACAGCCCCACTTAGTCCAGTTCTCCTTGGTTTTAGAAACCTTCTGATACACCTTGTCACCATGCTTTGTTTGAAAAAGAAAGTTTGGTGTTTGATTAAAGCAGCATTTCTCAAGGTATGCTCTGGAGACCAGCTGTACGTACAGCTCCCCTGGGGTAAAATACAGATGCCTGTGCCACCCTCAGCCCAGAGGTTCCCAGTCAGATTTCTAGGGAAGACCCCACAACCTATATATTTTTTGTTCCAGGTGATTTAATGCACAGTGATGTCTGAGAATCACTGGCTTATGGAAAAGTGAGCAAATCTGACCAGATGATGTGATCACCATGTTGCTTAAAAGACTTCATCAACTGCCAGCACTTTAATAAGTCTGTGATTATTAGCCCACCGAGTCATCACAACAAAACTATGAGGAAGAGTTAAGAACCCCATTTTACTGGTGGGGAAACTGAGGCTCCAAGAAGTTAAGTAACTTGACTTAAGTCATCTAGCTAGTTAAGGGAACCAGAATTGAATCAGTGGCTGTCTGACCTCTGATTCTCCACGATAGTTTGCTACTATATATTGTCTCCTCCACTATATTGTTTGCTACTTCAACCAAAACACTTACCGTGTTGTAACACTTACTGCTTGCCCATGACCCACCCTGCTAGTGTCTGACAGCCAAGAGGGTCAAAATGGAGTTTTATTTATTTTTGTTTTTTCAGCACCTGGCAATGCCTGGCTTGCATCAAATGCTTGATATTTCTGTGTTGCCTGAATGAATGACCAGAGTACCAGGGTCCAAGTAGGACATAAGAGGATGTGGCTGCAGAGGAAAGGAAGATGAGAAGCTGGCTCAGGACTCCCCTCCTGCAGCTGGGCTGGAGGACGTTCTCAGGGCCAGGAGCCCAGGAGCCAGGTGGAGAACAAACTGCCAAGTCCCAATATCCCCCCGGGATGCCCACCTAGCTTGGGTAAGAGCTGCTCCAGCCCTTCAGCATTGTCCTCAGCCTCATGCTTGATGCCTCTGCCTCAGATGGCTTCTTCCAGAACAGCACGATAGATGGTACCTTCCTAGTGCAGATTACAAAAACCAAGCCATCCTAGATACACAGATACCACTCACCTCAGATTAAGTATGGGCCCATGGTCACAGAAAACAGTCTTCAAAAGATGAATGCCATTTCCAGATCAACAATGAATCCTGGAATTTGATATTGACCATGAGCCCAAAGAAGCTGGTGGATAATCTCCTGGAAAATTCCTCTGTAGTCCTGGCAGCCAAGTGGAAACTGTGCCCATCTCCTGGTGCGCGGCCATGGATCACAGTGTGGCCCAGAAAGAAATCAGGGAGGGGGCAGTGCCATGGGTCACAGTGTGGCCCAGCAAGAGATCGCGGAGGGGGGCGGGGCAGCCACCAAGCACTCACTGAGTCCCAGGGAGTCAAGATGGCAGCCTCCAGGAGGCCACACAGGACCCTGAGAAAACAGAGGAGGGAGACAGCCCAGAAGGTGCACTGGGCAGGTGAGGGGAGAGGCACAGCTGCGGAGGTGTGCTGGCCCCGCCACCCTGTGAAGTCGGCTAGGAATGGTTTCCCAGAAGTGGATAAGGACCGATCACTTTGGATTTAACCTTGAGAAGAGGATGAACCTGAGATGGAAATGAAGGTTTCCTGGGGCAGGAGGGACACATTCAGAGGGCTCTGAGCCTGTCTGTTCTTCAGAAAGACAGAGAGACAACATTTGCAGGGCCCTGTGAACCTACCCGCTAGGGCCTGAAGGGCCTGATAGGCTTGGTGGGCCTGATGGGCTTGATGGTGGGAAGTAGAGAGTTGACCCTTCTTACTCTCACCCTTGAAGTTTGCAATGCTGGGAAGCACATTAGATTCACCCACAGAGCTTTAGAAGAATACCCAGGCCTCAGCCCCATTCCCTAGAGATTCTGATTTAATATGGGTGAGGCATGAGGCCCGGACATCATCCCAGAAAATTCCAGTGTGCGGCCAAGGTTGAGAATTCCTGACCTAGCCCATATGTGGCCAAGAAACAAGCACCCCTGGTCCCAGCCCCTGCTCCATCTGCCTCTGACTTCTCCTCTCCTAGGGTCCAGGCTCACCTTCTCAGGAGACGCCCAAACCCAGCACCAGCCCACACCCGCCTCTCCTTGCTACACCCAGAGCTGCAGGAAGATGGGATATGTGGGAGAGCACCTTGTAAATGCCTGGTCATTCCTCATCTGTCACACCCCATTACTGCCACTCCCTGAGTACGAATTGCCCTCTGTTTTTTGGGAATGAGTTAGTGCCACTCCCCCACTAGACCCTCAGCTTCCCAAGGACTGGAGTCATGACATCTGTGTCTCCTCTCCCTCTAGTTCAGAAACAGAGCTAGAAACAGAGAAAGCCAGCGATAAATAACTATTCACATTTCCTGTGGGCCAGGCGTGATGCCAAGCTCCCTAAATGGGTTTTCTTCTTTCATCTCTGCAATAGCCAAGTATTATTGTCCCCATTTTAAAGATAAGACACTGAGGCTCAGGGGTTCCTGGAGGTGGCCTGGCCTCAGGTCCTAGGACGGGGAGGTGCTGGCTTGGCTAAGAGGTCAGGAAGCTTCCCAGCAGGGAGGGGGAATGCAGCAGTGTGCAGCGCTATGGTCCTTGAGGATCTGGTGAGACTCCTTCCCTCAGCAGTCAGATTCCAGAGGTGACAAATGGGAAAGGGTTTTCTTCTTTCCAGTCATTGCCTTCAGCTAGACTTGGCTGAATCTTCCTTGACCATCCCTTACTGATATCTTCTTCAAATGTCCCCTCTTCAGGGAGGCTGTATGTGCCATTCCATTAACAAAACAGTCACCCCCCTCCTTCCTTTCTGCTATCCTGCCACCTTTCTCTAAAGCAGTGCCCCCCAGAGTATGGCCCTTGGGCCACTGCCAGCCCATAAACTGTTACCTGTCTATGACATGGTAAGTATAGAAATAAAGAATAGGTATTTAGAAAAGGCCTGGAGCGGTGGCTCATGCCTGTAATCCCAGCACTTTAGGAGGCCGAGGTGGGCAGATCACGAGGTCAGGAGTTCGAGACCAGCCTGGCCAACATGGTGAAACCCTGTCTCTAGCAAAAATACAAAAATTAGTTGGGTGTGATGGCACACGCCTATAATCCCAGCTACTCAGGAGGCTGAGGCAGGAGACTCACTTGAACCCCGGAGGTGGAAGTTGCAGTGAGCCGAGATCATGCCACTGCACTCCAGCCTGGGCTACAGAGTGAGACTCCATCTCAAAAAAAAAAAACAATGTATATAGCAATCTTTCCAGTAATTCATTTTAATTGTATTTTTTAAAGTATTGGTCCTCAACAAAATTGGACACTTTATAAAGTGGTCCTCACCTCAAATCATTTGAGAAACACGGCTCAAAGCCCTTGCTGCCAATTGACAGACAGGCTTGTTTGTGTTTGTTGTTCATCCTCTGCCTCCCCAACTCCACCGCCCACTCCACGTGGCAAGGATTCACTGGGCTTTGTTCACTGCTGATTCCCTGGGCCTCAATGTATATCTGGTGAGTGAATGAATGGATAAATGAAGCAATCAACCTCAAGTAGGTCTCATAACTTTCTGGTCACTTTTGATTATTGAATCTGCATCCGCCAGGTGCGGTGGTGTGCACCTGTAGTCCCAGAACTTGGGAGGCTGAGGCAAGAGGATCACTTGAGGCCAGGATTTTGAGGCTGCAGTGAGCTCTCATGACACTAGTGTACTGCAGCCCAGGCAGAAAACCAACACTTTGTCTCTAAAAACAAAAATAAAGAAATAAACTCAATCCAATGTCCTTCAAAACACCAACTCACATCTAGTTTAAATCTCATCTTCTCCTGAAGCCCCACACCTGCTTCCCCACTCAGAACAGCCTTGACTCACTGCTTGCCAGCAAGGTTTGAGGTTTGAGGAAAGCACATCTCACATAGGAGCATGAACACCCAGTCATCCTGCTGAAGAACTACAAAAGGACCCCTGCCCACTCTTTACCTCCTCCCAGTGCAGCCTCTGGAGGGGATTGTGATCTGTCTCAGTCACTTGCTCCCTCTTCCCCCAACAGCCACCTCCTCCAGGATCAGACGACAGGGGGTGGCTTCAAGGAGGCAGAGATCTTTTTAAAAGACTGGACATCTTCTGGTGTGAGGAGGGGAAGCACCAAGGCCTCACTTTCTGAAGGCCTTTGCTGAAGGGCCAGTCACTCCTAGCAGGTGGTGATGTCTGGCATGGCCCAGGTGGCCCAGTCTGTCTTGGCTCTGCCTGTCTTCTTAACCTGGGCAGCCCTCTGGCTCAAGCCTTCTCCTCCACCCATCTCTTGGCAACTTCTCAAAACCACAGCAGTTGCTGGACTATTAAATCTTCCAAAAGCTGGAAGGAACCAGCAAGGTCTTCCTGACCTTTTCTTATTGGGCCCTCCCCTCCACGGTTCTCACCCTCCCTGCCGGTACACCTGCCCCAGCTCCAGGCGAGGAGCAGGGTTGGCCTCTATGTTCCCAGGGAAACAAGTCTGGGTGCTCCCATGGTGGCCTCCATGACATGGGCCTGTAGATGCTGTGGCCTGATGAGTTTCTGGAGTGGGGCATGAATGCCAGTCTCTCCTTCTAGTGCCTACAAGTGATTCTTTTGGGCCCTCCCCCAACTTGCATCTGCAGGGCAGCACACCCTTCCTCCCATGAGGTTTTGTGGCCCCCAGGGGACTGAGCCTCAGCTTCCTGCCCAGTTCCCTTTCCTCATGTAGAGTAGGAAGGGGTTTGGAGCACTGGGTGTTGGGTAGTAGAGGCAGGGCCAGTTCTGCCTCCTCTCAGAGGCCCTGAAAAAGACCTCTTCCATGATTCTGGTGACTTTCTTCAGACTGTGGCACCTCTTTGTCCTCAGCTTTGAATGTGTGGCCAACAGAAGTCCCCCTCAACAACCTGCCACATCCAGTCACACTTGGTGTCACATTGAGAAACTTGGCCTTTATAGGTGATGGGGTAGGAGGGTGCTGCTAAAAACTTCAAACCGGGCAATGGCCAGATTGGGTTAGAAAGAGCTCCCTCCAAAGGCAGCGTGGCGGCCAGCATGGATGCAGAGACCTCACCATCCCCAGACAGGCATCTGGCCCCTCCTCTGGTCATGCCCCTCCCTACGGAATGAGGACTCTGCAAAGCCAAGGGGTCTCGCCTGCCAGAAGCCTGTGCCCACCTTTGAGACCACCCATCCCTGCCAACAAAGTGTCCAGTTTCAGAATTCCCCGCCAAATGGCCCTGAGCCACATCCGGCACCTGCCTGGGCCTCTCCAGGGTCAGTCTTCCCAAGGGCAGACCACAGACATTATTCAGCACTCCAGGCCCAAGAAGCGGCCAATGGGGGGCTATTTGCAGACTGTGAACAGGCTGGGGCAGCCACACACGTGTGGGTCAGAGCCAGGGTGGGCCATGAGCCAGAGGCTTCCATTTTTTCTCTTGCCCCAGCCCTCTAGATGTTACAGTTTAGACCTGGGGCAGAGACACCTTTAAAACACTGGCTTCTTCACCTTGGAATCACCTGGTGAGCTTTAAAAACTACTAAAGTCTGGGTCCCAGGTTCCCCCGTTCTGAGTTTATTGGTCCAAGGTGAGAAGTGAGTTAGGGGCTTAAAGCTCCCCAGGTTCTCATGGGCAGCCAGGGTCGAGAGGTGCTGCTGTAGAGACAATGCCACGGTCCAGGTCAGAGAGAACAAAGGGAGAGAGGAGGGTCTGTTCTAGGCAGCTGGGAGACAGGCTCCTGCATGAGTGAGTGGAGGCAGCCATGATGGAAGAGGGAGCGTGGGAAGCCTCTGTTTGGAGGACAGAGCTGCACATGTGGGGTTTGGGGTGTTTTTTGAGATATCCATGGGGAGATGTCTAGCAGGCAGGTGGATACATGGCCTGGATCTCAGTTCAGATCTCTGGGCCTGAGGTAGAGTTGGAATTACCAGCACATAAATGGTGGCTGAGGCTGTGAACTTGACTTTGAGCCAAGGGCATGTGGGCCAAGAGGAGAACATCAGTTGTACTCCCAAACTCCATTCTCTGTCTGTCGATCCATTCCTCCATCCTAGGCCAGAGTCAGTTTAGTAGTAGAGGGGCCTCCATAATTTGGGGGACCAGAGTCCCTAATCAGTTCGCCTACAGCAGGATGGTTGTGGGGAGACCTTAACAACAATCTGCTCTTCTTTCCCTCTTGCTCCACCCTCACACCCCACCCCCACCCCCATCCACCACCTGCCCCAACCCCATGCCCTTCCTCTCCTTTCCTCCTCCCACCTGCCCCCACTTTGCTTTGCCTGTCCCATCTCCCTCCTTGACACCCCCTCCCCCACCCCAAGGTGAAGGTCTGGTTCCAGAACCGCCGCACCAAGCAGAAGAAAGACCAGAGCAGAGACCTGGAGAAGCGGGCGTCCTCCTCAGCCTCCGAGGCCTTTGCCACCTCCAACATTCTGCGGCTGCTGGAGCAGGGCCGGCTGCTCTCTGTGCCCAGGGCCCCTAGCCTCCTGGCGCTGACCCCTAGCCTGCCAGGCCTACCTGCCAGCCACAGGGGCACCTCCTTAGGTGACCCCAGGAACTCCTCCCCACGCCTCAACCCGCTGTCCTCGGCCTCAGCGTCCCCCCCACTGCCGCCCCCTCTGCCAGCTGTCTGCTTTTCCTCGGCCCCGCTCCTGGATCTGCCTGCCGGCTACGAACTGGGTTCCTCGGCCTTCGAGCCATACAGCTGGCTAGAACGGAAAGTGGGCAGCGCCAGCAGCTGCAAGAAAGCTAACACTTAAGACTCCCACCCTGTGACACTGAGTCCCGAGCACAGCACCTTCCCAGTCTCCTGTGCCCCAGCGGACAGCACTGAGCAGGCCCCGGAGAGGAGGGGCTGCAGCCACACACTCTTCCCCACCTGCCCCCCAGCTCAGAGACTCGTGACCAAATGGCCTTGGTCCCGCAGCTTGTGTGCGTGAGTGCAGTGTGAGTGTGTGTGTCTCTCACTGAAATAAAAGGAAAACAATGACAAGAAGGGAAATGGTGCCCACAGCACAACTACTTACCCCTCAATCCCTTCTATCCCTCTTGTCACTGGAAGGGAAAATGGGCTTAGAGTCAGAGGGACCTCAGATGGGAGAGGGCAGAAACTGGGATTCTGGGGGTCAGGGGACTCACATGTGTCGGTCAGCAGGCACCTGATTCCCACTCAATAGAAGCCCATGGCACCAACACGAATTCTTTGGTTAAATGTTGCCCTTTACAAGCTCTCTTTCAAACATAAAAATACTTGAGAGAGGGAAACATTGTCACCTTGAAGAGGGTGAATGGTGAAAGGGGAGACCAGGTTGAGAGAGAGGGAGAGAGAGCATCAAAGCTAAACACAAGCAAGAGTCCAGATGTTTAGAGACGGCCTACCCATCACAAACTGCAACATGAAACCCTTTAAAATATCTATACACAGCCTGGCCAACATGGGGAAACTCCATCTCTACTCAAAATACAAAAATTAGCTGGGCATGGTGGCGGGCGCCTGTAATCTCAGCCACTCAGGAGGCTGAAGCAGGAGAATCGCTTGAACCCAGGAGGTGGAGGCTGCAGTGAGCCAAGATCATGCCTCTGCATTTCAGCCTGACAACAGAGGGAGACTCTGACTCAAAAAAAAAAAAAAATATATATATATATATACACACACACACACACACACACACACATACATATTATATATATTTCATATTGCTCAAACAATATAAATTTTTTTAAAGTTAAATAAGAGTCTTGCTCAAGACTCTTTTATTTAACTTTTTATTTTGCAGTAATTATAGATTTACAGGAAGCTGCAGAGATAGGACAGAGAAGTTCCTTCCATTGGCAGGAACTCAATAGTATGAGACAGATAGGCTTCATCTTCCCTAACTATAGTACAATATCAAAACTAGGAAATTGGCATTGGTACCGTGTGTGTGCATAGTGCCATGTCATTTTATAGATTCATGGACTCACTGCTGCAATCCAGATGCAGACCTGTTCCATCACCACAGAGATCTTCCTCATGCTGCTCCTTGATGGTCACACCCACCCCCGCCCTCCACAGGAGAGTTCTTTGAAAGGATGGGCATTAGGAACCAGAGACCTGAAATGGGTCCTCAGGAGGGAGGATGCGGGGTAAGATTTTGACTCTGTGAAGAGAAATAACAAGCACAGTCTCCTCCAGTCTGCTCTGAGAAACATAGTAGCTGCTGCTTTGGTTTCAAATTGGCTGTCCTGAGTCACCTGGAGTGGGTGCTTGGGGACAGTGATCCCTAGGCAAATGTACTTCTGCCGTTCCCTCTGCTCAGTGGTATGGTTTGGGGAGGAGCTTAGAAATGCAGAAATCCTGAGCCTAGAATGAGGCATGGGGGTGACTAGAAGACCTTGGGTTGGGCAGGTCCAGCTACCACCCAGGGTCCACCCTGCCTTGCCCAGAGGAACTGTACCACACTCCACTCACCAGGAGAAACCACAACTCTTAGTTTCATGACATGAAGAGAGAGTTCTTGGGAAGCAGTGGTGAGGTCTTGGGTGGAACCCAGGCCAGGCTGTGCACATAGTTTGATTTATAACTCCAGGTATTTAGTTATACAATACAGGGACCTCCATTTTACTTTCTGACCTGGGCTGGAAAGGTCAGGGCAGGCCTGCTGTATAGAAATCTGGAGGTGAATGTGAGAAGATGAGACACGGTTCTATGATCAGATGGAGAGAGACCAGCCCTCATTCTCAAGAACTCTCAATAGTATGAGACAGACAGGCTTCAGGAGACCCAGGTCTGTGGGTTGAGACACAGGCTCAGCTTTTGGGGGCTCACAGCCCAGTGGCAGGGACAAGAGAGGCCTCTCCTAAAGGGCATGACTTAGGAAAGAGGCTAGATGTGTAGTAAATCTTGGCTGCTAGAGAATCCAGAGAAGGCTTCATGTAGGAGATGGCACTGAGGCTGACCAGGAAATAATTCTCTACAGATGTTCAAAAAGATGACGATGGAATTGTCAGGGGGCAGAAGTATCCAGGTATAGTCAGGGCAAGGAGTGCAGGGTAAGGTCAGGTTGCGAGAACAGTGAAGAAAGGGCAGCCTGCCAGAAGTTGGGTGTGGAGAGACCAGAAAGAGCTGTGGTGAGGGACGAGTGTGGGAATGTTGACAGCACCTGATGGTCCAGGGGAGGAATTGAATTCATACAGTTTGGGGTTGGCGGGGAGGAACCGCCTAGCACAGAAGAAGGAAAAAGCCAGCCCTCCCCTCTTCCCTTCTCCCTCCACATCCTCCAGCTCTCAGGTGACGGGGGCCCCTCCCAGACCTGCACAGCTTGGTGTGGGGAAAGCTTGGGAGCCAGAGCCCCAGGCTTCCTTGTTTACTGTCAACCTAGAGGAGGAGGAGAGGGAGGGGAGGGGGAGAGGGGAGGGGTGGCTGCAGGGGAAGGCTGAGCAGCTCTCTCCAGCTCCAGCTGGACCTGAAGTCTCAGAGCTGCCACCAGCAGCAGGCTCAGACACTGGGCTCCCAGCTGGGGACTGCTCCATGGCCATGGAGATAGACAGCAGGCCTGGGGGGCTCCCCGGCAGTAGCTGCAACCTAGGTGCAGCCCGAGAACACATGCAGGCGGTCACCCGAAACTACATCACCCACCCCCGTGTCAGTGAGTAGCCCCTCCACCGTGACGGGTGAGGTCAGGGTGGGGAGCTGGGGTGGGCTGCCAGGTTCCCGGGCCCCGCTTCTTGCCTCAGAAAAGGAGGAGGACCCAAGACCTGGGGAGACCTGGAGGGCTCTCTGTCCAGCAGAGTGACGCAGTGGGGCCACCTGGACCAGAGGCCACCTCTGCAGGTGAAGGGTTGCAGGTCCCCAGCCCAGCCCACCCCAGAAGAGAGGGCTGGGGAGTAGCTGTCATCAGCCCAATCCTGCTGTAACACCCGAAGTCCAGAGATAGCTTCCAGTTGCCCCTGAGAGTGGGGTGTGCTGTGCACCTGCTCTTGTGTAAACGTGCCTGTGTGAGGAGTGTGCACCCAAGCACTCAGAGTCAGGCGGGGTGTGATTAAGTGTACTTGGAGTGGTGTGTGTGGCAGTGCAGAGTGTCAGCGCTCTCAGCCTGAGGAAATAGGTGCCCCGTGTGCGTCACATCAATGGGTGCATGTCGTATGTGTGTTCTGAGGAGGGTGCCTGTGTGCATAAGCAGGTAGGAGCATGTGCCTAGGGGGTGCTCCCACCTTCACTTGGGGTAAGGAAATGTGTGACTGCATGCTTATGCACTCAGGGCAAAGGTGTGTGTGTGTGCACTTAGGTGTGATGTACGTGTGTGCATGTGCACTCATGGAGAGAACACTTGTGTATGTGTTCTGGCAGTGTCACATATCTGAGTATGGTGAGTGTGTGTACAGCTGGGATAAGAATGCGTATCCAGGTGTGGGGCATGGAAGTGTCTACAGGTGCTGGGATGTACCCTTGTCAATTTCAGAGGGGAGGCCCTACTTGTGGCTCCTGTGCCTGTCCTGCAAGGGTGGCCCAGATGTCTGGGGCAAGGTCCAGAGGACCAAAGGGAACCCCTGCATCTCCTTGTCCAAGGTCACTCTCCCTGGCCTGGTGAATTCTCAGGCCGCCCTGCTCACTGGAGTAAACCAGCATGGCCCGCCACAGCTATGCAAAGCCAGAGGCTCACTGGAGTAAACCAGCATGGCCCGCCACAGCTATGCAGAGCCAGAGGCTCACTGGAGTAAACCAGCATGGCCCGCCACAGCTATGCAGAGCCAGAGGCTCCTAACAGGGAGTGTGGTGTGAGGGGAAGTGAGCCTGATGCAGCCACCCCACCTCCCTCTGTTCCTCTGTTGCTATCCAGGCCAGGAGAGGAGGTGGAGTGAACTCAGAGGGTAGCTGAGGGGTGAAATCAGAGTAAAGGGGCCCGGGGGCGCATGGGAGGAGAGCCCTGGGGTGTGGGGCACCTCCTGAGGCCTGAGGCAGGTGCTGAGGGTGGAGCACATTCCAGCTAAGAAGAAATGGTGAGAATGGGGTGGGTCAGATTTCTCAAGCAAGGCCTGTAGGCCCTGCCCCATGGAGCTCGGGGGAGGATAGGAGGTCCGGATACTCCCTAGGCCAAAGCTAGGGTCACCAAGGCCCAGAAATATGCAGTGACTGGGCCCCCTTGGGTCCAGAGCCCAGGCCTGGAGCCCTGAGCTGGCATGTGTGACTCTTGCCAGTCTGTTGTGATGAGCCCCACTCCCTGCAGGCCGTCCCTCCTCCCTGCAGGCACCCGGGAGTTGCTGGGTGCTGAGTGTGGTGTGTGATCTGCACCTTCATGCTCTGCTTTCCTTCTTCCTGGAAAGTGCCCCCACCTCCTGATACCCAGGGACCCTATAGGTACCATCTAACCCCACACTCCTCTGGGCAGGTTGGCCCAAGCCTGGAGCCACCTCCAGCCAGCTCTTTCCCACCCAGCCCCTTATGTATAGTCAACATGCCCTGGAGGTTCTGACCCAGGCTGGAACCCAGGGATGGCTGTGCCCGCCCCCCATGTTTGCATGCTTCCCTCGATGCTGGCTCTATATGGCCTCCACCCAGGAGAATGTGTTCACACCAAACAACCCAACAGTGGACCCAGAGCAAAGGTCAGTGCAGGGGAGCCCCTCTAGGCTCTGCTCCCTGCCAGCGCCTTTACTTTTGCTGCCTATCAAGTATCCTCACAGGATGCACCGGGCCAGCCTCAGCCCAGCCCAGATGCCCTCCCACCCCCAGGGGAAGGCTGGGATTCCTTGGTGTGTCCCTTCATCCACAGTGTCTCCCAATCCCCTCCCCGCCTCACTCACTTCCTCCTCAGGCTCTGGGAGTGGGAGGGATGAGGGGGGTGGTTCTCCCTGGGGCCTGTGGACAGGCGCAGGGCTGGCAAGGGTTTGGAAATTTAGGGCTGCACCCTCAGTACGCCAGAGGCAGGGCCACTCTGTCCCTCTCCACCTGTCTCCTCCCCAGCCTGGCCTCCTACCCTGGGTCTGTAAGCACTCCCAGACAGGAGAACTCTGGGAGAAAAGCTGGGGGTGCCTAAGGGCAGGGAGGCCCCAGTGCTCGCTGGGCCACGGTGGAGGTGAGTCCAGGTGACTTAGGCATTCCCCTCCCCCGGGGGAGGTGGGCTAAAGAGGCCTGAGACTTTAAGGCTGATTTCACTGCAGTGGCTGAGAGAGGATTGGCTAGAAAGGAGGAGACACTAGAAAGAGTGGAGGCAGCCTGGGGAGCTGACCCTGCCAACATCTACCTTGGGAAAGAAGGGTCCCCTGTGCCTCCCGTGGAGCTAGAATGGTTCCCCAAGGGCCTTGGCTCCCGGCTGGGGAGGAGGTATCCTGGAGCTTCATCTGTTTGGGCAGAAGATGTTGGGCTTGGAGGGTGGAGGTGCCCAGCAGGAGCAAAGGTCAGGAAGGACAAGCTGGCAGCCTGGTTGGAGGGATGAAGCCAGGTCAGATCCCTGAAGATCCCCCAGGAGCTTGAGTGCCAAACCACTGTCTTTGCCTCCCCACCTCGGTTTCCTCAACTGGAAGGGGAAGGAGTTACACGGAGAGAGTCCCAACAAGCAGGGTCTTGGGCTGAAGAGCCCTCAGCTTCCAGCCCCTGCCCTCCCTCCTCTAATCCCTCCAGCGGGATCAGGGAGGAGGTGCGGGACCTGCTGCCCCGGGCTTGCCCCCATCCCGGCCTCACGCATGGGCGCCTGTCTCAGCCCTCTCCCAGGACGCTGCAGGTGTGGCTGGGCCAGCGCTAATTAGTGGGCCGCGCGGGGGCCCCGCTGAGCCTTTGACAGAAAAGGCGGTAGGGAGGTGGGGGCAGGGAGGCGCTCCACCAGCCAGAAGTCCGGAGCGCAACCCAAAGTGTCAGCTAAGACAATGGAGAGGGGGTGGGCCGGGCAGCTGGAGGGAGTGTCTGCAAAGTCTCTGGAAGGCCCATGGAAGGAGCGCCCTTTGGGTCTTCTGATCCAGCCCTCTGCCTGTGGCAATGCACCCGCTTCCCTCTCCAGGGTCAAGGCGAACATCCCAGGGTTGCAGAGTGGGCCATAATCGCTGAGCGCTGCAGGATACCGTCTTGAACTGTGGTGCGTCCTGCCAGAAACTAGCCCACTTTCTGGGCCTCGTTTTGCCACTCCATGCAAGGGACACACGGAGGTAGGGGCGGCAGTGTACAAACAAAAGGACCGGCTTGCAGTCAAGGACACCTCTGTTGCTCAGCCCCCATTTTGGCTGTGTCCAAACCAAACAGCCTAGAAGAAAAGATCAGGCTGGCTTAACAGGGGAGAGGCAGAGCTCTAAGACATCTGACGGGAGAGACATCCCTCTAGGGTCCCAGTCTGTAGTACCGTGGGACAGCAGTGGGGAGAGGACCCAGTGGGCTGCAGTAGTCAGTCAAGGGCAAGGCCTTGAAGGATGGGCATAGTCCAATGCTGAACAGAAACAGCCGCCTAAGTGGATTATCTGCAATGATGGGTCCAGGCCATGAAGCGATGTGTTCACCCAGAGCCAGGCCTGGAGGCTGCGAGAAGCCCAGGAAGGCAACTCACAGCTGAGGCTGATGTGCTAAGATGTTGAGCTTCGATATCTCACCCCGGTCACCCGAGCGGCCTGGCCGGGGAAGGCATCTGACTCCCAGAGGACCTGCAGCAAGCACTTTGCAGCTGCCTCTAGGCCCCTTCCAGCCCAGCCCTTCCTCCTGAGGGAAGGGCTGTGTGGATCCCCTAATCCTCTGTCCCCCACTCTGCTGCTGCCCCCACTCCCAGGTGGAGTTGCTGGATGTCAGGGCTAATGGGGATTCTACATGACAGGGGCTGTGAAGTGGGGGAGCAGCTGTGAAGGAAGGGAGGAAGTTGAAAGACTTGTCTCCTGAGGCAGTGGAATTAGAAATGATTCCCTGGACTTTTCTGGTCCTTGGGCCCCATCCCCTCCCACACCCCCACCTCCCTATCCAGCCCACCCACCCTGCATCTTTACATCACTGCTTTCTTCCCCCAGCGCAGCCCTTTGGCAGGTGTGGCATGCAAGATGCCAGCTCTCCCGGGGGCTTATAAAAATGAGGGTCTCTCCTGCCTGCCCTGCATCCCTTTGCTTGCACAATCCACTAGCAATCCAGACAATCTGATCCAAACACCATGTGGGTGTGGGAGTGCTGTGGCTGTTTGGAGTTTTTTTTAATTGATGGGAAGGGTAATGCCCAAGCCTCTGTCTCCTACCCTTTCTCGTTGAGGAGTCTTCCTATGCCCAACAGCCCCTTAGCCCAGTACATCCTCTTTCTCTTCTACTCTCTGCCTTCTCAGGAAGTATGGCTGGTGCTAGGGGTGCAACCCTTTAGGCTGGTCAATGGGACTCTCATTTGGTTTGGAGGCTTGGGAAGGTCGGGAGGGGGCACACAATGGTTCTGATGTGGGAAGTATGAGAAGGAGCAGATGGGGTCAGTTAACACCTTTCATAATCCATCCACAAAGATTTCTTTTTCTTCTTTTTTTCTTTTTTCTTTTTCTTTTTCTTTTTTTTTTTTTTTTTTGAGACAGGATCTTACTCTGTCACCCAGGCTGGAGTGCAATAATAGCATGATCAGAGCTCACCGCAGCCTCAACCTCCCTGGGCTCAGGTGATCCTCCCACCTCAGCCTCCTGAGAGCTGGGACCACAGGCACGTTCCACCATGCCCAGCTAATTTTTAAATTTTTCTGTAGAGACGAGGCTTCACCATATTGCCCAGGCTGGTCTCGAACTCCTGGGCTCAAGTGATCCACCCACCTCAGCCTCCCAGAGTGCTGGGATTACAGGTGTGAGCCACTGTAGCTGTCCAAATATTTCTTGAGTGTGTACCATATTCCCAGCACTATTCCATGAAGTGGGACACAACGATGAGCACCACAGATGATGTCTTGCCCTCCTGGAGGTGACAGGTCTTACTGCACCTGAAGCGAGCCTGTGCATGCCAGCCCACTGCCCCTCTTTCTGTTCCACGAAGGCCCTGGATGAGTCCTTTCTCTCCTCTGCCAGAAGTGCCCTTTCCCCAGCTCCCTGGGGGCTGGCACCCCTTGACCCTGAAGGCTCAGCTCAAACGGCCCTTCCCATAAGATGCTTCCTCCAAGCGCACCCAGTCTGGTCTTCCCTCCCACTCTCGTTCACCCATCCTGATCTTTCCCTTAGGAGCACCCACTGCAGTTTGTAATTATGTTATTTGCTCTGTATCCTTCTTTTAGCCTGTAGGCACTTCACATTTTCATTTGTCACTTTCATTTGCCTAGCTTAGTACATAGAAGGCATCCATGCAGTAGATATGCTTGAAGAAAGGAAGCAGGGAGGGAAGGAAGAAGGCAGATCTCAGAGGAAAGGAGAGGAAGAAGTGGAGAGCCAGGCCAAACCTCGAAGTCCTCCAGCACCCAAAGGTCTGAGAGCGAGGAGTGTGAGTCTTCAGAGGAGGCTGACAGGCGGCCCCAGAGGGAAGCTTCCAAAGGACAGTGCACCCAGGCTCTGAGTGTAGCCATCGGAGGCCACTGAAGCCAGAGTGGAGAAGGCCAAGGAGAGGGTGGAAGGTGGGGAAGGAAAGCCAGCAGTGGGGGGCCATGCTTGTGAGGGGAGGAACTGGAGAAGGACTGGGACTGAGCGAGGTTTATTTTGTACTGGAAACATCAGAGCTTCATGGGAAGACAAGAGAGGGAGAGAGAGACAGAGAGAGAGGCAAGGAGGCTCTGGTCCTTCACCCCATGGAGTCATCTCTAGGGCCTGTTTCCCGGTGCAGGGGAAGGACCCACTATGAAGGAAGCAGGGACACCTCCTTAGTGGGAATAGGAAGGAAGAAGAGGGTGGCTCAGGTGCAGGCCAGGCAGGTCTGTAAGGTAGGTTTGAAGGCAGGGAGCTGAGGGAGATCCCCTGCTCTGGCAAAGTGCAAGTTGAACTTATCTTCTCTGGCTGTCCTCAAGGCCCGGAGTTTTCCAAATGGTTGTTACACTTGGAGGATCCTTATAAAAATCTGTGCAAGAATCACCGTGCCCAGTTGATCTTCCTAGTCCAAGTCCTGGTGAAAAGAGCTTAGATCAAACAAAAAGAAGAAGCTTGACCACACATATCCAGACTGGGAAGGGGAGGGACTTTTGGTTTTTCTTTGGCATGGGGTGGCTCGGGGCCAGGCTTGCCCAAAGCAAGAGGGTAAGTGAACCGAGAACCAGTGTGGTCCAGCAAGAAGCACAGGGTGGGTTCCCAGCCCCAGCTCTGCTACAGATGTGCTGTGTGGCCCTGGGCAAGGCTTCTCACACTTCTGGGCCCCATTTTCCTTGCCTGTGAAAGAGGGGTTGGGCCACTCCCCTCTGCATCCTGCCAGCCTGTGGCTGACCCAGAGGCCTCACAGACCCCCTGCCCACCTTGCCAAATGCCTTCATCTCAGGTGTCTCATCTCATTGGTGCATCACAAGAACCTCAGAGAAGGGCACTGGTCAGGACTATGGGCAAGGGACTGTCCCAGGTCTCTCAGCCAGCCTCTAGCAGAACCAAAACTAGGCTTGCCTCCCGCAAGTCCACAGCTTCTTCTATGGGAGTTAGGAAGTATTTTTTGGCATCTAACCCAATTCCCTATGCAAGCTGAGCTCATTTGCCATGTGTGGGTCTCTGCAGCTGCCACATCTGCAGGCATTTCCCTCCTTCCCTTGCCTTTTCACTCCCTCCCCTCCCATGCTGAGCACCCAGTGAGCCTGGGGAGTCCAGGAACCTTGTGATGAGAGCAGAGGCCCCGTCTGGTTTTTCTCACTGACGTCTGCACCCCCTACACACCACATACACACACACACACACACACTGCTCAATCAGTGTGGGGTGAATGGAGGGAAATGCAGTCCTGGTGAGGGCAGAGGAGGGCACTTTTCGGCCACAGCCGGGGGCCAGGAGCTTTTGGAAAATGCTTGGAGTGAGAGAGGAGGGAGTGGGTGAGGTGGGGGTTGAAGCCAGAGGGGAAGCAGCCTCAGGGATGAGAGGCCTCTGTGTGGTGGGGGCGGACTCTGAGGAGGCCTCTGCCCTCTGCCTGGCCCTCCCCCAGCCTCCTGCAGGTGTCCGAGCAGCAGGGGCCCTGCGGGCAGGGGCATGACCCTTACAGCAATGGTGGCTGGCCCTGTCACAGCTAATGACCCTGACGGCCCAGGCTGGGAAGGAGGTGGGGTGTGGAGAGAGGAAGGGAAGGCAGAGGATGCCTCTGTGTGTGTGAGCAGGGTGTTTGGGGTGAGACCCCTACTCACCCCCGCCCCTCCCCCAGCCTACAGGACTGTGTGCAGCGTGAACGGGCCCCTGGTGGTGCTGGACCGGGTCAAGGTAAGACTCTTCTGCTGCCTCCCTGGCACTAAGGCCAAATCCCAGGGCGCCTCTCCCCTGCCCTGCAGGATTTCTTCTAAATTACCCTTTCCCTCCATGGCCCCCAGGGCCTGCTCTGTTCTCTCCATCCAGGCACCCACTCCCACTCTCCTTCCCTAGCTGTATCCCCAGCCGTCCAAGCTTTCTCCTCCCTGCCTTTTCAGTAAAAACCATAAAAACCCCATGGAGGCCCAGCCCTGGGCCTTGGGAAACCTCCTACTATCCCTAACAAGCTGTCCTGCCTCCGTTTCCCTATCAGTGGCATGGACGTACCTAACCTCCTCAGAGGAAGGCTGGACCACAGCACGGCTGTACCTAACCTCCTCGAGGGCTAGACTCTCCCCACCCTCGACTCTCACAGGATCTTCTTTTAACGGGAAAGAGGAGGAGGTGGCAAGTCAATGCCAACTAAATTTTCTAGGGATCTTGATGGCCTCCAAAGGCCTTTGGAATATCTCAGTCTCAGCAACATGGGTGGTAAGTGAAGTGGGCCCCACCAAAGGTAAGTGGGCTGTGGGCTATTTTGTAGCCCCTGGGAAACTGGCAGACACTGACAGTATCTTGAGTCCTGGGGTTGGGAATTCTTGAGCCATAAAGAGCCCTGCAAAGGTACAAGATCACTCTCTTATCCTCCCTCCACCAACCAGCCCCACTCCCTCAGCCTCCCACCCCACCTCCTAGCTGAGCAAACTGGAAGTCTCGGTGCCCCTTTGACCCCTCTTGTCCCAGACCCCACACCTGCCAGCGCCCATGTCTGTAGCTCCCTCCCACCCCACTGCTACCTTGTGATGGCGATGGCCTTGGGCTCCCAGCCTGGCACCCTCCTATCCTGTCTCCATCCTCCAGCCCTTCAGACCTGACCCTTGCATCAAATTTGCCCAGGGCTCTCCAGTGCCCTCAGCTTACAGGTCTTTTCTTTTTTTTTTTTTTTTTTGAGACGGAGTCTCACTCTGTCCCCCAGGCTGGAGTGCAGTGGCGCAATCTCGGCTCACTGCAAGCTCCGCCCTCCAGGTTCACGCTATTCTCCTGCCTCAGCCTCCCGAGTAGCTGGGACTACAGGCACCCGCTACCACGCCCAGCTGATTATTTGTTTTTTAGCAGAGACGGGGTTTCCCCGTGTTAGCCAGGATGGTCTCGATCTCTTGACCTGGTGATCCGCCCGCCTCGGCCTCCCAAAGTGCTGGGATTACAGGCGTGAGCCACCGTGCCCAGCTGCTTACAGGTCTTTTCTATGAGGGTGCCTGCAAGCCTTTCCACTCACTCTCATCACTCTCCCTTCCCTGTGTAGAAACCAACACCTGAAATAGTGTCTGCATGGGGCTGCCATTTGAGATCTCTGGGCACTTGCATGTCATTTTTTAAAAATGTGATCAGTAATGTATGTTTATTAACAAATTAAATTACGAGATGTCACCGCCAGTTTCACTGCTATAATTTTAAAGCAGTGATGAGCACAAATACTATTTTGAGATACCTGCAACGACTGTAATGTGGTATGAAAATATCTGTGATTTCTGATGGTAACAAAGTCACAGGTACCGTGGAAATGCTAATTCTACCGTGGTTTGTTCCTTACATTCAGAACTAGAGGAAACACTAAATTTGCGTAAACGTTAATGAATGTAAAAATGTAACTTTCCCATTCAAGATCACAGAAGCCCTGAGTTCTCTCTGTAGACTCTGAGATAGGTTCTAGGCAAAGAACCCTTCTCACAATTAGTTGGACAAGAGGATAGAGTATGTAGAAAGGAATGACAAAGAATGGGGGATTGTGTCTGTGCATTTTATAATAGACACACAATAATTGTACATATTCCTGAGGTACACAGTGATGTTTTGATACATATAATGCATAGTGATCAGGTCAGGGCAATTAGCATATCCATCATCTCCAGCATCCTTTCTTTGTGTTGGGAATATTAGTATCCTCTTTCTGGCTATTTGAAGAGATATATATATATATATATATATATATATATATATATATATAG
Organism: Homo sapiens; assembly: GCF_000001405.40. Lineage (NCBI taxonomy): Eukaryota > Metazoa > Chordata > Mammalia > Primates > Hominidae > Homo > Homo sapiens. Next base: position 70,945,744 of record NC_000002.12, read on the forward strand.
TTGTTAACTACAGTCATCCTATTGTGGTATAGAACACTAGAACTTATTGCTCCTGGCTAGCTGTAATTTTGTGCACAGATTTTTCCCTCTGCCTCCTAGACTACACTTCCCCCTATTCCCTCCCTCTGACTCATCCCCAGGGTTGAGAGGTCACCTTCTCCTGGATGCCTCTCCCTCTTCTCTACTTTTTGTGGTTTTATTAGTGGCATCCACTGAGGTATTTGGTCAAGATCTGGCCATGTATCTCCTCCCTACCCTTCCCCACACACACCGTGCCCTGCTATTGGCCATGAACTGTGTTTTGTTCATCTTCAGCTCCAGAAGCCCAACACAGCATTTTTACTGAACACATAGGCTATAGTAGGTGCTCAGCATGTTTGCTCAAAGGAAAGGTGAGTACATTAATGAGATAAATGAATGAATAAATGTTAGCATGACTAGCTATGCACCTGTCAAAACCTGAGCCAACAATATTAAATAAATCAGACCCATTCTTTGCTAACAAACAGATTCTGAGTTCATACGGACATTACCACTTGACCCCCCAGTGTAAGGGACGCCCCAGGAGGAAGTGTGGCTGAGTAGTTAAGTGCAGCACACTGGGTTTGGATTTTAATCCCAGATCCATCCCACTCTTTTCTGCTAGCTACATGCCAACCCTAGATCAACAGCATTAGCACTGCCCAGGAACGTGTTAGAAATACAAATTCTTGGGCTCCACCTCAGACTGACAGAATCAGAAGCTCTGGGGGTAGGGCCCAGAAGTCTGTCCTCACAAGCCTTCCAGGTGAACTGATGCTCAAGTTAGAGAACCATCAATCTCGGATTGTAAATCCCAGTTTCCTCATCTATTAAATAATAATAGGATTATTGTGAGGTTCACATCAGACAAATGTAGTATTATTCTCCCTTGAGAATAGCCAGCAATGTTTCTGCCTGGAATGCAGAAATGCTAATAAGCCTGATTCAACAGTTGGTGCCACCTCCTGCCCCCTCTCCACCTCCACCACACTCTCCACCAGACCTGCCATTCTCCATGGGACCCAGTGTGGCATGGAGTCGGAACCTATACAGGTGTCCATTTTCTCCACTGTAAAATGAGGCCGATCTAGGAAACCAGAACTAGGTCCCCAGACCTGTGGTTTTGCGACTATCGGATGCATCTGTAGCTTTGGCAGAGAAAAATAATTGGGTGGTGGAGGCACCTCTCCCCATCCCTCTCCGTTGCCCCTACCCCTTTCCCTCTACCAGGATTTGGCAAATGCTACAATTCTGTTTCTACAGCGCCACCTTCTGCCCACATTGAATCACACAGGCAATTACTCTTCCTGCTTCCGTCCTCAAATGTAAGAACATTTGAGGGAAGAATTTTGTGTAGATCAGAGGTTCTTAGCCCAAGGAATTAGGCCCTTGAAATTGTGTGCAGACCTTTGAAGGTATGCATGAATGTGCCTGTGCATTTTTCTGGTAGGAGTTTCTACAGTTTCGTCTGATTTTTCAGGGTTCGTGACCCAGAAAAGTCTAACTCTCTGATTTGTATAAGTTGAACAAGCATCAGAATATCAGGGGTGCAGGGGGCTTGTTAACAGGCAGATTGCTAGGCCCCACCCCAGAGCTCTGATTCAGCATGCCTGGGGTAGGAGGCCCAAGAATGTACATTTCTATCAAGTTCCTAGGTGATGCTGCTGGTATGGGGACCACACGGAGAACCTCTGTTCTAGAGAATCTTCTGACTCCTGTAGTCTGTGATTCAAATTGGTCCCTGTTTGAGAATTGGAGTAAGCACTCACCTTAACCACCAGACTCCATCCCCAATGTCTGTGGCTGCTTTCAAAAGAGTCTGCATCAGCTCTGAAGACAATTTCCAAAGAGGAGCCTCCGCACTGCCCTGGCCATTGTCAGCAGGAGGGACCTTAGAGGCAGCATTCCTGTGCACAAATCCCGACAGGCTTGCTAAGAACTTCCAGTCCTCCGTGTGTAGACAGCAGCTCCCCTGTGCCTGGCCACTTGCTGGTTGAGAGCTCAGTTGAATCTCCAGCACGGGGTTACATTGCACTGAGTCATGCCCTCTTCCTGCAGCCCTCTTAGTAACCGACATCAACCGAGTTGATGGGATCAGGCCTGCTCAGTATGCGGCTGGGAAATAGGGCCCCTTAAGATACAAGCTCCTGGACTAGCTATCCCCCACGGGAATTCTCCCAGGTACCCACTGCCATAACTGGTCATGAGATCCCACCACCAACAACAATAACGACGAACATCCAGCACACACTTAGAGCCTGGGGCTCTTCCTAAAGGTTCCAGACACTACACCCTCCATGCCTGAGTGTGAAAACCTGATGGCCCTTCCCCAGATCTGACCACAATTTCTGCCATTTAAAGTTCATTTTCTCTGATTTTGTCCTTCAGGGACACAGAACGCACCACTCTCCTCTCCACTCTCCTCTCCTGCCACCCTCCCTCTCTCACCCACATAAACTCACATGAAAATGATCACTTTTTTTTTTTCTTTTTGAGACGGAGTCTTGCTCTGTCGCCAGGCTGAAGTGCAATGGCACGATCTCTGCTCACTGCATCCTTCTTCTCCCGGGTTCAAGCGATTTTCCTGCCTCAGCCTCCCGAGTAGCTAGGACTACAGAAAATGATCACTTTTAAATCACTCCACCGCCTGATTTCTTTGGGGCACACTCTGGCCTGTGTTCTGTACAGCAACTTTTCCCCTGAGGTTGAAACAGCCCTCCGTCACCTCCAGGGAGATGACAAATAATGAGGCAGGGCCCGTTTCGTATCGAAACACAGGTTATCAGAGTGGGAGAGGAAAACGAGCCGGGACGTGTGTTCCACGCGTTTCCCAGGCCCTCGCTGTCCGTGCTCCTGGGCTCCCTCTTGTGGTTGAGAACCCAAGACGCCTGGGTGTTCGGAGCTCCTCCCACCTCGGAGCCCTCCTCCCCGGCCGGCCTAGTGCTGAAGCCCCCACTCCGCAAGGCTGAGGGGTGGTTTGGGGAACCACAGGTCACCTTCCTGGCATCCTCTTCACAGGACAAGGGAGGACTCAAGGTAGCGCTCCCTTCCGTGTGATTGTCAGGGCTGCAAACCTAGTCTCAAGTTCGACCAGCAGGGGTTCCCTGGCGGAGTGGTCCCTACTTGGTCACACCTTGCTGGGGAATTGGACCCTCCGCCCCAACCCGCAAGCCCTTAAGGTCACTAGTTTGTGGCCAGTAGGTGATATAACGATAGTAATGATGATGATAATCACCAGCACTGTGCTGTAACATGTCCTAAAAATGTATTATATTTTAATTGCAAAAATAATACATGCTCCTTGTAACTTAGTGAAAAAGAGGAAAGACACGTAAAGTTAACTATCTGCCCCTAACCGCTTTATTCTCAGCCCCGAAAGACCCTGCTGAATACGCTCAAACACAGGCAAATATGTTAGAGGTTGACCTCGGGGTCAGTCCCTTGAGAGCCAAGGGACTGACAGTGGATCCACTGACAGTGTCAGCGGATACACATTTTACGCATTCTTTTGGATACTGGCATAGCAGGCGATAGTATGGATGTACTGTAACTTACTCAATAGTCCCATTATTGACAGACATTCGTATGTTCTCAGGTTTTGCCATTACAAATAGTACAATATTGTATCCCTTTTAAACGGACGCTTTTGTGGTTATAGGATAGATTCCCAGAAGTGGAATTGCTGGTTCAAGTACTTTTTTATTTCAAATTAGATATTGACAATTTGGGGCAAGATGGCTTGCCCAGAAGGGTTGTGGTAATTCACATTTCCACCAACCAGGTATGAGAGGACCCACTTCCCCACATCCTTGCTGGCCCTGAATATGTTCTCTCTGTAGTTTTACCTATCTAATAAATGAAAACTAGTACTGTCTCGCTTTTATTTACATTTCTCTGATAACTAGGAAAGTTGAGTGTCTGTCCATATGTTTACCATTTTGATTTTGCTTCCTTCTCCGTGAAATCTTCCTACCAAGCAAGTTGTGCATACGGGAGCTCCTTGTTTATTGCTCACAGGCTATCTTTTGCAACAATAAATGAAACAAAGATTTCATCTATTGTGTCTCTGCCATACAGAAGTTTGAAATACTCATATGATCAAATATTTTTTGTTTATACCTTCTGAATTTCTTGTCTTGCTTAAAGACATTGCTCATCTGTCTTTTAATTGGATTATTCAGAAAGATAGGAAAGAAGAAAAGCTCTTCCAGTATTTTTTAAAAATTGTTTTTACTTTATATTTAAATTTTTTTTACATGCCTGGAATGTATTTGGGTTTATGATGTGGTTATCTTCTAACTAGATATCCTCTTATGTTCTATATATTATTTCCCCTCTGAGAATTAATTAATATACAACATTTGTTCTATAATAGTCCTATAAAATCTGGGATCTCCTTCTGGACTTTTTTTCTTTCCTACTGATCCATTTGTCTACCTCATATCAATTTACTGCTTGACTTCAGTAGCTTTATAACAAGTTTTAATATCTGAAAAGGCAAGTCCTCTATCTCTGATCTTTTTCATAACTACTTTGGCTATTCTCAGACATTTATGTGAACTTTAAAATAATTTTATTAAATTTTAAAATAAACAATAATCCATTAGGGTTGGATCAAATTTATATACTTTTCAAAAGGATTAATGTTTTTATGCTAGTAACTAAGAACATTAAGACAATAATGTTCTTCATTGTTTAGGACTTGTTTTATGTTATTCCATAATTTTTTTTTGTACCTTTCTTGTTATATTTATTTCTAGCTATTTTATGAGTTTTGGCCCTATTGCAGATGGGATGGTTTTCTCCGTTGCCTCTTCTAACTGGTTACTACTAAAATAGAAAAAAAAGGAGGGGGGGAATGATTTTTAAATATTTATCTTATAAACAGCCAAATTATCTTATTCATTCTAAAACCTTCTTTCTAAACCAGAACCTCTTGAGTCTTTCTAAATGTATAATATAATCTGCAAATAAAGGGAATTATGTCTCTTTTTCCGTCAGTATACTTTTACTTTACTTTTTATTTTGAAACAATTTCAATTTTATAAAAATTTGCAAAGATAAAAATAGTAGTAGGAACATCCATGTCACCAACGGTTAATATATTATCTCATTTGCTCTATCATTTGCTCTCCATGTGTGACTGTGTGTGCATAATTTTTTCCTGATTTTTTTTTTTTTTTTTTTTTTTTTTTGAGACGGAGTTTCACTCTTGTTGCCCAGGCTGGAGTGCAGTGGCAAAATCTTGGCTCACTGCAACCTCCAGCTCCCCGGTTCAAGCGATTCTTCTGCCTCAGCCTCCCGAGAAGCTGAGATTACAGGCGCCCTCTACCACGCCTGGCTAATTTTTGTATTTTTAGTAGAGACAGGGTTTCACCATTTTGACCAGGCTGGTCTCGAACTTCTGACCTCAGGTGATCTGCCCGCCTCGGCCTCCCAAAGTGCAGGGATTACAGGCATGATCCACTGCGCCCGGCCTTCCTGAATCTTTTGAGGGTACGCTAAGCTCAAGTACTTCAGTGTATATTTCCTAAGAATTAAGATATTCTTTTATATAACTACAGTAGAGCTATCAACTTCTGAAATTTATACTGATACAATACTTTAATCTACCATCCACATTCCAATTTATCAGTTTACCTGATATCGGGTAAGCTGATAAATTGGAATGTAGCATTTTTTTTTTCACTCCAGTATAGGATCCAGTCTAGGGTCAGGTATTGCATTTGTCATGTCTGTCTAGCTTCCTATAATCTGGAACATTTTCCCACAGCCCTTCTTTGACTTCCCACAGCCTTTCTTTGACATTTTTGAAGAATACAGTCACCTTCAACCACCACCTTTAAAAAAATAGAACACTCGGCCAGGCGCGGTGGCTCATGCCTGTAATCCCAGCACTTCAGGACGCCGAGGCAGGCAGGTCAGGAGTTCGAGACCAGCCTGACCAACATGGAGAAACCCCATCTCTACTAAAAATACAAAACATTAGCTGGGTGTGGTGGCACATGCCTGTAATCCCAGATACTTGGGAGGCTGAGGTAGGAGAATCGCTTGAACCCAGGAGGCAGAGGTTGCAGTGAGCCAAGATCGCACCATTGCACTCCAGCCTGGGCAACGAGTGAAACTCTGTCTTAAAAAAAAAAGATAAATAAAAATAAATAGAACATTCTCTGTTTATGTTTAATTTTCTTTTTTCTTTTTCTGGTCTTACTGTATAAACAAAAACTTCCAAAACAATGTTAGGTAACAATTATAATATAGGCATCTCTGTTACTGATTTTCATTGGAAATGAAAGTAACGTTAGCATTTTACCATGTACAAGGATGTTGATGTTGGTTTTGGTTAATAGTTTAGTGTTCAAGTAGTTGCCTTCCATTCCTGTTTTATATAGAATTGTATTAGAAACAGATGCTTGGCCAGGCACAGTAGCTCACGCCTGTAATCCCAGCACTTTGGGAGACCAAGGTGGGCAGATCACCTGAGGTCAGGAGTTGGAGACCAGCCTGGCCAACATGGTGAAACCCCATCTCTACTAAAAATACAAAAAATCAGCCGGGCGTGATGGCGCACACCTGTAATCCCAGCTACTTGAGAGGCTGAAGAAGGAGAATTGCTTGATCCTGGGAGGCGCAGGTTGCAGTGAGCCGAGATCTCGCCATTGCATTCCAGCCTGGGGGACAGAGTAAGACTCTGTCTCAAAAAAAAAAAAAACCACACATAAAACAGATGCTGAATTTTATCAGAAGCCTTTTGGCTTCTATTTACATAATCTTATAGGATTCTTTTTTAATCTATGTTGACGAACTCTCTATTATTATGAATTTTGTTATCAAATATTGACAAATTCCCTAAAGTTGATTGCTCTAGTCTTGCATTCTTGGATTAAATCCTACTTGGTCATACATGTTTATTTAATGCACTGCTTGATTAGACTAATAATTTATTTCTGCATCTATATTAATAAGAAATATTGATCTATAGTTTTCCTTTTGGCTCTATCTTTAATGTATTTGGGAATTGGGGGCTTTCTATTTGGTAGTTGTTTCCTTCTAATTGTTATTCATTTTATTTTATTAGCTTAGCTAGTTCCTCCCGTACAAGGCTGAATAGAATGAGAATAGCAGGGATTCTTGCTTTGCTCCTAATTTTAAACGGAATGCTTTATGCATCGTATCATTGAATATCATATTTTTCTGTAGGGTTTGTTTGTTTGTTTGTTTTTTGTTGAGACAGGGTCCCTCTCTGTCACCCAGTGCAGTGGTGCAATCTCAGCTCACTGCAACCTCTGCCTCCTGGGTTCAAGTGATTCTCCTGCCTCAGCTTCCCCAGTAGCTGGGATTACAGGCACCCACTACCACACCTGGCTAATTTTGTATTTTTAGTAGAGATGGGGTTTCACCACGTTGGCCAGGCTGGTCTCAAACTCCTGACCTCAAGCGATCTGCCCACCTCAGCCTCCTAAAATGCTGGGGTTAAAGGTGTGAGCCACTACACCCAGCCTATGTAGGGTTTTTTGAGGATATTCTTTTTGGAGTTAAGAAATTTCCCTTTTATTTCCTGTTTTCAAAGAGTACTTTTGTTCTTTTTTGTTTTGGTTTTAATCATGGATGGGTTTTTTTGACTTTTTTCAAAATGTTTTTAGGTGTTCATAGTTTTTAATCTTTTAATTTGTTAATAAGGTGAATTACATGAATAGATTTTCTCATATTAGACTAGCCTTACATCCCTAAAATAATCCCAACTTGGTCTTTTAAAATTTCTGTTTATGTGTATATGTTTATCTTCATTTCTTTTCTTTACTATTTTGGCTTATAACTTGGTCTTTTTTATACATTGCTAGATTGGGTTAATATTTTGTTAGGATTTGTGCATCCATGTTCACGAGTGAGATTGCCTACAAGTTTCCCATAATTATTTTATTTTGGTATCAAGGCTATAATTGCCTCATAAAATGAGTTAAATACAGTACCTTCTCTTCCTGGCTTTGAAGAGCTTAAGTTTCAAATTATTTATTCCTTGACTGTTAGAACTCACTGGTAAAACTATCTGGGATTGCTATTTAATATCTTAAAGATTTCAGGATTATTCTGGCTTTCAATATCATTTTCAGTTGGTTCTGGTTTGAGTTATATTTATTCATGTTATCTAATTTCTCAAATGTGTTGCATAAAATTGTTCATAGTTCATCTTTTTAATATTATCAGTTTATCTAGTTGTGAATTTATCCCAACAATTATTTATTCATGCCTTTCTTATTTCTTAATCTGTGTTGCCAGCAATTTGTCTACTTTATTCAGCTTTTCAAAAAACCAATTGGCTTTGTTGGTCTTCTCTATTCTATATTTGTTTTCTGTTTTAATAATTTCTCCTCTTATTTCCTCTACTTTCTTTGGGGTTTTAATGCTGTTCTTTTTTCTGACTTCTCACATTGCATACTTTTAGCTTCTTCAACATTTTTCTTATCTAATATAATCATTTAAAGCTTTGAATGCATCACACATATATTGACATACAGCTTTTCACTATTATGGGAGCGAAATGTTTTCTAGTTCTGATTATAAATGCTTCTATAGCTAGAATGCTTTTCTTTCCAAATGTAAGAGGTATTTCTAACCATTTTTTTGCTGTTGTTATTGATTTCTAACTTACTTTTATGGTCAGAGAATATGGCACAGCTTTATATCTTTCATAGGTAATGGCACAAAATCATGACCTCCTCATTCTTTTCCAGATAATCTGTTATTTCAGTTTTGATTGCCTCTAATGACAAGGAGTAATTCAGAAGCGTGCTTTAATTTCTCAGAATATTAGGAATTTGGGAGGAAAGTGTTGTCTTTTTACCATCAATATTTTGTTTGTTTGTTGTTTTGGGTTTTTGTTTGGTTTGGTTTTGTTTTTCATAGAGATGGGTCTCGCTGTGTTGCCCAGGCTGATCTCAACCTCCTAGGTTCAAGTGATCCTCTCACCTCAGCCTCCCAAAGTGCTGGGATTACAGGCGTGAGCCACTGTGCCTGGCCCCATTAATTTTAGTTGGATTATGATTATGGCTTACTCCCTGGTAAATCAGCGACCTGGGAAGTGAGGTGAGGGAGCCTAGGGGATGCAATGCGTTTGCTCCAGGACTTTTTCCGGGAAGAAGGTGCAGGTATGGGGCTTAGATCTCTTGGTGCTGATGACAGCTGACGATGAGTGTCAATGGGGATGGTGTGCTCTGCTAGCCCAGCTTCCCAGGCCAAGTCTGTGACCTCCTCTAGCTGTGGGTAAAGACTGGGACTTGGTGGCTCCCAGAGCGTGCACAGACAGCAGAGCTCAGGGATTCCCCGGGGCAAAGCTCTACCTGCCCATGTGCTGCCTGTGGTCCTGGAGGAACAGCCTGATGGTTTGTTGGTTTGGTTTTTGGTTTGGTTTGGTTTGGTTTTCTGAGATAGGGTTTCACTCTGTCACCCAGGCTGACGTGGGACATGATCACGCAGTGGCATGCAGTGGCATGATCATGGCTCATTGCAAGTTCGACCTCCTGGGCTCAAGTGATCTTCCTTTCTCAGCTACCTGAGTATCTGGGACCCTGATGTGTTATAAAAATTGAAATATAACTCACATACTGTTAATTCAGTAGCTTTTAGTATATTCACAGTTATGCAAACATCATCATAATAAAATTCCAAAACATTGTCATCACCTCAAAAAGAAACCTCATGCCCATTAGTCCTCACTCCAGTCCTCCCTCTCCCAGCCCCTGAGCACCAACTAATCTACTTTCTGTCTTTATGGAATTGCCTATTCTGGACATTTTCTATTAATAGAACTGTGTAATATGTGGCCTGCTGTGCCTGACTTTTTTCACTTAGCATAATATTTTCAAGGTTCATTCATGTTGCGGCATCTATCAGTGCTTCTTTTTTTTAATGAATTGGCATATTTGTTTATTTCTCAATTCGTGAAAATGTCCTTAATTTGTTGATGTAGCAAACAAATTTCAACTCTGCTAGGCAAAAAAACAAATCTGCTTTGCAGTGAACTTCATATAATTCAACTGCATACAGGCAACACACTATATATGAAAAAAGTTACTAACTGAATTATGGGTATTAACTACTGAAAAGAGTTAACAGTTTATTATAATTTTTTTTTTCACAATCTAGGAAGCTGGCAGCCAGCAGCAGTTCTAACACAATTTCGGGTGCTATTGGGAATTCGGGAATCTTGGTGGAGCTGTTACTGTAGTGAAACTTGTTCGCAAAATACAAGCATACTTTTACTAGCACATGTGAAGGAATCTCTCTAAAATTGACCTCATTGGTTTTGTTCTCAGCAAACTGATCTGGGCCATTCAACATAGTTTTTATTGTGCCTGGTGTTGATGCCTGTTCTCTTTTTACAATACATTCATGACCATTGGATGATATCAATTTGACATACATGGCATCAGGGACTTCATAGCCACCATAGGTTTTCTCCTCTCCATCCATTTTGTTCTTATGAAATCCTCCTTTGCTTCCCAAGGAACTTGAGAAGTTTTTCATTAGCCCCACAGCCACCATAGCCGGGTCCCCATGTACTGCCATAGCCCCATTCCAGGGCTGCCCCCTGACCCGGCTGCCTGCCCCCATGGGTTCCAGGGCAGTCCCTTCCTTTTTAATGCTGAATGATATTCTATTGTATGAATACATCATATTTTGTTTATCCATTCATCAGTTGATGGACATTGAGTTATTTTCACTTTTGGCTATTATGAATATTGCCAGACTGCTTTCCAAAGTGGCTGCACTATTTTCTATTCCTCCCAGCACTGTATGAGCATTCAAATTTCTTCACATCCTCAACACTTGTTATTATTATTTTATTTTATTTTTTTGAGACGGAGTCTTTCTCTGTTGGCCAGGCTGGAGTACAGTTGCATGATCTTGGCTCACTGCAACCTCTGCCTTCCTGGCTCAAGGGATTCTCCTGCCTCAGCCTCCCAAGCAGGTGCCCGCCACCATGCCTGGCTAATTTTTGTATTTTTGTAGAGACAGGGTTTCACCATGTTCCCCAGGCTGATCTCAAACTCCTTATGTGATCCACATGCCTCAGCCTCCCAAAGTGCTGGGATTACAGGCATGAACCACCTTGCCTGGCCTATCTTTTTTATTATAGCCATCCTAGAGTGTGTGAAGTGGCATCTATCTCATTGTGGTTTTGATTTTCGTTTCCCTAATAACTATTGATGTTGAGTATCTTATCTTGTGGCTATTGGCCATTTGTATGTCGTCTTTGTAGAAATGTTTTTTCAAATCCTTTGATCAAATCCTTTTGATTATTATGGTTTAAAAGTTCTTCTTCTTTTTTTTTTTTTTTTTTGGATGGAGTCTCACTCTATCACCCAGGCTGGAGTGCAGTGGCGTGATGTCGGCTCACTGCAACCTCTGCCTCCTGGGTTCAGTGATTCTCCTGCCTCATCCTTCCAAGTAGCTGGGACTACAGGTGTGCACCACCACACCTGGCAATATATATATATATATATATAGCATTTTCAGTAGAAACGGGGTTTCACCATGTTGCCCAGGCTGGTCTCAAACTCCTGATCTCAAGTGATCCGCCCACCTCGGCCTCCCAAATTGCTGGGATTACAGGCATGAGCCACCACACCCAGCCTGAGTTCTGTATATATTCTGGATATTAGCCTGATTTTTAAAATCCTTGATCCCTGGAAGGACTGCGTGAGTCAATTCTAGTCCCATGCCACTGGTATCGAAGGACGCCTGAGCAGAGGGAAGCACTTTGCGAGTGTGTTTACCCCTAGTCCACAGAGGCAGAAACAGATATGCTGTCCAGGATCCCGAGGCAGCCCAGTCATTATTACATCTTTATTGAGGTTTTACAAAGTGCCAGGCACCATGCTAATGGATCTGCATATGTTATCTCATTTCCTCCCTGCAGCAGCCGTGGGAAGTAGGTGTTATTATTATCCACATTTTAAAGACGAGGAAACTAAACCTCATTACTTATGACTTACGTATTTAATGAGTTACTGAAATCGTAAAGTAACTTCCACAAGGTCAGGCAGCTACTAAGCTTCAGAGTTTCAGCTGTAACCTGGTCTTGCAACTCTGAAGTGGGTGCAACTGCCTCCCAAACAGAATTCAAACTTTCACTTCCCAGCCCCTTGAGTTCATTTCCACAAGTGTCTGGACACTAGAGGGGAGAGAACAGTTTGGGACTGGGTCAGGGAGGGCCGGAGGAGGAGAAGGGACTTTGCCTCCAGTCTCACTGTCACGTGGCTGCTCTCCCCTCCTGCCAGTTTGCCCAGTATGCGGAGATCGTCCACTTCACCCTCCCAGATGGGACTCAGAGGAGCGGGCAGGTGCTTGAGGTGGCTGGCACCAAGGCGATTGTTCAGGTGAGTGGGGTCAATGGGACATTGGCTAGTTAAATCAATGAATTAACCCATAAAGTTCCCACACTATCTACAAACTCTGAAGGCAGGAAATGGTCTATTTCCCTGAGAGCACAGAAAGTGCCCAGAATGGGTAGCCCCATTCCCTCCAGCAGGCCCCTTAGTGGAGAAACTCCCTCTTGTTCCCACAGGTGTTTGAAGGGACATCAGGGATCGATGCCAGGAAGACCACTTGCGAATTTACAGGGGACATCCTACGAACTCCGGTGTCAGAGGACATGCTGGGTGAGGGACAGGGAGGGGCAGGGGTGGGGGTGCTCCTCTGCCCTCCCAGCCCAGCTTCTCTGACCAAACCCTCAGCACACTACACTGTCACTTCCTGTTTACTTCCTGCCTGTCTCTCTGGTGGGCTCTTTGAGGTCTGGGGTATGTCTTCTCTCTGATTCCTGACCCCAGCTCAGGGTCTGACATACAGGTGTTCAATAAATGAGGAAGGTGGGTTCAATAAACTAGAGACACAGTAGGTAGCCACCTATTTGGAGCCAGGCTGAAAGGGACTGCTAAGCCTTGAATATCCCCTAATTCTCTCCCAAGACCTGGCCTGGCCCTCTCCTCTCTCTAGTCCTGGAATCCCCCATTAGAGTCATGGTCCTGGGCCAAGGCCTTGCCTGTAAAGGTTTCCAGGAGAGGAAGGAAGACTCTCACAGGACAGTCCTTGTAGCTGGCTCTCTGGGTTACCTGTGGGCTGCCGGGGAGGGGGATACAGGGCACTCCTGTGGGGAGTGGGTGGGAGCTGGTGGTGGTGTGGAGGGTAGACAGTAGTGAGGGACACAGGGCTAGCCTGAGCACCCTGCAACACTCCTCGTCCACCCTCAGGTCGGGTTTTCAATGGCTCCGGCAAGCCCATTGACAAGGGGCCAGTGGTCATGGCGGAGGACTTTCTGGATATCAATGGTGAGTGACTGGAGGTTCTGGATGGCTTCGGGACCCAGCCCTAACACCTTCCCCACTCTTGGAAGTTCTGCCCAGACTCACAAGCAGATCAGATGTGATGGGAGAGCAGCAAAGGCCTCTCTATCCCCAAATCTTCCACTGAACCCCAACACTGCCGTCAGCACTCCATGTCCATCCCCTGTAAAATGCCATCATCATTGGGCAGTGTTCCACGCCTGCCCGAAGGCCATCATGCCCCTGCCTTTGGCTTCCTGTCCACAATCCTGAGAATGGGCTGCGGTGCTCTGCCGGCTCTCGTCCATTCAAGTGGGCACCTTCCCCAGGCCTCAAACCCTATCCCATCTGTTTACTGAGGACACACTGGGAGGCCTGTGGGAGCCCGTGGCTTGCCCTACGCCACACAGAAAGTCAGTGGCAGAGCACAGAAGACTCATCTGCTCAGACAGGAGGCTGAGTCACCCGCAGGCCCTCTGAACCCTGCACTAGTATCTGGAGGTGGTGATGAGGGCTCTGCCCTCTTGGGCCCTGAAGCCTCAGCCTGAGTTTCCACCTGCCTGCCACTTCCAAAGCACAAGGGCAGCTCTGTCCAAGGTAGCACTGGGCCTGTGGCTATTTAAATTTAAACTAATTCAAACAGAAAGAAAGTCCCATTTCAGAGTCACACGTCATGTGCTCAATAGCCATTTGTATCTAGGGCTACATCAGGCAGCACGGCCAGAGCACGTTTCTATCATCACAGAAAGTTCCGTCAAACAGGGCGGCTCTGGAGTCTGGGGTCAGTGTCGAGGAGAGCAGGGAAGGGTTTGAACCCCTGAGCATGGCTCTGTGATCGCCCTCTCCCAGGCCAGCCCATCAACCCGCACTCCCGCATCTACCCCGAGGAGATGATTCAGACGGGCATTTCTCCTATTGACGTCATGAACAGCATTGCCCGCGGCCAGAAGATCCCCATCTTCTCAGCAGCCGGGCTCCCCCACAATGAGGTGAGGCCTGCAGGGCCAGCAGGCATGGCTGGGGGAGGGACAGAGCAGAGGCTGGGGCTGCTGGACCAGTGAGGACAGCTCCTGTGCCAAGCAGGCAGGGGCTGGCAGGGCTGGGGTCGCCAGCATCGAGACTGGCAGCTGTCCCTGGGCAGCTCAGGGACTCAGGACTGCACAAGATTTCCTCCAGGTCCAATCTTCAGGCTGCCCCAAATGAGGCAGCCCATGGGGAGCTCCCAGAGTAGAAAGTCCTGCTTGGGGGAGCTCACAGCCCCTACCACCATCCCTGCACTCATCTTTACTCACCCGCTCCTGCTTCTCTCAACCACCAACAGTGAACAGCCGCTTCCTCTCAGAGCAGCTGGTGTGACAAGGTCTCTAGATGCTCCTCCAGCCACCCAGCACCCTGATCACTCAAAATGGCCTGAGTGATCAGAGGGCATAAGTGCCCCCACCCTACTGTGACCCTTCCTTCCCAGCTCTGGACATGGTGTCTTGGAGGCCCACAGACTACAGGCCCAGGGCAACTCTGTGTCCAAATAGCGCCCCCAGCAGGCTGTGGAGGGGTATGGAGCTGCCCTATGCCAAGGTACCCAGACCCATAAAGAGGCAGTTGCTCTTTGGGACTGTTACTCTGTCCTGCCTCTCGTGTCAGGCACCCCCAGCCCACTAGCAGCCCACAATAACTCCCACCCCCCACCCCAAGAAAGACTAGCACCTGGGGCAGCCCCCTCACCTCTCTGGGCTTGGATCCCTCCCACCAAAGGCCATGAGCCAGTGGTGCTCAGTGGGACAGGGGTCAGCTCCGACTCTGACGTCCTCCTGCCCAATCCACTCTGCCCTAGATTGCCGCTCAGATCTGCCGCCAGGCGGGGCTGGTGAAGAAGTCCAAGGCTGTGCTGGATTACCATGACGACAACTTCGCCATCGTCTTTGCAGCCATGGGGGTGAGGAGACTTAGTAGACTGGCAAGTTCTGGAGGCTGTGAGCAGGCAGCCTGTCTCCCTCAGCCCCTGGCATGACCTGATCTGATGGGGAAGCCATCAGTGTCCCGGCCAGCCAGGAGGGGTGAGGATGGGAGCAGTGACCACGGCCATGTGTCCCTCAGGGTGTCCCAAAGGCAATCACAGTGGTAGGATGGGCCCTGGGTGGCCTGAAGGAGGGGAAGCCAGGGGATTGGGGGAAAAAAGATAGCTTCAGGAACGGGAGGCCTGGGAGGCCAGGGAGGTGGGCAGAGCAGCAGCTGGCGACAGGAGGGGCAGGGATGGCACTGAGCAGAGCTGGACTTAAAGAAGTCTCAGCCTCTCCAGGGGGATCTGACAAGGCCCTATGAGGACTGGGGCAGCAAACCCAGTGCCTGCCCTTTCCAGCCCCGGGGTCACCCCATGGCCTTGGTGTCTTCACCCCCAGCGACTGGTAGCTGGTCAGTCCACAGGCTTTCCTGAGGACACCTGGGAGGGGCCAGGCCTTGCCCTCAGGCCACAGGGCCCTACCTCCAGCCCACCCTGCTGTGTATCCAGGTGAACATGGAGACAGCCAGATTCTTCAAGTCTGACTTTGAGCAGAATGGAACCATGGGGAACGTCTGCCTCTTCCTGAACTTGGCCAATGACCCCACGTGAGCTTTCCCTGATGCCCAAACTGCCCTCAGGTGGGCAGACCCCGTCCCCTTCCAAGACCTACAGTACCAGGGCTCCAGGGCATCCCAGAACTACAGCCATACGCCAGAGCTGGGAGAACAACCCTCATTGTGTAGATAGGGAAACTGAGGCCTGGGAAGGGCTAGGAAAACTCACAGGCAGAGGGAGCCAGAACATGACTCTGTCTGCTGCCTGTGCCCTCTGCTCTTCCCACAACCCATGTCCAGCCACCATTCCAACTCAGGGCTCCTCATCTCTGTGTCACATCCACAAAGTCACCCCAAGAAGATCAAACTGCTATTATAAAAGTGTAGAAAATGGGAGTTTAAATCTGGGGGTCAGGTGGATGAAAACAATTCTAATAAACTATCCTGGGTATTTCTGGAGGGTACTCCAGAAAGCAGATAATAGAATTCTGGAGGTTTTGGTGACATCCCCAAGGGGAAGAGCCACAGCTCCAGAGCTGGGAACTGAGAGTGTCTGAAGCTGAGGTACGGTATTCAGGAGCACTTCACGTGGGAAGGGTTCATAGGGCTGGCAAGCATAGGGACGAGCACATTAGGTGTGCTTTGAGCAGTGAAAGGGACAGTGAGAGGAGCAGTGAGAGGGACGAAACCATCCAGAGGACATGCAGTGAGGGTGCTCCAGCTGACCCAAGTGTGGGTGCCCTAGGATAAGACAGAGCTAAAGCAGGTGCCCCCAACTCATCTACAGTGTGATATGCCAGAGTCCTTCCCCTTCGGTCCACAGGGGACAAAAGCCACTCTCATCTTCATCAGGCACTCCTGGCCCTGCCTGGCTTTTCCCACCCAACTTGCCTCCTGGCCTCAGCCCCTGTCCCCTTTCCTACCTTGGACAGTAGGCGAGGTGTGTGTTGGAGTCTGCCTACTCCCAGGAACCATGGCCCTGGCCTAGGGGATGGGGGCAAGGGCTCATCTTATCCATTCCTCTGCCACTATGCACAACACCAGCTTCCCAGTTCACCTTGCGCTCAGCCCCCAGGCTATGTGGTGCATTAGCCCAGGCCTCCAGGCTCTCTAAACACCTGGCTACACCTCCAGGATCGAGCGGATCATCACCCCGCGCCTGGCGCTGACCACTGCTGAATTCCTTGCCTACCAGTGTGAGAAGCATGTGCTGGTCATACTGACGGACATGAGTTCCTATGCAGAGGCCTTGCGGGAGGTAAGCTGGCTAGCAAGGGGTGTCAGATTCCTCCCTACCCCTCCCTAAGCCTGACACCCCAGACGGTCACCCTGCAAATAGAGGGGAGCTGGTCCACCCAAGCCTGCCCCACTCCCATGAGTTCCAGGGCTTGGTCTCAGCCTGGCCATTCCTCCCCTGCCCCCCACTCCATTTCTCACAGGGTCACTGAACCTCCCACCCACCCTTCCTAGCTTCAGCCTCTCATCCCCTTTCTTACCCCAGTGCCCATGGATATTGCAGGTCTCTGCTGCTAGAGAGGAGGTGCCTGGGCGCCGAGGGTTTCCTGGATATATGTACACAGACCTGGCCACCATCTACGAGCGGGCGGGCCGCGTGGAGGGTCGGGGAGGATCCATCACACAGATCCCCATCCTCACCATGCCCAACGACGGTAGCCTCCTCACAGCCCACTACCCTCCAGAGCTCCCCTGTCCTCCCTTTTCCAACCAGATACTTAAAGGGCCCACGTTGCTTTGCACAGATGTGCAGCAGCGCTTTTCCTCCATCGAGATAGACACTGCCCTTTCCTCCACCATCCATGCCCCCCACACATCCCTATCACTCCCATGAGGGAAACAGACCCCAGGTGGCCCTGAGTGGTTGGAGACCTGGGCCCCCACCCACACTGAGGCCAGTGAGTTTTCTTGTAGATATCACCCACCCTATCCCAGACTTGACGGGCTTCATCACAGAGGGACAGATCTACGTGGACAGACAGCTTCACAACAGACAGGTACTGCCCTGTCCCTACCCACTTCCTGCTCTCAGCCCAGAGAAACACTGAGGAACAGATGTTTCACTGCCCCCAGGCATGAATTAGGAGGGGCCAGCCAAAGCGAACCCCAAACAGGAGACAGCCACAGGGAAGACTGCATGGTTCACAGACAGAAGACAGGCCTGAGCAGAATCTGGTTTACCTGGCTCTGGGATCTTGAGAAGATAATTTCATCTCTTGGATCCTAGGTTTCCTCATCCATAAAATGGGAATAATCAAATATATCACCCAGACGCATTGTGGAGGATAAAAATAAGTTGGCATATAGAAAGCATCTGGCAGATAGTCAATACTATTTGCCTTCCCTTTCCAGTTATTTGCTTCGGTGGGCAGAAAACAACGGCTAACTAACACACATCTGTCCTGTGTGTAGGTTAAAGGTGACCTCTATGACGTTTTTCTCTTTGCTTGGCAGGTATTTTTTTTTTTTTTTTTTTTTTGCAGCTATTAACCATTAAGCTTCAAAGTGGTTTTTGTCCACATTATCAAAAGTTTTGAAATACTGAGCCTTTTATTAACTAATGCCATGTCATCTTCCCCCTCCACTGTTCTGTCTAGGGCCACATATAAGACAGCTGATGCCCAAGCCCTAGAATTTGTGGGAGATAAGAGAGGGTGGGTGTGGCTGTTGACCCCTCGGAATGTAGGATAAGTGAGGAGCTTCTCCTGAGAACAATTTGGGGACAGGGGGAGCAAAGCTTGAGTCCTGCTGTCCACCACTCCCTTTTTCTTCTCCCTCAGATCTACCCCCCCATCAACGTGCTCCCTTCCCTGTCGCGGCTGATGAAGTCAGCCATTGGGGAAGGCATGACAAGAAAGGACCATGGAGATGTCTCCAACCAGCTGGTAAGGAGAAGAGGGTCCGGGGGCTGGTAGGTCCTCTAGTTTCCGAAGCTGAAGGCCTGAGCCCCATCTGAAGGACAAGCTTTTCTCCTGGCAAAATTCCTTTCCGAACGGGGTCCCAGTGTGGCCAGGTTGGGGGCTACTGGACTCCCGTGGTAAGCCCGCAGCGGCCACCGACGCCTTGCCCCTCCCCCAGTACGCCTGCTATGCCATCGGGAAGGACGTGCAGGCCATGAAGGCAGTAGTTGGGGAGGAGGCGCTCACCTCTGAGGACCTGCTCTACCTGGAATTCCTGCAGAAGTTTGAGAAGAACTTCATCAATCAGGGTAAGGCGCGTCGCTGGTGTGGAGCCAGTAACCTCTTCACCCTCCTTCCGCCCCACACACATTCCTAACACTCCCTCCCGCTCTGTCCCTAGGCCCCTACGAGAACCGCTCGGTGTTCGAGTCGCTGGACCTGGGCTGGAAGCTGCTGCGCATCTTCCCCAAGGAGATGCTGAAGCGCATTCCGCAGGCCGTGATCGACGAGTTCTATTCCCGCGAGGGGGCGCTGCAGGACCTCGCGCCTGACACTGCGCTCTAGCCCCGCGCGCCGTGGCACCCCAACACCGGCAGGGAACCTACCCTCGGCTCCCGGGTCTCCCCTCCCTCGCCACCCCAACCAGCGGCTTCTGCGCCGCCCTCCGCCCTCCGCTGGCTCCGAGGTGGTGGGGGCGCCGCACGCTCCATCCCTTTCCCTCGCTCGATTCCTTTTCCCGCGCTCCATGCCTCCCCCTCGACTCCCGGTGCTGCGGAAGAACTGAAGGTTGCGATGCCTTACTCTGACGGGAGCATCTGTATTTTTATGTTAAAAGCCCACAAAATAAAAATAAAAAGTAACTGAGATGAATTTACCTTCGTTGAAAACAAGATTGGCAAAAGAAAGATAAAAATGAAAGGAAAAGATAATTGTTGAAGCTGGGGGCTGGGGTTATGAGCACACGGAGTTCATTAAACTATTCTCCCTATTTAAAAAAAAAAAAAAAAAAAAAAGCCCAACGCGGATGCTGAGACTGTTGTCCCAGCTACTCTGGAGGCTGAGACGGGAGGATCGCTTGAGCTCAGGAGTTCTGGTCTGTCGTGCGCTATGCTGATATGGTGTCCACACTAAGTTGGGCATCAATATGGTGACCTCCCGGAGACGGGGGCCATTAGGTTCCCTAAGGAGGGGTGAACAAGTCCAGGTCTGAAACCAAACAGGTCATAACTCCAGTGCTGATCAATAGCAGAACCGTTCCTGGGAATAGCCACTGCACTTCAGCCTGGGCAACATAGCGAGACTCTGTCTCTTAAAAAAAAAAATAAAAATTAAATTTAAGCCCGGCGCGGTGGCTCACGCCTGTAATCCAAGTACTTTGGGAGGCCGAGGCGGGGGTCACTTGAGGTCCGGAGTTCGAGACCAGCCTGGTCAACATGGCGAAACCCCCGTCTCTACTAATACAAAAAAAATTAGTTGGGTGTGATATCGCACGCCTGTAATCCCAGCTACTAGGGAGGTTGAGAAAGGAGAATCACTTGAACGCGGGGGGCAGAGGTTGCAGTGAGCTGAGATCGCGCCACTGCACTCCAGCCTGGGCGACAGAGTAAAACTCCATCTCATATTAATTAATTAATTAATTAATTTTTAAAAAGCTGCATTAATGTCTTAACAGTTGACAATAAAATTTTTCTTAGGGAGATAATTATCTTCCTTAAGAAATAGCTTGGGCCAGGAGCGGTGGCTCACATCTGTTAATCCCAGCACTTTGGGAGGCCGAGGCGGGCGGATCACTTGAGGTCGAGAGTTCGAGACCAGCCTGACCGATATGGAGAAACCGCATCTCTACTAAAAATACAAAAAAAAAAAAAAAAAAATTAGCCGGCTGTGGTGGCACATCCCTGTAATCCCAGCTACATGGGAGGCTGAGGCAGGAGAATCGCTTGAACCTGGGAGGCAGAGGTTGCGGTGTGCCAAGATTGCACCATTGCACTCCAGCTTGGGCAATAAGAGTGAGACTCCGTCTCAAAAAAAAAAAAAAAGAAAAAAGAAAAAAGAAAAAGAAAAAAGAAAGAAAGAAATAGCTTGATAGGCTGGGTGTGATAATTCAAGCCTGTAATCCCAGCACTTTGGGAGGCTGAGACAGGATTGATTGCTTGAGCCCAGGAGTTAAAGACCAGCCTGGGCAACATAGTGAGACCCCTGTATCTACTAAAATAATTTTTAAAAATCACCTAGGTGGCACACACCTGTAGTCCAGCTACCCAGGAGGCTGAAGCGGGAGGATTACTTGAGCCTGGGAGGTCAGGCTGCAGTGAGCCGTGATGGCGCCACTGCACTCCAGCCTGGGCTGCAGAGTGAGACAGGGTCGCCCCCTGTCTCAGTAACAAACAAATAAACACACAAATATCTTGATAAATTTCATGTGGAACATGAGCTCAGGAGCCTTGGAAGGGACAACCAAGGCCACAAAAGATGTGTGTGACTCTAAACAGCTCTGCCTGAGAGATGCTAGGTAGAATTTGGTTTGCTCCAGACAGGAAGGGAGAAGAGTTGCTAGGGAGAGGGCCTGAAGGACTTGGGGGGTATGAGTGCAGAAGACTGAAGATCCCCAGTTAAGAAATGGATGAAGAGTATTCTATAAATTAGGCTGCCTGATGTTCCTTTGAAAGCTGCCAACTTTTTTGTAATATCAATCCCTCCTCTGTCTCCCCTGCCCCATCTACAGTGAAATCATGAATGCTTCCTAGGAAGGGAAAGAAGGGTGGTTTGGGAGGATAGAACTTCAGCAAAGAGCTGAGTTTCATTTCTAGGTAAACGTGTTGTAGATGACGTCAGAATTATTGGATCAAGAGCTAGGACCAAAGGAGGACCTCCCCATTCCCACCCCAAGATAATTTACAGCCATCTTGGGGAAAGGTTTGGGTGTCCGCTGGGGAAAGGTTTGGGTGTCCGCTGGGCAAAGAGTTGTTTTTAATAACAATTTCATTGAAATATAATTCCCATACCATACAATTTATTTATAATTGTAAGAGTTAAGTTTTTGGTATAGTCACAGAGTTGTGCATCCATGGCCACAATCAATTTTAGAACACTGTCATTACCACGAAAAGAAACCCTACACCCTTAGCTTTCACCTCTCAACACCTCCCCACAATCCATTCACTCCTCAGCCCTAGGCAACTACTAACCTACTTTCTGTCCATGGATGTGTCTGTTTTATTTCATATAAATGGAAACATACAATATGTGGTCTTTTGTGACTGGCTTCTTAGCAAAATATTTTCAAGGTTCATCCATGCATGCATCAGTACTTCATTTCTTTTTATTACCAAATAATATTTCACAGAATGGATATACCACCTTTTGTTTATCCAGCAGTTTATGGACATATGAGTTGTTTCCACTTCTTTGCTATTATGCATAATGCTACTATGAACATTCCTGTGAAAGTTGTTATGAGGACATGTTTTCATTTCTCTCAGGTAGATAACTAGCAGTGGAATTGCTGGGTTGGATGGTAACTCAGTTTAATGTTTTGAAGAACAGCCAGCTGCTTTCCAAAGTGGGTGCACCATTTTCCATTTCCCCAAGCAGTGGATGAGGTTTCCAATTTCTCCACATCCTCAGCAACGCTTATTATCTGTCCTTTTTATTATAGCCATATTAGTGGGTACAAAGTGGTATCTCATTGTGGTTTTGATTTTCATTTTCCTAACAATGAATGATGTTGGCTGTCTTTTCCCATGTTTATTGATCATTTGTATATCTTCTTTGGAGAAATATCTATTCACATCCTTTGCCCATTTTAAAGTTGGGTTGTCATTCTATTATTGAGTTGTAAGACTTGTTCACATATTTGACATACCAATTCCAGTCCTTTACCAATGATTTGCAAATATTTTCTCTCATTCTGTGTGTGTGTTGTCTGTTCACTTTCTTGATGATGTCCTTTAAAGCAAAAAAAATTTAATTTTGATGATGTCTTGTTTATTTTTTCTTATGGTGTCATATCTAAGAACCTATTGCCTAATCCAAGGTCACAATGATTTATGCTTATGTTTTTTTCTAAGAGTTTTAGAGTTTTTTGTTTTTGTTTTGAGATGGAGTCTCACTCTGTCACCCAGGCTGGAGTGCAGTGGCACGATCTCGGCTCACTGCAACCTCTGCCTCCCGGGTTCAAGTGATTCTCCTGTCTCAGCTACCTGAGTAGCTGGGACTACAGGCACGCACCACCACACCGGGCTAATTTTTGCACTTTTAGTAGACACGGGGTTTTGCCATGTTGCCCAGGCTGGTCTCAAACTCCTGCCCTCAAGTGATCCGCCCTCCTTGGCCTCCCAAAGTGCTGGATTACAGGTGTGAGCCACCACGCCCAGCCGAGTTTTACAGTTTTGTTTTGTTTTGTTTTGTTTTGTTTCGAGACGAAGTCTTGCTCTGTCGCCCAGGCTGGAGTGCAGTGGTGCCATCTCGGCTCACTGCAAGCTCCGCCTCCCAGGTTCACACCATTCTCCTGACTCAGCCTCCCGAGTAGCTGGGACTGCAGGCGCCTGCCACCACGCCCGGCTGATTTTTTGTATTTTTAGTAGAGACGGGGTTTCACTGTGTTAGCCAGGATGGTCTGCATCACCTGACCTCGTGATCCGCCCGCCTCGGCCTCCCAAAGTGCTGGGATTACAGGCGTGAGCCACCGCGCCCGGCCGAGTTTTACGGTTTTAACTGTTATATTTAAGTCTTTCATCCATTGTAATATTTTATATTATGTGAGCCAGGGTTCCAATTTCATTCTTTTGCATATGGATGTTCCAGTGTCCCATGTTTTGGAGAGACTATTCTTTCTCCCATTGAATTGTCTTAGCAAAAATCAGTTGACCATTAATGTGACAGGTGATTTCTGGACTCCAAATTTATTCCATTGATCTATATGTCCATTATTATGCTATTACTACACTTTCTTAGTTACTGTAGATTTGTAATAAGTTTTGATTGGGAAGTGGATGTGCTTCCACTTTTCCAAGATGGTTTTGGCTGTTCTGGATCCCTTGAATTTCCACATGAATTTTAGGATCAACCTGTCAGTTTCTAAAAGGAAGCCAACCTGAATTATGAGGAGGACTGCATTAAATCTGTAGATTGATTCGGGGAGTATTGCCATCTTAGCAATATTAAATCTTCTGATCCATATCCATGGACAGGGAGTATCTTTCTATTTATTCCAGTCTTCTTTAATTTCTTTCAACTAAGTTTTGTAATTTTCAGGGAATAAGTTTTGTTCTTCTCTTAAATTTATTTCTAAGTATGTTATGCTTTTTGATGCCATTGTAAATGGGATTGTTTTCATAATTCCATTTTCAGATTGCTCATTGCTAGTGTATAGAAATACAAATGATTTTTGATATTGATCTTGTATTCTGTAATCTTGCTGACTAATTTATTACTTTGAATCGTTTTTAAATGAATTCCTTAGGGTTTTCAGTATACAAGATCATGTAATCTATAGAGATAGTATTACTTATTCCTTTTGAATCTGGATGCCTTTCATTTCATTTCCTTACCTAATTTCCCTGGCTAGAACCTCTAGCACAGTGTTAAATAGAGGTGGCAAGAGTGGACACCATTGTCTTGTTCCTGATCTTAAAGGGAAGTCATTCAGCTGTTCACCATTAAGCGTGATGTTAGCTGTGGGTTTTTCATAGATTTCCTTTATCAAGTTGAGGAAGTTCAATCTATTCCAAGTTTGTTGAGTGCTTTATAATAAGAGGTGTAGAATTTTGTCAAATGATCTTTTTTTGGCTACTGAGATGATCGTGGTTTTTTATCCTTTATTCCATTGATATAGTGCATTATATTGATTTTCAGATATCAAACCAAACCTATATTCTTGGGATAAGTTCCCTTTGTCATGGTGCACAATCTTTCTTAATATGTTATTGGATATTATTTGCTAGTGTTTTATGGAGGATTTTTGCATCTATATACACAAGAGATATTGGTCTGTAATTTTTTTTTCTTGTGATGTCTTTGTCTGATTTTAGTAGCAGGGTAATACTAGCCTAATAGAATGAGTTGAAATTGTTCATTTTTCGTTTATATTTTGGGAAGACTTTGTGAATAATTTGTATTAATTCTTCTTTAAATGTTTGGTAAAATTCACCAAACATCTGGACTTGGACTTTTCTCTGTCGGCAGTTTTTACTACTAACTACTACTACTACTAACTGATTATCTTTAATTATTATATGTCTATTCAGATTTTCCATTTCTTCCTGAGTCCATTTTGGTAGGCTGTGTTATTATGGGATTTTTTTCCCTTGTTATCTAAGTTATCTAAATTGTTGGCAAGTAATTGTTCATAATATACCCTTGTACTCCTTTTTATTTCTGTAAAGTACATAGTAATGTCCCCCTTCATCTCTTATTTTAATAAATTTAGTCTTCTCTCTTTTTTTTGGTCAGTCTAGCTAAAGGTTTGCCAATTTTTAAAAAATAATTATTTTACTGATGCATAATAGATGTAGATAATTCCAGAGTACATGTGATAATTTAATAGATTCACATAATTTTTAAAGATCAAATCAGCGCACTTGGGACATTCATCACCTTAAATATTTGTCTTGTCTTTATGCTAGAAACACTCAAATTATCCTCTCCTGGATATTTTGAAATGTACAATAGATTGTTGTAAACCATAGTCACCCTACTGATCTATCAAACACTAGGTCTTATTTCTTCAAGTTTGCCAAATTTGTTGACCTTTTTTAAAAACCAACTTTGAGGCCAGGCATGGTGGCTCATGTCTGTAATCCCATCACTTTGGGAGGACGAGGTGGAAGGATCACTTGAGCCCAGGAGTTCGAGACCAGCCTGGGCAACATAGTGAGACCTTATTTCTACAAAAAATTAAACAAAATTAGCTGGGCATGGTGGTATGTTCCTGTAGTCCTAGCTACTGAGGAGGCTGAGGTGGGAGGATCACTTGAGCCTGGGAGGTTGAGGCTGCAGTGAGCCAAGATTGTGCCATTATACTCCAGCCTGGGTGACAGAGTGAGATCCTGTCTCAAAAAAATAAATAAATAAAAAATAAAAACCGACTTTGAGTTTAGTTAATTTTCCCTGTTATTTTCATCAATCTCAAAGCAGTCTCTAATTTTCCTTGTGGCTTCTTCTTTGACCTATTTGTTATTTAGGAGTGAATTGTTTAATTTCCACGGATTCGTGAATTTCTCAAGTTAATTTCTTACTCATTTCTAATTTCATTCCCATGTGGTCAGAGAACGTTTCAATTATTTTAAACTTATCGGGTCTTGTTTTATGGTCCAGCATATTGTCTATTCTACAGAATGTTTCACGCGCACTTGAGAGGAATGTATACTCTGCTGTTGTTGGATGAAGAGTACAACAGATGTCTTTCAGGTTTAGTTGGTTGATAGTATTGTTCAAGACTTCTACTTCCTTGTTGTACTTCTGGGTACTTATTCTATCCATTACTGAAAGTGGGATATTGACGTCTTCAATTATTATTGTTGAATTGTCTATTTTTTCTTTCAATTCTGTCAGTTTTTACTTCCTATATTTTTGGACTCTGGTGTTAGGTGCTTATATGTTTATAATTGTTATATCTTTCTGATGGATTGACCCTGTTTTCATTATAAAATGTCCTCCTTTATCTCTAGTAACATACTTTGATTGTGGGTTTTATTTTGTTTTGATGTTCAAGTCTATTTTGTCTGACATTAGTGTAGCCACTTCATCTTTCTTATGTTTACTGTTTGCATAATATATCTATTTCCTTTTCAACCTACCTGTGTCTTTGAATCTAAAGTGTCTTCTGGGCTGGGTGCAGTGGCTCATGCCTGTAATCTCAACACTTTTGGAGGCCAAGGTGGGAGAATCACTTGAAGCTAGTAGTTTGAGATCAGCCTGGGCAACATAGTAAGACCCTATCACTACAAAAAATATAAATAAATAAAAAATAAAATGTCTCCCATAGACAGCATATAGTTGAATATTGACTTTTATCCAGTCTGACTGAGTGTTATTACTGATATGGTAGTATATACATCTGTCATTTTACTTTTCTTTTCTTTTTGTTTTATTTATTTCTGACTTCATCACTTTTCATTTTCTGTATATGTCATGTCTTTTTCATTCCTCTGTTTCTCCTTTAATCTTTCTTTTGCATTAAGTGAATATTTTATTATGTAACATTTTAATTCCTTCAATCATTTTCCATTCTATTTTTTTCAGTTGTTTTCTTAGTGGTTACTCTAGAGCTTACTCTATTCATTTTAGCTTATCAGAATCTATTTCAGATTTATACTAACTTAATTCCAGTGAGATACTGAAACATTATTCTTCTATTACTCAATTCCCTTTTCTAACTTTTTGTACTATTGTTATACATAGCGCATATATAATATGCAAATAATACATTGTTATAATATTGCCTTGTATAGTTTTATATCATTTAAAGAAGCTGAGAAGGATAGTAAATATATATTTATAGAGTATATTATATTAATCTTCTATACTATTTCTGGTTCTTGTTATTTGTTCTCACGGGTATGAGTTACCATCTGCTGTTATGTCTTTATTCCAATACAGATTTGCTCCCACCCACCTCATTTTTGTTGTTATTGTCAAATAGATTACACTTCTATACATTATAGGCCCAACAATACAATCATATATGTTGTTTTATACAATTTATTTTTAAGTCAGTTAAGAGAAGGAGAAGAAATATGCATTTATATTGTTTTTGTAATTACATAGTCATCTTTACCAGTGCTCTTTGGATTTGTTTTGTTTTTATTTTGTGAAGATTCAGATTATGGTGTGGGGTCACTTACTTCTAGTCTGAAGAACTTCCATTAGTAATTCTTGTAAGGCAGGGATGCTAGCAACAAATTTTCTGAGTTTTTGTTTGTCAGGCAATGTCTTTATTTTGCCTTTATTTTCAAAGATAGCTTTTCTGGATATAAAATTCTTGAGAGTTGTTTTTTGTTCAGCATTTTGAATATGTTACCCATTACCTTTTGGCCTCCATTGTTTCTGATGAGAATTCAGCTATTGATCTTATTGAGGTTCCCTTGAATGTGATTTGTTCTTTTTCTCTTGCTGCTTTGAAAACTTTGTCTCTCAGCATTTTTAGTATGATGAGCTTAGGTGTGGATATATTTGTGTTTAACTTACTTGGAGTTTGCTGAGCTTTCTTAAATGTGTAGATTAATCTTTTTCATCAAACTTGGCTAATTTTCAGCCATTGCTTCTTCAATTACTTTCTCTGCTCTTTTCTCTCATCTCTCCTTCTGGAATTCCCATTATGAGTATGTTGGTGTGCCTAATGGTGCCCCCCGACTTTTTTTGAGGCTCTGTTTTCCTTCATTCTTTTTTCTCTTTGTTCTTTGGATTGCATAATCTCTACTGCCTATCTTCAAGTTTGCTGATCGTTTCTTCTGCAAGTTCAAATCCACTATTGTTCCTCTCTAGTGAATTTTTTGTTTCAATTATTATACTCTGCAATTCCAGAATTCATTGGATTATTTTTTAATGGTTTACCTTATCGATAGTCTCTATTTGTTGAGAAATTGTCACCATACCTTCTTCTACTTTTTTAAATCATAGTTTCCTTTAGTTCTTTAAACATAGCTTTAATGGCTGGTTTGAAGTCTTGGTCTGTTAAATCTGATATCTGGCCTCTTTCATAGGCAGTTTCTGTTGTCTGCTTTTTTCCCCCTATGTATGGGTCATGTTTATTTGTATATCTCATGGTTTTTTGTTGAAAATTAAACTTTTTAGGAAATATATTGTAGTAACTCTGAATTCTGATATCCCTTCCCCCCTCTCGGGCTTGTTTTTGTTGTTTGCTTGTTTGTTTAGGGACTTGGATAGGCTCTCGTAGTGAACTCCTTTTTTCCCTCAATGTAAATCTGATTTAAGGGGTATGACTTGTTCTTTAGGGTTCCTGTCCTGAGCAGAGCTCCCCACCCCTACAATATAGTGGGCACCCAGACACCTGCCTTCCTCCAAATCTGGTCCCAAGAGGCAGACATTCCCTCTCCCACCCATTAGAACCTGTCTTTCAAATTTTTCTTTCTCCCCCAAAAGCATTATCCACTTCCTTCCAAATGGATACTCCAGGGTGCTGTTCTGAAAGTCCTGTTTCCTACCCCATTACCACCACAGCCAGAACCCAGACTCACCACTGGAGGACTCCCAATTCTCACAGCCAAGTTCCCCCACCCTGCTCCCATTCATGAGCGAGCACGCTGCCTGGCCACAGTGAAAGTGTCAGCTTCCACAGCCTAGGCCCATCTTAGGGTGTGTTCCTGCTCAGACAAATGGATCTCAGCACTCCAAGCATGATTCTTTAGTTTCACGTACCTGGCCATTTCTCTGGGGTGTACCACTCCTCCTGGAAGACAGCACAGGGCCAGGTTCCAATGTCCCCTGGGTCTTCACAGTGCCCCTAGCCCACACAGCTCTTTTCTGGGACTATCCCACTGGTTCTAATTCTTTTACCCAATAGAGGCTTTAACCTCAGGAGTTTTTACTAGTCAAGCTTCAGTTGAAAGTGACAGAAGCTCAATCTAAACTAGCTTAAGCTTCAAGAGGATCCTGGGGTGGTTTAGAGAATAGATGAGGAGCATCTGGCCTTGGGCACTGGCCCTGGAGTGTACAGACAGTGCCTCTCTAGGTTCTCCCCCAACTGCTCCCTGATGGACCTGCTCCCCTCAGCCTTCCATCTCCCTTGCCTGGAGCTGTAGAACCAGTTAATCTGGAGCCACACCCTTACCATCACCTTCCAAAGAAGAAATTGAACCCTTCTCTGGGCATTTTCTGCTGTCTGCCCTTCTCATGGTCCAGCTTCTGTTGTTCCACCAGGCGTTATCTGTTTGCCCAGCTGCATGGCTGTGACCAAGGGTCTTTAGGATAACACATTCTCTCCCCCCGGGGACTCTGCTAGTTTCCTGTTTCTTCCTCCCTTACTCTATTGACCCTTCTCCCTCAAAATCACCTGCAGCCTCTTGCCTCCCTGACTGAGGCAGAAAGGCCTTAAAGTGGTTCTCAACCCTGGCTACACACGAGAATCACCTGGAGAACTTTACAAATACCAATGCCCAGGCCCCAAACCAGATGAATTAATCAGAATCTGTAGGGGTAAGACCCCTGCATTGGTGTTTGTACAGCCAGGGTTGCAAAACACTGGTATAGAGATGTAAGATACCCCAGTTCAAGATAGTGAGGATGAACTTGGAGAGGTACTGAGATGCTCTCTCCAACCCCACCACATACACAGGGTCCTGTTGTAATTATTAGAATCCTAACACCCCAGAAGCAACAATAGCCCAGGAAATCTTCAAACTGTATCCCTGAAAAGCACTGTCACTTTATCTCAACTTGAAGCCAGTTGCTAAGGCCCTACCTGGGGCAGATAGCCAGCATGATTTGCTAGTTTTGAAGGTGTTTGCCAGGTATGCTGAGTCCTGGCTACTGGGGTTGGCAGACAAGTGCGCTCTCAGAAGACAGTACCCTGGAAAGGGAGAAACGTGATTCTGGGTGGATAATCTGTATTCTTGTCCCTCTCTGCAGGTCACTGTGGTCTTAGGGGACCTTCTGTCCTTTTCTTAGGGGAAATACCTGGAACGCTGGGGTACAGAGGAGAGACCATGGTAGGGGTGGAGTGATGTAGTCAGATATGCCCAGAGTTGACCCTGGAGCCACAGGAGCCTTCTGATAAACTTGGGGTCATTCCTGTTGAGAAGGGATGAGAATGTGGATGGCTCAGTAAGACAACACTGATTCAAGCAACAGTTATTGCTTAGCTACTCTATATTCTAAAAAGTCAAAAGGCAAACTGAGGAAAATATTGACAACAAATATAACATACATAAAGGGTCACTATGCTAATAAGTTTTACAGATCAGTAAGAAACACATTAAGGCCCTCAAAGAACCATGTGAGTAAAAGAATTCCTAGAAGACAAAACCACTGATAATTAAATGTTTAACCCTTGTTGGTAATCAAAGAGCCACATTAGAACATCATTTCCACTACCAAATTAGTGAACATTTACTTAAAATCCTAATATCTGATGCTAGCAATGGTTTGAATAGTTCTTCTTTGAGTAATAGCAGATTCACAGGTAGTGCTTCTCTGCTAGCACTGTTCTCATTGTTTGCATTCCTTCATTCCTTGTAAAGTAGGTGCTATTATCCCCATTTTGCTGCTGTAGCAACTTGTAGGGACCAGCCCCACAGGGTGGGTGGGTTTTTCTCCCCGTGTGCGGAGATGAGAGATTGTAGAAATAAAGACACAAGACAAAGAGATAAAAGAAAAGACAGCTGGGCCCGGGGGACCACTACCACCAAGAGGGCAGAGATCGGTAGTGGCCCCGAATGCCTGGCTGTGCTGTTATTTATTGGATACAAGGCAAAAGGGGCAGGGTAAGGAGTGTGAGTCATCTCCAATGATTGATAAGGTCACGTGAGTCACGTGTCCACCGGACAGGGGGCCCTTCCCTGCTTGGCAGCCGAGGTGGGTGGGGGTGGGGGCGGGGACAGGGGGAGGGAGAGAGAGAGAGAGAGAGAGGACAGCTTACGCCATTATTTCTGTGTATCAGAGACTTTTAGTACTTTCACTAATTTTGCTACTGCTATCTAGAAGGCAGAGCCAGATGTACAGGATGGAACATGAAAGTGAAACAGGAGTGTGACCGCTGAAGTACAGCGTCACAGGGAGATGTTTAGGCCTCCAGATAACTGTGGGCGGGCCTGACTGATGTCAAGCCCTCCACAAAAGGTGGTGGAGTAAAGTCTTCTCTAAACTCCCCCTGGGAAAGGGAGACTCCCTTTCCCGGTCTGCTAAGTAGCGGGTGCTTTTCCTTTGCATTGATGCTACCGCTAGACCACGGTCCGCCAGACCAGGGTCCGCCAGACCACGGTCCACTTGGTAACCGGCGTCTTCCCAGACGCTGGCATTACCGCTAGATCAAGGAGCCCTCTGGTGGCCCTGTCCGGACATAACAGAAGGCTCGCACTCTTGTCTTCTGGTCACTTCTCACTATGTCCCTTTGGTTCCTATCTCTCTATGGCCTGGTTTTTCCTAGGTTATGATTATAGAGCGAGGATTATTACAATATTGGAATAAAGAGTAATTGCTACAAACTAATGATTAACGATATTCATATATAATCACGTCTATGATCTAGATCTAGATCTAGTATAACTCTTGTTGTTTTGTATATTTTATTATACTGGAACAGCTTGTGCCCTCGGTCTCTTGCCTTGGCACCTGGGTGGCTTGCCGCCCACAGAAACTAAGTCAGATAACTTGCCAAAAGCCACACTGCTGATGTGCAGCGCACCCGCTTCACTGCAGGTGGAAGTGGAAGTGAATAATAACCTTCCTGGAAGGCAGTCTGCAAGCCCATATTGACAGCTGAAAAATATTCATTCCCTTTCACCTAGTGATTCGACTCCCAGGAATCCATTCTAAGAAAACAACCAGAGTTGAGCCATTTCGTTCTTGGCAGCACATGTGAAACAATGGCACATCCATTATGACGCTGGGCTCTGGTTGCGTCATAATGTACGTTTAGTATGTGGAGTGACAATGGGCGCTAGCTCGTAATATAATGCTATTAATAAACGAAAAGAGATACAAAAAATAGTCATGATATGCATATATATTGCAATAAACCATGATTTCTGTGCGTGGTGGGATGGTAATTTTTAATTTCCACATTGAATATTTCTGTTTTCTACTTATTAGTTTGATAATCGGAAACAAAAGCCAAGTGTCTTTGTTGTTTGTGTGTTTGATGCTGAGTTTCCCGGGCAGCAGGACTGGGAGGTTGAGTGGGGGTTTTGGCTCAGACCGGGAGCAGAGCGGCGGGTGGGGAGCGGCAGGCGGGCAGGGTCCCCGGAGGCCCCCGGGCTCTGCCCCTCCAGCTAGAGAGGCAGCCGAACCCTAGCGGCCTGGAAGGGGCCGGGAAACCGCGGCCAGCTGGCAAGGAGTGGCCCCCGGGGGCGGGGCGCCGGCGGGTGTGTGAGTAGCCCGCCCGGCCCGGGTCCGAGTTCCAGCCCCGCGATGGCCTCCGCGGGCAGCACCGCTCGGCGGGCGGGCTCCGGAAGCTGGCACTCAGAAAGGGGAGAAGGGAGAGGTGCTCGGCCGCAGCCAACTCCAAGTGGCTCCATGCAGCAGGCGAACAAAGTCTCCTTGAAGGCCACCTGGACTGACGCGGAGTCCAAGCAGCCCAGGTGGGTAGCGGGAGAAGGTGTCCCGGCTGCAGGGAGCGAGAACCCGGCCCAGCGCCTCCCTGGTGGGCAGGGCCTGGAGCGGGCGGGGGCGGAGGCTGCGGCCCGAGAAGCCAGCAGAGACAGGCTGGGGCCAGGGATCGCCTCCCGAGAGGTGCCTAGGCCGTGGCCCAGAGTCGCTTCCCCACTGCCCCGCCCACCAGCCAGGCGGGGGCCAGGGATCGCCTCCCGAGAGGTGCCCGGGCCGTGGCCCAGAGTCGCTTCCCCACTGCCCCGCCCTCCAGCCAGCCCCTGCCCGACCTCGCAGACCACCTCAGTGCGCAGGCGACTGCCCTCGCCAGGCCGCGCCGCCCTGCCTCGCTCACCCCGCCCCGCGCTGACCCCAGCCCCAGCAAGGAGTCCGACCAGACGGCAATCGACCAGACGGCGATCGGGAGCTACTACCAGCTGTTCGCAGCGGCTGTGGGCAACGTGGAATGGCTGCGATTCTGTCTGAACCAGAGCCTCAGGGAAATCCCCACCGACGACAAGGTAAGGTCTTGAGTGTTGGGGCAAAGACCGAGGTCCCTCTCCCGCTACGCTGCTCGGAGTGGTCACCTGGAGAAGAGATATCCTTTTCTGGGTAGATCTTCCTAATTTAACTCATCTTCTGGCTGTGGAAGGACCATTTTGGGGGCAGGGAGGTTGGGTGGGCTGATGAACACACACTGGTTAATTAGCAAAAGGGTGTGAGCATTCCTGGGGACACAGGGAAGAAAGTGAAGGTAACCCCAATAAATTTATATAAATTGTGGACCCTGGGACCTCAGTCCCACTCAGCCTCCTCCTGCCTGCTCTGAACCTCACAGGGCTTCACTGCCATCCACTTCGCCGCCCAATGGGGCAAGCTTGCATGCCTGCAGGTCCTGGTAGAGGAGTACAAGTTTCCCGTGGACCTGCTGACCAACAATAGCCAGACACCCCTGCACCTCGTCATCCACAGGGACAACACCACCGTGGCCCTCCCCTGCATCTACTACCTGCTGGAGAAAGGCGCAGACCTCAATGCGTGAGTCCAGCCTGCTTCAGGAGGGAGGCTTCGGGCACAGGCACGGGCACAGCCCTACTTCCAGGCAGGCAAATCCATGCAGGACAAGCAGAGGGGTTGCTGGAGGTGACAAGGATTGGGTCCCACATAAAGCAGTCAGGAATCCACATGGTGTAATAAAGAGACTGGGCTTTAGCCGGGCATGGTGGCTCATGCCTATAATCCCAACACTTTGGAAGGCCGAGGCAGGCGGATCACCTGAGGTCAGGAGTTCAACACCAGCATGACCAACATGGAGAAACCCCATCTCTACTAAAAATACAAAATTAGCAGGGCATGGTGGCGCATGCCTGTAATCCCAGCTATTCGGGAGGCTGAGGCAGGAGAATTGCTTGAACCCAGGAGATGGAGGTTGCGGTGAGCTGAGATGGTGCCATTGCACTTCAGCCCGGGCAACAAGAGCGAGACTCCGTCTCAACAAAAAAAAAAAAAAAAAAAAGATTGGCCTTTAACAGACCTAGTCTACATCCCAGCTCTGCAACTTGCTAGCAGACAGCAGGACCTTAGGCAAGTCACTCAACCTCTATGCCCCAGTACTCTGGCTCCCAAACTTAGGTGTACATTGGAATTACCTAGGGAGCTTAAAAAATATGAACACCTGGCCGGGTGGCATGGTGGCATAGTCCCAGCTACTTGGGAGGCTGAGGCAGGAGAATCGCTTGAACCCGGGAGGTGGAGGTTGCGGTGGGCCGAGATTGCTCCAATGCACTCCAGCCTGGCAATAGAGCGAGACTGTCTCAAAAAATAAAAAATAAAAAAAATTAGGCTGGCCGCAGTGGCTCACGCCTGTAATCCCAGCACTTTGGGAGGCTGGGGCGAGCGGATCACGAGGTCAGGAGATCAAGAACATCCTGGCTAACATGGTAAAACCCCGTCTCTACTAAAAATACAAAAAAGTTAACCGGGCGTAGTGGCGGGTGCCTGTTGTCCCAGCTACTTGGGAGGCTGAGGCAGGAGAATGGCGTGAACCTGGGAGGCAGAGCTTGCAGTGAGCCAAGATCGTGCCACTGCACTCCAGCCTGGGCGACAGAGCGAGACTCCGTCTAAAAAAAAAAAATTAAAAAATATAAACACCTGTGTTCCAATCCAAAGGCTGTGATTTAATGGGTCTGTGGTGTGACCTGGGCTTGGGAAGTCAGAAAAGATCCCCAGGTGCTTCTAACTTGAAGCTAAGTTTGGGAACCTCTGTCTCAGTGTCTTCAACTGAAACTTGGGAGAATAGCAGTACCTATCACATGGGACTACTGTGATCACTGAAAAGTGCATGGCATATAGGAGACTGCATTCATTCAAAGTATCAAGTATGCACTATGTGCTAAGCACTATGCTAGAGTCACAGAAATGGTCCCTCTCCTCACGAAGCTGACATTCTAGTAAAGGAGCAGACAGTGAATTAGCAAACAAATAAATGAACAAAATCCTGACAGAGCATGGGAAGTGGTTATGAAAAAATAAACGGGGTGATGGTGTAGGGGGTAAAGCAGGTAGGGGGAGGATCTATTTTGGATGAAGCAATCACCTCTAAGGAGGTGACATTTAAATTGGAACCTGAAGACAGAGTGAGCCAGCCATGCAAAGAGCCAGGGAAAAGTGTTCCAGGTAGAGGTAACATCATATGCAAAGACCATGTGTTGGGAAAGAGTGGGCAAGGTCAAAGGATAAGATCGAGGAGGTTAGGCCCAGGTCATGCAGATCTTGTGGGCATACGGAATCTGGTGAGGCATAGGGAAAGGGCAGGGGGCTGGTTGGTTTAAGAGTGGATGAGGTTAGTGGTCTCTGAACCAAGCCAGCTCTCCTTCCAGCAGTTCTTAACTATCACATACCTTCTAAAGTCAGATTTTTACTGTTCACTTAGTCCAATTCCTCCCTTTACAGTAAAGGAAATTGAGGTGCCAAAAGGGACAGACATAGCTAGGATCACCCAGTGGACTGATGGTAGAGCAGGGCTTGGAAACTGGTGTGTCCATCTATCTGATGGACAGATGCTCTTTGTCTTTCCTTTCTGCCCTTATCCCCACTGGTGGGGCCTTCCACAGTCAGACATGCAACGGCTCCACGCCCCTGCACCTGGCAGCCCGTGACGGCTTGCTGGACTGTGTGAAGGTCCTGGTGCAGAGTGGCGCCAACGTCCATGCCCAAGATGCCATGGGCTACAAACCCATTGACTTCTGCAAAATATGGAACCACCGTGCCTGTGCCCGGTGAGAGTGTGAGAACCACCTGGAGCCTGCCCACCCCCTTCCCCTCCCCCAGCCTTTTCCCTAGGGCCCTCACCACAGCTGAGCCTTTAAGGGGAGGGTTGGGAAGCCAGACAGCTGGAGGATGCGCCTACTGCCCAGGATATTTTGGATGAGGCAATCACCTCATCACCTGGGCTTGGGGGTAAGTCTGCCCAGGTCCCCTGCTCTCTGGGTTGATCACTGCCCTCCTTTCCTGCCCTGGGGCCCCTGGCTCCTCAGCAGGAGGGTGGTGACCAGGTCATCAAGGACTTTCGTCTTTCACCTAAAGGAAGTAGGGAGCCAGAGGGCCCCGGGCAATGGGGATGGCTCATCTTGCTCCTCTCCCTCTGGCCACTCCCCTCATCCCCATCCAAGCCCTCAGCAGCAGCCAGTCTTCCCAGCCCAGGTGGAAGCTCTGTCACTGTGGGATGACACCCCCGCCCTGACCTTGGCACCAGGTTCTTGAAGGATGCCATGTGGAAAAAGGACAAGAAGGACTTTGCCCGTGAGATGACGAAAATGAAGATGTTCAAGAGCCAGCTGACCCTCATGGAGCACAACTACCTGATTGAGTATCAAGTAAGGGGGACAGCAGGGGGGCCAGGGGACAGCTGCTATCCAGGCATGTGAGCAGAGGGGGCAGTGACCCACATATTGTGGAGGAGTGGCTAGAAGCACTCCCACCCTGAAAGAGCCACCCTTTCGCCTGTACTCCCACCGGGTACTCTGACTGAAATTCCGCTCTTTTAAATAAGCCAGTCTTTTGGTCAAAAGTCTTATCCTGTGTTAGAAAGCCAATTTAAGCAAGCTTAAATTCGCAAGTATTTCTGGGCCCCTCCTAGTGTACTGCCTCTTTCAGGATGAGAACCTTCAATGAGACCAAGGCACTGCCTGTAACTGGGGCTCACACTCTGGTTAAAAAGATCCACCCTTCCTTCCAGCAGGCACTGGGCATTCACTCTGTGCTAGGAACCTGCTAGACCCTGAGGTCTAAAGATGAACAATATGTGGTCCCCACGCTCAAGGAGCTTAGAGTCTAGCAGAGGAGGCAGGTTACAGGCCCATCAAGGAGGAGAGGGTCCAGGAGGGTGTCAGGAGGCATGATGCTTAAGAGGAGTCTTGAAAGATGCGCAGCAGTTGGCTATATGAAGGAGGGAAGGGCTAACCAGGCATAAAGAGCAGCCGCATGGAAAGGCATAGAGGCACCTGGGAACATGATGTATGCAGAGAATGAAAACTCAGAGCAGCTGGGGATCAGATGTAAGTTGGAGGCTGACAAGATTTGGCAGGAGCCCACATCAGTGAAGGACCTTGGCTGGGGAAGAAAGGGGATTTTAAGCAGGTGTAATTACATAGGGTGCAAAACCCAGAAAACTCAGAAGATACTGGGAATCTTAAGTGAATCCTGAAATGGGGAGGGCTTTGGGGCTGCTGACTCCGGCACACCGGGTCTGTTTCAGTTCCATTTCTCTCCAGTTCTCAGCCCTATCCTCCTCTGATGTCAGGGTCACCAGTCCTCAGAGTCACACACTGTCCAGAGGAGGCAAGGCCCATCTGTTTCCTGTAGCTCTAACCTTTTCCAGAAGCTCCTTGCATCTTCCCTCATCTCTTATGGCCTCAATTCGATCAAGTGTCCATTCTCGTTCCTTTAGCTAGAACTAAAGGAAAGCCATATGCTGACTGACTTAGGTCTGGGGCAAGGTCTGATGGAATTATGATGATTGGCTTAGCCCAATCAGAGCCTGTGCCTGGAGCTGGGTCAATCTCCAAAGCCTCTGATTGCTTAGCAACAGTCTGGGATAGTGAGACAATGGCGGTGGGGGAGGTTCTATGACAATATATGGAAGGCTCCGTGGAGGCAAGGACAGAGCTAGATTGAGTTGCTGCCACCGGGCCTGGAGAGCCAGCCAACTGTATCCTCCCTACATGACTTCTCAAGGCCCACCACTTCCAAGAAGCGTGTCCACATCAGGCCATCCAGTCCTTTCTGCTTTCTCTTTCCAGGGTCAAGGATGCAGTGTGCACTTCCCATTTGCCTTTTCCCCCATCACACCAGAGACTCTCCTATGGCAGGACATTTCTCTACTATCAGACTGTGGATTCCTTTGGAGAAGAAGGGAATTGTCTTTCTGTAAGACTTGAGGTTTTCCCTAGGGCAGGGACTGTGTCTCCCATGTCAAGTTGGAGTCTCACCTAGGGCAGAGGCTACATCTCTCCCATCAGATTGGAGATCCCCCCTTTGGGAGAGGTGCTTTGTCTCCCCACTCAGCCCAGGGGCTCCCTTATGGAAAAAGTTGTCTCCCCCATCGGAACACCGGCTCCCATAAGGCAGGTGTTGCTTCCATCAGACTCAGACTTTCCCTCCCATCAGACTCAGAGTTTCCCTCATCCTTCAGACTGTGGTTTCCGAAAGCTACAGCCACAGGACCTCCTTGCCCAGAAGCAGAGGGCAGCAGTCCTCCATGACTCTCTTGTGCCCTCTGTTGTTGCAGAAAGAGCACAAAATTCTCAGAGAAGCTGCTATCAGAAAGTGGCTCCACGGCAAGCTGCACCCAGGCCACTCTCTGGTCTCCAATACCAAGCAAGCCCGGGCCACCGCCCTCTCCAAGACCCCAGAGCAACGGGAATCGCAGCGTTCCAGGAGCTTCCACCCCTCTGTGGATGCACGCCTGCAATGCATTCCACAGCCCACGGAGATGCCCAAGCCCATCTACAGGAAGCCCACGGTCAAGCGGCCCACAATGTGGAATGTTAGCAACAACCCCGCCAGACCCCCCACCACCCAGATCAGCCACTCGCAGGGCATCCGCCTGGGCGTGCATCCAGACCCCACTCCGGAGCACGACTTCAGCAGCTTCCTGGAGGTGAGGCCTGATGGGCACGGCGGTGCGCGGCTGCACACAGTGGACGGCCACTGGGTGGCGCCCGTGCCGCGGCTGCCTTTTGAGGTGCTGCTGCGCATGCTGTACCCACGTGTATGGCCATACAGAATGAAGGTGCCCCAGGGCTTTTACCCCATCAGCATGAGGGAAGTGCCCAGGAAGCGGCACCTGGGTGACAACACCTTCTGGACCGACACTCTGGCCATGAACCTGCGTGACACATTCGATGAAGCCTTCCTGGCAGCTGTGCGATCTCATCAAGGACTCCCCACCCTGCCCTCCCCACAAACCAACCCATAAAGTTATTATGGCTACCTCTCCCCCTGAGGCAGCCCAGTGAAGGCTGAAGTGTGGCAATTCACGTTGTGGGTGGCGAGGAAAGGGGGAGGGGTGCCTATGGGCTTCCCACTCCCAAGCTCGAGGAGTCACCCTTCCCAATCAAAAGCCCAGACCCCAGGCCTCCCTTTTCTCTGCAAATAAATCTCTTGGCACCCCCCCACCGCCGCCAGGAAATCCAAGTTAGGTTGAGAGTGGGGGGTCAGACACTATTCTTCACCTTGGCATTGTAAAAGTTGTCACATTTTGGCACCCCCACTGCCCTCCCAGCCCTAAGGGCCCAGGCTTCCAGGATGGAAGGACCCACTGGGAAATTCTGTTTCTTGTTCAGATTAAGCCCTTCCTGCTGCAGGCTCTAAGCTGAGACCCAGAATGGGGTGGAGGGCAACTAATATGTCCCCCTGGCATGGGCTTCCCTGCTACTCTGGGCTGCCATCCTTATTCCCAGCGGCTACTGAGGTTTCTGCAGTTCAGGGAGGCATGGGCAGTACATCAAGGGAGGGGAGGGATGTGTGGTTTCCATTCGAGTCTATGAAAGCACTTGTACTTCCTCCAGGAAGTTAACTGGCTTCCCTGTATCCCCTTGTACACATCACTACAATTCATTCATTAAACAAACATTTATTGAGTGCTTTCTAGGTGCCAGGCACCAAGCCAGGCACTGTTAATACAAAAATTCCAACACAATCCTTGCCCTCAAGGAGCTTACAGTCTACTGGGGAGATGACCATTAGGCAGGCAAGTGAGCCCAGAGTGATCTGTGTAGTATGCCAGGGTGGGGGTCGGGAGGAGAGAGTATAGCCAAAGCTCCTTGGAGGAAGTCAAGTCTAAGTTGAGATTTGACAGAGAAAGTACCCTTTCTCTGTGACCAAAAGAAAGGAGGAATCAGAGTGGCAATGGAGAGCCACTGCATCTCTGGATACAGGAGGCTGGGACCCAGAATGCAAGAAGGCAAGTGATGAGACCAGAGAGGTGAGCAGGGACAAGGACACCATGAGTCTCACAAGCCATGCTGAGGGGTCCAGACTTTATCCTGAGGGCAGCAGGGAGCCAAGGAAGGTTTTAGGCCAGAGAGTGACTTGATCAACTATGCAATGCATTTTAGGAAGATAGCTCTGGCCACATGATAGAGAAGCAGTAGGAGGCTGTCACGATAATCCAGGTGAAAGCTGATGACAGTGGGAGTGGCTCAAATCAAGAGATGTTAAGGTAGACCTGACCGTTTTGAGAGATTGGATGTGGTGGGCAGAAAGAGAAAACAGGAATAGAATAAGTTTCCTGTCTGGCTCCTGAGTGATCTCGGGGTCAAGGGAAGTACCCAGAAGGGGCAGGTTTGCAGAAGACAG
This sequence comes from Homo sapiens, assembly GCF_000001405.40. NCBI lineage: Eukaryota > Metazoa > Chordata > Mammalia > Primates > Hominidae > Homo > Homo sapiens. The sequence continues at coordinate 70,986,683 of NC_000002.12, forward strand.
CAAGTACCATCTGGGCCATGGACCTGAATTGTCTGTGCACCTAGAGGGCAGCAAAACTGTGGTTCAGGTGATCAGGAAGGATGTTGGGGCTGGAGGTCAACTCTAAATTCCTCACCATCCTTGAAACCATCCAGATGGATGGGCTTCCCTAGGGAGCCCACAGCAGAACCCTGAAAGACCCTACTGTGCATGGGCAAGTGGAGAAGCCTGCACGGAAGCCTGAAAGGAACAGCCAGGGAGGTAGGACAACTAGCCACAGAGGTGCCAGGGAAGTGCCATCCAAGAAGCAAGGGGTGATCAGCCATGTCAAATGCTGCCCAGATCTAGTAAGACAGGAAAGGGGTCTGCTGGATTTAGCAAGCCCTGGGAGAACACTGGCAGTAGAGTGGAGGGGGCGAAGCCACATCATCAAGGTGAGGGACCAAGCAGCAGAGGGAGGAAAGTAGGGCCAGCTGTCAGCCCAATGGGAGGATGATGCAGGCTGCCAGTATCCCCTGCCTTGTCTATCCTGGTGTGCATAGGAGAAAAGGGCCTGGCAATCTCGTTCACACTAAGAGGAGACCAACATGTGCTCTTCCTCTCAGGGAAAGGGGAAAGCTGGTATTCTTAAGAGAAGGTAAATGCTAAAGCCAAGGAAATGAAGGGCTATGATGGAACTCCAGGCATGATATAGAGGAAATATTTTCAAGCACAGGGGTTTTTCCAGTGGCTTAAATGTATCACATGTGTACAGTTCATCTCTGTACCTGCCAGCCTCACTTTGAGGTATAGAACATGGCCAGAAATGGCTCTCATAGGGACTTCATTCCAATATGTACTGTTGAGCACTTGCAAGGCACTATAGTTGGAGTGCAAGGTCAACAAATGCAGGTCTGTGCCCAAGACCTGGCCTGCCTTCTTAGAAGGCAGATATATCTCCCCAGGAGCCAAGAGTGCACAGACGGGCCAGGGCTTGGATGCTCTTAGAGTGACAAACAGCTTCTCCCATTAGTCCCATTTCTTTAAAAACAGGCTGCCTGGAAGCTAATTTTTATTTTGTTTCTCCTTGAGCCTAAGATAGTATTCAGCCAGAAACCACTCCTTTTCCCAGAGGAAGATTTATAAATAGGATATTGTAGATGTTCTTCTGAAAATCTAGCCCAGTCCTAAATTGTCCCCTCTCCTACTCCCAGTTTGACAGTCACGGAGCCTTGGGGAAAGAGATGGAAGAGAGTGCATCAGAGAGGCTGCCTATAGCCCCACTTCCCACTCCTTGAGCAGGCTCAGCTCCTCACCCCTGCCCCCTTCCCATTAAGGGCCACAAGAACAGTCCCTTGGGAAGGGCAAGACCCAAACCCAGAAAAGGAGTCCCTGGAGCAGAAAAGTGAGTCCAGTCCAGAGCAGAAGGTTAGCAGGAAGAAAGGAAGATGAACTGTCAGGGTATTAAGGCAAACAGTGCCACCTAGAAGCGAAGCTTTATTCAAACGGAAATCTGCACTTGGACAGAAATCACCGTTCAACAGCAAAAACTATTTCTGTTGGACATGCCAAGCCATGGCCCCTCCCCATGGCCACCTGCCCAGAGAACTTGTCACCATCTGCTCTTAAGCTTCACAGACCCTGCCCTGCCTGCCCCAGCGGGGCCAGAACCTCCTGACCCACCTTGGAAGGGACAGGGGAGGACTGAGGGACCTCGGCCTCCTGGCTAAGCAGGCTCTGCCACCCTCCTTGGTGCCCTCTGAGGTTACAGCCTCTTGAAGCATCAGATCTGAGCCAAGCTGAGCCCCCCAAGGAGGGTGGGGATGGGGCTCCAGAGTTGAGGGGAAGAAAGCCAGGGCAGGTGGTAGGTGCCTTCCCGACTTCTGGTCCCCACCTGGCATAGAGGCCCAGGGGCCTGACTCTCCTGATCTTGCCCCCCACATCCTGCCTGCATGGGGGTCAGTATATCTTCTGACGACTGGGTAGAATGGCCTCTTTGATGAAGGAGAAGACAACCAGGATCCCTAAGCGTTTGCCCCGCTTGCCTTTGGTGAAATAATTGGAGACGACATCATCTGTGGAGATACAGGCAAGAATATGAGAGAGAGAGAGAGTGTGTGTGTGTGTGTGCGCATGTGTGTGAACACGGCCCTCCCAACCCCGAGTCCAGGTGTCTCCAACACAGGGCTAGATTCAGGTTCCCTCAGTGGACCCCTGCCAACCCAGGCCTTGCTGGCTTGCCCCCACCTGGGCCCCTTACAAATCCCTTCTCACCTCCTGGCTGCATGGTAGAGGGCAGGACGTTCTCCCCGGCCGAAAGTGACACAAAAAACGCAAACGGAATTATCCACAGGCAGAAAGTGAAATAGGCCAGGACCTGGCAACAAGAGAGACTGAGAAGAGGGTGCCCCGGAGGTGCCAAGAGTGGGCTGGGTGTGGTGACTGCGTGTTGGTCAAGAGTGCACAGGGGGCCACACCTGATCTCCAAAGGGGGCCCAGGCCTGGGAAGCAGGGAACGCCACCCTCAGACATGGAAATCCTTCTGTGGGGAAAGGTGGAGGCTGAAAATGACTGAATGTGGCCACAAACCCCATATCTTGGTCGCTAGGACAAGCAACTCCCCTGGACTGAAGGAGGCAGACAAAGTGCTAAGCCATGACTGACTGACCCACACCCCCCAAAGAAGTGACCTTGCTCTTCCCAGAGGTTCAAACTGGAGCAGCAGGGTGTGGAGAAATCGTGGGAGAAGAAAACCTTGGCGGCCACTGGGAAAAGCTGGGGCTCAGGGGTGCAGTCCATCCCTGCCCTGTGAGGACTGTGTCAGAGAAGGTCACCCTAGTACCCCTTCCTGACCTCAGGATGACCCCTCGAGGGGGACCCAAAGGACTCACTGAGGAAGAGCAGTGTCCTCCCCACCTCGGCCAAATGAGCACAGTCTGTCCCCATCCACACAGCTTTCTCAAACCATCTATGTTTTGTTTTTTTCAAACATGTAATCCTTGAACAGATTCAGTTTCAAATCATAGCTAAGTTTATAAAGTAAACCATGCAAGTTCCCTTTTACTACCCTGTCCCTGTTAACAGCTGAATGTGCTGGACACTTCTTACCTCTGAGAAGGGATAATATTCTTCTGCAAAAAACTGAAATGCTAGGTAATGATTCACCACCACTAGTCCTGTTGAGGGAATGAAGAGTCAGTCAGTTTAAGGGGAATAACAGAAAGCTGTACTTTTAACTTCAAAAGGCCCTCAGAAGTTGGGAGCCTCCATGGAGTCTTAGGCCTGACTTTACACTCAACTCAGAGTAGGCTACTGCCTAGAACCGTTTCCCATCTGCTAAAATGGGAGAATGAGCCTCAACCTGCCCACTGCACAGGGCATTCTGAGTAAAATTAGAAGAAGGCTCTTTGCATGTTATAAAAGTGAGACTTCTATGTTACATAATCCAAAGCATCATGACGATGAACCTCGTTTTTCGTGGATGTGAGGGCTAAAGAAAGCTCTCCCACAGTGACAGGTGGGGAGAAATCATGGGTGTGCAGACCAGACGCCCCTAAGAGGCTCTACTCCAAACTCGCAGCAAGGAGAAGGCCTGCTCAAATAAACAAACTGGGCAGCAAGGAGAAGGCCTGCTCAAATAAAAAGGCTCTCACTCCTCAGGAATAAAAGGGCAAGACTTGCTAGATGCTTTGAGGTGCAGTCTTCAGGTTCCTCAACATTCTGGGGGAGGGGGTCCCTCCTCATCCTGCCCCCAGGTAAGGCATACCGGTGTGAACTGATACGTTCTGGACACACACACACACACAGCCACCCCTCCTTGGTGTGTAACTGAGTTTATAAAAGAGGGCACGTGTGCATATCCTGGACACAGGCTGCTCAAGAGACAGTCATCCCTGCCGGTTCCCATGGTGAGGTGAAGGGCAGGCACCAGAAAGAACATGTCCCCTGAAACTGACTGTCCCCTCACACACACCTCACAGCAATTCTCATGTCTCCTTTCTTCTCTCCTGCCTCTCCCATTCTAAGGCAAAGACTACAGTTCTGCTATGCCTAGCCACACTCTAGGGCTAAGAGATAATGGGAGGTAGGATAGTGCCTGGTGCCCACAAGATCTTTTGGAAAAACTCTTTTAGGCATTAAAGGGCAGATCAAGGGAGTGAAGTCAGGGGAGCCTGCTGCTGAGGGGCTGGGGGCAGGACTTCTTCCCTGGACAGAGGGGCCTGGTCTCCATGGAAGGGCTCCCTAACAAACCTCTGCTGAACAAATTCTTTGGTGAAATCACACCCAAGGAAGAAACCAGTTTTGGCTTTAACAATATGCCCTTTGTGTGGATAATATTCACCCTCCAGGCTCTCTCATAGAAATAGAAAAGTCACTCTAAAAAACCCCTAACTCCATCTGATACCCTGACTGAAAGCTAGGGTAGCCAGCAATGATGAACAGGAGCAATGGCAATCTTGGCAACCAAAATACTTTCCGAAGCCTTTTCCAGGAATATCTGTAAATACCTATATGCACCTACTATATGCCCACTGAGTCTCCCAATAGTTCTTTCAGAAACATCCTCTCTGAATAGATGGAGAAGCTAAGGCCCAGAGAGGGCCAATGATTCCCCAGGGTCAGAAAGTGGTGGCAGGGCAACGCCAAGAAGACTGGGTCCTCCACATCCAGGCTCAAGCCCGAGGCAGCGGCAGCCAGTGAGAATGAGATGAGAAGCTGCAGCCCCCAGGAGGCATTCACACCAGGCCAGAGTCTGCAAGGTGCTCACAGCCCCATGAGGCTCCAGTCCTAACAATGACTTTGGGTCAGAGGACTGGACGGACAGCTGCCTGCCTACCGGAAGGGCTTTGGGCTTTTTCTGGCCAAGTGGTTTTTTTGAGGCTGGAACTGCTCAGTTGGGGGCCCTGCCTCAGCCAATCCACAACCTCTTCTTTCCCAAACTCTCCTTCAAACTTACCTCTCTGGGAAAGCCCTCCCTGTCTGAGTCCCCAGCCCCAACAAATTCTATTCACTAGAGCCAAGGTGGGCTCTAGAGTCCTCAGCAGTAAGAACCGCATCTTCCCAACTAGCCTGGCTTCCTGGAGGACTTCAACAGCTGGCTTCCTTTTTCTGTATCCCCTTTAGTGCCCAGGATGGAGATGGGCACACCCAACCACATCAGCTGCCTCCCCAACTCTGTCCCCTCTCACCACACGACAGGATGAAGTTAGGCGAGGTCAGCATGATGAAGGGGAAGGTCTGGAGGAGGCCAAAGTAGACGAGGTTGGTGAATAGGCCCACTCCAATCATGCTGGTGGGGAAGCGCTCAAAGACGTAGAGGCCAATCAGTACAGCGGTGGAGAACTGAAACAACCAGAGGCAGACAGTGCAGGGCGCTTCTTCCAGGCAACGTTCCTGGACTCACCAACCCCCAGCCCGCTCTGGGCAGCACTAGGTTCATGCTTCAATCTCCTCATTTCACAGGTCTGGCCTCCCCAGCTAGGTTCTCTGCTCCCAAAAGGCAACATTTTTTTTTTTTTTTTTGAGACGGAGTCTCACTCTGTCATCCAGGCTGGAGTGCAGTGGCGCGATCTCCTGGATTCAAGCAATTCTCTTGCCTCAGCCTCCTGAGTAGTTGGGACTACAGGCATGCACAACCACGCCCAGCTAATTTTTGTGTCTTTAGTAGAGACAGGGTTTTGCCATGTTGGCCAGGCTGGTCTCAAACTTCTGATGGCCTCCCAAAGTGCTGGGATTACAGGTGTGAGCCACCGCACCCAGCCCATTTCTCAAACTTTTTGACAGCAACCCACAGTAAGAAAAACATCTGCCAGGCGAGGTGGCTCACGCCTGGAATCCCAACACTTTGGGAGGCCAAGGCAGGCAGATCACCTGAGGTTGGGAGTTTGTGACCAGCCTGACCAACATGGAGAAACCCCATCTCTACTAAAAATACAAAATTAGCCAGGCATGGTGGCACATGCCTATAATCCCAGCTACTCGGGAGGCTGAGGCAGGAGAATCGCTTGAACCCAGGAGGCAGAGGTTGCGGTGAGCTGAGATTGTGCCACTGCACTCCAGCCTGGGTAATAAGAGCGAAACTCCATCTCAAAAAAAAAAAAAGAAAAAGAAAAACATTTTACACTGTGACCCCAACACATATATACATATATATGATTCAAAGCTCAAATTTCAATTCTATTTATGTTCCTTTTTTTAAAAAATGCTGATTGTGACCTACTATACAGCCAAATAATGAATCATGCCTACAGTTTGAAAAACACTACTGATAAGTACCTACAGTTGTCAGTGCTTAGCAAATGACAGTTGGCTGAATGAAGGGCTAATTACTGTGCCAACACCCACAAGCTGGGCCTCTGGACCAGAGCTGAGGGCTATAGTCTTGCCTCCACTGTGAACTCCCAACCTCAGCCATGCCCAGAGTGCACATGGCTGCTGACACCAGGCGACTTGAGGGGCTGTGGACGCTTTCTCTCCAATGGCACCCCTACCCCCAGCCTTTCCTGCAGCTGAAGGAAGTCTGTCCACCAGCAGTCACCCCTATGGCTTTGATATCAGTGGCAAGGACTGTGTCTTCAGTAAGAGAAGCCTCCCATGAGACCAGGGAAGGGCGAGGGCAGCGAAGCTGTGCCGATCTTAGGACAAATCACTTGATCCGATTAGAAAGATGGCAATGAACATATATGCAAAACTGTCTTATGGCTCCTCTAAGTTTTAAATGCTGTGAGCAGAGCAAAGGGCTAAAGACAGCGGGAGAGAGCTAAGCAAAGTCAAATCTACGGTCTTGTCAACAGAGAAGTACACTTCGCTGTCACCTTAAGGACTAGAGCACAAGGCCTGCAGTGAAACAATGCCACTTGGGGAAGGCGGCCAGGGAAGATCTGGGCCCAGGAGTGCAGACCCAAAAGACAGCGTTCAGGGCAAGGAGGTAAGAGTGTATGCTCAGGAAACAGCAGAGACACAGGCCTCATCATCCATGCCAAACTCTCCCCACTTCCTGCTTTTGAGGCAGGGCAAAAGAGTGAGGAGGACTCCTGGAGAAAGATGCCACTTACCCAGATCATGTATTTTATGATCCTGCTGGTGGCCACTGTGTATTCTTCTATCAGTTCTGCCAGGTAATAGAGTCCAGCCGCTGCAGGGTGGGAGGCAGGGAGACTATCAGCCAGGGTCACTCCCACCATCCTGGTCACCCCTCTCTCTGCAGCCCAGTCCCCATCCACCCTTCATGGACCCCAGAAGGTCAAGAACAAACCAAACATCCCATGTGTTGCCCTTCCAAGTCTGGAGAAGTAAAACTTTCTTAGGGCAACTAAGGACAAATCTCATAAAAATCAACGAAAGTCTGCATTTGATGCCACAGTACAATGATAACCTCTGGCTCAGAAAACGGAATTTCACGTATTCAATAAACACCTGCTGGGCACTTGGCATGAGCCAGGTCCCTGGGCTGAGAATACAGCTGAAAAAGACAGACAAGGGTCCTTCCCTGACCCAGCTTGGGAAAGGGAAGGGGAACAGTAGGGAGAGACAGACGAGTTTAGTGTGAGAAATGCTACTTTAGGGAAAGGACAGGGCACTGCTGGACCATCAACCCCTGTGGACTTCCCGGAAAAGATGACATCTCAACTGAGGCCGAATGGGAACCAGCCAGAGGAGAAGTGTCAAAGGTGGAGAGAGCAGGGAGCATGAAGGGCCAGAGGCGCAAAGGCGGCGGTAGGCGTTGGGGAAAAGTTCCGCGCGGCAGGCCCGCGAAGAGTGGGAGCCGCAGCGGTTAGCGGTCCGCAGACGCGGGGGCGGCACTCGAGTCACCCTTTCTCGGGCAGTGCCGGAGCGGACTCTGTGACACCTGGAAGGAGCCACGGTCAGGCCGGGCTGCCAGGCTCGACAGGAGGGGCAGGATCAGGCGGGAAGGGGTTGGGGCGGCGAAGGCCGGGAGCGCCGGGCAGTGGTCCCCCGAGTGGCTCCGAAACCCCCGCGATGCGACCCCCAACGAGCACCGATGCCGGGGCGGGAGCCCGCGCGGGCCGGGGTCGTGCAGTCTCACCGACAGCCAGCGTGATGAAGGCCACCTGGATGAAGAGCGACAGCCAGCTCAGCAGGTACATGAACCACATGGCGCCCCCACCCGCCCGCTCCCCGGCCACCGGGACGGGCCTGCGCGCTTCGGCTCCGGCGACACACAGCCGCCACCGCCGCCGCCGCCGCCGCGTCCCCGCCCCGCGGACGACAGGACGACGGTGCGCCGCCGCCGAGAGGAGCCCGGCCCTAGCGCTGCCCGGGGCCAGGCTCGCGCTAGCGCCGCCCGCCGGAGAGGAGGGCCAACCGCCGCTGCCCCGCCAGGATCCCCCGCTCCACTGAGGGGAATGAATGCAGACCGCTGCAGCCAGAGGGAGGCGGGACGGTGCCCAGGGGCGGAGACGACCAAGCGCCCATACTGGGGCTCGGAGTGCAGCCTCCAGTCCCTCCCTGTGCACTCCCGTACCAGCCTGGAGGTGGTCCAGGGCCGGACAGGGCCGCCCGACCGCGCCCCAGCAACCTCCCCAGAACCTGCCTCCCGGCAGGTTGCGGACAAGTCTGTCTCTTGCTATCGCAGGTGATAGGGACAAAATTATTGAATTCCTAATATGTGCCACGCTCTGTGATAAAGGCGAGGTGTGTTCTTGTCGGAAATTTGAGCAGATAATGTAAATCATTTTATAGACGGGGAAGCCGGGGCCAAAGGAAGTTGCCCTGGGTCATGCACCTAGGAAGCGGCACAATCAGGAGTTGGGGTGATTTTAATCGGTCATCCTCCGGCCTAATTCCCCTCTAGGCTGTTCTTTTGGGGTACATTCTGCACCTTTGTATCGCCTGCACCTCACCCCTTGCCGGGCACGCAGGGCGTCCGCTAGGCGCTGGATGCATTTACTACACCTCTGGGAGGGTTCCTGAGGGGCACCTGGAACCGGTTAGTCCTTGTCAACAAGTCTCCCATCTAGTGGCGGAGACAGGCATGCAAAATAAAGTATGTAGAACAAGAGTCTAGTAGGCTTATTTCAGAATCATATTTTTCCTGCATAAAAATACGTATTCCTAAAAAAAACAATTACCGTATGATTTAGCAATTCTACTTCTGGGTATATACCCAAAAGAACTGAGAAAGCAGAGACATTTGTATACCAATATTCATAGCATTATTCACAATGGTCAGAAGAGGGAAGCAACCCAAATGTCCATCGGTTGACGAAAAGATAGACATAAAGTGCTATAAACATACAATGGAATATTATCTAGCCTTAAAATGAAGTGAAATTCTGACACATGCTACAACATCAATGAACCTTGAAGGCATGATGCTAAGTGAAATAAGCCAAATAGGGAAGGACACACATTGTATGATTCCCCTCATATGAGGTACCCAGAGTAGTCAAAATCATGGGCAGAAAGTTAAATGGTGCTTGCCAGGGTCTGGGGGACAAAGAATGGGGAGTTACTTTTTAATGGATACAGGGTTTCAGTTTGGGAAGATGGATGGTGCTGATGGCATCACAACAGTGTGAATGTGCTTAATGTCACTGAATTGTATACAGTGTTACAGAATTGTAAAATGGTTAAAACGGTCAATTTTATGTTATGCATAGCTTCCCCCTCCCCCCAACAAAATACATAAGATTACAAAGCCCATCCTGGCTAACACGGTGAAACCCAGTCTCTACTAAAAATACAAAAAATTAGCCGGGCTTGGTGGCGGGCGCCTGTAGTCCCAGCTACTCAAGAAACTGAGGCAGGAGAAGAGCGTGAACCCGGGAGGCAGAAGTTGCAGTGAGCCGAGATTGCGCCACTGCACTCCAGCCTGGGCGACAGAGCGAGACTCCGTCTCAAGAAAAAAAAAAAAAAAAAGATTACAAAGCAGGCTGGGCACAGTGGCTCATGCCTGTAATCCCAGTACTTTGGGAGGCTGAGGTAGGAGGATCACTTGAGGCCAGGAGTTCAAGACCAGCCTGGGCAAAGAAAAATTTTAAAATGGCCAGGCATGGTGGTGCGTACCTGTAGTCGCAGTTACTCTGGGCTGAGGCAGGAGGATTACTTGAGTCCAGGAGATGGCGGCTGCAGTGAGCTATGATTGGGCCACTGCATTCCAGCTGGGATGACAGAATGAAAACTTGTCTCAAAAAAAAAAAAAATTGCAGTTGCCGGGCGCGGTGGCTCACGCCTGTAATCCCAGCACTTTGGGAGGCCGAGGCGGGAGGATCACGAGGTCAGGAGATTGAGACCATCCTGGCTAACACGGTGAAACTCTGTCTCCACTAAAAAATACAAAAAAAAAAATTAGCCGGGCATGGTGGCGGGCGCCTGTAGTCCCAGCTACTCAGGAGGCTGAGGCAGGAGAATGGCGTGAACCCGGGAGGCGGAGCTTGCAGTGAGCCGAGATCGCGTCACTGCACTCCAGCCTGGGGGACAGAGGGAGACTCCGTCTCAAAACAAAAACAAAAACAAAAATAAAACAAAAAAGATTACAAAGCAAACCAATTATATAGAAATGCAAGTATTAAACTATTTTTAGAAAACCAAATGTATTCTGTAATTTATGTGCTTCTCTATTAATATATGACATAAGCAGACCTATTGCAAAATCTAATAGCTACCTACCACAATGACAAAGTAGGAGTGAGGGTAAATGATATTTCAAGATATCATTAATCATATGAGAGAGTTATAGATAAAAATAGAAACTTTTCTCCTTCCAAGTTTCCAGGCGTCTTAAAATTGTCTCCCTAAATTCTATACCTGCTGACTTCTAAGGGGTCCCTGGACCCCCAGTTAAGAATACCTGAGAGATATGTATATGGGGCATGGTGGGGTGGCTCACGCCTATAATCCTAGCACTTTGGGAGGCCTAGGCAGGAGAATTACTTGAGCCTAGGAGTTCAAGATTGACCTAGACAACAAAGTGAGACCCCATCTCTACAAAAAATTTAGAAGTTATCCAGGTGCAATGGTGCCGGTAGTCCTGGCTACTCAGGAGTCTGAGGTGGGAGATCGCTTGAGCCTGGGAGTTCAAGGTTGCAGTGAACCAGGATCACACCACTGCACTCCAGCCTGGGTGACAGAGTGAGACCTTAAAGGGCTATATCCTTTTTTTTTTTTTTTTTGAGATGGAGTCTTGTTCTGTTGCCCAGGCTGGAGTGCAGTGGCACGATTTCAGCTCACTGCAACCTCTGCCTCCTGGGTTCAACCGATTCTCCTGCCCCAGCCTCCTGAGCAGTTGGGATTACAGGTGCCCACCACCACATCCAGCTAATTTTTGTATTTTTGTAGAGATGGGATTTCGCCATGTTGGCGAGGCTGGTCTCAAACTCCTGACCTCAAGTAACCCACACACCTTGGCCTCCCAAAGTACTGGGATTACAGTTATGAGCCACTGCACCCGGCCTCACCATATGCTTATTTACAAGGCTTTTCATTGCAGCACTGTAAGAGACTGAAAACAACCTAAGTGTTCATTGATAGGAAACTGGTTAAGTATATTTAGCCCTAAAAGCCAATGAGGGTGTTCTTTATGTACCTATATAGGACTATTTTTGAAAAAAAGCAAAAGAATGGGGAAAAGAATCTATATACACATTTTTTGCAGGGAGGGACAGGGTCTCACTCTGTCACCCAGGCTGGAGCACAGTGACAAGATCATGGCTCACTGCACCCTCAACCCACAGGGCTCAAGACATCCTCCCACTTCAGCCTCTCAAGTAGCTGGGACTACAAGTGCATGCCATAACACCTGGCTGATTTTTTTATTTTTATTTTTTGTACAGATGAGGTCTCATTATGCTGTCCAGGCTGGTCTTGAACTCCTGGGCTCAAGCAATCCTCCTGCCACAGCCTCCCAAAGTAGTACTTTGGTAATACAGGCATGAGCCACGTCACCCAGGCTACACATTTCTTTCTATAAAATATCTCTGGAAGGATACGTTAGAAAACAGTAATATTGCTTGCTTCCTAGGAAGAGAAGGGGTGGGGTTTCAGAGTAGGAAACAGCATTCCCACTGTATGTCTTTTTATATCCTTAAAATATTGAACTATGTAAAGATATGGAAAGGTGTTACCTATTCATAAATGAAGTTTACAATTAAAATGTTCATAATATGATGGGCCTGCTAGGATGTCTCCAATTTCCTGTTGTTACCCAGTCCCTATGTGAGGAAAAACCATTGAGTTGTGCCTTACTGGTAAGTTTGCTAACCTTAGGTCATGGGACTTGGTCATCCCTGATTGTTCCAATAGGGGAGCTTCATGTCCAGATCTTTTCTATTGAGGAGTTTGTATTGGAGACACGGAAGCATCAGTGAGTAACGGCACAGTAAAGTATCTCTCTCTCACTCTCTCTCTCTCTCTCTGTCTCTCTCATTTATTTACTTATTTGACATGGAGTCTTGCTCTGTTGCCCAGGCTGGAGTGCAGTGGCACAATCTCAGCTCACTGCAACCTCCGCTTCCCGGGTTCAAGCAATTCTCCTGCCTCAGCCTCCCAAGCAGCTGGTATTACAGGCATTCACCACCATGCCCAGATAATTTTTATATTTTTGTAGAGATGGAGTTTTGTCATGATGGCCAGGCTGGCCTCAAGTGATCCACCTGCCTCAGCCTCCCAAAGTGCTGGGATTACAAGCATGAGACACCACACCCAACCAGTAAAGTCTCAATTGGTATTTTTTTTTCCCTAAACATCTTCCCAGGGAAGGAGGAAACTATAAAAATATCCCCCATCCCTCTCCAGAATTGTAGATAAGGGAAACTGGAGGCCCCAAAAGGTTAAGTGCTTTCACCTTTGAACCAGCCTTGTTTTTCCAGGGCTGGGCACTTTCACTTCCCACAGTTTTAAAGCCAAAAGTAGCCTGAGAGAGGTAAGGCTGAGGATTCAAATTTCCTCCGATGGCAGGAAGAGAGAGGCCACCATTTCCTGAGAGTGGTGAGAAGTCAGGTCCACCTGACCCAACAGGACAGGGCGGGGCTCAGGGAGGATCCTTAGGCTGTGTTTGGGGAAGGAGTTACAAGGGGAGCAAACCCAGGCCTTGCCTGAAGGAGGGAAGGAAGGATAGCAGGTCCCCACACTCAATTCAAGGGACTCATTTCAAGAGTGAAAGGGTTTGGAGGTTCAAAGGTGACTGACCAGTTTGTTGATTTAAATATTGACAGGTGGCCGGGCATGGTGGCTCACATCTGTAATCCCAGCAATTTGGGCACTGAAGCAGGAGGATTGCTTGAGCCCAGGAGTTCAAGACTAGCCTGGGAAACATAGTGGGACCCCATCTCTACAAGAAATAAAAAAAATTAGCTGGGCATGGTGGCACACACTTGTGGTCCTAGCTACTTGAGAGGTGCAGGTGGGAGGATCCCTTGAGCCCAGGGGGTTGAACCTGCAATAAGCCATGTTTGCACCACTGCCCTCCAGCCTGAGTGACAGAGTGAGACCTTGTCTCCAAAAAACCCCACAAGGGCCGGGCACGATAGCTCATTCCTGTAATACCAGCACTTTGAGAGGCCGAGGCGGGTGGATCACCTGAGGTCGGGAGTTCGAGACCAGCCTGACCAACATGGAGAAACCCCCGTCTCTACTAAAAATTAAAAAAATTAGCCGGCTTGGTGGCGCATGCCTGTAATCCCAGGTACTCGGGAGGCTGAGGCAGGAGAATCACTTGAACCCAGGAGGTAGAGGTTGAGGTGAGCCAAGATCGCGCCATTGCACTACAGCCTGGGCAACAAGAGCGAAACTCCATCTCAAGGGAAAAAAAAGAAAAAGAGAGAAAAAAAAACCACACACAAATGTTACCATTTAATGTTTGTAGGGTGAAGGACCAACTCCGTATATTTCATGAGAGGGTTCTAGGGGAAACTAGTTATTTCAACATAATAGGTGTCTCTGCTTCAGAAAACAAAGACCAAATTTCTTTTCAGGTTTTTGGCTGAGATGAAGTGCAGAAAGCAATAATTGCTAGCATTTATAGTGTTCTTTCTCTGTGTCAGACACTGCTCTATGTGATTTGTATGTACTAACCTATTTAATACACACATCTAGCACAGGCGATACTATTACTGTCTCCATCACAGCTAAGAAACCAAGGCACGGAGAGGTTCAATATCTTGTCCAAAGTCATACCACTAATATTTTAAGCAGCCAGGGGTCAAACCGGGGCAGGCTGGCTCCGGAGTCCACATGGTTTTCTCTGGTCTTTCTGAGTTGAGTCACCTGACTTTGCAGTTAGGGTGATTCTGCCTGCCTTGTCATCAGGTGCCATTTGGCCAGTGGGCTGGGTCCTGCCTCATCTCCCTGCAGGCTGCCTGGTCCCCCGGGCTTTTCCTCTTCTCCCCTGCCTTTATCCTTGCAGGAACAAATGAATACACCTCAGGGTTCTGGCTTTGACCACCCCTGGTCCCCTCCACTGTCTTCACCCACTCCCCTTCTCATTCTAACAGACTTACACATTCACTATGCCTGAGGCCAAGGACATCCTTAGTAGGATCTGTGGTCCCAGTGGTCCACCCACACGCTGGGGACCTGCACATCCCCAGGGGCTAGGAAGGTGCGGGGAGGTGGAAGTAGGAGGCGGTACGGCCGGAAGTCGGCCGCCAAAGTTCCCCTTGCCGGGCTGTGTTGGCTGCTGCCCTCTAGTGGCGACCAGAGGAGCTGGCGAGGACCGAAGCCAGGTTCATCGCTTATGGAAAGCAGTTTTGAGAGACAGTGGGGACCCCACTACCCGACTCATGAAGGCCAGGTGGGCAGGCCCCGAGAGTACACACAGCCGACACCCACCCACCACACACACACAGTACACAAAATTGTAGACAGGGTCCACCTCGGCATCAGGGCTCCTGCTGCCCCGGCATGGTCTGGCTACAGACGATGGTTGTTGTGTGAGAGACTGTGAGAGACACTGTGAAATCAGACATGGCAGAGACAGGCCTGGAGGCCCAGGGCCCTCCCTCTGCCTAGTCTTCTCCTCCCCCGGTGTGGCTCTTACCTGGACCTGAACTCCTTCCCCACCAGCTCCCCAGGCCTCCCAGGAGCACAGCTTTGGGGTAGGAAGAGCTGAGGAGAGAGGTTACCGCCCGCCCCACTGCACCCTAACACATGCCATCCACCACACGATGTCCCCTCTTTAAGGTGCCACATGCTGGGGGAAATTTTTCCTGTGATGGCCCCTGTAGTTGGCAGGTGTGTTGCTTGGCACCCCACCTCTAAGATCTTGGTTCTGCAGCCGGCTAGCAAGACCAAAATTCTAGTGAGAGACAAACTACAATGAAAAACAATGACCCCTGCTATGTCCACATAATCTATGTGTCTAGGGAAGCTAGGCCTCCCAACCTGGTTTCTACACGGTGCCTGTGCCTCACCCAAGCAGCTGCCACACAGTCCTGGCACCCCCCCATCCCTGTCACATGCCTGCGGCCCCAACTCAGGTGGCTGGATTAAAGAGCTTCCTAGTGACAAGTCCTCAAAGGGCACTATTAATTGCCTCAGCATTGTCTTCAGCTAAACCACTAGAGGATAAAGGGCAGGGGGTGGGGCGGGGGTGAAGGGGTGGGGCTGGGGAACGACAAGAAGGAACGGGTGGGGAGGGAAGCACACACACACATGCACACACACACACACATGCATGCACACACATGCAGCAGAGCCCCTGAGCAGGGCTGCTCTAGTCCCATAGCCTGGGGCGCAGGGAGGCGGGCAGCTGGCTGATGAAAGTCCAGCCTCCCTGGGCTAGCAGCTCCTCTCCTGAGGCAGCCCCATTAGCCAGGACAGCAGAAAGCCATTCACGGTCACTCCTGTCATTAGCATAACGCGGATCACTGGAATCTCGGCTGAAGTGTCTCTCTGTCTTTATCCAAGCAGCTCCAGGGGGTCCTCCCATGACAGGAATTCCTGATGAGAAGAAAAGGTGCAGCTCTCTCTGACAAGCTGGCTCCTCTCCTCAGAAAAAAGAAAGAAACAAAGAGAAGAGGATGACATTGAATGTATCAGAGAACTAAGAAACTTCTGCCAGCCTGAGCAACTTCTCCAGCCAGGGCGACAGAGCAAGACCATGTCTCAAAAAAACAAACAAATGAAAAAAGAAATTTCTGGATGAGGAGGATGCTAGCTCTACATTCCACTTCACAACCAGGCCCTACATCAGCCTATATTTGAATACCATGGCAATTCACTACCCCACGATCTGTGAGGAAATTTTTCCTTACACTAAACAGATTGGTCCAGTTTCCACACTTGGGACTGCCAGAAAAAGCCTATATATCTAATATAATTTATTATAAATAGATGATATTTGTTGGACATGTCTTTTGCCAGGGACTGGGTTAGGTCCTTTATACACTCTCTTGTTTAACACCCACAATAATTCTATAAAGTAGATATTATTATTATTATTATTATTATTATTATTATTGAGACAGAGTCGCTCTGTCACCCAGGCTGGAGCGCAGTAGCATGATCACGGCTCACTGCAGTGTTGACATTCCCAGGCTCAGGTGATTCTCCTACCTCAGCCTCCTGAGAAGCTGGGACTACAGGAGTATGCCACCATGCCTGGCTGATTTTTGTATTTTTTCATAAAGACAAGATTTTGCCATGTTTCCCAGGCTGGTCTTGAACTCCTGGGGCTCAAGCAATCTGCCTACATCGGCCTCCCAAAGTGCTGGAATTACAGGCATTAGCCACCACACCCAGCCAAAATAGGTACCCATTAGATCCATTTTACAGAGGAGGAATCTGAGGCACAGAGAAGTTAAGTAGCAGCTAGCAAGTCCCAGGTAGGGCAATCCATACTAGTATACTCATGACACTGGACTTTCAGTGCTAACGCCAGGAAAGCCACTGGCATACTGGGACAAGTTGGTCACCCCAGGCCCCAGTCTTCCTGGCAATAGCATCCACATGCTTACCCACTGAAATACACTGCCTTGGAACGTCCACTCTTCAAATGTTTCTCACACGCACACGCACGCAGACACACACACACAATGCCCCCAAGTCTTCTTCTGGACCATGTCTCACCTTTTCACAGCCATTCTTCATTTAAGACAAGTGCCAGTCCCTTTGCCAGCCTCCTCCCTCTCTCGCCAGTGTTTCCTGGGCAGCATGTCCATCCCTCCTGGTGCAGCTTCCCCCAGGTCTTGTGCAGAGTCAGAGTCAGATGCTGACAATCAAGGGGACCATGTCCATAGGTTGAGGGTTTGTGCCCGAAGTCCTATTTTCCTTTTTTCCTTCCCAGCAGAGCCTCTATTTTGTTTAGAGCAGCAGTGTGCCCTGCTTTTAAAAAAACAAACACAAAATAGAACAACTCTCCATATCACCCTCAGCCCAACCACTGGAGGAGGAAGGTCTGATTCTGGGGCAGTGGGTGGTGGCGGGAGGAGGAAAATGCACAGTGAATCTCAAATCCAAAGAACACGTTAGGATGGTCTCCCTCGGGGGTCCCTCCATGCCTTGGCATTCTCCACTCCACCCAGACAGAGGGGAGAGAGCTGGGCGCTATCTTCTCTTTCTGTGGGGTTCTTGCCTCAGACACAGAATCCCCCATCACGCATTACCACTTGCCCACCTCTCCACCTGAAAAACACCCACCCATTTTTCAAAGCCCAGTTCAAATATTTCCTGAGTAGGCCATGGAGTGTCCTCATCTCTGTGTCCACAGTTCCCAGCACAGGTCCTGGCATGAAGAGGTACGTGAGGTGGGCAGGAGTTATCCTGCCTATGGGGATGGCCTCTGCAGCCATATTTCTGCCAAGTCACCCTCCCTCCGTTAGAGGTGGAGATCCTTGACCCAAGCTGGCTAAATGGGCTTTTTCCCACAACTGGAGAGTGGACATGAGTGAGGCCAGATTGGCCTGTGTGCAGTGTGTGGCACTGAGCCATCTCGATGGCAGCTTGTGAGCCCCGTGGTGGACATTTATGCCACGTGGCAATGACAGAGGAAGCCAGTCTATGGTGAAAAGGCCCTAGCTGATGCTTGTGAGGAGGGTACAGTCAGTGGGGTGTGGCCTCAGCCTTACAGACCCTTCCGGTTCTGGCTGCTCCCAGCACCCTTGGGTTCTTTGAGGCACTACTGAGTTTCTATTTCTTGCAACTCAAGTGTCCTAACTGCTCCAGAAGAGGAGGTTCCCAGGGGTCAACAGATGCTGATCCAGAGTCTGGGCCCTGCCTGTCCCACAGCCAGCCATACCGATGTCCCCTTGTTGTCCCCTAACTCCCAGTCTGGTAGCTCTCATCTGTGGCCGTTCATTGTAGTTAACTCAGACAGTTTGAATCAGACTCTCTAGGACGGGCTCCAGCATCAGCAGCTCTTCAAGTCAGCCTGCTTCCACAGGGCCACGTCCCATTTCTTCAGGGCTTCCACAGGGCAGCCAGGATGGAACACAGCCCTAGAGAAGGAGAAGCACAGGAGAACACTGGGCCACTAGAGTCCTGAGCACCAACACCCACCTTCTCCTATGCATAGCTACAGAGATGACGGCGGTGGAGGGGGCTGCAAGTGAGGCCAGCCCTGCCCAGCCTGCCCTTCCTCCTAATCCTACCCAGCAAAGGTGAGCCCTGGAGCTGTCTTGGTCCCACCCACCACTCGCATGCATGACACATTGGAATTACAGGTGTGAGCCACCAGACACAGCCAAAATAGGTATCCATTAGATCCATTTTACAGAGGAGGAATCTGAGGCACAGAGAAGTTAGGTAGCAGCTAGCAAGTCCCAGGTAGGGCAATCCATACTAGTGTACTCATGACACTGGACTTTCAGTGCTTAAGCCAGGAAAGCCACTGGCATACTGGGACAAGTTGGTCACCCCAGGCCCCAGTCTTCCTGGCAACAGCATCCACATGCTTACCCACTGAAATACACTGCCTCGGAACGTCCACTCTTCAAATGTTTCTCACATGCACACGCATGCAGGCACACACACACACACACAGCCCCCAAGTCTTCTTCCAGACCATGTCTTATCACAGCCATTCTTTGTATGAGACAAGTGTCAATCCCTTTGCCAGCCTCCTCTCTTTTTTGCCAGCATTTCCTGGGCAGCATGTCCGTCCCTCCTGGTGCAGCTCCCCCCAGGTCTTGCACAGGCTCAGAGTCAGCCATGACACTCTGAGTCATAGCTCTGAAACTCTGAAGAGCCCTGTCCATCCCGTGTCCCTGCCTCCTGCGCAAACCCCTCCTCCATGCCACCCGTGATCACTCCACGCGCCCTTCCTGCCCCTTCTCTCTGCCTATCCAGTTATCAGTCTTTCAAGACCTAGGTAACATCCCTGCCTCCAGGAAGCCTTCCCAACTGCTCCAGTCCATTCTAACCTTTTCTCCTCTAGCTTCCTCTTTGCACCCAGCATTCACTGTCCTCATGGGACATACTCACTGACTCCCTGTGACTTCTCTTGCTTCTTATCTGACTTTCCAGGCCTTTAAAACCTTGCCTCACTGACCAGTCTGTGAGACCCTTGTCTGCTCACCACACCCTGGCCAAATATTGAGCCAGACATGAGGGAGATGCTCAGGAGTCGATGCACCAGTGGATGCCCCCACCCCACTTTCCCACTTCCCCAGTCTGGAATGGGGAATGAGGGGCCCATCCTAAGAAGGGTCCTTGGAGAATCAGGTTGGATAGGAGCAGGCGCCCTCTCTCTCTCACACACACACAACTGCGGCTGATGGCACCAGTTGATGGCAGAGGGATGGGAGAGGCTAGATTACCTCTTAATTTCATCCCAAACCTGAAATCTCCGAGCCCAGCACAGCAGATCAGCTTCCTGTGGCAGCCATACTGCCTGTCCCACCCAAGCTGCCTGTCTTTACTCACCAGCACTCTCCATGCACCTTCAGGGGGAGGGGGCTGGGGGTGGGCAATGGTAGTGATGTGAGTCTGAAACCACAGCCAGAGACCAGTAAGAGACCAAAATCAATGTGTGACTAATTTTAGGGCTGCTGCCTTGACTGGCTGCATGTAGTGTGTGTGTGTGTGTGTGTGTGTGTCTGTGTGTCTGTGTGTCTGTGTGTGTGTAATGACAGTGAAGACAAAGCTAATTGCAAACCTCTGCCAGCCAACGGCAGCAGAATTGCATCTCCCGAGACCTTCTTGAGTCTCCTTGCCATCCCCATATGCAGTGTTGGTGAGAGCTGAGCAGGCAGCTTCTCCCCAGAGAGCCTCAGGGCAAGGCTGGGGAACAGAGTGTTATAGACGTCAGAGGCTGACAGGCACAAACCTCGGCACATCTCACACACAGAAAGGCACATACAAGAGAGGCCCCCTGCAGCTGGCAGTGCAGGGGTCCCAGGGAGTGCACAGGTAAACATGGGGCACATGAGGACTCACTCACAGACACTCAAGCAAGCAGGAAGGTACCAGACCAACCTAGACACCAAATACACACAGGTACCAGGCCCACAGACACAGCTTCACACCTGACATCCTCCTGAGACACCCAAATTAATCTTCCTCAGTCAAAGGCAGCCTTTGGCCGGTTTGGTGCAGTGACAACAGTTTGTCATACCCATCTCACCTCCCTTTCTTTGCATCTACCCAGTTTTTTTGAGGTCCCCTGAAGCGGGGCCAGCTGAGCTTCCCCTGCCCTAGACCTAAGAGGTTCTCTGTCCCAGGGTTGTGGGGTTTGGGAGATTGGAGGTCAAAGTTGGAAACTGGCTTTCCACCCCTCTGCTGGGGGCTGGAGCCTGCCCTTTCCATGGAGGGGAGGTGGTTGGGACAGTGAGGGCAGGCAAGGCCTCCCAGCTTTCCCAGGCCCCAGCCCTGGTTGCTTCACTTGCTGGAATTGCACACCGCATCAGGCCTCTGACCCCCTAGAGAAAGTCTGGGGGCAGGGGCTGGGAGAGCCTGGTCTGGAGTCTCCAGGGTCCCCTCAGGCCTCTGGGCAGGCCTATCCCGTCATCTGCCAGCAGGTCCAGAACATCCATGGGCAGCTGTGACTCTGGCCACTAGAATGCAGCTTCAAAAGCAGCTTCAGGTTCCGGTCCCAGGGTCAAGCCTGGCTGTGTGAGCCCTGATCACTCTTCCTGGGAATCTCTGGGAGCTAGACACCATGTGGACATAGCTGGATCTGCAGAGCCAGGGGTACCCACAGGGACAGTGCCAGGCACTGACTACACAAGCAGGGGAGGCCTGTGTGTGCCAGGCAGAGGAGCTGGGCCTAGGGAGGGGGTCAGAGCTGCCTCTCAGGGCTGAGCTGGGCAAATAGGTTCTTACTGAGGGCTGCCCCCGTCTGGGCTGTCAGATGCCACCCCAGATATAGTATCTCTTTTCTCCTCCTGTCCACACTACACACAGCATAGTAGAATTCCAGCTTCTCTCACTCTGGCCCTGCTCTCTGCCTTCTGTTTATAGCCCTCCTCTTTCAGATATTCAACGGCTGCTTCCGCATCATTTAGGCCAAGATCACCTCCTCAGGGGGGCCCTCCCTTATCACACTAGCTAAACAGCAGCCCCCAGCCCATTCCCCACTTTACCTTTCCTCATAGCACTTATCACTACAAGACAATATAGTCAATGTTCATTTATTCTCTGTCTCTCCCACTGGAATGTGAACTCCATGAGGGCAGGGACTTTGGCCTGACTAGTCCCAGAATTCCCAGTGCAAACAAAGTAGGCATGCACTAAATATGTTCGATGAACATGAGCAAGCATGCACATGCAACTGACACACGACAAACATGTGCACACGCAGACACACAACACACATGCATGCACCCCCGCACGCACTTGTGAGCAGAGGCATTCGCATGTCTCACTTGGCTCAGCTCCTGAGAGCCTGAGGGAAGCATTATCACCCACACTCTCCCACTCAGGCAGCCTGCAGTCGGACTCCGCTCAGCTCTCCTGGTGCTAACTCGGCCTGACACACCGGTTGCACATGGGACCTCCTGTGGAAGCTGCAGCAAGCCCACCACCATTGTGGTGGCTGCTAATTGGCTCTGTGTTGGGCCGTGGGTCATCGCTCGGTCAGCCATGGCTGATACCTTCTTCCCACTTGTCTCAGGAAAGGCGCGGCTGTCCCCTCTGCTTAGTCCTCAGCAGGCCACTGAACCGAACATGCCTGGCCACATGGGACCAACTGGGCCAGCCAGCCTTTTGGATGGTGGCTCCAGCCCCACTCATTCTTGAGAGAGAGCAGAGAGAGCTCAGCAACAAGACTGGCCCTGGGCTGAGTTGTTGCCCACGGATGTAGTGTAATAAAGAGGGTATGATGAAGGGCCCAAGCCCAGCATCTGTGCATAACCTGTCACAGTGCCCCTCCATCACACACTGACACACAAAAGGCATCTCAGGAAGGTGGAGAGTATGAAGGTGGTTAGCAGACGCTAGGAAGAAAAGGGGTGGGATGGGGAATGAAAAGAAGTGGATAATCAGGTCCCCAAATACAGAAAGATGGAATAAGTGAGTTCTAGTGTTTGATAGTACAGTATGAAAATTTTAGTTCACAAGAATTTCTTGCATATTTCCAGATGCTTTGGTAAGAAGATTCCTCACTTTCTCATTATGCTAGTTTTTAAGCTATTCTCTTTCTGCTCTCGAAATCATGCTGGTTTTTTGTTTTTGGTTTTTTGTTTTGAGACAGAGTTTCGCTCTTGTTGCCCAGGCTGGAGTGTAATGGTGCAGTCTTGGCTCACTGAACCTCTGCCTCCTGGGTTCAAGCGATTCTCCTGCCTCCACCTCCCGAGTCATTGGGATTTCAGGCATGCACCAGCATGCCCAGCTAATGTTGTATTTTTAGTAGAGACGGGGGTTTCTCCCTGTCGGTCAGGCTGGTCTTGAACTCCTGACCTCAGGTGATCCGCCCGCCTTGGCCTCCCAAAGTGCTTGGATTACAGGCGTGAGCAACCGCACCCGGCCCATGCTGCATCCTTCTCTGTTGTCTGTTGTTGTTTGTTTGTTTTTGAGCCCAGAAATAACTTCTCACCTATATGTTCAAATGATTTTTCACATGAGTGCTAAGAAAGTCCATTGGTGGAAAAGCAGCCTTTTCGAGAAATGGTGTTGGAGAAACTTGATTTCCACATGCAGAAGAATGAAGGTGGACTCTATGTCACACCAGGTGCAAAAATTAACACAAACTGGATCAAAGACCTAACCCCAAGTGCTGAAAGTATAGTATGCCTAAAAGAAAACATTGGCTACACTTTCATGACATCAGATTGGGCAATGCTTTCTGGGATATGACACCAAAAGCATAGGCAACAAAAGAAAATTAGATTCCTTGGATGACATCTAAATGACAGACACTTTTGTGCATCAAAAAACACTGTGAACTGAGTGAAAAGATAACCTATGGGTTAGGAAAAATGTTTGCAAATCATATCTCTGAAAAGAGGCTGATATCCATCATATATAAAGAACAGCTAGAACTAAACAACAAGAAACCCAAAGCATCCCATTCACAATGGTCAGAAGACTCGAGTAGACGTGTCCCTAAAGAAGATATAGCGATGGCCAATAAGCATCTAAAATGATGTTCAAAATCACTAATCATAGGGAAGCACAAATCAAACCAATAATGTGATACCACGCATTAGGATGGATATGATAAACAAACAAGCATTGGTGAAACTAGAGGGAAGTAGGAATGCTCAAATCTGATTGGAGGGAATGTAATACTGTGAAGTAACAGGGAAAACAGTATGGCATGTACTGGAAAAATTAGAAACAGAATTATCAGATGTTCCCGCAGTTGCATTTGTGGGTACCTACCAGAAAGAATTAGAAGCCAGGAGTGGAAGAGAGATTTGTACACCCAAATTCATAGCAGCATTATTCACAAGAGCCAAAATGTGGAAGCAACCCAAGGGTTCATGGACAGATGAATGAAAAAGCACACTGCAGTTCATTCATACAATGGAAGACTATTCAGCTTTAAAAAGGCAGGCACTTCCGGCCGGTGCAGTGGCTCACGCCTGTAATCCCAGCACCTTGGAAGACCGAGGTGGGCGGATCACCTAAGGTCAGGAATTCAAGACCAGCCTGGCCATTTTGGTGAAACCCTGTCTCTACTGAAAATGCAAAAAATTAGACGAGCGTGGTGGCGTGTGCCTATAGTCCCAGCTACTCGGGAGGCTGAGGCACAAGAATCGCTGGAACCCGGGAGGTGGAGGTTGCAGTGAGCCCAGATTGTGCCACTGCACTCCAGCCGGTGCGACAGAGTGAGCGTCCACGTAAACACAAAACAAAATAAAACAAAACAAAACAAAAAAACAATAAAACCAGACAGGCACTTCTGACACAGGGTGCAACACGGATGAACCTTGAGACATTCTCATCAGTGAAATAAATAAATCCCAAAAGGATAAACACGACCAAGCTCAGTGGCTCGCACCTGTAACCCCAGCACTTTGGGAGGCTGAGGCAGGCGGATCACTTAAGGTCAGGAGTTCGAGACCAGCCTGGCCAATAGGGTGAAATCTCGTCTCTATTAAAAATACAAGAATCAGCTGGGCGTGGTGGCGCACGCCTGTAATCCCAGCTACTCGGGAGACTGAGACACAAGAATAGCTTGGATCCACGATGTGGAGGTTGCAGTGAGCCGAGATCACGCCACTGCGCTCCAGCCTGGGCGACAGAGAAAGACTCTGTCTCCAAAAAAAAATAAAAAATAAAAAATAAAAATTAAAATTAAAATTAAACACGGGATGATTCCATTTATATCAAGTGTCTAGAGCAGTTAAACTCATAGAGTTGCAAAATAGAATGGTGGCCCCCAGGGGTGGGCGAGAGAGAGAGGAATGGAGAGTTTGGTTAATGGGTGCAATTTCCATTTTGAAAGATAAAACTGTTCTGGAGATGATGGCAGTGATGGTTGCTAAACAATGTGAATGTACTTAATGTCATTCAACTGTAAACTGAAAAAGAGTGGAAATTGTAAACGTTTATACTGGCCGTTCTATATGAAAGAATATATATTTATCCTTTGTATTATTAATACATGGTCTATTTTCCCCTAATCAAAGATGAACATTAAAGCAGTTGGATCTTGAAAAAGAAAAGCAAGAAGCGAATAATACACACAAGCTTTCTCCTGATTAGAGGAAGAGCCCCAAATCTTCTATGGACACTCCCTTTTCTCTTCTTCTTCTTGCATTATTATGAGGAAATCCTTAGAGGTTGGGGAACTTGGGCGACTCTGGCTAATGAGGAGCCCTGTGCCTTGAGCCCCCCAGGCCACAGAATAGTAAATACTCAGTCTGTGCCTCCAGCCCTGCAGTGTGAGGTTGCAGTCCTGTGGGCTCCACACCTGTCACCTGTATCAGGAGGCTCATGTCTCCCCCTGTCTTCCTGCCAGTCTTGAGGACGGAGTCTGAGCCTCCATCATGCACCACTCAGTGAGGACAGTGGACTTGTTCTCCGTGGTCATGGCCCAGCAGAGGGGAAGGGCGGTTCAGTGAGTGCTGAGGGACGGTCGGGAGCCTTGTTTTGTTTCCTCATCCTCAGGACAAACAGGAGAGTGCGGTAGGCAGATGGGAGGAGACCAAAGTGCACACTGTCAGCTCAGCAGACTGGAGTTTCTGTTCTTGGTTGTGGTGGGGGTCTCAGAAATCTTGTTCCAAATTTTGCTTTCCTCCCCCCTGGTTGACCTTTTCATAGACATCTCACCCATGATAGCAGGGGATAAGTCCCCCTGGGACCTGAGCAGTAACATCCCACTGGAATATTACGAATAATATCACAGTGTGTACACCAACTGTGATATTAGGAGTCCTATTTATTTTTAGGATATTAGGAGGAATATCACAGTAGGTGTACACAAATAGTGTGTACACCTTCTGTGATATTAAAAGTTATATCTCCCTAGGGTATTGTGAATAATACAGTGTGTACACCCGCTGTGATATTTGAAGTAATATCTCCCTAAGATACGACAAAAATTATCAAAGGCTGGACCCAGTCTGTGATATCAAAAGTAACATCTCTGTGGATATTCCAAACAATATCACAGGGTGTACACAGCCTGTGACATTAGGAGTAGCATCCCTATAAGATATTCCGAATAATATCACAGGGTGTACACCCCATGTGACATTAAGAGTAACATCTTAGGATATTACGAACAACATCACAGGGTGTATGCCCCCTCTGACTTTAGAAGTAATATCCCCCTAGAATATTATGAATAATATCACGGGTGTACACCCCGTGTGACATTAGGAGTAACATCTCCCTAGGATATTACGAAAAATATCACTGGGTGTACAACCTCTGTCATATTAGGAGTAACATCCTTCTAGGATATTATGAATAATATCACAAGGTGTACACACACTGTGATATTCGGAGAGATCAGTCAATGGGATACAAGGTATCATATCACAGAATGTACACGCATGGTGTGCACCCACTGTGATATTAGAAGCAATATCTCCCTATGATGGTATGAGAAATATCAAAGGGAGTACACTCTCTGTGATATTAGATGTCATGTTTACCATGGATATTACAAATAATATCACAGGGTGTACACACATGAGGTACACCCACTATGGTATTATTTGTACTGTCTTAGAGAGATATAACTCTCTAATATAACACAGAGAGCTATAACTCTGTAACATCTCTGAGATATTAAAAATAATATCACAGTGAGTGTACACCCACTGTGAGATTTACAGTAATATCTCCCTATACGACTACAAGTATTATCGAAGGGTGTCCACCCCCTGTGACGTTAGGAGTAACATCCTGGATATCAGTATTAATATGATAAGGCATACACACCCTGTGACGTTTTGTACACCCTTTGTGACATGAAAAGTCACACCCCCCTAGTATATTACGAATAATATCAAAGGCAGTTGATGCACACGGTGTACACATCCTGTTACATTAGGCTTAATCTTTTTCTGTGATTTATGAATAATATCACAGAAGGTGTACACACATGGTGTACACTCCAGGTGACATTAGGAGCAACATCCCCCCAATATATTAGAAATAATATTACCAGGGTTGCATACACATGGTGTACTCTCCCTGTGACAGTAGCAGCAACATTCAGCTGGAATATTACGAATAACATCAGAGGGGGTGTACACACATAACGTACGCAACTTGTAAAATTAGGAGTAGCATCTCCCTACGATGTTATGAATAATATCACAGAATGTGTACACACATGGTGCATACCCCATGTGATGTTAGGAGTTACATCCTTCTAGTATGTTAGGAATAATACCACAAAGGTGTTCACACATGGTTAACAGCATATGGGATATTAGGATTAACATCCCTCGAGAATATTACAAATAACATCACAGGGGCTGTGCACACATGGTGCACATGCCCTGTGACATTAGGAGTACATTTCCCTGACACATTACGAGTAATATCACAGAGTGTACACCTTCTGTGACATTTGGAGTAACGTCCCCTAGGATAGTATGAATAATATCACAGGGTGTACATCCCCTGTGACCTGAGGAGTAACATCTTTCTAGGATATCGTGAATAATATCACAAAACGCACAGCCCCTGTGACACGAGGAGTAACATCCACCTAGGATATTAGGAATAATATCACAGGGAGTACACCCCATGTGACAGTAGGAGTAACCTCCCCCGAGGATATAACGAACAAATACAGAGGATGTACACGTGTTGTGACATTAGCAGTAACATCCATTTAGGATATTATGAATATTATCAGAGCGTGAACATCCCCTGTGATATTAGGAGTAACATCCCCCTGTGATACTGGGAACCATATGATACGGTGTACAGCCCCTGTGACATTAGAGGTAACATTTTGTTAGGATATTATGAATAATATTCCAAGGTATAGAGCCCCTGGGATGTTAGCAGTAACATTTCCATAAAATATTAGGAAGAATATCACTGTTTGCACACCACGGGTGACATTAGGAGTAACGGCCCCTAAAACTATTATGAATAACTTCACAGGGTGTACACCCTCTGTGACATTAGGGGTAATATCTTTCTAAAATATTATGAATAATATCGCAAAAGGTACACCCTCTGTGACATTAGAAGTAACATCGCCCGAGGATATAAGAAATAATATCAGATTGTGAACCTGCATTGTGACATCAGTGGTACCATCCTTTGAGGGTATTACGAATATTTTCAGAGTGTGAACACCTTCTGTGACATTAGGAGTAACATCACTCTACAATATTGGAATAATACCACACGATGTACACCGCCTGTGACATTAGTGGTAACATTTCTTTAGGATATTACTAATAATATGACAGGGTGTACAGACCCTGTGATACTAGGAGTGACATATCCAAAACACTTTACAAATAATATCACTGTTTGTACACCACGTGTGACATTAGGAGTAACATCCCCCGAAACTATTATGAATAACTTCACAGATTGTACACGCTCTGTGATATTAGGAGTTAACGTCTTCCTAGAATGTGAAGAATAACATCACAGGATGTACACCCCCGTGACATGAGGAGTAACATCATTCTAGGATATGATGAATAATAGAACAAAGTGTACACAACATGTATGGTGAGAGTAACATCCCTCTGGGATACGAGGAATCATAGCACAGAAAGCGCACCACATGTGACATTAGGAGTCACATCCCCTTAGGATATTACGAATAATATCACAAGGTGTACACACATTGTGACATTAGGAACAATATCCAGCTAGTATATTGTGAATAATATCACAGCGTGTACACGTTTGCGATAGTAGGAGCAACATCTCCTAGAATATTACGAATAATATCACAGGGTGTACACACCCTGCGACTTTAGGATAATCATCCCCCTGGATAACTACAAATAATTTCACAGGATGTTAAACCCCTGTGACAATAGGAATAATATACTTCTGGGATATGATGAAAAATATCACAGTGTACACCCACTGTGATATTAAAAGTTATATCTCCCTCAGATATTGTGAATAATATCACAGGGTGTACACCATGTGTGCACACCCACTGTGATTTTTAAAGTAATATCTCCTTAGGATATTATGAATAATATCAAGGGGTGTACACACCCTATAACATTAAGATAACATCCCTTTAGGATATTCGAAATAATATCCCAGGGTGTACACCCCATGTGACATTACGAGTAACATCTTCCTAGGATATTACGAATAAGATCCCAGGGTTGACATCCCCTGTGATTTTAAAAGTAAAATCCCCCCCAGAATATTCCTGATAATAACACAGGGTGTACACCCCTGTGACATTAGGGGTAATCCTCCCAGGATATTACGAATAATATCAGAAGGTGTACACACATGG
The DNA here is from genome assembly GCF_000001405.40 of Homo sapiens. Taxonomy (NCBI): domain Eukaryota; kingdom Metazoa; phylum Chordata; class Mammalia; order Primates; family Hominidae; genus Homo; species Homo sapiens. The sequence goes on from NC_000002.12 coordinate 71,015,898, forward strand.
TGACATTAGTAGTAATATCCTGCTAGTATACTGTGAATAATATCACAGGGTATACACACCTGTGACATTAGGAGTAACATCCACCCTGGAATATTCCAAATAATATCACAGGGCATACACCTCCTGTGACTTTAGGAGTATCATCCCGCTAAGATATTAGGAATAATATCACAGGGGGTTAGGCTGTGTAATATCACAGGGTGTACACGCCCTGTGACATTAGGAGTAACATCTTTCTAGAACATCACGAGTAATATCACAACGTGTGCACCCCCTGTGACATTAAAAGTAAAATCCCCCTAAGATATTCCGAATATTATCACAGGGAGTACACCCCGTGTGACATAGGAGTAATAACCCATGAGGATATAACGAATAATATCAGAGGGTGTACACATATTGTGACATTAGTAGTAACATCTCGCTAGGATATTACAAATAATAGCACAAGGTGTACACCCCGGGTGACATTAATTTCTGTAACATTCCCCTAGAAGATGACCAATAACATGACAGGGTGTAGAACACCTGTGATTTATGAGTAACATTTCTATAGAATATTACAAGTAATAACATTCGGTGTGCACCCCGTGTGACATTAGGAGTAACATCCCACAAAACTGTGATGAATAATTTCAAAAGGTGTACACCGTCTGTGACATTAAAAGTAACATCACGCTAGGATATTACGAATAATATCACAGGGTGTACAGCCCCTGTGACATGAGGAGTAATGTCTTTTTAGGATATGACGAATAAGATAACAAGATGTACACACCCTGTGACATTAGGTGTAACCTCTGTCTAGGAGACTATGAATACTATCGCAGCAAACACACCCCCTGTTATAATAGGAGTCACATCCCCATGCGATATTATGAATAATATCACAAGGTGCACACACATTGTGACTTCAGGGCTAATATCTCTCTCATATACTGTGAATAATATCACAGGGTGTACACCCCTGTGATATTACCTTACGGGTAACATCTCCCTAGAGTATTACGAATAATATCATGGGGGTACACACGCCTTTGGTTTAGGAGTAATATTCCCCTAGGATATGACAAATAATATCACAGTGTGTTCACTCACTGTGATATTAGGAGTCCCATTTTCCTAGGATATTATGAATAATATCACAGTAGGGGTTTCACATAATGTGTACACCCTGTGTGTACACCCAATGTGATATTTGAAGTCATATATTCCTAGGATCTTACGAATAACATCAAAGGGTGTACACCCCATGTGACATTAAAAGTAACGTCCCTTTTGGATATTCCAAATGCTATCACAGGGTGTGATATGAGGAGTGTGATATTAGGAGTAACCTCTTCCTAGGATAACCCATGTGATATTAGGAGTAACCTCTTCCTAGGATATTATGAATAACATCACAGGGTGTACACCCCTGTGACTTTAAAAGTAACACCCCCTAGAATATTACGAATAATATAACAGGGTGTACACCCCCTGTGACAGTAGGAGTAACATCTCCCTAGGATATTATGAATAATGTCACTGGGGGCATGCCCTCTCTCATATTAGCAGCAAGATCTTTCCAGGATATTATGAATGATATCACAGGGTGTACACTCACTGTGATCTTAGAAGGAATATCTCCCTAGGACATAAGCTATCATATCACAGAGTGTACACACATGGTGTACAGCCACTGTGTTATTAGAAGCAATATCTCCCTATGATATTATGAAAAATACCACAGGGTGTACCCCCTGTGGGATACCAGAAGTAATGTTTACCATGGATATTACAAATAATATCACAGGGTGCACAGAGATGGGGTACACCCACTGGGATATAAGGAGTTATAGCTCTCTAAGATATTACCAATAATATCCCAGGGGGTGTACCCCATGTGTGTACACCCACTGTGATATTTAAAGTAATATCTCTCTATAAGATTGCAAGTAATATCGAAGGGTATACACCCCCTGTGACATTAGGAGTAACATAACCCTACAATATTGGGAACAATATGACATAGTGTACACCCCTGTAATCTTAGGACTAACATCCCCCCAGAATATTACTAATAATGTCACAAGGTGTACACGCATTGTGACATTAGTGGTAGTATCCTGCTAGCATACTTTCAATAATATCACAGAAGGAACACACCTGTGACATTAAGAGTCACATCCTCCTGGAATAGGAAGAATAATATCACAGGGTGTACACTCCCTGTGACATTAGGAGTATCATCTCGCTAGAATATTATGAATAATGTCAGAGGAAGTTATCTTTTGTGACATTAGGAGTATAGACCCCTGGGAAATTATGAATACTATCACAGGGTGTACACCCCTGTGACATTAGGAGTAACATCTTTCTAAACTATCATGAATAATATCACAACGTGTACAGGCCCTGTGTCAAGAAAAGTAAAATTGCCCCAGGATATTACGAAATATAACACAGGGAGTACACCCCGTGTGACATTAGAAGTAACATCCCCCGAGGATATGACGAAGAATATCAGAGAATGTACCTGCATTGGGACATCAGTAGTAACATCTCTTTAGGATAATATGAATAATATCAAAGGGTGTACACACATTGTGAAATTAGTAGTGAACTCCCGCTAGGATATTACGAATTTTCTGAAAGGGTCTACAGGCCTGGTGACATTAGTAGTAACGTTTTCCTAGAATATTACGAAGAATATTAAAGAGTGTACAGGAACTGTGATTTACGACTAACATTTCTATACAATATTACACGTAACACCACTGTGGGTACACCCCCGGTGACATAAGGAGTAACATCCCACAAAACCATACCAAATAAGTTCATAAGGTGTACACCCTCTGTGACATTAAAAGTCACATTTCCCTAGAATATGACGATAATATCGCAGAGTGTACACACTCTGTGATATGAGTAGTGACATCTTTAGGATAATATGAGTAATTTGACAAGGTGTACAACCCTGTGACATAAGGAGTGACATCCCACTAGGAGGTTACCAATAATATCAAAGGGAACATACCCCAAGTGACCATAAAAGTAACCTCCACGTAGGAGATTAAGAAGAATACCACAAGCTGTACACACATTGGGACATTATTATTAACGTCCCGAAAGGATTTAGCGAATAATATCAGAGTGTGTAGAGTGCGGTGACATCAGGAGTAACGTTCCCCTACAATATTACGAATAATACAGCAGGGTGTAAATCTCGTGTGACTTTAGCAGTGCTATGTTGCTGGAATATGGAAAATAATGTCCCAGGGTGTTAACCAAGGGTGGCAGGATAGAAAACATCCTAGGAATCACTGAATAATATCTTCTAATGTCACACGGGGTGTATTCCCTGTGTTATATTTCGTAATATCCCAGGGAAAATTTACTTTTAATGACACAGTCGGTGTACATATGTGGATAGAAATATCACACCCCTCTTGCCCCCCTGGCTCTTAGGACCCCCATCGCAGGGGGGTGAGGCACGACCCGCGGTGGTCTCACAGCTTGTTGACCGTATTGTGAGTAATATCATCTCCCCCTCTGGATATTATGAACTGTTTCACAGACGGGTGTGCACCCTCAGTGTACAGAGGGTGTTCACCCGTCTCTATTGGGTGTAATATCATCCTCTTCCTCCCTGAATATTAAGAACAGTACCACGGGGGTGTTTCTACTCCCTGTGGTATCGCGTGCCATATCCTTCTCTCCCACGTTCCCATTAGAAACAATATCAGTGTGGGAGTGTCCACCTTCTGTCCTGTTGAACGTAATATCATCCTCTTCCCTCCAGGATCATGGAAACTAAATCCCTGGGGGGTGTGGACTTTCTGCCATATATGTCGTCATATCACCCCCTCCGCCTTGGAATATTATTAAGGACCATCTCACACGGGGGTGTACACTTCCTGCAATACTGGGAGTAATATCATGCTCTTCTTCCGTGAATATTAGGAGCAAAATCACCGGGTGGATGCCCACCCAGTGCTATATTGGGAGTAATATCATACTCCAGCCCCTGGAGATTATATTCGGATCAATATCACCGGCTGGGTTTACAACTACTGCGATATTGGACGTAATATCATGCTCTCTCCCTCCCTGGACATTAGGAGCAATATCACAGGTGGGTGTACACCCACTGAGGTATTAGACGTAATAGTAGGATGAATTATTCCTCATTTATTTTTAACATGAATATGAATGACCGATATTAATATTAATATTAAGAAATAATTGCTAATAAAGTTTTCAGATTAATATTAATATTAATTATTAGGAGCTAATATTACTGTTTTCTAATGAATAAGATCAATATCAGTTATTAATATCAGGCAACATTAATCATTAATATTAATCATGTATTGTTATCGTTAGTATAACTATTTAATATTATCATTATCATCGGTATTGATTTTAAAAATTATATTATCAGTTATTAATATTGATAATTATTAGTGTCAATTAATAATTGAGATTATTAATTTCGGTAAGTCGCATTGCGCCGTTCCACCCCTCCCCCGGCAGCTCCTTTACGGCCCAAAACGGGGATACAAATGTCCCCGAGAGAACAGCGGTATACTGGGATAGATGAGGATGGTCACGTGGTGGAGAGGCGTGTTTTTGGCTACCAGCCCTTCACCTCCGTCGACCTTCTCAACTGGAAAAGCAATACACCGCCCTATACCGAAAAGCCACAAGCCCTAATTGATTTGCTCCAAACTGTTATCCAGACCCACAACCACACCTGGGCTGATTGGCACCAGTTGCTCATGTTCCTCTTTAACAGCGAAGAAAGGCGGAGAGTCCTCCAAGCAGCAACTAAGTGGCTGGAGGAACATGCACCAGCTGATTACCAAAACCCCCAAGAGTATGTAAGGACCCAGTTACCAGGAACTGACTCCCCCAGTTGGACCCACATGAAAGAGAGGATATGCAAAGGCTAAACCGAGACAGGGAAGCTCTCTTGGAAGGATTAACGAGGGGAGCTCAGAAGGCCACAAACGTTAACAAGGTCTCTGAGGTCATTCAGGGCAAAGAAGAAAGTCCAGCACAATTCTACGGAGACTGTGTGAGGCCTATCGTATGTATACTCCCTTTGATCCCGATAGCCCTGAAATCAGCGCATGATTAACATGGCTTTAGTCCATCAAAGCGCAGAAGACATGCGAAGAAAACTGCAGAAACAGGCTGGGCTTGCAGGGATGAATACATCACAATTACCAGAAATAGCTAGCCAGGTGTTTGTAAACAGGGATGCAGTAAGCCGTAAGGAAAATGGCAAAGAGAATGGAGGTCAGGCCCGGCGAAACACCGACCTGTTTGTTAGCTGCAGCAATCACAGGGGGTCCCCCCAGAGAGGCAAGGGAAGGGGGGCCCTGGGAAAGAAACTCAGCTTGGCTGTCAGAGTTTGCAGCGTAACCAGTGGGCTTCTTGTAAAGAAACAGGACAGTGGAAGAACAAATGCCCTCAGCTCAAAAGAAAACAAGGTGACTCAGAGCAGGAGGCCCCGGACAGGGAGGAAGGGGCCCTGCTCAACCTGGCAGAAGGGTTATTGGACTGAGGGAGACCGGGCTCAAGCGTCCCCAAAGAGCCTCTGGTCAGAATGACAGTCGGGGGTAGAGACATTGATTTTCTTGTAGGTAGCGGTGCTGAACATTCGCTAGTAACCGCCCTGGTCGGCCCCTTATCCAAAAAGACTATTGACGTCATCGGAGCCACGGGGGTTTCAGCAAAGCAAGCTTTCTGCTTGTCTCGGACTTGTACTGTAGGAGGACGTAAAGTCATTCATCAGTTTTGGTACATGCCTGACTGTCCCTTGCCCTTTTTGGGAAGGGACTTGCTCAGCAAGCTGAGAGCCACTATCTCTTTGACAGAGCACGGCTCTTTGCTGCTAAAGGTACCCGGAACGGGAGTCATTATGACCCTTACGGTCCCCCGAGAGGAGGAATGGAGACTTTTCTTAACTGAGCCGGGTCAAGAGAGAAGACCAGCTCTGGCTTAGCGGTGGTCAAGAGTACGGGTGGAAGACATCCCTCTGGGATTGGCCAGTTAATACTGGGGCCCAGCCGGTTAGGCAAAAACAGGACCCGGTCCCCAGAGAAGCTCTTCAAGGTATCCAGGTCCGTCTCGAGCACCTAAGAACTTTTGGAATTATTGTTCCTTGTCAGTCTCCATGGAACACTCCCCTCCTGCCTGTTCCCAAGCCACGGACCAAGGACTACCGGCCGGTACAGGATTTGCGCTTGCTTAATCAAGCTACACTGACTTTACATCCAACAGTACCTAACCCATCCACATTGTTGGGGTTGCTGCCAGCTGAGGACAGCTGGTTCACCTGCTTGGACCTGAAAGATGCTTTCTTTCCTATCAGATTAGCCCCTGAGAGGCAGAAGCTATTTGCCTTTCAGTGGGAAGATCCGGAGTCAGGTGTCAGTACACTGAGTAGTGTACACTTGGACCGGGCTTCCCCAAGGGTTCAAGAACTCCCCCACCATCTTCGGGGAGGCGTTGGCTCAAGACCTCCAGAAGTTTCCCACCAGAGACCTAGGCTGCATGTTGCTCCAGTAGGTTGATGACCTTCTGCTGGGACACCCCACGGCAGTCGGGTGCACCAAGGGAACAGATGCCCTACACCGGCACCTGGAGGACTGTGGGTATAAGGTGTCCAAGAAGAAAGCTCAGATCTGCCGACAGCAGGTACCTTACTTGGGATTTACTATCCGACAGGGGTCGGAACGGAGGCCGGGATAAGAAAGAAAGCAGGTCATTTGCAATCTACCCGAGCCTAAAGGCAGAAGGCAGGTGAGAGAATTCTTAGGAGCTGTGGGGTTTTGCAGACTGTGGATCCCAAACTTTGCAGTATTAGCCAAGCCTTTGTAGGAGGTCACAAAGGGGGCAGGGACCGGGAACCTTTGGAATGGGGATCCCAACAACAGCAAGTCTTTCATGAGTTAAAGGAACAACTTCTGGCAGCCCCAGCCCTGGGGCTACCCGATCTGACAAAGCCTTTTCCATTGTATGCTTGAGAGAGAGAAAAGATGGCAGCTGGACTTTTAACCCAAAGTGTGGGGCCCTGGCTGAGGCTGGTGGCCTACCTCTCTAAACAAGTAGACGGGGTTTCTAAAGGATGGCCCCCCTGTTTGAGGGCCTTGGCAGCAACTGCCCTGCTAGTCCAAGAAGCAAATAAGCTGACTCTTAGGCAAAACCTGAACATAAAGGCCCCCCATGCTGTGGTGACTTCAATGAATACTAAAGGACATCATTGACTAATGAATGCCAGACTCACCAAGTGCCAAACTTTGCTCTGTGAAAATCCCTGTATAACCATTGAAGTTTGTAACACTCTACACCCTGCCACCTTGCTCCTGGTATCAGAGAGCCCTGTCGAGCCTGATTGTGTAGAAGTGTTGGACTCAGTTGACTCTAGCAGACCTGACCTCCGGGACCAGCCTTGGGCATCAGTAGACTGGGAACTATACGTGGATGGGAACAGCTTCTTCAACCCCCAAGGAGAGAGAGGTGCAGGGTGTGCAGTGGTAACCCTGGACACTGTTGTTGAAGCCAGATCGTTGCCCCAGGCCACTGCAGCCCAGAAAGCTGAACTCATTGCTTTCATTGGGGCCTTAGAACTCAGTGAAGGTGAGACTGTCAACATTTACACTGATTCTCGGTATGTCTTTTTAATCCTTCAAGTGCATGGAGCGTGATAGAAAGAAAAGGGCCTATTGAACTCTGGGGGAAAAGACAGAAAATATCAACGAGAAATCTTGCAATTATGAGAAGCAGTATGGAAACCCCACAAGGTGGCAGTTATGCATTGCAGAGGACACCAGCGAGCTTCCACCTTGCTGGGTTTGGGGAATTCCCACGCTGACTCAGAGGCTCGAAAAGCAGCATCTGCCCTCTTCCGGGCATCAGTGCTCCCTCAAACACCTGATCTTGGACCTACCTACTTCTTCTAAAGAAGAAAAGGACTGTCTCCAGGTAGAGGGAAGGACAAGTGATGGAGGAAGGATGGATTCGGTTACCAGATGGGAGAGTAGCTGTGCCACAGTTGCTAGGAGCTGCAGTTGTACTGGCTGTGCAAGAAACCACCCATGTAGGTCAGGAGTCACTGGAAAAGTTGTTAGGCCGGTATTTCTACACCTCGCATTTGTCAGCCCTTGCCAAAACGGTGAGGCAGCGGTGTGTTACCTGCCGACAGCATAATGTGAGGCAAGGTCCAGCCGTTCCGCCCAGCATACAAGCTTATGGAGCAGCCCCCTTTGGAGATCTCCAGGTAGACTTCAGAGAGATGCCAAAGTGTGGAGGTAACAAGTATTCACTAGTTCTTGGGTGTACCTACTCTGGGTGGGTGGAGGCCTATCCAACACGAACTGAGAAAGCTGGCCAAGAAACCCCTGTGCTTCTTCCAGATCTGATTCCTAGATTTCGACTGCCCTTACGGATCGGCTCACATAACGGGCCTGCGTTTTTGGCTGCCATGGTACAGAAGACGGCAAAGGTATTGGGGATCACACGGAAACTGCATGCCGCCTCCCAGCCTCAGAGTTCCGGAAAGGTGGAGTGGATGAATCGGACTATCAAAAATAGTGCTATACTATTGTCTTCCCCGCTGGATATTTAAAACAGCACCACAAGGGGCGTCAAACCACCTGCTAAATTTGAGGGAATGTTATCCTCTCCCCACCTCCCCCGGCCCCGGATATTAGAGACAATAACACAGGGGTAATGTACACCCACTGCTTTATTGGGAGTAATATCATCCTCTCCCTTCTTGGATATTAGGAACAATATCACACTGTGCATGTACGCCTGTCGTGAAATTCAATGGAATGTCATCCTTTGCCTCCCTGGATATGATGAACAATATCACGGGGGATGTACAACTTGTGAGATATTGGGAGTGATATCATCCTCTCCCGTCTGGAAGTTAGGGACAGTATCACAGGGGTGGTGTACACCCTCTGGGATGTTGGGACTAATATCATCCTCCCGCCCACTGGATATTAAAAACCATATCACAAGGGGCTTGTACACACACTTCGATATTGGTATTAATACCATCCTCTCCCTCTTTGGATATTCGGTGCCATATTTCAGGTGGGGTATACACCACCTGCAATATTGGAAGTAATAAGATTTTCTCCCCCCCGGATATCAGAGACAATATCACAGGGGGGTGTCAACAACCCCTGCGATATTTGGAGTAATATCATCGTCTCCCCTCATGAAGATTAAGAACAATATCGTAGGGGTGGGGGGTGTACACCCCCTTTCATATTTTATATCATCCTCTTCCCCCCTGGATATTAGGAACAATATCAGGAAGGGATGTGCAGACCCTGCGACCTTTGCTGTCATATAATTGTCTCTCCCCTAGATATTAGGAAAAATGTCACTGGAGATGTGAACAGCCCGGCAATATTGGGAGTAGTATCATCCTCTCTCCCCTTGCATATTGGGAACAACATCACAGGTGGGGTGTAGTGCCTCTGCGATATTGGGAGTAAAATTTTCCTCTCTTCCCCTGGACATTAGGAAGGGTATCAGAGGGGGACGGTGTACATTCCCTGCCATATTCAATGTAACCTTACCCTCTCCCTCCCAGGGTATTCAGAACAATAGGAAAGGAGGGGTGTACACCTCCTGCGATATTGAGAGTCATATCATCCTCTTTCGCTCTGGATATTAGGAACAATATCACAGGGTAGTGTACACCCCCTGCGATATTGGGAGTAATATCATCCTCTCTCCCTGTGGATGTTAGGAAGAGTATCACAGGGCTGTGTAAACCCCCTGTGGTACTGGGAGTAATATCATCCTCTCTCCCTCTGGATGTTAGGAAGATTTTCACAGGGGTGTGTACACCCCTGCGATATTGGGAGTAATATCATCCTCTCCACCCAGGAAATGACTAACAAGGTCACGGGGGAGTGTACTCCCCCTGCAATACTGGCAGTAATCTCGTCCTCCCCAAACCTGGATGTGAGCGACAAGATCACAGAGGGGGTGTACACACCCTGCGACATTGGAAGTAATATGATCCTCTCCCCACCTGGATATTGGGAAAGATATCACAGCGCGGGTATACATTTCCTAGGCTGTTGGGAGTAACATCATTCTTTTCCTTTCTGGATATGAGGAAGAATATCACAGGGGTGCTGTACAATTACTTCGATATTGGGAGTAATATCAGCCTCTATTTTCCTGGATATTGGGCACAAAAACACAAAAGGGTGTACAACCCCTGCGATATTGGGAGTAATAGCATACTCTCCTTCCCTGGATGTTAGAAAACAATATCATCGGGGCTGAACACCCCCCGCGATAATGGGAGTCATATTTACTCTTTCACAGGCCATTTGGAACAATATCACAGGGGGTGTTTACGAACAGGGGTGGTGTACACCCCCTGTGATATTGGGAGTAACATCATTCTCTCCACCTCCGGATATTAAGAACAATATCCCGGCGGGAGGTGGTACACCCCCAGTGATATTGGGAATAATGTCATCCTCTCCTTCCCTGGATATTAGGAACAATATCACAGCGGGGTGTACACCTTCTGTGGTATTGGAAGCAATATCATCCTCTTCCCCGCTGGATATTAGAAAAAATATCACTCATGGTGTACACCCACTGTGATATTAGGAAGAATATTACAGGGTGTACACCCACTCTGATTTTAGGAGAAATAGCTCCCTAAAATGTCACAAATAATATCACAGGGTATACAGTAATATCTCCCTAGGATATGACAGATACTATCACAGGGTGTACACCCACTGTGATAACAGGAGTAATACGTCCCAAGGATACTAATAATATCACAAGGCCGTACACCCACTATGACTCAGGGAGTGATATCTCCCTAGGATGCTACGAATACCATCACAGAATGTACACCCATGGTGTGCACCCACGGTGATATTAGGAGTAATGTCAACCCAGGACATAACCAATAACACCACAGGGAGTACAGACATGATGTACACCCACGGTGAAGTTACGAGAACTATCTCCCTAGGATAATACCAATAACATCACAGAGCGTACACACATGGTATACACCCACTGTGGCACTAGGACTAATAACTTTCTAAGATAGTACGAATAGCATCAGAGAACATAAACACATGGTGTACACCCAGTGTAACTTTAGGTGTAATTTCTCCCTAGGATGTTACGAGTAACTTCTCAGTGTGTACACACGTGGTGTACACCCACTGTGACATTAAGGGTAATATCCCCCTAGGATATGACGAGAAACATCACAGGGTGTCCACCCATGGTGTACACGCACTGTGATGTTAGGAATAATATCTCCCTAGGATATTATGAATAATACCACAGGGTGTACAGAAACTGTGATATTAGAGGTAATGTCTCTCTAGGATATGATGAATATCATCGCAGGGTGTGCACCCACTGTGATACTGGGAGCAATATCTCTCTAGGATAGTATGAATAATATCACAGAGTGTACACCCACTGTGATATTAGGAGAAATATCTCTCTGGGATATTACGAATTATATCACAGAGTGTACACACATGGTGTACATCCACTTTGATATTAGGAGTAATATCTTCCTAGGACATTACAAAGAACATCGCAGAGTGTACACCCACTGGAATATTAGGAGTCGTATCTCCCTAGGTGATTACAAATAATATCACAGGGTGTACACCCACTGTGATATCAGGAGTAATATCTTCCTAGGTTATTACGAATAATTTCACAGTGTGTACACACATGGTGTACACTCACTGTGATCTTAGGAGTAATATCTACCGAGTAGATAACATAGAACATCACAGGGTGTACACCCACTTTGATATTAGCTGTAATATTTTTCTAAGTTGTTACAAATAATATCACAGGGCGTACAAACAGGGTGTACACTCACTGTGATATCAGGAGTCGTATCTCCATAATATATTATGAATAATATCACAGGGTGTACACCCACTGTATTATTAGGAGTGATATCTCTGTAGGATATTACAATTAATACCCCAGGGTGTGCAGCCACTGTGATATTAGGAGCAACATCTTTCTAGGATATCACAGACAATATCACAGGGTGTACGCCCACTCTGATGTCAGGAGCAATATCCCCCTAGGATATCCAAAATAATATCACAGGGTGTACAATCTCTGCCTTCCAGGTTCTAAGGGATTCTCCTGCTTCAGCCTCCCGAGTAGCTAGAGTTACCCGCCACCAGGCCCGGCTAATTGTTTTTTATTTTCACTAGAGATGGGGTTTCACCGCGTTGGCCAAGCTGGTCTGGAACTCCTGACCTCAGGTGATCCGTCGGCCTCGGCCACCCAAAGTGCTGGGATTACAGGTGTGAGCCATGGCGCTCGGCCAAGAGTTATATATTCAATTAATTTGGAAACACAGCTCCCATATTTGAGTGTGCATGTACTTTTATGAAGAAATGATGTCAGAAAACCTAAGGATGATAATAAATATGAAAAGTAACTGGCATGTTAAAAGGTCTTCAGATAAAGAACTCTAAGCTTCGATTTCATTTTTAGATAATGCGGTCCTAGCTCTTGTATCATCCTTTTCCATATTCTACATCAAAGGAATTTGTCGCACGGTGTCAGAATAAAACAGAGTGTATTTCACTGCTTCTTAATTTCTTTCAATTAGGCTGACATCTTTTTCTTAAAGACAGAAGAGCATCTTCATTGCGTTTTATTCTTTCTGAAAAGAGTAGGCCGTATTTTACTGAGATCACGGATTTGTTATATATTATGTTTTGGTCTTCTAACATTCTTCAGTGGATTTTCTCTAAAGTAGTACATACAGAAGGAGTTGAATAGAAAACAGTAAATCATCATGGAATAATTCTGGGATTTTTGGGTTTGTCACAACTGAGAAATATTGCTGACGGTGTATGGTCCTCAAGTGTGAAAATGTTCCTTGTGAATTGCTTGCATCCAAAATATACACACAGCATTAAGGGCTGGTTTTTATCTTTTATTTTTCCAACCTTCTTTTCTTCCCAAGGTGTCCAAGTCACACAGAGCCACGGAATCTCACAGGAGCCTGAGAACTCCTCCTCCTGGGACTCTCAGAGGATCCAGAACTGCAGCCCATCCTCGCTGGGCTGTCCCTGTCCATGTATCTGGTCACGGTGCTGAGGAACCTCCTCATCAGCCTGGCTGTCAGCTCTGACTCCCACCTCCACACCCCAATGTGCTTCTTCCTCTCCAACCTGTGCTGGGCTGACATCGGTTTCACCTCGGCCACGGTTCCCAAGATGATTGTGGACATGCGGTCGCATAGCGGAGTCATCTCTTATGCGGACTGCCTGACACGGATGTCTTTCTTGGTCCTTTTTGCATGTGTAGAAGACATGCTCCTGACTGTGATGGCCTATGACTGTTTTGTAGCCATCTGTCGCCCTCTGCACTACCCAGTCATCGTGAATCCTCACCTCTGTGTCTTCTTAGTTTCGGTGTCCTTTTCCTTAGCCTGTTGGATTCCCAGCTGCGCAGTTGGATTGTGTTGCAATTCACCTTCTTCAAGAATGTGGAAATCTCTAATTTTGTCTGTGACCCATCTCAACCTCTCAAGCTTGCCTGTTCTGACAGCATCATCGATAGCATGTTCATATATTTCGATAGTACTATGTTTGGTTTTCTTCCCATTTCAGGGATCCTTTTGTCTTACTATAAAATTGTCCCCTCCATTCTAAGGATTTCATCGTCAGATGGGTAGTATAAAGCCTTCTCCGCCTGTGGCTCTCACCTGCCAGTTGTTTGCTTATTTTATGGAACAGGCATTGGCGTGTACCTGACTTCAGCTGTGGCACCACCCCTCAGGAATGGTGTGGTGGCGTCAGTGACGTATGCTGTGGTCACCCCCATGCTGAACCCTTTCATCTACAGCCTGAGAAACAGGGACATTCAAAGCGCCCTGTGGAGGCTGCGCAGCAGAACAGTCAAATCTCATGATCTGTTCCATCCTTTTTCTTGTGTGGGTAAGAAAGGGCAAGCACATTAAATCCCTACATCTGCAAATCCTGCCCCTTAGTCACATTATTTTTGTGGCTTGATGGCTTTTATTTCTTTCCGCGTTTCCTATGTGAATATTGTTTTCTTCGTTATGCCTTTAACTGGAAGGGGTGAGGATTCTGGGATCCTTTGTTTAGCAGAAACCTCATGACTGAATCCTCTATACCTAGGTGGCCTCCTTTAGTTTCTGAGCAATAACCCTGTCATCCAGGTGGAATCACAACCTTCTTTTTATATACGTGAAGTCCTCACTTCATTTTGGAATTCCCTGAAAATTGACTTTATGGAAGCAATGTACAGCAGGTCCTCCAACACCATTGGTGCATTCAAAGTTGTGTAGTTATAATGTTGGTGAGGAATAACTGGTTTCACTCTACCTAATTTTGCTTAAAGGTGAAGTTTCCAAGAGACTTCCAAAGATGTTAAGTGAGGACATACTGTATATCAAATTCATATCCTCTTCCAGAGTTCATGTGGAATTTCTTTATAAACTGCTTCTAGAGAATCTATTTGGGCAGGTTATGTGTAGAGATCCATGTCACTGGTCCTCAAGTTTGGCTTTGAGTCAAATCACCTGAGGAGCTTACAATTGATGAGGCCTGGGTCTCATTACCTGAGATTCTGATTTCCCTGCACCTGTGTGAGTATGTGGATTTTTTTTTTTTTTTTTTAAAGCACCAGAGGTGCTTGCAATGACAAAGTTTTTAGAGGCATCAAGCTCTAATGAGTAAGAACAGAAGTTAATTGTAATATGATTTCTTCAAATATTATCCTGAAATGCATTGTCCATCAACACCATACAAATGTTTATTATGCTGTTGTTTCTTACCATTTAGCATTTTCTATTTTTTTCTTTTTCTTTTCTTTTTTTTTTTCTTTTCCTTTTGAGGCAGAGTTTCACTCTTGTTGCCCAGGTTGGAGTGCAATGGCACGATCTCGGCTCACTGCCACCTCTGCCTCCCGTATTCAAGTGATTCTCCTGTCTCAGCCTTCCAAGTAGCTGGGATTACAGGCATGCGCTACCGTGCCCGGCTAAGTTTTTTTTTGTTTGTTTGTTTGTTTTGTTTTGTTTTGTTTTTTGGTATTTTTAGTACAGACAGTGGTTCTCCATATTGGTCAGGCTGGTCTTGAACTCCCAACCTCAGGTGATCCTCCCACTTCCGCCTCCCAATGTTCTGGGACTACAGGCGTGAGCAACCGCGCCCAGCCACCACTTAGCATTTTCATTTTACATTTGTTGAAATTATAGATTTATACACACTTTGATTGCTGCTTTGTTATACACTTGCATATACATAAGATGGGAAATAGAAAAGAATAAAACGGGCACAGTATCCCTGAAGTTTCACATTCCGAGACATGTTAAAAACATTTGGTTTTTAGAAATTTGTTTCAATTGAGAAACTGTGGTATACACACACAATGAAGTATTATTCAGCCTAAAAAGGAATAAACGAAATCCTCTCCACTGCAGACAAAATGGATGAGATTGCAGGTCTGTATGTTAAGTGAAATAAGCTAGGCACAGAATGACAAATATTTCATATCATCACTTCTAGGTAGGAACAGAAAAGAAAATCTTGGCCAGGTGTGGTGGCTCAGGCCTGTAATCCCAGCACTGTGGGAGGCCGAGTCGCACGGATCACTTGAGGCCAGGAGTTCGAGACCCACCTGGCCAACATGGTGAAACCCCGTCTCTACTGAAAACACAAACAATTAGCTGGGCGTGGTGACGCGTGCCTGTAGTCTCAGCTACTCGGAGGGCTGAGGCCCAAGAAGCGCTTGAACTTGGGAGGTGGAGGTTGCAGTGAGCCCGGATTGTGCCTGTATACTCCAACCTGGGCAACAGAAAGAGACTCCATCACACACCTACACACAAAAGGAATCTCAGGAAGGTGGAAAGTATAAGGGTGGTTAGCAGACGCTAGGAAGAAAAGGGGTGGGATGGGAAATGAAGAGAAGTGGATAATTGGGTCCCCAAATACAGAAAGATGGAATAAGTGAGTTCTAATGTTTGATAGTACAGTATGAAAATTTTAGTTCACAAGAATTTCTTGCATATTTCCAGATGCTTTGGTAAGAAGTTTCCTAACTTTCTCATTATGCTGGTTTTCCAGCTATTCTCTTTCTGCTCTCGAAATCATGCTGGATTTTTTGTTTTTGGTTTTTTGTTTTGAGACAGAGTTTCACTCTTGTTGCCCAGGCTGGGGTGTAATGGTGCATTCTTGGCTCACCGCAACCTCTGCCTCCTGGGTTCAAGCGATTCTCCTGCCTCCATCTCCTGAGCAGCTGGGATTACAGGCATGCCCCAGCACACCCAGCTAATGTTGTATTTGTAGTAGAGACAGGGGTTTCTTCCTGTCTGTCAGGCTGGTCTTGAACTCCTGACCTCAGGTGATCCGCCCGCCTCGGCCTCCCAAAGTGCTTGGATTACAGGCGTGAGCAACCGCACCCGGCCCATGCTGCATCCTTCTCTGTTGTCTGTTGTTGTTTGTTTGTTTTTGAGCCCAGAAATAACTTCTCACCTATATGTTCAAATGATTTTTCACATGAGTGCTAAGAAAGTCCATTGGTGGAAAAGCAGCCTTTTCGAGAAATGGTGTTGGAGAAACTTGATTTCCACATGCAGAAGAATGAAGGTGGACTCTATGTCACACCAGGTGCAAAAATTAACACAAACTGGGTCAAAGACCTAACCCCAAGTGCTGAAAGTATAATATGCCTAAAAGAAAACATTGGTCACACTTTCATGACATCAGATTGGGCAATGCTTTCTGGGATATGACACCAAAAGCATAGGCAACAAAAGAAAATTAGATTCCTTGGATGACATCTAAATGACAGACACTTTTGTGCATCAGCAAACACTGTGAACTGAGTGAAAAGATAACCCATGGATTAGGAAAAATATTTGCAAATCATATCTCTGAAAAGAGGCTGATATGCATCATGTACAAAGAACAGCTAGAACTGAACAACAAGAAACCCAAAGCATCCCATTCACAATGGTCAGAAGACTCGAGTAGACGTGTCCCTAAAGAAGATATAGCGATGGCCAATAAGCATCTAAAATGATGTTCAAAATCACTAATCATAGGGAAGCGCAAATCAAACCAAGAATGTGATACCACACATTTGGATGGATATGATAAACAAACAAGCATTGGTGAAACTAGAGGGAAGTAGGAATGCTCGAATCTGATTGGAGGGAATGTAAAACCGTGATGGAACCGGGAAAATAGTATGGCGTGTACCGGAAAAAGTAGAAACAGGATTAGCGGATGTTCCCGCAGTTGCGCTTGTGGGTACCTGCCAAAAAGAATTAGAAGCCAGGAGTGGAAGAGAGATTTGTACACCCAAATTCTTGGCAGCATTATTCACAACAGCCAAAACGTGGAAGCAACCCAAGGGTTCGTGGACAGATGAATGAAAAAGCACACTGCAGTTCATTCATGCGATGGAAGACTATTCAGCCTTAAAAAGGCAGGCACTTCCGGCCGGTGCGGTGGCTCACGCCTGTAATCCCAGCATCTTGGAAGACCGAGGTGGGCGGATCACCTGAGGTCAGGAATTCAAGACCAGCCTGGCCATCTTGTAAAACCCTGTCTCTACTGAAAATGCAAAAAATTAGAAGAGCGTGGTGGCGTGTGCCTATAGTCCCAGCTACTCGGGAGGCGGAGGCACAAGAATCGCTTGAACCCGGGAGGTGGAGGTTACAGTGAGCCCAGATTGTGCCACTGCACTCCAGCCTGTGCGACAGAGTGAGACTCCATGTGAACACAAAACAAAACAAAACAAAACAAAAAAATCAAAACAAAACACTCAAACAACCAGACAGGCACTTCTGACACAGGGTGCAACACGGATGAACCTTGAAGACATTCTCGTCAGTGAAATAAATAAATCCCAAAAGGATAAACACGACCAGGCTCAGTGGCTCGCACCTGTAACCCCAGCACTTTGGGAGGCTGAGGCAGGCGGATCACTTAAGGTCAGGAGTTCGAGACCAGCCTGGCCAATACGGTGCAAGCTCGTCTCTATTAAAAATACAACAATTAGCTGGGCGTGGTGGCGCACGCCTGTCATCCCAGCTACTCGGGAGACTGAGACACAAGAATCGCTTGAACCCACGGTGTGGAGGTTGCAGTCACCTGAGACCATGCCACTGCACTCCAGCCTGGGTGACAGAGAAAGACTCTGTCTCCAAAACAAACGAACCAAAAAAATTGAACACGGTATGATTCCACTTATATCACACATCTAGAGTAGTTAAATTTATAGAGTTGCAAAATAGAATGGTGGCCCCCAGGGGTGGGCGAGAGAGAGAGGAATGGAGAGTTTGGTTAATGGGTGCAATTTCCATTTTCAAGAATAAAACTGTTCTGGAGATGATGGCGGTGATGGTTGCTAAACAATGTGAATGTACCTAATGTGATTAAACCGTAAACTGAAAAACAGTGCAAATTGTAAATGTTTATACTGGCCATTCTATATGAAATAATCTAGATTTATAATTTTTAGCATTTATATGTGGTGTATTTTCCCATAATAAAAGATGAAAATTAAAGCACTTGGATCTTGTAAAAGAAAAGAAAGAAGCGAATAATACACACAAGCTCTCTCCTGATTAGAGGAAGAGCCCCAGAGCTTCTATGGACACTCACTTTTCTCTTCTTCTTCTTGCATGATGATGAGGAAATCCTTAGAGCTTGGGGAACTTGGGCGACTCTGGCTAATGAGGAGCTCTGTGCCTTGAGCCCCCCAGGCCATAGAATAGTAAATACTCAGTCTGTGCCTCCAGCCCTGCAGTGTGAGGTTGCAGTCCTGTGGGCTCCACAACCGTCACCTGTATCAGGAGGCTCATGTCTCACCCTGTCTTCTGGCCAGCCTTGAGGACGGAGTCTGAGCCTCCAATGTGCACCACGCAGGGAGGACAGTGGACCTGTTCTCTGTGGTCATGGCCCAGCAGAGGGGAAGGGCAGTTCAGTGAGTGCTGAGGGACCGTCGGGAGCCTTGTTTGTTTCCTCATCCTCAGGACAAACAGGAGAGTGCCGTGGGCAGATGGGAGGAGACCAATGTGCAAACTGTCAGCTCAGCAGACTGTGGAGTTTCTGTTCTTGGTTGTGGTGGGGGGTCTCTCTCAGGAATCTTCTTCAAAATTTTGCCTACCTCCCCCACTGGTTGTCCTTTTCATAGACATCTCACCCACGATAGCAGGGAATGAGTCCCTCTAAACTATTCCCTCAGAACAACAAAAAGATGATGAAGCTGATGATGAGGTTAAAGAGGATGATGACAGACACCATGGCATCATGAACCCTAACTGAGGGCTTCCTGAAGGCCAGGCTCTGAGCTCTGTGCTCTATGCAGCTTGTTTCATTTCATCTGCGTAGTCTCCCAGTTATTCGTGCACATTTCATGATTATTTTACAGACTAGAAAAGGAGCAACACATTTTCATATAACTTGTACCAGATCATGAAGTCAAAAAGGGTGAAGCCCAATTTGAACCAGGCAGTCTAAGGCCAGACACATGGCATTTGGCCAGTCCTCTCCCTGCATCCAACCTGCCCTCTCAAATCCTTGTCACTCAGGCCGATGCCCCGGCTCACTGTGCCCTTCCCTTTGGGGGTTCCTTGTAGACCACAGCTAGACCAGTGGGTGCCACAATCACTGTGTCAAGTATGGAAAGGGCAGCTGAGATCACATCAAAGATTGCAGAAAGAATTGGCACAGGATCATTCGGGATGCATCTCTCCCTTGCCCCTTTCCTGGCTTTCCTTACAGCTCTCGACTTCCTCAAAGGAGTCATACATTCGGGGTTTGGCTTCCGTTCCTATTGAGGAAGCTGGAAACCATTTCAAAAATGCTCCTCAGATGTGCCCGTGATTAAGACCTCTGAGCTCTGTTGAAAACTTGTGGAAGCCAGGTGCTGTGGCTCACACCTGTAATCCCAGCACTTTGGGAGGCTGAGGCAGGCAAATCACAAGGTCAGGTGTTCGAGACCAGCCTGGCCAACATAGTGAAACCCCGTCTCTCCTAAAAAGAGAAAAATATTAGCTGGGCATAGTGGTGGGCGCCTGTCATCTCAGCTACTCGGCAGGCTGAGGCAAGAGAATAGCTTGAACCTGGGATGCGGAGGTTGCAGTGAGCCGAGATCACTCCACTGCACTCCAGCCTAGGCAACAGAACGAGACTCCGTCTCAAAAACAAAAACAAAAATAAAAACACAAACACAAACAAAAAAGAACCCACAACATTTTGAGGGTTGGGAGACCATCAAGTATAGTGCCCGGGACTTAGAGTCTGGCCATTGATTTTCAGTACCACCCTTTCTACTTATCTGTATGGCAAGGGGTGAGACGTCCATCCTCTGAGACTCAGCACTCTCATCTGAGTTGATTTCTAGTTGATCCAATGGAAGTGAGCGATGATTAAACCAATCGTGGGTGCCTGCTGCGTGATCTCTATGTGATGGATGCGTAAAGTAAAGGCAAAGTGAATTTTAGATACATTCGTTAGTATTTTAAGCTTAAACTCCATACGGTTCAACGGAAATGTCCCCTGACCTGAAGTTCTGGTTTCCCTGCATTCCGGACAGGACATTTTATTTTGTCCTTATCTCAGTAAGTACTGAGTATTGTGAGAGGAACAAGTGAGTCTCTTTTGTTTCTGATTCCCCAGAGCCTATATCTTGCTTGGCATCAAGGAGATAGCAAAGTAAACATCTATGTGAATTGTTGAATTGACACTTCCTTGGTTCACAAAAATTGGCTGTCATCGGTGTGACGTCAGTGTGACAGAGCGTGTGTTTTTGGTTTTTTGTTTTTTGAGAAGGAGTTTTGCTCTTGTTGCCCAGGCTGGAGTGCGGTGGTGTGATCTCGGCTCACTGTAGCCTCTGCCTCCCAGGTTCAAGCCATTCTCCTGCCTCAGCCTCCCGAGTAGCTGGGACTACAGGCGCGCGCCGCCATACTGGGTGAAGTTTTTGTATTTTCAGTAGAGGCGGAGTTTCACCATGTTGGCCGGGATGGTCTTGATCTCCTGACCTCGTGATCCACCCTTCTTGGCCTCCCAAAATGCTGGGATCACAGGCGTGAGCCACCGCGTCCGGCCAAACGTTCTGATGAAAACTCTAAGTCCACCGAAGCTAAGGACAGGAGTTACAGCTTACATGAATTTTAAAACAAGACCCACCGATTTGAGTAAGAAATTACTCTCTTGAAGGAGAAAAGTCAGAAAACATATTGATGACATCACTAGGACCTAACTGGCCTGTGGAACTATTTTCTGCTTATGAACTATCAACTTTAATTTCATTTCCAGATGGCATGGTCTCAGCAGTTATACAGTGTTTACAGATGTTCTAAATCAAGGGAATTTCTATCAATCTCTTCGAATAAAATAAAATATTTGAGTTCTTAATTTCCTTTCACTAGGATAACCTTTTTCTTACAGTGAAGAGAATGGTTTTATTACATAGTTTCCTTCGGTAAAGATAGGCTGTCTTTTCTAGCAATTATGAATTTGTTATATATGATGATCTGGTTCTTGGAACATTCTTGAATCTAGTGTCTCTGAGGCAGGTGTGTACAGCAAGAAGTGAATAACACAGAAATCAATGATGAAAGCATTAGAAGACAATTGAGTTTGTCAGAACTGCAAAGTATTGCTGAATGTGGCTTGCTCTGAAATCTGAAAACATTACTTGCGAATTGTTTCTATCCAAAATGCAGACATGATTCTGGGTGTTGGTTTACTTGTTTCCGATTTCTCAATCCTCTTTTCTAGGCAAAAGGTGTCCAATCTCTACAGACCCACAGAATCTAACAGATGTCTCTATATTCCTCCTCCGAGAACCTCAGAGGATCCAGAATGGCAGCTGGTCCTTGCTGGGTTGTTCCTGTCCATGTGCCTGGTAACGGTGCTGGGGAACCTGCTCATCATCCTGGCCGTCAGCCCTGACTCCCACCTCCACACCCCCATGTACTTCTTCCTCTCCAACCTGTCCTTGCCTGACATCGGTTTCACCTCCACCACGGTAGCCAAGATGATTGTGGACATCCAATCTCACAGCAGAGTCATCTCCTATGCAGGCTGCCTGACTCAGATGTCTCCCTTTGCCATTTTTGGAGGCATGGAAGAGAGACACGCTCCTGAGTGTGATGGCCTCTGACCGCTTTGTAGCCATCTGTCACCCTCTATATCATTCAGCCATCATGAACCCGTGTTTCTGTGGCTTTCTAGTTTTGTTGTCTTTTTTTTTTTTCTGTCTTTTAGATGCCCAGCTGCACAACTTGATTGCCTTACAAATGACCTGCTTCAAGGATGTGGAAATTCCTAATTTCTTCTGTGACCCTTCTCAACTCCCCCATCTTGCATGTTGTGACACCTTCACCAATAACATAATCATGTATTTCCCTGCTGCCATATTTGGTTTTCTTCCCATCTCGGGTTCCCTTTTCTCTTACTATAAAATTGTTTCCTCCATTCTGAGGGTTTCATCATCAGGTGGGAAGTATTAGGCCTTCTCCTCCTGTGGGTCTCACCTGTCAGTTGTTTGCTGATTTTATGGAACAGGCGTTGGAGGGTACCTCAGTTGAGATGTGTCATCTTCCCCGAGGAAGGTTGCAGTGGCCTCAGTGATGTACATGGTGGTCACCCCCATGCTGAACCCCTTTGTCTACAGCCTGAGAAACAGGGATATTAAAAGTGTCCTGCGGTGGCCGCACGGCAGCACGGTCTAATCTCAATATCTTCTTATCTGTTCCATTCCTTTTGTAGTGTAGGTTAAAAAGGCAGCAAGGTCAAATAAGAATGATATCACAGGGTGAACACCCACTGTGATATTAGGAGTAATACCTCCCTAGGATATAGAATATTCTGTCACAGAGTATAGACACATGGGGTACACCCACCGTGATATTAGAAGCAATATCTCCCTAAAGTAGGAGGAAAAATATCACAGGGTGTGCACACTGTGTGATATGAGGAGTAATATTTACCCTGGATATTACAACTAATATCAAGGGTGTACACACACGGGGTACACGCACTGTGATATCAGGAGTTGTATGTCCCTAGGATATTACGAATACTATCACAGGGTATACACTATGTGTGTACATCCACTGTGATATTTGAAGTAATATCTCTCTATGAGATTATAAATAACATCAAAGCGTGTACACCCCTGTGACATATTGGAGTAACATCCTTCTAGGGTATTACAGATAACGTCACAACGTGTACACCTTCTGGGACGTTTTGTACACTCTTTGTGACATTAAAAGAAACATCCCCCTAGGATATTATGAATAATAACACAGGAGGGGTACACACATGGTGTACACCGCCTGTGTCATCAGGTGTAACATTCCCCTAGGATATTACGAATAATATCACAGCAGGTGTACACACATAGTGTACACCCCATGCGACATTCGGAAGAGCATGCCCCTAGGATATTAGGAATAGTATCACAGGCGTTGAATACGCATTTTTAATGTGTAACGTCACCCCCGGTGACATTAAAAATAACATCCCCCTTGGATATTATGAATAATATGACAGGGAGTACACCCCACGTGACATTAGGAGTAACATCCCCCGAGGATATAATGAATAATATCAGAGGGTGTACATGCATTGTGACCTTAGTAGTAACATCTCTTTAGGATATTACAAATAATATCACAGGGTGTACAGGCATTGTGACATTAGTAGTAACATCCCGCTGGGATATGATGAGTCATATCACAGGGTGTACACCCCCGTGACAATAGTAGCAACATTCCCCTAGAATATTACGAATAATATCACAGGAGGTACAGCCCCTGTGATTTACGAGTAACATGTCTATAGAATATTACAACTCATATCACTGTGTGACTCTGGGTACACCCCGTGTGACTTTAGGAGTAACATCCCACAAAACTATGACGAAAAATATCACAGGGTGAACACCCCCTGTGACCTGAGGAATAACATAGTTTTAGGATATTATCAATGATGTGACAAGGTGTACACCCCCTGTGACGTTAGGAGCAATATCCGTCTAGGATGTTAGGAAGAGTATCACACGGAACACACCCCCTGTGACATTAGGATATGACAAATAATATCACAAGGTGTACACGCATCGTGACATTAGTGCTAATATCCCTCTGGTACACTATGAATAATATCACAGGGTGTACATCCCTGTGACATTAGGAGTAACATCCCCCTAGAATAGTAAGAATAATAACACGGAGTGTACACCCCCTGTGACATGAGGAGTATCATCTCGCTAGAATATTATGAATAATGTCACAGGGTGTTATCGTCTGTGCCAATAGGAGTATAGACCCCTGGGAAATTATGAATACTATCACAGGGTGTACAGCCCTGTGACATTAGGAGTAGCATCTTTCTAGAATATCACGAATAATATCACAATGTGTACACCCACTGTGTCATTAAAAGTAACATTGCCCTAGGATATGATGAAATAGAACACAGGGAGTAGACCACTTGTGACATTACAAGTAACATCCCCCGAGGATATAACCAATAAGATCGGAGAATGTACCTGCATTGGGACATCAGGAGTAACATCTCTTCAGGACAATACGAATAATATCAAAGGGTGTACACGCATTGTGAAATTAGTAGTGAACTCCCGCTAGGATTTTAGGAATTTTATGACAGGGTTTACAGGCCCTGTGACATTAGCAGTAACGTTTTCCTAGAAGATTACGAAGAATAGTAAAGGGTGGACAGGACCTGTGAATTACGAGTAACATTTCCATAGCATATCGGACGTAACATCACTGTGTGCACACGCCGTGTGACATTAGGGGTAACATCCCACAAAATTATAGCGAATAATTTCACAAGGTGTGCAACCTCTGTGACATTAAAAGTAACATTTCCCTAGAATATGACGACAATATCACAGAGTGTACACCCTCTGTGATATAAGGAGTGACATCTTATGACGTTAATACGACTAATTTGACAAGGCGTACAAACCCTGTGACATAAGGAGTGACATCCCTCTAGGACATTATGAATACTATCAAAAGGAACATACCCCATGTGACAATAAAAGCAACCTCTCCTTAGGAGAATAAGAATAACACCACAAGGTGTACACACAATGTGACATTATTACTAAGGTAAAGGTAGGATATTGGGAATAACATCACAGTATACAGAGTCCTGTGACATCAGGTTTACAATTCCCCTACAAAATTACGAATAATATTGAAGGCTGTATACCCCCCGCGACTTTAGCAGCCGCATCTTGCTAGAATATGGAAGATAATGTCCCAGGGTGCGAACCGAGGGTGGCAGTATAGAAAGGATCCTAGGAAAAATCAGGAAGTAAGAGCCAGCCCCTCTTCCCCACCCTGGCTCTTAGGACCCCCATTGCAGGGGGGTGAGGCACCACCCGCGATGCGGGGAGTAAGAAAGAGCCAGCCCCTCTTCCCCCCCGGCTCTTAGGACCCCCATCGCAAGGCGGGTGAGGCACCCACCACGATGCGGGGAGTAAGAGCCACCCCCTCTTCTCCCCCTGGTTTTTAGGATCAGCGGTGGACTCACAGCCTGTTTACCATATTGTGAGTAATATCATCTCCCCCTCTGGAGACTATGAACTGTTTCACAGACGGGTGTACACCCTCGGTGTATGGAGGGTGTTCACCCGTCTGTTTTGGGAGTAATATCATCCTCTTCCCCCCTGAATATTAAGAACAGTATCACAGGGGTGTTTCTACTCCCTGCGATGTCGCGTGTCATATCCTCGTCTCCCACGTTGCAATTAGAAACAATATCAGTGGGGGCGTGTCCACCTTCTGTCGTTTTGAAGGTAATATCATCGTCTTGCCTCCAGGATCATGGGAACAATATCCCTGAGGGGTGTCCACTTTCTGCCATATATGTCGTCATATCACCCCCTCCGCCTTGGAATATTATTAAGGACCATCTCACATGGAGGTGTACACTTCCTGCGATATTGGGAGTAATATCAACCTCTGGGCCTCTGAATATTAGGAAGAATATCACAGGGTGGGTGTACACCTCCTGCTCTATTATGGGGAGCCATATCTATCTATTATGGGGAGTAATATATCCTCTCCCTTTCAGGATATTAATAACAATTTCACAGGCTGGGTGAACACACCCTGCGATGCTGCAATTATTGTCATCCTCTCCCCCTCGGGTTACTAGGAACAATATCACAGAAGAGGTGTACACTCCCTGCGATATTGGGAGTAATATCATACGCTTCTTCCGTGAATATTAGGAACAATATCACCGGGTGGCTGTACAATCATTGCTATGTTGGCAGTCATGTAATACTCTACCCGCTGGGTATTAGGATCGGTGTCACAGGGTGAGTGTACACCTACTGTGATATGAAAACTAATATCATGCTCTCCATCCCTGGATATTAGGAACAATATCACAGGTAGTTGTACACCCCCTGCGGCATTAGCAGTAATAATATTATGAATTATTAAACATCAGTCTTGTTAATAATTAGCCATGGTAGTATTAATTAATAGTATAACGTTATTAATCATTAATGATTATTTTCAAGATAGGATTATGCATGATTAACGTTAATTATTAATATTAATGTCACTTTTATTATTAGTTATTAATCTTAATATTAATTATTACTTTATTACCAACATCACTTATGATTGATTGAA